>NC_000011.10:94684537-95311750 GCF_000001405.40 Homo sapiens | reverse complement strand
TGCAGTTCAGGCGTTTGGAAGTTCTTGTGTGCTGGAGATGTGGCTGGGGACAGTGGAGGCAAGGAATTGCAACTTTTTTCTATTATTATACACCTTGAAGGCGAGGTTAATTAAATCCTGTTGTGGGGTTTGAGGGCCGGAATTTAATTTTTGGAGTTTTATTTAATGTCGGGAGCAGATTGGGTAATAAAATGTATATTGAGAATAGGACGGCCTTTTGACCTTTTAGGGTCCAGGGCTGTAAAGCGTCTCAGGGTTGCTGCCGAACGAGCCATGAACTGGGCTGGGTTTTTATATTTGATGAAAAAGCCTAAACGCTGTCTGATTTGGGATAAAAAAAAAAGGAGCATTAACCTTGACTATGCCTTTAGCTCCAGCCACCTTTTTAAGAATAAATTGCTGGGCAGGTGGGGGAGGGCTAGTCACAGAACCAAACTGTAAGCCAGACCAGGTGTGAGGAGGGGAGGTGATAGAAGGATTATAGGGTGGAGGAGTGGAGGCTGAGGAAGTATTGGGACCTAGCTTGGGCTGGCGAGGAGGGGAGAGGTCAGATGGGTCTGTAGAAAAGGAGGATTAGAAAGACTCAGTGACGCTTGGGGTTGGGACTGAGGGGACAGGCGGGAGGGAAAGAAGGAAGATTTAGGACGAGTTGCACTGGGCACAGAGACTAGGAAGGGACTGATGTGTAAAAGAATGCCTGGACGTCAGGCACCTCAGACCATTTGCCCATTTTACGACAAGAATTATTTAGATCTTGTAGGATGGAAAAATTGAAAGTGCCATTTTCCGGCTATTTGGAACTCCTGTCGAGTTTGTATTGGGGTCAAGCAAAATTGTAGAAGAAAATAAGGCATTTAGTTTTAGGTCCAGGTGTGAGTTGAAGAGGTTTTAAGTTTTTGAGAACACAGGCTAAGGGAGAAGAAGGAGGAATGGAAGGTGGAAGCTTACCCATAGTGAAGCAGGCAAGCCCAGAGAAAAGAGTAGAGACACGGAGAAGGGGTGGGGGGTTCTTGCCCTCCAGAAAAGCAGAGAAGGGTTTGGGGCACGGAAATAAGAGGTCAGGGTGCAGAAATAAGGGATTGGGGCTCAGAGATAAGAGGTTGGGGTGTGGAAATAAGCAACTGGGGGGTTCTTGCCCCCTAGGAAAGTGGGACTTGCCACTAAGGGTGAAGGAGAAGGGGTTGAGGGGTACTTGCCCCTGCCCCAGGAAAGTGGGACTTGCCACTGAGGGTGAAGGAGAAGGGGTTGAGGGGTACTTGCCCCTGCCCCAGGAAAGCAGAGAAGGGGTAGAGACAAGGAGAGAAGGGGTTGGGGTACTTGCCCCTTCCCCAGAAAAGCAGAGAAGGGGTAGAGACAAGGAGAAAAGGGGTTGGGGTACTTGCCCCTTCCCCAGAAAAGTGGGACTTGCCGCTAAGGGTGAAGGACCAAGGCAGGCATCCCTGCGTGGTCTGACACCCTTGAAACGTGGGCGTATAATCAGAGAGGCGTCCCTGCAATGATTAAACACCAAGGGAAGGCTGCCTTCTCAGTCCGTGACCAGCGCCAGAGTTTTGGGTCCACGGATAAAACGTGTCTCTTTCGTCTCTACCAGAAAATGAAAGGAATTGAAATTAAGAGAAGGGAGAGATTCAAGTGTAGCACCAAGATTGAAAGGAGAAGGAGGTTGAGGGATAGTGAGGGAAGTTGGAGAAGAGAGTAAAAAGAGGCCGCTTACCGGATTTGAAATTGGTGAGATGTTTCTTGGGCTGGTCGGTCTGAAGACCTGAGGTTGTAGGTTGATCTTTCTCACGGAGCAAAGAGCAGGAGGACGGGGGATTGATCTCCCAAGGGAGGTCCCCCGATCTGAGTCACGGCACCAAATTTCACGCGCGTCCATGTGAAGAGACCACCAAACAGGCTTTGTGTGAGCAACATGGCTGTTTATTTCACCTGGGTGCAGGCGGGCTGAGTCCGAAAACAGAGTCAGTGAAGGGAGATAGGGGTGGGGCCGTTTTATAGGATTTGGGAAGGTAATGGAAAATTACAGTCAAAGGGGGTTGTTCTCTGGTGGGCAGGGGTGGATCTCACAAAGTACATTCTCAAGGGTGGGGAGAATTACAAAGAACCTTCTTAAGGGTGGGGGAGACTACAAAGTACCTTCTTAAGGGTGGGGGAGATTACAAAGTACATTGATCAGTTAGCGTGGGGCAGGAACAAATCACAATGGTGGAATGTCATCAGTTAAGGCTGTTTTTACTTCTTTTGTGGATCTTCAGTTACTTCAGGCCATCTGGATGTATACGTGCAAGTCACAGGGGATGCGATGGCCTGGCCTGGGCTCAGAGGCCTGACAGCACTTGCTCTGTCCTGCTTCACTGTGGGCGTGCAGTTTCCTATTCATGGAGAATAAATGAGAAGCTATGGTAGAAGTGTGCACAGTGATGGTGTTGGGAAGGAGATGTCCTCTCACCAATCTACAATTTACTTGAAATATTACCAATGCCTCCTTCAAAGAGTCATGTAGATTAAAAAGAGTATCTTTAAAATGCCTAGTAGAGGGCCCTGCACAAAATATGACCTAATTAAAAGGTAGTTTTTATTGCTGTTTTTCAAATTTTTTATACTGAGCTTACGTTACCTTTTATGAGTAAGCCAATGAATTTTCAAATTCTACATTTCAGCTGGAGTCATTATGGCTACAGAGTAGACATGAGATGGAGTAGTTACATTAAAGGAAAAATGTTCACTTTTTACTTTATACATATAGCACATATGAATTGTTTGGTGTCATTTTTTTCTAAATAAATTTTTTCTTGGAAAAGTTCACTAGCAAGATCATCCTTAGGAGGATGAGGTGTCTCTCAGGCATTCTCTTCCAGGATGTTCCCTACAGCAACCTGGTTAAACTGAAACACAGGCAGCAGAATTAGAAACCCAAACATAAACCACAACAGTAGGTAAAAGTGGTGCCAAGACACAATAGCCAAGAGGCAGAAGGATGGATGAATGGACAAACAAAATGTGGTACATACGCACATGGGATATGAGTGAGCCCTAAAAAGAAAGGAAATCCTGTCACATGTTCTACTGAGGATATTATGCTCAGTGAAAGACACCAGTCACAAAAAGGCAAATACTGTATAATTATACTTACATAAGATACCTAAAGCCATTAAATCCATAGAAACAAAAAGCAGATCGTGGTTACCAGGGGCTGGGGTGGGGAGGGGGAAAAGAAGAGTTGTTGTTTAATAGGTATAAACTTTCAATTTTGGAAGATGTATTAGTCAGGGTTCTCCAGAGAAGCAGAACCAACAGAATATACATATATATATATACACACATATTATGCACAACTGGCTCATGCCATTATGGAGGCTGAGGAGTCCCATTATCTGGCATCTACAAGCTGGAGACCCAGGAAAGCCAGGGATGTATTTCTAGTCTAAGTCCAAAGGCTTGAGAAACAGGGGAGCTGATGATGGAAATCCCAGGCTAATGTCAGGAGAAGACTGATGTGCCAGCTCAAGCAAGCAGGCAGGAGGGGGACAAATCCTCTCTTCCTCCACCTTTTGCCCTATTCAGACTCTCAATGGATTGGATGATGGCCATCCACATTGGTGAAGAAAATCCACTTTACTAAATCCACAGATTTAACATCTAATCTCATCTGGAAACACCCTCAAAGACACTCCCAGAATTAGGGTTTAATCTGGGCACCTCATGGCACATCATGGCCTAATCAAGTTGACACATAAAATTAACCATGACATAAGATGAAAATGCTCTGGAGATCTGTTTTGCAACAATGTGAATATACTTAATGCTGCTGAACTATACTCTTGAAAGGGGCTAAGATGGTTTAAGAAAAATTAATGGACACAATTACTAATAAATCATGTCAACAGGCCTGTACATAAAAAAGGGATATTTCATTGAATATGTATAAATATAAATTTGAACCATTAAAAATAAAATGATGTCAAGGGAAAGAAGCCACAAAACACTTAAAGGGACATTTCTGAAGCCGAAGGGAGGGGAAGTGGGGAGAGAGCTGTTGAAGCAGCAAAAGTTCTGGGGGAGGGGGACTGGGTACATGAAAACTTTGTAGGGGAGTTCAGGCCTTTGCCAGAATAGTTGGCCTAACAATCGCTTCTCCTCTTCCTGTGCCCTGCCTGACTCCTGAGTTCCAGCTGCCTGGCTGGTGTCTTCAGCAGGCCCATGTTCAGCCCTTCAAGCACTGCATTAACCAGCCCCACTAGAACATCAGTCCACAGCCATCCTCATTTGCCTAAACCAATGAGTCTTGGAGATGCTTTTGTGCTTCACTAATGTACCACCTGCTGCCTCAGACACTTGAGTCCAGGACAACTTTACCTCCACTCTGAAAATCTAAGTTATGTGCCTTCATCAAGGAAATGACTAAATATGTCAGTGGGATAACCATGTGAGAAGATTAAAATAGGAAATTTTATTAGCCAGGATACTTCTAACTCCAAATAACAGAAAAGTCTGCTTAGAAATAGTTAAAATATAAGGAAATGTATTATTACATAACAAGAAGTCAAAGTTAAGTCAATAGCTAGGACAGCCTCTAGATGTGATTAATCAGAAGCTCAATGTTGTCATCAAAGATCTGGGTAGCTTCAGTCTCTACTCTGCCATCTAGGTATTGGTTTTATCCTCAAGTTTTTGGCCAGATGGCTCTACAGTTCCAGTCATCACATTTAGAGAGAATATCTAGAGGAATAAGAGAAGCTACCTCTTCCTTTTTTTTTTTCTTAGAGCATGAAACTTTCCCCTAAGTCCTTAGCATATTTCCTCTTTCATCCCACTGAAAATGGAGCCTCATGGCCACAGCTAACCCATTCACTGCAAGAAGAATATTTCTCCTACAAATGACTGACTGAGTCTAATTATTACGGGAGACCATGGTGTCCACTACAGAATGTAAATAGGCTCATAAAACAAACACAGCTATTATTTGAAAAGCTAGCCCCTATATTTTTAGAGCAGAACTGTGATGCTTCCTCTGACCTACTATTGCCCCTACCCTCAATCTCAACTCAGTTACAGTGCTGTAAGTTCTCAGCGTTAAAATCACTCATCTGGGAAAGATGGAGGGAAAAAGATTTTGTAGTCAAGTATGATGGGGCAAACATCCACTTCACATCTCTCTCAGAAGTTTATGGTTACCACTAGTACAGTTATCAAAAGCTCTGCAAAATCCTAGACTGCTTACCCCACCATTCCCCAAATTTATCTGACCATCTATGCTTTCTTTTTAAAAAAAAAAAAAAAGATTTAAATTAACATTCTGTAAAATTAATGCTCCTCAAACTTTGAGAAACTGCAGGTAAGACATGCCTTGCTTGGAAATAGACAATATTTCACTCCTCCCTGTCCCTTCAATCTCAGCTTTAACAGCAGGTCTTCCTGGAAGCCCTGCACCCAGCAGAGGGGGATCAAAGCACTTATTCCACTGCATTGTAATTGCCTATTTTTTGAGTTTTCTCCCCAACAATCTGTGAGCTCTTTGAGGTTAGGAACTGTATCTTGTTCCGGACTATATGTCCAATGCCCAGCACGATGGCCAGCATAGGGAAGGGACCGAATATTTCTTGAAAGAATCCCTTTGATTTTCCCCCAAAGGCAAGGGAATGAACTAGAATGAGCCAAGGTAGACAAATACTGATTTCAGCCTTTCTAATCCACTCTGCTTCTATGTAATCACCGAGCACTTCTCCAAGATTGTTGGAGAGCTAACTTTTTCCAGAAACTCCAGTCAGCACAAAGGAAGCCTTTGTTAACAGACCACACCTCTGCACCCAGAGCCATTCTCATGGATGGAGTCTTAGTCCTTCCAGCCTGTCACTCCTTTTAGAAAACCCAGAGCAGGATGTGTTCTCCTTCCAGACTGGGCCTTTGGGGCTGCCTCGTGACCCTCACACCACCTCCATAAATGGAAGATAATAATTCTCAGGGCAGAGGTCATCGAGTCTATAAAAGTGCCTGGAGCTTGTTGGAAGAAAGGCCTTTCCCAAGTACAAAGTAAGATTATAACTATCATTAAAAACAGAACAAAATAAAAAAACACACACACAAGCCTCCAGCTGGCACAATCCAAATGCATCAGATGTGGGGGCCTCAGGGTAGGGCTGAGTGAGGGAAGACACAAAGGTAAGTTGCTTTCCCTCTCTGGAGGCACTGAACCAGTGAGAGCCACATGTCTAGCTGTTGAGGCAAACACTCCTGGTTGCCTATCCAAGATCTGTTGCCCACTTCTCTTCTTTCACCTGGATAGAAATGTGATTTGGTTCAGGTATCCACCTCCTTCACATAGCCATGGGCTTCAGGGGAAGCTGATGTCAATTCCACCTCCAGATTGTGATTCTGGTTTGCCTACAAAGTCAGCCATAGTAGCCCCATTCCTTTTGGCAAGGCTTTGTTTAGGAATGGGCGTGTGGTCTAATTCTGACTGATCCAACGTGAGGGTGAAATCTGCTAGGAGGCTTCTGGGACAGTTTCCTTGTATCTAAAATAGAAAAAGAAAATCTTTCTTCTTCCTCTGGCCATGACTGGCCCAGCAGTGATAGCTGGGAGTACAGCAGCTGTTTTATCAGGCTGAGGATGAAGCCAACATCATGATGGCTGGATGGAAAGTAGGAAGCAACCTAGGTCTTTCAGGATGGTGTTAAGCCTCGGTCATACCAGAACCATAGTCCACTCCAGACTGCTTACTGTATGAGCAAACACTTGTATCATTGTTTCAGTTGTGGTTTTACATGTACTGTGGCCAAAAGCTTCCTAATTTAAATGTACAGAGCTCCAAGGCCAGGCCTCATGCATTCTGTGTACAATCAGTCTGGCTTTTCCTCCCCAGTGTTGGGCAGTGGACACCACTGACTAGTGTGAACTTCCATGGCTCTAGAAGAAGCTAGTTGGACTGTTTCATGTCACAGATGAAACCCTCAGACCACAGACCCCTGAGGCCTGCATAGTGCAAAGCAGTCATTCCTCTTGCCCAGGAGGAAAGCAAGATAAAATGCTTTTGTATCCCTGTTCTTCTTAAGAAAAAACAAAGGTTCCACCCAAATGTGCAAAAAAAGGTCTGTCCTTTCTCATCTGATGTAGGGGAGGGATGTGGTCAGGGGTAGCCATGAGGCCACTGCCCCTGGTGAATGTGAAGCACTGGCAACCCTAAATAGGTAAGCAAGGACAGCCTATAGAGTCCAGACTAGAGTCGAGGATGGGCAAGAAGGATGGCCTTAATTATAGCTGCGGTTATTTTGATTTGCTCTCAAGGCAGCTAACAAATAGTGCAAAATATCTAAACTAAGTAAGGTTAAAGGTGGATCAACATAGCTCTTCATTAACCCCCTTATTTCTTATGGACTCTTAACTGAAATTTGGTGTCTTGGCAATTAATCAGGAAGGAGACACATGACTGATTAGACTTGCATAGAGCTGTGAGCACGCTGCCGATATATCTCTGCTTATAGAAGCACCCAGAAAAACACATGAACTCCAGATAATTCAATAATTCTGTCAATCAGGAAGCCAGACTATCTGTCCTCACTTCTAGCCTCTGGGGTTTTAGAGTTCTTATGTGCCAACACTGGACAACCTTTCCTCTTTTGTGGCTGCCTTGCAAGGGAGTTTCCCATTTGTGTCCACGTGTGAGCTCGAGTGGGCCTGACCACAGCTGACCACAACAGGTACATTGCTGCCCTCATCTTGCCCAGCACACACTAGCTGGGGGTATGTGCAGGTACCACATCTCACTAAGTCCTAGTTTCCTTATTTTAGTTTCCCCACTAAAAGGTAAGCTCCACAATGGCAGGGACTTATTCCCCCTGTTTTATTCACTGATATATCCTGGATGCCCAAAACAGTGCCTGGCACATATAGTAGTCACTTAATAAATATTTGATGAATGAAATCATCTCCAAGGTGGGCACAAAAGTAGTACACCTCATGGGACTGCTTGAATATTGAATGAGATAGTGTGTAAAATATTGGCTCAGTGCCTAACACATAGTAAGTGCTAAAAAGTGGTAGCTATTATTATTACTATTATTATTATGCAAACCTTTGTCTTTGCCCTACTAAACAGGTGACTTGCTCCACCTGAACCAGTAACTGGTAATTCAAGATCCATAAAAAGGATTTGTTGAGTGACTTCTGCATACTCACCTGGAGGTGTGGACAAAATGGGCTTTAAGAAACCATTTTGAATGCCAGATCCGCCCCTCCTCCTCTTCACCTCTCCCTATATAAGTCAAAGACATCATCTTCCCTCTCACTCATCTAATTTCTCTCTTGCCTTCGCCCACCACATATTGGTTGTCACCGAGTCTCAAATCTCCTTGAGTGATGTCTCTCATGCCCACCCTCTCCTCTCCATCCTCACTAAGTTTAGCTCAATTTACCCCTCATCTGGACAGGTAGGGGCAGCCTCCTGTCTTCTGTGCTCACTGTCTTGCTTTTCCATTCAGATCTCCAATACTCCTGCCAGCTTCTTCTGTCACTCTCCTCCCGAACCTCTTGCTCTCTAAATTATCTGCAAAATCAAGACCAATTTATTAGCAAGGTATTCAACACAGCCCTAAACTGCCTTTCCAGACACTTCTCGTCCTATGTCCCTCTACTAACTACATCCTGTGGCCACCATTCTCCAACATACCCAGGCAGAGTCACATCACCGAATCTTTGTTCAAAGGGGTCCCTTTGCCTGAAGCACTTTCCTCTTACCTCCAGCTATGCTGTTGAAAGTCAAAGGGGATATTTGGCATGTCTTGATTTTCACAAGTTGGGTAGAGTGTGCCACTGCATGTAGTGGATAGGGATGCTGCTACACATCCTCCAACGCATAGGACAGTCCCCTACAACAAAGAACTCCCTGACCCCAAATGTCAACAGTGTCAAAGTTGAGAAGCCCTTGTCATGCAAATGCTCCTTACCCTCATGACCTACCTGAATGCCACACCATTTCTCTGCAAAGGTCTAAAGCGGGAACATGGAGGCCTCCCCTCTAACATTGTTCCAGCTTTGGCAACCCCATCAGTCCTCTCTTGGCTTTCCAAAATTAAGGGCCCATTCTCTGGCTTTCAGTTTTTCTCTTCTTGCCTAGCGGAAAGATCCCAAATTTACTCACATCAAATCACAACCAGACAAAACAGTCTTTATTGTAATGGGTCAGAATTCATTATAACCCCAATTTCCCTCTCCAAATCCATTATTTCCATTTATTTGATTCTGCTTCATGCTAGCAGTTAACAAGTTTGTCTCTACACAAGGAAAGGACTGTCGATCCCTCACCCCACGCACCAAGTACAGTGCCTGCCCAAAGAGAGGCGTTTGATCGATGTGTAGTGGATGTTAATTGTCATTGAAAAAATCTTGACTGTGTGGTCTGATTGCAGCTTCTGCAGAAGATGTTCTGATTGAGTAGCTTTTGTTCATATCTTTTCTTTTGTCTAAATCAACCTGTCAGTTATATTTTAACATGGAAAGGATTGAATAATTTTTGGGTGCCCTTTTTTTATTTCAAAGAAAAGAATGTAGGATAATCCAGCTAGTTTCACTCCTATTTCAGGTGAGTCCTACTTCAGAGTTAACACACCCATTTCGCTGACTTCCTACTTTTGCTGGACCAGATGGACAGGATATCAAGTCTTAAAGAGCAGAATGTTTCTAACAGAGCCACTTACCTTTAAACTGATCAAAGTCATAACCTCTAGTTTTCTGTAAAGTCCAGCTAGCAAATATGAAGTTAAAACCTGACATCTCAATAATTTCCCCTAGATGACACTGGACAAGATTACCCTTAACAAGGCAACTTTGGACTCCGGGGACCAAATTGCTGATCAGGCCATGAGCCTCAACTCCCCTTCTGACTGCGGGTACAATCTGCTTCTGTCTTTGGAGGTGCTGTGTTGGGGTTGTAGCTTGGCACCCTCCCCTCCCTGCTCCTCATTCTTCTGTGAATGTGTGGGCAGAATGCACTCAGGAAGCCATTAAGAGAAAATCTACTTGACCTCAACATGCCACGTTTCAGAGTACATGATGTTTACTGATAAGTAAATTATAAATATTTTCCCCAGGTTAGTCACCGATTCCCACCTGGCACAGTTCCACTCAGCAGACTAGCTCCTGGCCCAGCCAGCTTCACCCCCGGCTGGCTGGTTACTTGATGGATGCCATATGCCTTGGCTTAGCTGCTTGGCTTGGCTTTTTGAGCTTCAGGTTCTTTCTGACAGGGTTCCAAATGCAAATCTCCTTTTTAGACCCAAACTACAGAATCCATAACAGTTCCTTGCTTTCCTGGATTCCATTCCACCTTTCCCCTAACAAGTCCCAATTCCGATGCCTCACTGACAGACTGAGCTTAATAAATAATTGCTTAAGTCTCCTTTTGTCTTACCTCTTGGAAAAGGGCACTATTCCACGGCTTCAGGTTAGGAAAACAGTGGTGTGGGCACGCGAAGTTATTTAGATAGATAGGCCTTGATTTCGTTAGATTCTCAAAACCTCTTTCTGCTTTAGATCTCCCCTTCTGGGAGGAGATCTATCCACTCCTGTGCTTTTTACCAAGTAACGTGTCTCCAGTCTTTGCTTTTAGTCAGGCTTCTCACCAAACCTTTTTTTTTTTTTAAACCGAATGAGACTTTTGAGTGCAGCACACCCCTTCCCACCTTGCCTTACCCTGCCTTGTCCTTATCCATTTATTGTCTGATCCTGACAACCCACTTCAAGTTCATTATAAAATCATCACCCCCCAACCACATTTGCATAGCACATCCATAAAGCTACCTTTGTCTTCAGTAGGAAGGGACTTAATTGTGCTGCACATAATTAGGGCAAAAGACTCTTCATTACAATCCTATATTTCTACGGAAAAGTAGATGAAATTTTCATTAGTTTCCTACTACAGACAATGGATCCAGATAATTCAGGATAGCAAAGGGCTGATGTTCTTTATTTCCAGATTGACTTTCCAATATCCAACAAGGTGACTTAGAAAGAATGCTGCATTTAGGATCAGAAGACTTAGGTTCAAATCCAAGCTCTGCCACTTACTAGCTGTGTGACATTGGGAAGGAGGTTTAAATGCTCCAGAGTTCAGTTTACCCATCTGTAAAATGGAGACAATAACATCTACTTCGCTCAGTTACAGTGAGGATTGGATGACCTGCAAGTACCAGCTCCGTGCTTATTCAGTGATGGGTTTAACCTTAGCCTGGTTAGTTTCTGTGAGCAGACTGGAGTATGACAGAAACACTGGCTTTGAAGATTTCCTTTTGCCCCTTAGTATTAATAGCTGTGTAATTGTGGGCAATTAATTACTGCAGTCTCTCAGAGATTTGATTTCCTCATCTACAAAATGAAGATAATGTCTCCTTCTTGGCTTATATTATACAGAACATTTTAATCTGAATTTGCTTTGTAAACTAAAGCACGTTGTATAGTGTTATGATGGTGCAGCTCCTTCCCAGGGAAGACTGAACTAGGAATTTTAACCAAAGTCTCCTCCTTCCCTATCTCCCAGACCCTCAACACTCCCCACTACCTGCACCCCCAGGTCTCCCCTGACTCGCTACCTTTCTGTGGCTAGTGTACTTCCCAGAAGATCAAACAAGGAGATCTTTACTGGCTCCTCTCTGGGAAAGTAGGGCAGATTCTATTAGCCTGGAGGGAGTTGGGCCTGAAATTAAACCCTGAGGCACTCCTAGGACTTGGAGATGCTAAATCGTCAACCTTCCATTGGTTGGCCTGAGTGACAACTAAGCTCCTTAAAGTCCCCTAGAGAAATTCAGCAAGAATAAAGATTATTCATACTAGTATTTTCATCCAGTACTTGTGAAAAACTGATGTGCTTAACAATACGGTTTTTATTCAATGGTGTGTTTAACCCTAGCTTATCCATGCAAATATTTTCCATTAGTGTATGTGTTCCTGGTTTATCACACCCCCTTAGATCCTGGAGCCTCTAAGGAACCATGTTTCACCCGAAAAGCTGAGGATGATCACAATGGATGTCAGCTCTGTTCCCCGGAGACAACCAGCTGGGGTTAAATAACAAGGCATAATAATTGCCTTCAGGAATGCTTTCTTCCGAGGGGAAAAAAAAAAAATCACAAAACCTGTAGCTCTCCAGGACTCCTCCCAGGCCCTAGACTCTGACCCGGCTCTGCAAATGTCCACTCTCAAAAGGTTCTGGAACGGTCTACCGGCATGTTCTTTGAGGCAAACAGCCTGACTTCCGCCCTCCCTTTATGGGGCCCAAATTATCAAAGGCTTAGATGTCACAGAAAAGTGCAGGAAGAGGTGGGAGGAGAAAGGGATCATGTTTTGTTTTCTGATAACCATGAATTTTCGTTGTTTCATCTGGCTTTCAGCTTTCATCAAAACAAGTTGTTTACCGAGATTAATGTTGGGTATAATAAAGGCCCCAGACAGTTCTACCTGTGGGTACTGAGACTCAATAATGCCGTTCTCAAATTACACTCTTCGCTTCCATGGGGCAGCTTCAGTGTGTTATTGTGAGCTGCTTTCTGCTGATTTAAAGTGAGATGACATGGAAACAGATTAGTGAAAACCACAGACATTATAAATTGCAATTTGGCCTCAAAAGATGAATGAAGAAGAAATGCTTTGATGTGTGATTCAGAGCTGAGCTGCAGTATTTACAGAAAAACATGTCTGCAGGGAAAGAGAGAGAGAAAAAGAGAGAAGCACAGAAAGGAGCCTTTGGGTATGGAAAAGGATATTTTCTCAAATTATAGATGACCTAAATAAATCTGAGGGCTCAAGTAGAGAGTGCAGGGGTTTTCTTGCAACTTCATTAAGCCCGTAAGGGTTGATATTGAGGGGATTTACACGATAGGACATCTGGTCTGAGAAAACATTGCAGTATCTAATCTAATTCTTACCTGGCAATCCTGTAAATTCAGGGCTGCAGAGAGACAAATGGCTGCAGGGACCCCCTGCAATATTTCTTTATACTTGCCCTGCTCCCCAGTAGATGTTTCATGGCCACTGCCCGACCAGAACAGAGGCCCGCTGGGACATTCATCCCTCTGCCCTTCTCCCAGTGCAGGATATACAGCCATTCTGAGTACTCTCTGGAACTCTGAGACTGAAGACCGCAACCATGGCAGCTCCCTGACCTTACAAGCAACTAGGATGTCCCCAGCCAGTGCCCACCTCTCCCCCGACTCCCAGCTCAGGCCTTGACTGATTTAGACTTAGTGGCATCATGAAATGTTAGATAAGAAAGTCCATTAGGGAATCAGAAAAACAATCCTCCTAAACTTACAAATGGGTGATCTAAGGCTCAGAGAGGTCACTTCACTTTCCCAGGGATACACAATTGGCTCTTGTGCACCCCACTGGGGAACACAAAACTTCATAACAGAATGAACATAGTGAAGCCCTAATAAAAACAATGCCTAAGAAGTGTGTAATGCTCTTCCCTCCAGCTTCCTATATCTGCTACCTATAGAAATAAGGGGTGCTCAGAGGCCCTTTGGGCTTTCCCCTTTCTTGGGGTAAAGGGCACAGAAAAACATGGAATCTGTGAGTCAGATGTCAAATTAGATTTTACATGTAACTATTACTGCTGATATTTATTGAGCAGTTACTCTGTACCAGGCACTGCTTATATATATTAACTCATTGATTTCTCACAACTACACTAAGAGGTAGATACATTTATTCCCATTATACATATAAGGAGACTGAGATTTAGAGATATGATGCAACTTCCCCAAGGTCACACATAAGGAATGGCAATGCAGACCTCTACCCTAGGCAGTTCTATGTGAGCCCAGAGTCTGAGTTCTTTAACCACTGCCAGCAGATTTCAAACCCTGGCACATCTCTGAACCACTTGGGTGCTTGTGAGCAACACAGTCAGCTGGGTCTCTCCCTTGGACTCCTCCCAGCACCTCCTGGTTCAGTGCCGCCAACTCCCAGTTCTCTCCCCTCTCCTTCTTTCATCCTGAAAACATTCCCTTACCATTTGCATAGCTTATCTGACAGCTGATCACTCTCCCCTGAAACCTAACTGTGCCCTCTTGACTCCTCATTTCTTGTGTGATCTCTATTTTAAGGCTGCTCTGGCTCTCTTTTCATCTTTTTACTATACAGACAGTAATGCTTTGTAAACACCAGTTTACATTGACACCTGTGCTAGCAGTATGCTTACTCTATTTGGAGGCGAGGAGCTGGGATAAGGGGAATTTGTGCCAAAGCCTATCTCCTTTTGATGTCTCCTGTTCACCTAGCAAATATTCATGGAACAATTTCTGTCTGCTGAGCACCTTGCTGCTGCCCATATAGAATTGAGTAAAATATAGCTCCTAGCCTCAAGAGCTTATAGTCTAGCTCTTCTACCTGAAAAATAAGAATACCACCTCCTTCTTCACAGAACTATCCTTCATTCATTTACTCACTTAGCAGATGAGTATTAAGCATCTTCCTTTGTGCCAAGCAACTTTTAGGAACTAGTAAGAGGAGCTTTGGTCCCTAGGACCTTATAGGGGGAGAGGTTCTGTAGAGGATTATACCTCAGTGTAACTGTGGGAACCAGAGGGATACTTATCACCTGCCAAAATGAGCCAGAAATATGCTCCCTGAGGTACCCTGGAGCTAAATCTTGAAGGACTAAATGGCTAAATGAGGAAAGGAGAAGGGAAGGACATGCAGGGAATGACAAGGGCAAAGGCAGAGAGAGACATTAGAAGCAGATTGTGTTAAAAGAATGCATATTGACTTCTGGGGCTCTAGGTGGGGCAGCAGAAGGGGAGAATAGGAAGTGAAAGTGTGAGGGTTGTCTGGGGCCGAAAATAGGAAGACCTTCCCTTTCTGTTCAGCCTGCTTCTTGACCTTCCTTCACTAATCTAGGATGCTAACGTTGCGTCTCATAGGTTTGCGGGAGTGTGAGGATTTCTCTCTACTTACCACTTGCCCTGTGTATCACTTACCCATCGCTTTGACCACCTCTATGGGCATCCCTCAAGGATCCTTCTGTTTAGACAGTGACCTTGGCATCACTCTGCCCAGCACCTCTGTATGAGTCATTAGCTCACCACACAGACCGCCAACCATTTAGAGGTCAAAGCTAGTTTATTACAGCAGAAAGAAGTCTCAGAGCCCAAATGCTATACAAGTATTTAATTATGGGTGCACAGTTTAATTACTTAGTCCAGCTTTATATGACTTAATTTATAAATATAATTTACAGTTCCCTTGTTTCTTTCTCAAGCCATTTAGTTCATTAATAGTGCTGACTATAAGAGCTCTTCAGTCCTTTCCTGCTGGGCTACAGGCCAGTGGTTACCAAGGTAAGGGGAAGGGGGGCAGGGATGTTGGGAGAAGTCTGCTCCTGCAAGAAACACTTTATCACTGGTGTTGCTAGGAATTTCCAGTGCATGGTGATAACAAAAAGCAGACTGACTTTTATTTGGTTTTATTATTGCTTTCAAAGCCTGTAAATGCTAACACCCCCCTCCACCCCATTGCCTGCACCCAGAATAGAACACTTGCCCCTCTGCCAACCCCATGCCTCTTCTCTAGGCACAAGCTTTAGTTCCTCATTGAAGCCATTTCTCAGCAACAACCTTCTAGGGCTTCCTCTTAGGTCTCCCTAAGTAGCATTTGTTCATTCAACCAGTGTTTATTCAGTACCTACTCTGTGCAAGACATTATTAGCAATGGACTGAAAAACCAGGGTAAAATATAATACAACAATTAACAGTTACTGCACACTCACTATGCACCAGGAACTGGGCCAAGCTTTTGCAAACATTGCATTTAATATTTAGAAAAACCCTGGAAACAAAGCTCAGATTGTTTAAAACAGTGGCTGTTGACCCTGACTGCATAGCGGAGTCACCTGGGGAGGTTTGACGCTGGAGCCGACCCTCTAGAGTTTTTTATTTAATTGGTCTGGGGTATTTCCTGGTCATCCAGATATTAAAGAACAAAATAAAACACCTTTTCAGGCAATTCTAATGTGCAGCCATGTTTAAGAGCCACTGATATAAGTAATTTTCCTAAGATTCCACGAATAGAGCAGGAAAGACAGGCGGGCTGGCCAGCTGGCCACCTGAGCCCTACTGCATGCCGGACTCAGCAGCACTAGGTCCTTTTACTACTAAGGATATAACAGAGGACATGTGCCATAAAAAAGATAAGACAGTATTAAAGTTCAAGGGACAATGAACTTGGACAATTCTTCATGAAAGACCTAACTTATTGGTTATCGTTGTAAAGCATTTGCAGGCTATGCAGAAGTAGTCAAATGGTAGGGCAGGACTTCTAGACAGAGACAACCACATAAGCAAAGGTGTGGAGGTTGAAAAACATGGACAACGTATAAGGATCAGTGAGCAGACACCATGTGCGCTGCGACAGCTGAGGGCAATTAGGCAGGAAAGGTAAGTCAGGGACAGGTCGTAAAAAACAGTTCTTCCCAAACTTCAGATTAAGGCACGTGTAGAATAATGATCATATGTGTAGCGTACATCAGGGGAAAAGGACAAGGCTCTGTGGTGGATCAGCCTCTCAGCGTATCTGGCACACCCACTGGGAAGTTTTGGTTTAAAGCCTTGAATAGAATCCAAGAAGTGTGAGCTTCATTCTGTGGGTAACAGGGAGCTGATGAAGATTTTATATTGAAGTAGGAGATTGTGATAGGATCCAAGCTGGATATTTTTAATACAAATCTAGGCATTGTCACAATGGCCTTCAAAAGACAAAGACTTGACTTGTTAAGTTTCTGCCAAGCATGACTGATAGAATGCTTTCATAATATGTTATGATTTGCTATACAGGTAGTGTCTTTCCTGCTAGACTCTGAACTCTTTAACAAGAGAGACTGTTTTATCTCTTCAAAAAAAATTCCAGTGCGTAGCACAGGGCTTGGCACACAGGAGGTATACAATTAGTATACCACTCATTAAATTCCATTCAGCAGGCAGCCATCTATTTCAGAGTCAGGGAGCAAAAGATGATGCAAATGCATGTATATTAAAAAGAGAATAGAGACTAGAAGGCCCTGGGCAGACAGA
Source organism: Homo sapiens (assembly GCF_000001405.40). NCBI lineage: Eukaryota > Metazoa > Chordata > Mammalia > Primates > Hominidae > Homo > Homo sapiens. Next base: position 95,294,693 of record NC_000011.10, on the reverse strand, counting down.
ACTGGTTTTCGGGGGTAGTTTCCTTCCTCAAGCCTCTGCTCTTCTTCTGTAACAGCGACAATAGAAACTACCCAGCAGGAATGTGGTGAAATAACACACAAGGGGTGCATGGCAAAGGCTTGGCACCCAGCTGTCCCCCATAAAGGGGCATTTAATATTTAATTTTCAAATGCTTTAAGTCAAATAATGAGGATCATATTAATAGTTCCGATTTGTATGAGTTACATTTTCCTTTGTAAATGTACGTTTTGTTAGATGTGTGTGTGGCAGGGTTGCTGAGTTTATAAGCCTGAAGTTCTGGTTGTTGCCCTTAGTTAGCGTTCCACACAATCACCAGGTGTGAATAATCACATTGACTGCTTGTTGAGAATTCACTATGTTTTAGGTCCAATGTAATGGACCAATACATAACATATATAGATAAAACATTAGGTCCAATGTTATATATTTTATCTCACTTACTCATCTAATCCTGCACAGGGGACGCCAAGTATGGCCCTGGGACTGCTTTGCATAGCCCTCAAGATAATTGTATATTTTTGAAGGTTTAAGAAACAAAAAGAATTTGATACGAAGACTATCTGTATTGTAAAGCCTAAAATATTTACCCTCTGGCCCTTTTCAGAAAAAAATTTGCCAATCCCTACCCTATAAGATAGGTACTAAAAGTGTGTCCACTTTGCAAATGAGTAAACTGAGTTTTCGAAAGGTAAAGTAATTACCCAAGGCCAGACAGATAAATGGCAAGTCTTGGTTCTAAATCTAATCTCATACCCATGGCCTTAAACACTAGCTTTATTGCCTTAAATTACAGTAAAATGTTTCCTTTCCCTTTAATGTAAGCCCAAACTTGACCCATCCATAGCTTGATCCTAAAGAGTTTGTGACATGACTTCTCTGTTGCCAACATCCCTGAACATGCTGCATCTCACCTCTCCTTATGTTAAAAACAAAGAACAGGCCAGGCATGGTGGCTCACGCCTGTAATCCCAGCACTTTAAGAGGTCAAGGCGGGCAGATCACCTGAGGTCGGGAGTTCGAGACCAACCTGACCAACATGGAGAACCCCATCACTACTAAAATTACAAAATTAGCCAGGCGTGGTGGCGCATACCTGTAATCCAAGGTACCAGGGAGGCTGAGGCGAGAGAATTGCTTGAACCCGGGAGGCGGAGGTTGCCGTGAGTTGAGATGGCACCATTGCACTCCAGCCTAGGCAACAAGAGCAAAACTCTCTCTCAAAAAAAAAAAAAAAAACCAAAAAACTGGCCCCAACTGTCTATCAGTTTCCTCTCCCATACTCCTCACAGAGTTTCCAAAGCGGCAGAGGGTCAAGGGCTTCCAGGAGAGTTACAATCCACAGGAGAGCCTGCTGAGAAGGAAACAAAGTTCATTGTCTTCAGGCAGTCTGGATTCTAGCTGTGGGGGAAGGAAGAGAACTAAGGGTTTCCTTCCAAAGGAAAGCATGGCCAGGGTCTTTCAGTAAGCACAAATCCGAGCCACCTCCTTGTCACTCTGTCTGGGTTTTGGGGGAAAAAGACACCTGAAAACCACACTGGTTCAAGCTCCAGCAGCTCACCAGCTGAGAAAAGCAGCTGCGCCCCTTTCATCTGTTCCATATTCAGCAGGGTGATTAGCTTCATGTTCTGACCCCAAAAGAATGATAGAATGATGCCTACAGTAAGCGCTGTGCTATCCTGTCCAGCTGGGAAGTGAGGTGCCCTGTTTTATCAAATACACTGTTTCATGGGAAGCTGCCACATATACCATCAGTGGGCAACCAGGATGCAAGGACACAGAATTCATAAAATACACTTTGTACCTAAACTATGCAGAAGGTAATTCCTTTTCTTTTTTTTTTTAAGATGTTTCAGCAGTCATGGTGCCTCAGAGCACTGTCTTGGAAGGAAGAAGGTGCATAAAATGGAAATCACATTTATCAAGTTCTATGCTGCTGCTAGTGCTGAACAGGATACCTTAAATAAATATGCCTTTTAACACTGACAATCCCCAGTGCTTGTTATATCTACTTTATAGAAGAAAAAAACTGAGGTTCGAGGTGGGTTCCTTCATTCATATATTTAAGTGCCTCCTAGGGACCTCAGTACTGGGGACACTAAAATGTACAATAAAGACCCTGTCCCTGCCTCACAAAGCTTGCATCCTTGTAGGGGAGTGTCAATTCAACAACCACACAAGTAATTAATTAATTATGGTAGGGAAAGTGAAAATGCTGTGAGAACAAGTAGCAGAGGGAGCCAACCCAATCTGGAGATCCAAGAAGACCTCCCGGAGGAAGCGAGATTGAAGTTGAGACCCGAGGAATTACTCAGGAGGGGGGCAAATGAGCACTCCCCACACCAGCACCACGGAGCCCCAACAGCAGAAGGAAGCATGGCCTTTCAAAGAAGGGAAAACATGCCAGGACAGGTAGAGCAGAGGCCAGAGGTGGAACTATCATAAGGTGAAGCTGGTGAGATTAGTACAGCCTCAGCCACCAGCGCCAGCCTTGCAGACCAAGCAAGGATGTTGGACTTTATTCCAGGAAGTGGCGGAGAAACACAGCAGTCCTTCAGGAGGTCAGACTTTCTAGTAAGAAGCAAGTGATCAAATCGAGGTTGGAGTCTAAAGTCCATGCTTTTTCCACTGTACCCAGCACATTTATGTGATGGAAAAAAAAAAAAAAAAGTCTGCAGGTGTGATTGATTGATAGGATCTTCTAGCTCACAGAAAGAGTCTGGAGTAGAAGGAAAGCCCTGGAGTAAGAGTCAGAAATCTTGAGTTCTAGTTCTGCCTCTGGCCATTCCTAATTGGGCAGCTTGGCTACGTCTTTTTACCTCCACAGACCTCAATTTCCTTACTTCTAACAGAAAGGGTTGGACTAAAGCCATGCATACCCCATAGTAAATACTCAGTAAATCTTAGCGGCTACTTCTATCAGCCTCTTTGCTCTCTAATATTCTCTGTCAGTATAAATTCCGTGACTATGATTGTACTTTTTCAGATTCTCACTTACCAGGCATGGTCATCAACCTTAGTTATCTCTAGAGTAAGGTGGTATAATTATTCTTTTGACATAATCCTGGAATTCTCAAATAACATTTAGGAACTCTCATCTCCAGAAGGAATCCTGGATTTTATGGCTCACTTAAATGTTCACATAATTGATTTTCCCCTCTTACAGTATTTATCCATATAACCCACGGGCAGAAATTGAATTATGGTTCTGAAGGGACTTACTGTTATAATATTGGCAGAGTTTTCATAGGTTAAGTGATAATTAAAGTTTAAATTTCACAGAGGTCACACAGCTTTTAAGTGTGATTCCCCCCACCACTATATTATAACAAAGACAATTTGGTTTTTGAAATGCAAGATAATCTTAAACAAGAAATTATTTTCTACATTATATGTAAAGTTGTGCTTGCTTTTATTCGGTTTCTTGATTTAGCAATAATAAATTTTCATGTGTGTGTGTGTGTATTTGTGTGCTACAACATATTGATGTGATTTGGGAAGAGCTAGGAGGGCTATATTTTATTATTATAGCAAATATTTAGCCCTAGACCCCTTCCTTTATGACTACCCCTATCCCATCACTCACCAAGTTTTTGGACCCTCTCTTTTCTTTCCCCAGCTGGTGTGTGCTTTCTCTGGGAATGCAAACTCATTTTAATATTAGCTTAAGCAAGGCATAATTAGGAACACAAATCTGCTGCTGCAAGAAAACAATGCAATTCATTCAAAAGCCAAGATTCAGTGACTTTTGGATTGTCTGTCGTTAGGCTTTCTTTCCTTTTTTTTTTTTTTTTTTTTACATTCTCATCTCTCTCCATTCCAGTAATTGAAAGCTGTCTGCATATTTAAGTATGGAGCTGTAATTGGCCCATTAATATACTCTTCCCAGGCAAGCTCTGTTATTTTGCAAGAAGAAATAGGATAGCTCATCTCCTTTTTGCAATCTTAGTAGAAGACGAGGATGAGGTCCTATCTAGATTCCTCCTGTGACAGACACAAGAATAGAACTCACTATATGCTGGAGCTGAGTCACACATCAAGGGTAATTTTTATACTGAGTACTATTTCTTATCTTCCATAATAATCTTTTCTTGAGCTTTGTCTTCATACTTAACCATTTTCCCTCTCCTTCAACAGATTCATTTTGTCTTAAGACCTTGTGGCTTTACTCTTTTGTCGACATTACAAAGTAATCATTCACCCCTGAATTGTCAATTTTTGTCATTGGAGGACTTCATAGTCTGCACAAAAGGGATCATGTCAAGCGCTCTTTCATAAAACTTTGCATGTGTATTTGCGTGGATGTCTGTAAATGTGTATGTTAGCAAAACCTAAAATCAAAAATGAATTTATAACAACACGTCAAAGTCATAGAGAGTGTCACACCATGATTGGGCATTATGCAGGCAGAGGACCTCTATTATATAACATCAGCAGGGTAACAAAATCCTACATGATTTCACTTCCGTGTTTCCAGCTTCATCTCCTGACACTCCCATACTGTCTTCTCTATGCTCCTGCCATACTGACAGAATAGAGCCCTTGAAATCCCTGCTCTCTGCCTCCTCTAGGCCTCCACACATGTTCTTGGTCTATCTGGAATCCTCTTGTGCCCCATCACAATCTATTTACTCCTTATTCTTTAGGCCTCAAGTTCATTAACGCTTCCTGTGAAACTTGGCTGTGGACCTGGATCCACATACAGTTGCATAGGCTTTCAACCACAGCAAACATTTTAAAACTCTTTCATTAGGCAAGTATGCATGCTAGGCACTGGAGGTAGAGGGAGCAGGGGAAAAGGGCTTCAGGGGATCATCCAAAGGCCTCTGGTATGCCCATCTATCGTACTTCCAGACAAACTGATCCTAAGACTCTCTGAACTGCTAATGTCCTTGTATTATGAACCATCTGATTTGATGACTCTTTATGCCATTTTGTACAGGACTCTACTAATTTTTACATTCTAAATTCTTTACAGAAAGGATCTACCTACAAAGCTTAGCACTGATATGAACACATAAGAAATACCTGACAAACACCATTGACTAATTATCTATTGACATGCCACTGGGTTGACTTCCACATGAGTCACTTGGCAACCTGGTGAAATGCCCAGGGGATTGTAAACTACATAAAGACAGAGACCTCTTCTACCATATTTAGCATTTTCCTTAGGACTGAAGCAATGTCTGGCACACCATAGGCACTCCCTAAATATATATTCAGTAAATGGATGAATGAACAAATAATACAAAGCCAATGGTGAACACAAGTTCTGCCCTAAGGGAAATTCTGGCAAGAGACATAGTCTCCTCTCTCCTCCGTAACTCTTACCTTCATTGAAGATTATTTACATTTTCTCTCTCATTTATTCTTAAAGATCTTTCAAAATGGAGTCTTTACTCTTTTTATAGCAAGTCCTTGTAAGGAGAAATAATAATCTCCGCAGAAACACAAAAGCAGGAACCTTCTCCTGCACAATTTTAGAAAACACCAGGAATGGTGGTTGGAATGACTGCTCTCCCCTAGAAGGCTTCATAGAGGTAAGGTTAAAGACAAGCCATTCAGTTTATGGCCTTGCTTTGCTTATGTACAGTCAGAGACAACCATTAATAATAATAAGAGAAAAATCTGCAATTCAATATAAGCCAACAAGTATTAATTCTGCATTGGGTATTTGAAATTTAAAAAGTGAAAAGATAAGTAAGAATAGAGTGCAGTGAATGAGAGAGAATGTAAACAACAATCATATAATGTGGTAATTGCTATGCTAGAGGGATGGACAGAGTGCTCAGAGAATAATGAAGATAGTGCAATTAATTCTGTATCACAGCATGGGGAGAAACTTTACAAAGAAATTGATCATTGAGCTAGACCTTCAAAACAGTAGGATTTTGCAAGTAGAAGAGGTTAGATGGGCATTTGAAATGAAGAAGGCATCATGAAGGCATCAAGCATGCATCATATTCCAGGAGTCACCCCCAGATGGTTGACAGTGTAACTAAGAGGTTCCTTGTTGAGAAATTTTAACACCAAAGAGTATTTTTAACCTCTACGTGAAAACAGTTGTAGCTTTAGCGTCCACCAATTGAGAATGCACATAACAGCAAAATTTACTACATGTTTAGTAAGGTTTTTGAACAAATGTGTGTTTTATTAATCACTCTAACACCTACATACAGTAAAAGAAAAATGTGGTATATAATGTAAGACTTAATGTTCACATCTATTTCCATCCTTTAAATGTTTCACTGAAACAAAAATGAATAATGGTTGTCTAAGGAAAGTATTTCTAAGGAAATGGTTGTCTAAGGAAAATATATATAATATATATTATATATATTTATATATATTATATTATATATAATATATAATATTATATAATATATATTATATATAAATATATAAATAGATAATTTATATAAATTTAATAAATTTATGTAAATATAAATTTATATATAAATATAATATATAAATATATATTATAAATAATGTATTTATTTACAAGGTATATTTTACATATAAATATATAATTAGATATAATATATAATATATAAATTTATATGAATATAAATAAATATAAATATAAATAAATATGTCTAAGGAAATGGTTGTCTAAGGAAAATCTTCCTGGAAAATTCACCTTGTGAGAGTATCAGAAAAGAAAACTAGGGCTTTAGGTAGTTCTTGAACCTCCCACACAGACATACAATAGTGTGTTTAGGGGGAAGAGGAGGAGCAAGTTGAGAAATTACAACGAAAGGCAACTCTGCCCTTAAGTGAAATACTGTCTTCCTAAGTTCTCTGCCACCAAAAAAAAAAGCCATCCTCCTTTGCAAGTGTAGGTAGGAACCCCCAAACTGCCTTCTGGAGGAAAACCTACTTATAAAGAGCCTAGAAGTAGCTCTTTAATCCAAGGATCTATACAGTTGCAGAAAAAGTATAGCTGATGGCATAACCCTTGCTCATAAAGATAAACTGAAAATTATCAATAGATATTGGAAGAAAACAAACAGCATATAAAGAAAAGGACTAAAATCACAAAGGAAACAGAGATAATCCAGGGAACAGAAAGAACCTTTTCAAAACATTTTAATTAAAATCCTCAGATATTCAAGATGTTGCATCAATTAAATAAGAACAGAATACTATGTAAAAAGGAGCAACCAGGCCGGGCGCGGTGGCTCACGCCTGTAATCCCAGCACTTTGGGAGGCCGAGGCGGGCGGATCACGAGGTCAGGAGATCGAGACCATCCTGGCTAACACGGTGAAACCCCGTCTCTACTAAAAATACAAAAAAAAAAAATTAGCCGGGCGTGGTGGCGGGCGCCTGTAATCCCAGCTACTCGGGAGGCTGAGGCAGGAGAATGGCATGAACCCAAGAGGCGGAGCTTGCAGTGAGCCGGGATAGCGCCACTGCAGTCCAGCTTGGGCGAAAGAGTGAGACTCCGTCTCAAAAAAAAAAAAAAAAAAAAAAAAAGGAGCAACCAGTCCAAAACAGGAAATTAAAAGTTCTAAGAAGTTTAAAAAGTGGACAGGAATATGCTGAATACAGCGGACCCCAAAAAATACCTCAAAATAATTTAGATACTCAAAAAAATAAAGTCAAAAAAAGCTCCCAAAATGTGGATCAAAAAAGTGTTTTAAAAAGTAAAATATGAAAGAAAAAACAGTAGACAAGCAGGAAGAGAGTGGGCAATGATGTAGTGTTACTTTCTGATCTTTCATAGTCAATAATTCTCTCCAGCTGATGATAACAAGAAACAGAAGGGCGAGTATATTTTCTAAAGTTGAGTGGTTACCAGTAAAATTAAAAACACAGCCTGTCAATAGTGACTGCTTTCAGGACATGAAACTGGGAAGCTGTCTTTGGGATGAAAGAGTTCATTCTATGGACTCACGTTTTCGTTGGGGAAAAAAATACCACATTACATTTATTTTAATGTTTTTCATAAAGTTATCATTAGAAATTATAAACCATTGAAAGAATTGAGACACCATTTCCACATTCTCCAAATCCTCACCACCCATGAGAATTACCTAAGGAAGGCAAAAATCAATCTATTCTCTGCCAAACAAGGGGTCTTTTGTAACAAAAGAAATCCCGGAAAGAAGAGCATATCCTGCTGTGTGTCAGGGGCTTTTCCAGGTGCTCTGGATAAAACAGTTAATAAACAACAAAAATCCTGCCCTCATAGAGCTTACCTTCTTCCCTTAGCATATAAAGCCATAGTTATTACTTTGCAATTAATAGGCTCAGTGTCGTTTTAACTGAGGAGTATTTCTCAGGTGAGAATAGACCATATGATATTCAGAAGAAAAAAATTAACTATTTCACAATTGTGAAATTATAATTTAATATTAGGTAAATTCAGGTGGAACCCATCATCTCCCAACCCCGTTCCCTACAACACTCCATGCCAAGAAGAGACCTTCCCAAGATATTTTCCTTTTCCCAAGGAGAGTTTGGGGTAGACCACCCGTGTGAAGGATTTTAAAGAGGAAGTTTCAGGAAAGAGACGACATAGGGGAGATCAAGGCAGAGAATGAGAGAGCTGCCATGAGGGACTAGAAATAGGGGCACCTTTGTTTGGTGTAGGGGAACAGGTTAGGAAAACACCACCATCACCACCACCACCACCACAACCACCACCACCATCACCACCACAACTCCCAATTATCAGGCTCTGTGCCCTTTAAGGCTGATTAACTGAACCCTTGAGTAAAAGAACTGCCTGCTCCTCCTGAAGAGTTTGCATGGTCCTGGGGCAGGTTGACATGGAGACACTCAAGAGCAGGCAGGCTCTCTTATCACAGGGCATCTTGCAGGTTCACACATCAGGGATAGTTTGAAGGATGCTTGTTTGGAGAAGGTGAGAAATGAGGCCAGAGAGGTATATTGGACAGATTTTGAAAACTACCTCTTGGGTTACACCAGAACTTCAAAAGGAAGTCGAGAAACATACAAAGGCACAAAATATACAAATAAGAAAGGAGTAAGGGAGGAGAAGCTTTTTAAGAAAGAAAGAATATAATCAGATCTGAATTTTAGAAACACAATTCTGGTAGAATATTTACAGTGGGCTTGAAAGAAAAGAGATTCACAGGGAGCTCAGTTAGGAGGTTACTGTAATTATCCAGGCAAGAAATGCCCTAAACTAGGGTAGTGACAGTTGGGAAAAAGTTATATACCTCTTTTGTGCTATTTCAAATTCTTCCTGCCCTACCCTTTACTCTGACCACTGTGGCCATCACCATTTCTGCACAGACTTCAACTAGCTCTGGGCAGGTGCAAACAGAGCATGGAGCCAAGACCATGTACTCCATGCTTGACCTGATGTTACTGCATGGAATGCCCCAGGAACCCGCTCTGCAGTCTCACGTGCACAAGCCAGAAATATGATGGTTCTAATCCCCATGGGGCCATGGTTGAGTTATGGTATGGAGGAGTTCTCTGCATGGACAATGGTGATGCATTTCACAAGACTCTTTAAAAGATCCCACAGGATCAAAGATTTGCAGCGGTGGCCAACTCAGTAATACAAACTTGATTCGGCTGTTTGCTCCGTGTCTGTTGATTCTGCTATACCTTTCACTGCTCCCTGGGTCCACTCTCATATTAAACCACTGTATACAAGACTTGTCTCAGGCTTTGTTTTGGTGTAACCTAGGCTAAGGCAGATAATCACAGAATCTGGTAAATTATACCATGTTGGGGAAAGGAAAGAAGAAACTTCTAAGATGGCTGAATTTCCATTGCAGGTGATGGAACTGGCATGTGCTGAAGCTATCTGATATGACTGTGTCTGTCTCTGACATATGCATACACACACACACACACACACACACACACACGTACACATACCCACAATCCCCTTTTTATTTGTAGATGGCTAGAATCTGGCTTCTGGCTTGTGAGTAGCCAACTTCATTGTAGTTCTGACTTCCTTAAGGCTGTTTGCTTTCTGATTTAAATTATGTTGTTCTTACCCCACTCCTTCTTCTCCTCGTCCTCACTCTGTTCTCTTTTCTCCTTTCAAGTTTTTCTTTTTTACTCATATCAAAACCTAGTTTTGTGATATGAAGCTAGTGGTAAAATCCTAACTAAGCCAAATTTACATAGTGAGAGAGAAAGCAAATAATTACATTTTTATTAAAGACAGGAAGGCAAGAGTAAAGGTAATCCATCACTTTTCAGGGTAATTTGTTATCATCTTCTGGTTATTTGGGATCTACTGGGGACTGACCACCTAGGTTTTTGTGTCATGCAGTCATCATTTCATTTGTTTTACCACTCACCGGATGTGAAGGTGGCCCCTGTACAGGTAGGGTTTGCAAGCAGCCTGAACTCCCTCATCAGAGGCTTTGTCAGTGTGCAATATTGTGTTGAGGTGGGTGGTGCAGCAGTGTATAATTTTGTTTGTCAGTGAGTCATGTTACAATGAGACTCACATTACGCAGCCACAGTGACAAAAATGTGAGGCTGGAAATGTGAGCATTTATCTCAGTCCAATTTGTGTTACAATAACAAAATACCACAGACTAGGTCATTTATAAAGAAAAGAAATGTATTTCTTACAGTTCTGGAGGCTGGGAAGTCCAAGATCAAGGGGCTGCCATCTTGTGAGGGCCTCTGTGTTGTATCATCCTATAGTAGAACATGAGAGGCTAGAAAGCACATGGGAGAGAGGGCAAGAGGGCTGAGCTCATTCTTTTATCAGGAATCCATTCCCAAGATAACTAACCCACTCCTGCTTTAATCCATTCATGACGGCAGAGCCTCATGACCACATCACTGCTTAAAGGTTCCACCTTTCAACACTGTTGCATTCGGGATTAAGTTTCCAACACATGAACTTTGAGGGACTCATTCAAACCATTGCAACATTCAATTCAACAAATTTTTATTGAGCAATACTTTCTTACTCTGCGTAATCAGACTCACTGGTGCAAAATCTTAGGCATTTTTAATTACACAGAGAACCCATTTCTTTATAACTCATACCCCAGAACTTGAAGTAAAGCAAATCAAAGTGGAGGCCAGTATCCTCCATGTGTAAGCCTCCATTCCCTTGCAAATGGTCACAAAATTCCACCACTGCTTCTTTCCAGCCCCTCTGCCACATGCTCTTCCCTTTAGTTTCTCTTGTCCAGGTTACAGAAATCCAGTTCCTTTCTTATCATCTATAGAGTAGAGTAGTTCCCCCTTATCTGTGGTTTCAGTTACCTGCAGTCAACTTCATTCAGAAAATATTAAACAAAAAATTTCAGAAATGAAACGATTTACAAGTTTTAAATTGCATGCCCTTCTGAACAGCACAGTGAAATCTCACACCTTCCCATCCTGGACACGATCATCCTTTTGTCCAGCGTATCCATACTGTGCACACTACTCACCTTCTGGTTACTTAGTAGCTATCTCAGTTATCAGAGTGACTGACACAGTATATATATAGGATTCAGTACCATCTGCAGTTTGAAGCATCCACACATTTATCCCCCACAGATAAGTGGGGGCCCACTGTACACACCAGAGGCAAGTATTATAAGCACCTTACTTAAAACAAAAATTCTGTCTTTGTAGCAAGCTCTCATTTTTCATTTCCTTCGAAGTCAGACCCCATCTCTGAGATCTGCCCCTTTTCATTGATGTCAGCAGGAGCCAACCTCTTGTCCAACTGTCCTGAATCCCTTACTGTCAGTCAACCTTTGACTAGAAATATTTGTATAACCAGAGAGAGAATGAGCACATTTATTCTCTTAAAAAATTCCATGTTCTATATTCAAGGCCAGTTTCCCAAAGATCCACTCCGGGGGTCGGGGGGTTGGTATTGAGGTAGCTTGCCAATGGAGCTGGGTAGAAAGTGGTCTGATGAGATGCCATTTTTTCACATGCAAACAGTGGCAAAGAGATTTGTTTATGCCTTGTCATGACTAGACAACCCAAATACCACCACGCCTGCATCAGCAGTTGAGTCTGGGTTTTGTCATTGTCAGTCCCTCTGGCATTCAGAAGAGATGCTGGCTCAGGAGGACCAGCAGAGTTTAATTTCTGAATGCATCTGAAATACTTTAAGCTCTTTGTTGGAGCCATTGCAAAATCGTAGTGGGTATAAGCCTTCTTTTCCCTTCAGTGGTTGCATCACAGTCACTAAGACAAGCACAACTGGCTGTTTCTCCAGAGAAACGTAGGCATCCGTGGTCCAAAGGTTAAGTATGCTGGGGCCTGGCTTGTTCAATTGCATTTCATTAGAGAGCCCAAGTGAGTGCAGGCTGAGCTCAGCAGCCTTGCTGGGGATGGGGAAGCAATTGCTGGCTGTTCTTTCTCCAGGGAAGGGGAGCAGCATATGGTGCTCCGCCTGTGACACAAACGGTTAATTTCTACTAGCTTTTCTGTAGTTTCAGCAACTCTGGGATTAGAAAGGACAGTTTCTTTACAATTCTCTGCAATATCTCTCAAAGTTACTTTCCAAGTCTCTGCTTTTGTTCTGCTGATTCTCTTTCAGCAGCTTTGTTTTGCTAAGGAGTAAACACTTGGTTTGGGATTGAGGGGGGATTTAGCTGCTTTGATTTTTCACTGCTTTTGCCCAGGGTCTCTGGAACAGTTATTTTGAATCTTGAAATAGCCTTAGATGTTTCTCCCTTATATGCATACACAAACACTTCTCTCTTTCTGTCTCTCTCTCCACCTGCCCTGTATTGTTTATTAATCACTGTGGAACCATACTGGTCCATATGGAATAAAAATCAGCTGAAGCAAAGACAAGGTATTTGATAGATTTAGTGGTAGTGGTGTGTGGATATGAGAGAGAAAGAGAGAGACTACTATTAATAATAACTGTTTATTGAGAACTTTCTATGGACCAGGCACCACGCTGCTAAGTACTATACAGGCATTCTTTAGTTAAATTCTCTCCAAGCTTATAAAGGCAGGTGTTGTTACTATCCCCATTTTACAGAGAAGAAAATTGAGGCCTAACTTGCTAGAGACACAATTTTGAAACAAAATTTGCTCTTAATTATGATGTTATAATGCCTAGCCCACTCCCATCTTTCTCAGAATTTTGTTTTATAAGAAAATTATATCACTGTTTTTTTTTAATGGCACAAAATCCTGAGACCAACAAGGATAATGACAAGAACTATAAATATTGAAACTCTTACCTATTAGACACTGTGCTTGATCTCACACAAACTTGCCTGTACATAAATAATAATACATATTATGCCCACTTTAAAAATGAGAAAACAGAATCTAAGATGTTTTAAGTAACTTGACCCAGCTCTTTCCAACTGACCAGTAAATGGCAAGTTGGAGTTCAAATACAAAGCTGCTGATTTCAATGTCCAAAATCTTCTCAGAGCCTCTTTCATTTTTTTCCTCATTGTTTTCTTAGGGAAAGAGCCCAAGCAGAGAATCATTGTTTGATCATTTTCTAATTTATCCATGTGTGAGCACCAGCACTTCATTCCTAATGTATGTACAGATTCATGTATTTAACATACAGTATAAGTACATTGGGAGAGATACAGTCCTCAGAAAAAAACAGAAGCCAGCATTTATTGAGGTTCTATTACATGCCAGGCACTATGTTAGGTGCTAAGATGTGGTCCCTGCCTTTAAAGAACCCTCAATCTTACAGGGAGATAAATTCTTAAGACATGAACTTTCAACAGAAGGTAGTGAGTCTAGTGAGGGGCTGTCATATACACTCCCAGATCAGGGGCATCTAACGTAATTGCGCCTCTGAGAGACCTTGGTGCCATCTACTCATTGTTTTCAGATGTTCACATTTGCACAGTTAACACAATTCTAGAGGGAACCAATGTTGCTAGCGGTTCATAAAACTGAGAAACAAAGCAAAAATAGCAAAAAGTAATACTACGAATAATAAGTGAACTGGAAACTCCTACTCAGAAAGTTTCCTAGGCTCTCCACTTCCCTGGAGCTACTCAGCCAGGCCATCTGCATGACAAGTCCCCAGTCCTGCCTGCCCTGCCAGAATTCCCCTCCAAAGGCACCAAGCCCAGAATCTGCTGAGTGGGCAGCAAGTTCCCGATGCCTGCCTTCCAGTGCCAGGTGACTTGGCTCAGGTATCTCCCAGAAACTTTGTACCACAAGACCTGGAAATTATTGCCTTTGCTCATCGCCAGACATTAGAAACGAGTATCTGTATCAGAAAAATAAGTAAATACAGGAAACCAGTAAGGGAAAGAGAAGGGTGAAACAGACAAATAAGGAGAAGTGAAGACAAGAACTAGAGACAAAACATCTCACAGGAGACACAGAGAGCTTTTGAAACTTCCTAATTTCCTACAAGGTTCAATGAGCCTAGTTGTACTTTCCCCATCTTGAATTTTGTGCAATCTCTCTATTTTATTTTACTAAATCCTTTTAAATGTGTTAACTCAAGTGGGTTTCTGTTTCTTCCTACCAAAAAAAAAAAAAAAATCTTTGACTAGAACACGTTCAAATTCTTCTCTTTTGAGTCATACATTTATCTTTTTAACCCACTATTTTGCCTCAGGAGTGAGACCCAGCCAGAGCTATTCATTATCTTGCAAATGCATTTAGCCTTTTGTTGCCTCTATTTCTTGGTTATAGGTTCTCTCTGCTCCAAAGGCCTGTTACCTTCATGTCCAAGTATCTATATGTCAGCCAGGCTTTGAGCCCCAGGGGAAATCTCCTCCATATGGCTTCTCTGAACCTTGCTGGCCACAAGTAATCTCTCACTATTCCATAGGGCTTCATATGTAGGTCTCTTGATTCCAGTGTTTTCTTCCTTATAGTAGAGCTATTAGTATACCCAACTTACGTTTCCTAGTATATCATAAGCTCCTAAGGGCAGAGATTTTTGTCTTACCCTTTACAAACTTTATCGGTGTTTTGCATATAGTAGACACTAAATTCTCTTTACAAAATGAGTGAATAAATGAATGAATTCAAAATGCCAGAAAGCATAATGAATTGAAAAGTGTCAAAACTCCAATTTTGGAGGAAATAAAAAGAAATCGAAAAATTAGACCCCATCAAACCTATAGGCAAAAAACAAATTAAAGAATATATTGAGATCAGTGCAAATTCAAGCAAACCTTGAACTTAATCTCTAAGATTTCTTCCACTACAAAATAAAATAAAATAAAAATCCATGCCTATGTTATTCTATACGACAAACATCTACAGCACTCCACAGGGAGACCAGAGTTTAGGAATCAAGTCTTGAGATGGTGCACATTTTTAGTGATGAAAAGACAATCCTTTTATCCATTTACCATAGTACTTATCATTACATAGTATGATATGTAATTATTTATATACCTATTTGCTTATGATTTCTCTCCTACTGAACCTACTGAAATGTGAGTTCCATGTGGAAGTGATCTTTGTTTCATCCAGTGATGTAGCCCGTGTGCCTAAAGAATGACTGGAATAGAGGTGGCACACAATAAATAATTGCTGAATGAATGATTGAATGACGAATGAATAGGAAATATAAAAACACATGAGCTATAGCCTCTGTCCTCATTAAGCATCCAGCTGTCTTTAGTATAGAAGACACTGCCCTGCCCATATCCTTCACCAGACCAATGCCCTCAGCCCCCAGCTGCTATAAGGGTTGTCTGCTAACAGCTCAGAGCTGCCCACTACTCCGGAGAATTGCTCTCAGTGGCTGGAAACATCTTTCCCAGAAAGGCATGGGAGGTTGCACATTATCTCCAGAGGTGGCCAGTAGCCAATGACTGGTTGATAAAGGGCTCCAAAATGTTGCCTCCACACCACTCGCCCACAGTACCTCTCAGTGTGGGAAAGTTTTGCAATGTCATTTGCCATCTAGAGTTCCTCAAGGGATCAAAGGGAGTGCACATCTTTATTTGGTCCCTCCTCATTCTGCTTCTCTCATTCCCTCCCTGACAAGTTTTTCTGAGAGCACTCTCTCAATAAATCACTCACATAAAAATCCCTGTCTCAGGCTCTGTGTCTTAAGAACCCAACCTAAGACATTTGGAGTTATCTATTATCTATTATGTGCCATGCACCATTTTTAAGACTTTATATTCAGTTGGAAATTTAATTACTCTAACTTTCATAACCAATTTGCATGACAATTATCACCCTGGATTTACTCAAGCTCACAGAGGCTAAATCAATTGCTTAATACCTTCTACATGATCAAGGTAGGATCTAAACATCAATCTTCATAAATCCAGAATCTCAATTGCTCACATTATTCTTCATTAGTACAAAACTCCATTTATATATCTCAGAAACATTTTGAATGACAATAAGAGAAGTAAAAGAGGTTTTATGGCTGATCCTCAGTTAACCAGAATATGCAATTAATCCCAACTGCCCCATCCCTAAAATTCAAGGTAATCAAGTAGTCTCACCTTTCCCAAACTGGCTCTCTCCCTTCACATTCTGATGAAAGTCTGACTTAGGAGTTCATGTATTAGGGAGTCTTTCAGTACTTTTCACTGCCATCAGAACTTTAAGTAAATTCTCAGCACTGTGGGGAAGCAGGTATCTGTTGACCTTTTCTGTTGATTGATGAAGACATCCAGACGTTGAGTGATATTCCCCAAGGCCACATAGCACATCTTCATCAGACACAAGCATTTCAAATTCCTTCCCCATGCTTCAGACTTTGGAATTGTTATCTTGTTCAAATCCACAGCTTTCACTCTCACTGAGAGCAATGAGCCACTGATGGAAACCTGTTTTGACTCCTGTCTCTTACTAGCTTTGTCTGAATCCGCTAGTCA
The DNA here is from genome assembly GCF_000001405.40 of Homo sapiens. NCBI lineage: Eukaryota > Metazoa > Chordata > Mammalia > Primates > Hominidae > Homo > Homo sapiens. The sequence goes on along the minus strand of NC_000011.10, from coordinate 95,277,910 downwards.
AGAATATGGTGGAATCATGTATATGTGAAGAGGGGTCAGCTTTCCCGGGTAGCCTTTGCAGCCTCATAGACAAGATTAAAATGGAATTTGGAATAAATAATATGTTGAATTAAAATCTAAAAGAATTTAATATCAAGCGAAATGGACAATTCGGATACTAATTTTCTACTTGGGATACTTGGACTGCTTTGCTTCCATGGCCTGTGTCTTTTGGAAATATATTGTATTTTCATAAAGGAGATTTTGAACATGTAAATACTTTTAAAATTTCTTGCCTAGCCTGAGTAAGCAAGGATAAATAGTAGGTAGATGTATCAGAGACCAAATGTGGGTTAGAATGATAAAAAAAAACATAATGCTTATAGAATGGGAAATTACAGTGAGATTTTGGCTCATAGATGCCTCTGGTTCTTTCAATGGAATTAATAGAAAGAAACATATGTTAGATTATGAATTTCTATATTTTTTCTATCACTGGTATTATTTGTTTTTATCGAAGCAATGCTCCATATTGTCAGGCCCTATCTAGATTTGATTTGCATTTCGCAACAATAGACTTTGCATCACAAAATAAAATACAAAAAAAGGAGATTTCAGATAGGTCTCTAATATAAAAAGGAGAATTGCAATGTGATCTCCAATATATAAAAGATAAAATTTATAACTACATTCTACAGAGGGATATACTTTTTTCTTTTTTTTTTTTAACATGGCAAAACCATTCATTATTATTTTATGTACTCAATCATTCATTCAATGAATATTTTCTAAGCTTAATATATAAATGACAATAGGGTGAATGCTGTAGAATATTTCAGGTATTGGTGTTGTATACAACTCACTTAAAACATTATTAGTAAGATATACTTTTTTCTCATTTTGAACAACTCCATGCTCTAAAGCTAAATCTCCCAAACCAAAGATTTCCAAACACATATTTGCACTGTAAAAAATGAACACTTGGATATCAACATCTTGAGTAATGATGATAATGTGAAACCCAAAGACAACATCATGAAATGGACACACCAGTGCCCTGGGCCTAGGGGCCTGGATTCTAGCACAATACAAGTTAACTTTGTAATATTGGACATTTGGCTTATTATTTTTTGGCTTCAGTTTCCTCAAAATTGTACATTGAGAGAATAAAGCTAGACAATCCCTAGGGTTTCTTCCAGCTCTGTATTTATGTGAATTCACATTTATGAAATTAAAGTTCTGTGGTGAAGAACCTCAGAACCTCTGTAATAGCTTTTTGAAATTAAGTAAATTATATTTCTCAGAATATTTCGGTCTGGGGTATGGTGATATAATGGAACATAGTGTTCTCTCCAGAAACGTATGTCATGTTGAGACCTGCATATATAAAATATACTGGTATTATTATTGAAAGCATGTTGAGGACACATACGCGCTCAAGGAAAATAGAATGAATGAAGTGAAATGAAATTATATAGAAGAAAAAGTCTGAGTAGTGACTCTGGAGAAGTATTCAAGACTAAAAAGGTTGGACAGACACATAAATCTACAATAGTCAGAAGTCAGGTCCGAATGAATCAGCCAGTGCAGGAAGGGTGGAGCAAGTACTGTAAGTTGAAGCAAATAGATAATAATAGTACTGAAGGACAGAAAACATCACGGAGAGGCCAGATTTTAGGGCATAGCTTATTTTCCTCTCTATGCTGCTAATATTTCCCTCTTGGTATAGGTAGCTGTGTCCATAAGGCTCATTTTAATCCAAATACTATGAGAATATGGATGAAGTAAGATACTGCCTCAATTATCAAGTAAGATACTGACAAAGATTTTGGAGGATTGCTTTCGATCACAAAGCGTTGGAAGATTCAGATAATTTTTTAGTTACTAGAGGCAGGAGATTAGATAAGAAAGAAGAAAGCAATATGTGCTTGTGTTTCTTCATCACTTATTTTGCCCTTGCCCTGTATGGAGGGAAAACAAGCCACTCCTTACTTCCCTTATATTCTCCTACCAAGCTGAACTAGTAGAGCTAGCACAGGGAATGTGGTCTGGGTAATGAAGGCATGGCCACAATCCTCACTCGTACGAAGGACTCCACACAATAGCTGACACACCTTCGCTTCTCTCACAGCAACCCCTCATGTGCTCTCCACAAAAGAACAGTGTAGAAGGCCACCCTCTATAAGGATTCCCTCTTTTCTACTTCCATCTGGTTCTGTGTGAAGATGCTCTGACCCATTCCTCATTCAAAAAGAAAGATTTAAGAAAATAGGCATCATAGGAATACATGGCAACACAGAAGATACTGTGGACACAATAGAAGTTTCCCTCCGCAAAGGAGAATTTTTATGTATCAAGTGACTAGATGGAGAGAGATGTTTTGATTTATATTTTCAATAAATTTTCTAGTTGCCCTATGGAGAATGTACTTCAGGGAGGCCAGAGTAGAAGCAGAAAAACTAGTTAAGATGTTTTAGAAATCCAGGTGAGAGATGGTAGTGAATTGGAAATGTAACATTCACCTAGGTCTGTTTTCCTCACCTTCCAGGCCCATCAAAGGATTCTTTTTTATTCCCTTTACAGTTAAGTGGTGCTCTGTAACTGGTTCTGGCCAATGGTTTGGGGGCAGAAATGATGCGTATCACTTCCAGATTAAAGGACCTGATTGCTAGGTGAGATTTTCCTGTGCTTGCTTACTCCTGCAACTGTCACTGGGGACATTCCAGATCATGGAGCCTTTCCAGTGAGGGGCCTAGAGTGAGAAAGAAGTGGAGAAGAGCTTCCTCTTGATATGCAATGGACATGAGTGATAAGGAAACATTTATCATTTAAACTGCAGAGATATGGGGATTTGTTCCCACAGAATAACCTAGCATATCCTAACAGATATAGAAATTGTGAAAATTAATCAGAGTCGGGAGATAGTTCAGAAATTTAACTGATTGGACTTTGAGACAGATTGGAGATAAATAGCAAAAGGAAGAAGAATCAAGGATGACCACAGAACAGTAATGAGCTCTGTGATTAGCAATGGCTGGCATGGTTAATCAATTATAGCACTTGCTCCCACTGAGCTCAACACAGCCTCACAATCCTTGTTAACGCAATGCTATAGAAATGAGCTAGAGTGAGAAGGAGAGATAAACAATATGACCTGCCATACCTGTGATTGTGTGGTTGTATTTGTCCATTTTCATACTGCTATAAAGAATTGACCGACACTGGGTAATTTATAAAGGAAAAAGGTTTAATTGACTCACACTTCAGCATGGCTGGGGAGGCCTCAGGAAACTTAGAATCATGGCAGGAGAAGAAGGAAGGCACCTTCTTCACAAGGCAGCGGGAAGGAGAAGTGCCAAGCAAAGGAGGAAGAGCCCCTTATAAAACTATCAGAGCTCATGAGAACTCATTCACTATCACTAGAATAGCATGCGGGAAACTGCCACCATCATTCAGTTATCTCCACCTGGTCTCTCCCTTGACACACGAAAATTATAGGGATTACGATTCAAGACGACATTTGGGTGGGGACAGAAATCCTAACCATATCAATGGTCTCTTGCATCTTCTAGCTTTAACAGTCTGATTCCATAACGGGCCCAGTGAGGACCAAATGGATGGAGATTTTTTTTAATCATTAAATTAACGGATTTGGATGAAGTGAACATAACTAAATTCCCAAAAAGTAAAATTAAGAACATTTCTACATCATCACTAACTATGGAGAAAGTCAGGAAATAAGCATTAGAAGAAGTCCACTTCTTTTTTTTTCCTTTTTTTTTTTTTAATTATACTTTAAGTTCTAGGGTACATGTGCACAACATGCAGGTTTGTTACATATGTATACATGTGCCATGTTGGTGTGCTGCACATATTAACGTGTCATTTACATTAGGTATATCTCCTAATACTATCCTTCCCTGCTCCCTCCACCCCACGACAGGCCCTGGTGTGTGATGTTCCCCACCCTGTGTCCAAGTGTTCTCATTGTTCAATTCCCACCTATGAGTGAGAATATGCGGTGTTTGGTTTTCTGTCCTTGTGATAGTTTGCTCAGAATGATGGTTTCCAGCTTCATCCATGTCCCTACAAAGGACACGAAATCATCCTTTTTTATGGCTGCATAGTATTCCACAGTGTATATGTGCCACATTTTCTTAATCCAGTGTACCACTGATGGACATTTGAGTTGCTTCCAAGTCTTTGCTGTTGTGAATAGTGCCGCAATAAACATATGTGTGCATGTGTCTTTATAGCAGCGTGATTTATAATCCTTTGGGTATATACCCAGGAATGGGATGGCTGGGTCAAATGGTATTTCTAGTTCTAGATCCCTGAGGAATTGCCACACTGACTTCCACAATGGTTGAACTAGTTTACAGTCCCACCAACAGGGTAAAAGTGTTCCTATTTCTCCACATCCTCTCCAGCACCTGTTGTTTCCTGACTTTTTAATGATCGCCATTCTAGCTAGTGTGAGATGGTAACTCACTGTGATTTTGATTCGCATTTCTCTGATGGCCAGTGATGATGAGCATTTAAGAAGTCCACTTCAATAAATGTTTTGCAATAACTAGAAATAAGAAAGAAATAATTATTCTTGGATAATAGCTGTTGATAGAATTAGGTGTTCAAAATACATTACCCTAAAGCTAGCATTTCACTGAACTAGATTAAATGGAAATTTTAAAAGCCTTTTGTTGAATAATCCCTGTCTTTCAAACAGTATGTTGGCTCTGACACTAATTGTGTGACTTTGGACAAGCCACTCTATCCTCTCTGAGTCTTTGTTTAGTCATTTGTAAATTGGGAGTGATTATGAGGGTTGTTTTGAGAATTAAATATAGTACAAAACTCTTGGTAACCCACGTAGTGCTAGTCTAATATGTGGAATTATTTATATTTTTAAAGAGTGAAATGGCCAGGTGTGGTGGCTCATGTCTATAATCTCAGCACTTTGGGAGGCCAAGGCAGGCAGATCATGAGGTCAGGAGATTGAGACCATCCTGGCTAACACAGTGAAACCCTGTCTCTACTAAAAATACAAAAAGTTAACCAGGCATGGTGGTGGGTGCCTATAGTCCCAGCTATTCAGGAGGCTGAGGCAGGAGAATGGCATGAACCTGGGAGGTGGAGGTTGCAGTGAGTTGAAGTTGTGCCACTGCACTTCAGCCTGGGTGACAGAGCAAGACTCCGTCAAAAAAAAAAAAAAAGAGTGAACTACAACTATAGGGGCTTCTCTTTTATTTTTGAGCTCATATATAATCCTGATGAGGCTGCAGAGGAAAGATGAGAAGTCTAAATTATTATAAATTCAAATCACGACACAATGGCATTTTCAATATATCACTGGCCGTCTGATCCTACATATCAACTCATGAGGGAGAAAATTAAATCACTATTCACTATGAGCATTATTAGAACTTATGAAATCAGCAGAGCATGCTCTCATTAATTCAAGTATTTGTTAAGCAGTTTATGGTAATAATTACATAGACTAAGCTGAATTCTCCCCACCCCAAACAAACCCAACCTCTAAGAAGCTGATAGAAAAAAATGTCTCTGAACCTAGCTCCTAAGATGAATTTCTTAATTCCCTAGATTTTAACAATGGAATAAGAGCATGACAGCTGAGCATCAAAAATACAAAGATAGTGAAGGAAGTAGGGGAGACCACCAAAAAGAATCTCTGAGTGACCTTTCAGCTTAATGCTACAGCAAATACACAGTAGCATTTTACTTATAAGGTTAGACAGACATACTACAACTCTATTACAGACCTGCCATAGAAAACAAAATAAACTAGTCTTGGCAACAATTTGAGAGTGTAATTAAATCCAGTAATGGGTGTGATACAATTTTAAAGAGTTTCTTTAATGAGGTTTTCAACAAATCTGACCATATCCTGATTATTTTCCTTTGGGATATTCAGTAACTTGGATAAGACGTGTCATGTCTATTCTCTAAGTCATTAGTTTTAGTTAACAGCTAATTGAGTCCTGACTTTTGATATCAAGTTTCCTCTTTGTATCTATATCCAGGTCTACACAGCACAAGGCAATTAAGCAGAACAATTATACAGTAAATCTGGGGATGCTAACCGATAGGGCACATCAGACTATAGTTCCTCCTGGAGTAAGCTAATTCAAAATTATCTGAAGGCCTGTTTGTGGAGTATGAATTCACAGGATGATTTCTGGTTCTCCACTATGACAATGGTTTTAGGAAACACTTATTGAGTACTTATAATATGCTGGACACTTATGTTCAGCACTAGGAGCACAGAAATTGTTTAAATTTCTCAGCCCTTAAGATGCTTACAGTCTAACGAGAAAGACAGGAAAACAAACCGCATTGACACAATATGGTAAATGTTTAAAGAGATTCACAGATAATATGGAACTTTTAGCACATCTTGGCTTCCTTAAAAAGGTGATAGCTGAGATGAATTTTAAAGACACATGAGGGTTAGCCAGGTGAATAAAGGCATAGAAGGGCATTTTAGATGCAGGTAACAGCCTGGTCAAAGAAATATAGGTACTGTGTATTTGGAGACAAGGATGAGCTCAGTTCGAGATGTGTTGTGGGAAAATTAAATAAATCTAGCAGGCATTTTGATATTATGAAAAAAAAAAAACAAAGCTCAAGGAAGAGTTAAGGGATGGGGATATAGATTTAGGAGTCATCAACTGATGAAGAAAAGATGAAGCCAGGGAAACAGATCAAGGGAAAAGATCAGAGGGTAAGACTGAGACCCTGGGGAGAACCCAGGTTTAAGGAACAGCAAAAAGATAAAGAATTCATGAAGGAGCAGCAGAGAAATGATCAGAGTGGTAGAAGAAGAACCAGGAAAGCAATCCAAAATGTTGAAAATTTCAAGCAGATGGCCAACAATGACAAGGAAACACAAAAATACAACTAATATAGGCCTAAAATAATACGGATTCCATTAAGCAATGTGAAGAGCATTTGTAACCTCTTAAGAAGCAATTTTAATGGCATGGAGGTCACAGGAGGAAGGAAGAAAAGCTATTATTTAGATTGCACTTTTTGACTAAGAACAGGAGTTGAAGAAAATCTAAGTTGAGAGAGGACAGTTTTAAGCAGAAAGAAATTAGAGAGCATTATAAGATGAATGAAAAGACTCACTAGAAAGTAATACATCAAATACGTAAAGAAGATAGATGATAATCAAAGAGAATTCTGTTGAAACGTGATAGGTGGGGAGAATGACCTTAAGTAGAATGGTGCTCTTAATAATTTCGGCTGTATCCCACTGTAAGGAAAATATCTCACTAAATACCCAGTATATTCACAAAGATATACACGTCTTCATATACATAAAGACAAGTTTACAAACATAATATTTGCCCTTACTACATATTTTGTACCCTGATATTTCCTTTTCTGTTCTATTTTATTTCATTAAAGCATGCTAGTCACGACCCACTAAGTTGATTTCATGCTCCACTAACCAATTAAGGCTTACAATTTTAAAGAACACTGGAATGAGAGAAAGACTATTCAATCTCTAAAACAGAGCAGAAGAAATAAAGCTGGGTAGAGATGAGGCTAAATATACACTTATAGGGAGAAAATTGAGGCATTTCAGGCCTGATGACCTCACATTTCTTGAAGTAGGACTTGAGGTCATGTGTTAAATATGAGTAGAATGGAGTCAAGGTAGAGGGTCAAATGAAAATGATGATGAATTGGAAAGGTCACTGAGGAAATTGAAGAGGACACTGAGCAAAAACAAGGAAAAGGCTACACTGCACTGAAGCTAGCAGCACTGAGGACCCATTGAAGCCAGAAATCAATTACTTATTATAGCACCAGCCCAGATTGTTCTGCAGATCAGACTCCCAGTTCCATCAGGTTTGTCAGTCTTCTTTGATACTCTTCTACAGAGAATCTAGTAAACTCTCAATACTTAGTTACTGAATGAATGTTGAATCCAAGATATTCCATCCCTGTGAGCTGGTTCACTGCCTGAATTTGAAACTATACCACTGTCATTTCAATTCCTCTCTATCTCTCTCTTGTGTGGGAAAGGCATAGGGCACTCGTTAGACTGTCTTCCCCAACCCCTACACCATTAAGGCTTTCCTTTGGAGAATTTGAACTCAGAGAACTGTTCAACTGTCAAGTTGACAGCACCAAGCATGGCACTTGGCATTCTATAGGTACAAGTCATTGATTGATTGACATCTAGTTTGCAATGTATTGTAGAAGTATGCTATGTAACCAGCCTTTGTGTTTATACAGTTTGTCCAACAGATTAAGCAATTGTCCAACAATATTATGCAATGAAACTGTGACTGTTTGAAACAATCTGGCTCCATTCATTCATTCAACAAATATCGATTGAGCACTGACTACATGCCAGGTACTATTCTAGGTATGGGGACAGAGTGTGAACAAGAACAACATGGTGCCTGCACTCAACATTGCTAACATCCTTTTTTCAGGGAGGAATGGAGATGATTTTGTTTTGTTTTGTTTTGTTTTTTGGTGGGGTGAGGAGAGGAGGACAATAAACATGCAGGAAGAGAGAAAAGCTTGTGCAAACTTGAGGATGGGTACAGCATGAAGCATGATGCTGGCATGTCCCAGAAGCTGAGAGAAAGCCAATGTGGCTTCAGCCCAGTGATGGAGAGGACAGGGTCCAGATTGTGCAGGGCCTTGTGTCGCGTTAAAGATATTCACTTCTCTTCTAAGAGCAAAGGGAAGCCATTTAGACAGGAGTATGATGAACAGATTGCCATTCCTGGATGTACCTCGGAGTCTGAATACTTAGCCAATTGTTTATCCTACTGAGGCATCTCTCAGCTGGCAGATTACTCAAAGATCTGGTTTCCGTTTGGCTTTGCTTTTGCCCCAAACACAAATATTGCTGAGCAGGGTCTGCATTTTGAGCCACTTCCCTTCCACCTTCACAATTCACTTTAATTGTCCAGGGCCATTTCTGCTTCTACCCCACTCCAAACTTCAAGCCAAATGGTAACAGAAATCTAAAATCCATACTATAAGAGCCTGGGGTTGACAGAACTAAAGCCACTAGCACTCAGAACAGTTTAAGAGAGTTTAAATTTCAATATCAACACATAAAACAGTACGAAAACATTTCTCTTTGTTAGAGTAGAGGGTTTTGCCTCTATTCTACTCCACTCTGCTTACTTAATTACAAATTGGAAATCTTACAACTGCTAACTCTATTTTGCCTTCTCAGTTTCCTTCTTGATTGCCTGTTGCCTGGAAGCCTCAAGATCCACATGACCACCTCCCTTCTTTTCCCTGCATTCCAGAGGTGGCTGTAGATCTGGGCTGGTAGACAGAGCTGATTCCAGGAAGTGCACCACACTGGGTGTGACAGGAGAAGCGTAAGCTCCTTATGTCATGCAAGTGTCTGGCAACTTGGTGTGTTAGGCCATTCTTGCATTGCTGTAAAGAAATACTTGAGACTGGGTAATTTATAAAGAAAAGAAGTTTAATTGGCTCACAGTTCTGCAGGCTTTACTGAAAGCATTGTGCTGTCATCTGCTAAGTGTCTGGTGAAGGCTCAGGGAACTTTCAATCACAGTGGAAGGTGAAGTTGGGAGCAAGTGCATCACATGGTGAAAGCAAGAGCAGGAGACAGAGAGAAAGAGAGAAAGAGGGTGGGAGGTGGTGGTGTGCCACATATTTTTAAATGACCAGATCTCACGAGAACTCATCATCACAAAGACAGTACCAAGCCATGAGGGATCCACCCCCATGATTCAAACATCTCCCACCAGGACCCATCTCCAGTATTGGGGATTACAATTCAACATGAGATTTGAGCAGAGACAAATATCCAAACTATATCACTTGGCTTGTGTCTGGGAAGTGTGAATCCCCAGGCTGAATGATTAATTAGAATGACAATAGAGGCCTGCTCAAGGTGGATCCCCAGGATTCAAGTACGGCTGCATCACAGGCATAGGGAGGCCTTGTAGACTTGTCCTTGTGGCATGGGCCATGGAGCCAATGCACCATGTGGATTTTATTGAAAATATCTGCCCTTTACTAGAGAGACTATAAACCCCATCTGAAATATGCCACCCACTCCTATCTGACAATGAGGGTGGGAAGCTATTTTTGCCTTACAAGAAAAAGCAGGAACTTGTTATTTTGTAATTTTCTCTACTTCATTTGCTGCCCTTTGACTTCTACCCTTCATGCATACTGAGCCTCCCTTTTCCACCCCATTAAATCAGCCCCAATTTAAGGAAGTTTTCCATTGTCCCTCAGTTCTTTGTACCTAACACATACAATCTTATTTAATTTTTTCAAATCTCTGTGATTGCAATGCAACGCAATTAACTCATCAAATAAACCTGGTTTTGAGTATAAGCTGTGTTTTACTTCTTAAGCAGTCTAATCTCACAGAACCTTATTTTCTCAATTATACAATAGTGGGAAGTCACCTCATTGGTGTTGGGAAAGTTAAATGAGATAATGCACAGTGTCTGGCACATTGTTTGTGTTCAGTAAAAGTTAGCTGTTATTATTGTTCCCACTAACCCAGGCAGGAGGAAACCATGTGGGGGTTGATCTTGTCACATAGAAATCTTAGACACTTGAAGACGATCCAAAGTTTCTCCACTGCAGCTCAGTTGAGTATTCTTTGCAAGATTTAGACTGTATTTTGTTCTATGCTCTAACTACCAAGATTAAGAGGCTGAATGTCACCTGTTAGACACAGCTCTGCGTTATACAGATGTTCTTTAGAACTGCATGCTCTTATAAACAAATGAATTTTGTAATAGAAGCACCAGTACTTTTTATTTAGAGTCAAAATGCAGAGACAGGCGGGTCTCAAGCCAATAAACCCAGGGTTCCAAAGTCCTAATTTCCTAGAATGTGGTGAAATCCTCCCAGACGCTACTGGTGGGTGGGTTTGGAAGCAACATGATAATCAGTCCCATGCTTCTTCTTTTGTTTGTAGCGATCCCCATGCCGGAGACCTTTCTTTTCTGTGGCTAAGCAATCTTCTCCCTGGGCTTCTGGATGCTCATTTCAAGAGCACTCCATTTCAGTGACTCATAGCTAATTTACTGAACCTTGGATGAGGTTCTGGGCTCTGTACAAAGTGTTCTGGAAACACAGTCCTTGTCCTTAAGTTCCCTTCAGTATTCTATTTATTAGTAAAATTGTACTTCTCCTTGTCTCCAAACATACCTGGCTCCTTCCTGCTTCTGTACTTTTGCTCATAATGTTTACTTCCAGGAATACCATCTCCATTCCCTACCCTCCCTCCCTACTCACATCATCTCTACTTCTCAATATTCTTCTTATCTGTTTTAGCTCAATTCAAATACCTCCTTGCAGCTTTTCTCCTGCTTTCCCATATCCCTCTTTCTCCTCCAAAGTCTCATCTTAGAGTCCTTATCTTATTCAAATTGTCATTTTGGAGTGTCATTTTCTATTTACACATTTGTCTTCCCTAATTCAGGATAATATACCAAAGAGAGAAATCTGTTATTCCCTTTTGGGTCTCCCACAACATTTATAGAACTTCGCAGTGGATATGAAAGTTTGAGTGACTGATTGAATGAATTCATTCATTCAACGTACATATTGACTACCTGCCCATTGTGGACCAAGCACATTTGTAGGAGCAGGAGACATACAGATGATTAGATAAAGTTCCTGTCCCTGGAGAGCTCACATTCTATGTGAGTTAATTACAAAATGGTTCTAATAGTAGACATGCAGGATGTTAAAAAGAAAAAAACTGATGTTACCACGAAACAAGAAAGTATTGCAAATATTTAACATCTTTGTTATTCCTATGCTGATTTTTCCCATCAACTAATACTTATCTTTTTTTGTTTGTTTTTTGAGACAGGGTCTCACTCTGTCACCCAGGCTGGAGTGCAGTGGCACAACCTTGGCTCACTGCCATCTTCACTTCCCAGGCTCCAGTGATCCTGCCACCTCAGCCTTCTGAGTAGCTGGAACTACAGGTGCACGCTGCCACGCTTGGCTAATTTTTTTTGTATTTTTTTTTTAAAGATGAGGTTTCACCGTGTTACCCAGGCTGGTCTCAAACCACTGGGCTTAGGCCATCCACCCTCCTCAGCTTCTGGGGATTACAGTGCTGGGATTACAGGCATGAACCACTGCACCTGGCTCTATATGTTGTTTACTATTTGCTGAGAGCTAGCCACTTTAACAGATATCATTTCATTTGATCCTTACAACCAAGAGAAGAAGTAGGAGCTATTATTACAGTTGAGGAGACAACAGCTCTTGCAGGCTAAATAACATATCCGAGCATGAGAGTGTAAGTGAATGAGAAGGCTGAGATTTGAATCCCACTCCACCTAACTCCAAAGACGCTAGTGATCAACAACTGTGTCATACCACCATAGACTTTGGGACAAGAGCCTCAGTGCCAACAGAGGAAACAGCCTGACCCACAGCATGCATTCGTTTTCCCCTCAGCATAGTTTCCCTGTATCAGCCTTCATTGCCACAACTTTACACACCACTTTTGATGTATGTTATTAGCTGAAAACATTTTCTTCATAAATTTTAACAAATTCAATTTCTACATTTAGAAAACTGTGTTGCCAGCAGTTCCTTCATCCAGAGAGTGTAGGTTAGGAGAGCAGTCATCATTAATTTGGGTTTTGCCATGTCACATGCAGTGACAGCCTGACTTCTTGAAGGGATTGCCACACCCCACACACCTAATAGATCCAACCGCTGACAACGTTTCTGTATTCCACATACCCAACCAATAACTAACTGTAAATCATCTTCTAAAAACTCACAATTTCAACGTATGATGGCTCTGGTGACAGCTGTGATTTCGTTCAAGGTCACCCCTGGGGAAACCAGATTTGAATAGAATCAGTTGAACTTCGAGGCAAAGTCACACCGTCCTTAAAATAGGGAAGGCACTGCAGAGTGAGCTTCGTGAGAGGAAAAACTGTCTTGGAACTCTATCTCTACTATCTCTGGGACACGCTCCTCATTCAATAGGTGTTTGTTAAATGAAATGAATACATAAATGATTTATTTTTTAACATCACTCTGGAAATAATTTGTTATTATTATTATTATCATACCACCACACTCCAGCCTGGGTGACAGAGCAAGACCCTGTCTCGGTTAATAATGTAATTATTAATTATTAATGGCTCACTGCAGCCTGGACCTCTCGTGCTCAAGTGATCCTCCCACCTCAGCCTCCCAGATAGCTGGCACCACAGATGACTTCCATCATCCCAGCTGTTTTTTTGTTTTTTCGTTTTTGTGTTTTTTTTTTTTTTTTTTTGGAGAGACAGGGTTTTGCCGTGTTGCTCAGGCTGGTCTGGAACTCCTGGGCTCTAGTAATCCACCATCTCAGGCTCCCAAAGTACCAGGATTACAGGCATGACCCATCTCACCCGGCTGAAAATAATTTAAAATGAGATGTATAGTGTGGCCAAAAGAATATTGACCTTGCAGTTAAAAAAAAAAAAAAGTTTGATTCCTAGCTTCAGTACTTGATATTTATGCGTGGCATGATGCAAATAAGTAAACTGCGTTAACATTTTTTCATCTGTAAAATGAGCATAATGTTGTTACACCTGACTGTTGTGAAGAAAAAACAGGATAACAATGGAGTGCCCAACAGTGTCAGCACACAGTAGGTCCTCACAAATGTTTCTTTCCTCTGGAAAGCAAATTTGCTCAATTGGTTTGCACTTTTTCATAAAACATAGATCAAAAGAGTCAGATTAGGTCTGGAGTGCACCTTTCTTATCCTCATTTGAAAAGTCTTATTATTTGGACACACCAGTTGTCCATAATTTTAAAAAAACCATTGATAGGCCAGTGGCAGGTCCTGAGTTACTGTCCTTGCCAGGAGTTGGCAGTGGTACAGTAGCACACAAGGGACATTAAAGTGCCACTTGAAGTATCTCCCGCAATATTCACAGGAAGGCTGTAAGTCCATTTAGCCCTTTAGTCTGAGAGCTTCATAATAAAAGGAGTTTCAAGGCACCAGAAGTTCCAATTATCCCAAACAGGTGAATGTTCCTCTAATTTCCCAGAGGTTTTCTGTCCAGTGAGCTGATCTGCTATCTCCAGATATCTTGGTTGTTGAGTTCTGAATGAAAGGGAGTAAAGTGAGCAAGAGCTTCAGAAAGCACTCAAGAATACTGAAGCATGAGAAGGTTATGTCAGCACATTTGATTTTTTTCACCTATTTCCATAGGCTATGCCAACAAGAGTAGCTTCAAAAGCTACAGGTAAAGCTGTTGGCATACAGCAAACCATTAACAAATGCCACTTCCTCTCCTCCTAGAAGAAATCCTCATATCACAGCCACAGTACTTAGGCAAAACCTCAAACCGGATCCCAGACAAACTAAGAAAGTATAGTGCAGTGGCTTTAGCAGCCACCAGGCAATGTGGCCTTGAACAAGGTTTTTCACTAGTGTCATCAAGTGACAACCACTTGAGTCAATTATCTCTTTCTACCCTATTATCAGTTCTGTGAGACAGATATTTTTATCCTCATTCTTAAAAATAAAGACAATGTCAAAAATGTTAGAAAGCTTCCCAAGGTCTCACAGCCTGTGAGTGGTTAAAACCTTAGATCCCTTTGACTGCAAATTACAGTTTTCACTGTACTTCTAGATCTTCACCTCTGAAATGTCATCTAGAAAAATCTTCCCCAGTTCTAAATATCTACATTTTTATTACGCAATTTAATAAAAAATTGAAGTTCTACTACTCAGGTTTTCCTATGCTAGGTGTAGTTAGGAGATATCAGGAAGAATAAAATGTGAAATCTATATTGACACACACACACAATAATCATAATACAAGACTGAAGTGGGAACAGTCATCAAGAAGCACTAGAAAAAGGGCTGAGGGACTTCAGAAAAGTGAGGAATTGGGTCTTGCAATTGAGCGGGCCAAAGGAGACTTCCGGGAGGAGGAGGAAGAATATGCTCTAGACCTCTCAAATGTCCACTCAGTGTTCAAAGAAAGATACTTCTATTTCATAGGCACCAAGACTTCTGTGCTTTTTCTGCTTCTCCATTTAAGTTGAGAGAACCCCTCTGTGAACTGAGAGCATGATATTATTTTGGACAATTTAAAGACAAGAGAATTCCTAGTGCCCATAATAAGGCGTATTTCAAAATGCTTGCTTTAAAAGACTATGCTATTTAAGGTTCAGTTCATCTAAATCCTTTCACTTCATCATTATTGTCATTTCTTCTATAAATCATGCACACATGGACATCTAAATAATTCAGAAGGCTTACTGTCAAGCATCTCCTCTTGGTTCAAGGTGGGTGGGTAGAGGGTTTGGATTTCAAACCTTGGACGGTAAACAGAGCTCTGCTTGTTTAGAAATCATACAAGACAAGGGAAGACACAGGTTGCACTCACCATGTGCCGGGCATGGTTCTAAGTGCTTCACATGTACTATTCTCATTTAATATGCGCAATTATCCTATGAGATAGATACTATTAATATTCCCATTTTACAGATGAAAAAGCTGAGACACCAAGAGGTTAAATAATTTGCCAAGGATCACTCAGAAAGTAATTGTCAGAGCCCAGGTTTAAATTAACAAAACCTTGTTCTTGAAAATGTGTTATTCACCACTGTTCCACATGGCCTCCCCCTATGTGTACACAAATGGACTCATCTGGTTTAAAAATCAATAAAAGGAGAAAAACTATCATGATTCTAACATTTGAGGAAAACCAAAAGTGTGTGTGTGTGTGTGTGTGTGTGTGTGTGTGTGTGTGTGTGTGTTTTACTGTAAACTTCTGGCTCAATGTATGATTCATAGTTTTAATGGTCTGAATTTTATAGGCTTAGATTTTTTAAATTATTGTTAAAATGTATATATTGCTATTTTTGTAATATTGAATGTAAATCAAGATCATTGTAGAAAAATGTTATACACAGCATAGTATAAAGAAGACAACAAAATCACTTAAGTGACTGCTACTTACATTTTTGGAGGATTTCCTTGCAAAAAATTTTTTTATATGTATAGCTATGTATTTGCCTTCTCTATGCACATATTGGGGACCATGATATACCCAGTTTAATATATTGATCTTTGTCCATGTTGTCACGTCTTATTGAAAAATTTTTGGCCGGGCTCAGTGGCTCACACCCATAATCCCAGCACTTTGGGAGGCCGAGGTGGGTGGATCATGAGGTCAGGAGATCGAGACCATCCTGGCTAACACGGTGAAACCCGTCTCTACAAAAAATTAGCTGAACATGGTAGCGGGCACCTGTAGTCCCAGCTACTCGGGAGGCTGAGGCAGGAGAATGGCGTGAAACTGGGAGGTGGAGCTTGCAGTGAGCGGAGATCGCACCACTGCACTCCAGCCTGGGCAACAGAGTGAGACTCCGTCTCAAAAAAAAAAAAAAAAAAAAAAAACACTTTTTTTTAGTCCTCATTTTAAGGGCAGAAAAATATTCCATCAAATGAACATTCTATAATATATTTAATAAAATCTCTATTTTAGGCATTCTGGTTTCCACTTTTCTTGTTAAAATAAATGTTTCAATAAATGACCCTGAACACTTTTATAACTGAATATTACTTTCTTAAGCTTTGTTAGGTTTATATCTGATTTAATTAATTCCATAAATATATACTAAATATCTACAAAGTACCAGCTGCAGTTGAGGGGCTAAGGACACTGTGGTGTCACTGGGTCAAAAGGGATGAATATGGTTAAGAATCTTGACACATATGACTAACTACTTCACTTGAAAGCTTGTTCCAGTAATTTATGCTACTTGAGCTGCCTAAGATTTTGCATCTCACTAAATCCTATATGCATTAAGCATTACAGTCCCCAATTTGAAAGTGAAAAATTGTATCTCATCCTTGCCTTTACATTTCTTTTACTTCTTGTGAGGTTATACCTTTTTTTGTATATTCATTATTCATAAATGTTTAATTTTTAAACTCTTGTTCAGGGCCCAGCCTAACTGAAAAAAATCCCATTCCATATTTCTTTATAGCTTGAGAAAATGCATATCAAAAATACCTTCAGAAAACCTTAATGTTGCCTTTTAATACCCATAAAAGTCAAGGTCAGTCTTTTAATACTTCCAGCTCTCAGAAATCTGGGTTATTGGAGAACATCAAAATGGGCTCACTGTCTGCATTGAGAGCTTAGAATGACCTGGGCAGGGACATTAAACCAAATTGGGTAGAAGACAGAAAATCTGTTGGCCTCAGCTCAAGGAAGTTTAGCAGGCATATCAAGAGTTAGAAAAGTTCTTTCTACAAAATATTTTAAAAGACTCAGGTTTGTCTCGAAGGCAAATTGTTATTTAACGTAACGTAAAATAATGTAATAATGTTACTGAATGTCACATGTGCATCTCACTGAATCCTATATGCAAAAAGCGTTTCAAAATACAAAAATCTCTTTGTAACCTGTTCTTAGAAATAGCATCCTTTCATCTTTGCCATATTCTATTCATTTGAAATCAGTCACTAAGTCCATACACATCAAGTCATTATAAAAGGGCATGAATACAAGAAGGCAAAGATTGTTGGGGACCATTTCAGAAACTGCCAATTACACTTTCTATCCTTTACCATATTTTATGTTCTTCATAGCACTTAGTATTCACTAAAATTATTTGTTTGCTTATATTTTTATCATCTATTTCCCTTCTCTAGAACGTAAGCTCCATGAGAACACGGACTTTATCTGTCTTGTTTGCCACATTATCCCCAGAACCTTAACTGTATCTGGCATATAGCAGGTATTAAATAAATATTGTTTAGTTGATTAATCAATTGATGAATCTGATAGAATACAATGGACTTGGAAAGCATGTTTATTGGTCAAGAAGATCTGTTGAGTCAAACAGACTTGAGTTACGTTCCTGTATTTGCCACTCACCAGCTGCGTGACCTTGGGCACATGACCTAACAATTTTCTATCTCAATTCCCATGTTGCAGTTAGTTGACTTGCAGATTTAACTTGACCTTGACATAAGTCAGAGACAGAGAGAGAGAGAACTTGGCGCATAGCAAGTGTCCAATACATAGTCATTATCCTTATAATTCAAATGATGGTTCTGATCTGTGTGTAAGACTAAGCCCAGCAGGTCAGCCTCGCACTGGCACCAATTTGCATTGAAGATCTGCTGGGGAGAAGTGTGTGCATCATTCCCCAGGAGGCTTCACGTCTTCCCCACCCACCTGGGGCCTTGTTTGGCCAAACTTACCCATGGAGGAAGAGAAAGAGTGGTTACCAAAGCAGAGAGCCAAATTGCGAGGAGCCCATTTCCAGTCACCACCCAGCTCCTGGCCACTGCCCTCAGGCTGAGCTGCTGACCACCCTGCTGAGTTTGTGCTGAACCCTCTGCACTCTTTCACTCCATCCCCATTCAAATGGAAAGGGAGGCCTTGCCCTTCAGAGTTTCCCAGTACCATCTAGTTAGTTCCCAGCTAATTAACCCCAAATAAGAGCAGAACTGAGGAAACCAACCTTCTGCACACACTCTGACCAACTGAACAAAACCACTATGGCCAAAATCTGATTGAACAAGTCAACTTGGTTGAGTAGGGGTTAAACTTTTTCGCTTACCTCAGATGAGTTGAAGATTTTCACAGTAAACAACAGTACACACAAACATTTATAATAGTTAGAACTTGTTTATTATTTATTTGTCCATCCACACCACATTTATTTAGTTTAGTTTAGGGCACATTTATTTAGTTCATGCATTGATCTGGCAAGATTCACAGATGGGAGTACTGATTTAAGAAAATTGTGACAGAGTGCAGTGGGATCTGGGAGGGAACACCTAACTCGGGTATTCATATTTTTTAAAGAATCCTTGAAACGGATCTTGAAGAATAAATGATTCCTTTCTTCAACTCCTACTTACCAAGTTTTTACTATATGCTAAGGAAAGTACTAGGTAATAGAGAAAAAACAGTGAATTGAGGTCAGGTGCAGTAGTAGCTCATGCCTGTAATCCCAGCTCTTTGAGAGGCTGAGGTGGGAGGATCATTTGAGCCCAGGAGTTCAAGACCAACCTGGACACCATGGTGAGACACCATTTCTACAAAAAACAGAAACCAAAAAATTAGCCGGGTGTGGTGGCCCATACCTGTAATCCCAGCTACATGGGAGGCTGAGGCGAGAGGATCACTGGAGCCCAGGAAGTTGAGGCTGCAACGAGCCATGTTGATGCCAC
Source organism: Homo sapiens (assembly GCF_000001405.40). Classification (NCBI taxonomy): domain Eukaryota; kingdom Metazoa; phylum Chordata; class Mammalia; order Primates; family Hominidae; genus Homo; species Homo sapiens. The sequence goes on along the minus strand of NC_000011.10, from coordinate 95,258,697 downwards.
TGCACTCCATCCTGGACAACAGGGCAAGACTGTCTCAAAAAACCAAAAACAGGCCAAGCACAGTGGCTCATGCCTGTAATACCAGCACATTGGGAGACCAAGGTGAGTAGATCATTTGAGCCCAGTTCGAGACTAACCTGGGCAACATGGCAAAACCCAGTCTCTACAAAAAATACAAAAATTAGCTGGGCATGGTGGTGTACGTGGTGGTGTATGCTCAAGTCCCAGCTACTTGGGAAGCTGAAGTGGGAGGATCGCCTGAGCCTGGAAAATCGAGGCTGCAGTGAGTTGTGACTGCGTCACTGCATTCCAGCCCGGGCGACAGAAGAGACCCTGTTTCAAAACAAAAACAAAAACAGTGAAAGAAACACAGTTTCTTTCCTCAAATTGCTCCTTGTTTTGTGGAGAATAAAAGGGCAGGTGGGAAGTCCCTAGAGAGCAAGTGGGTGCAGGATTTAAGCAAAGAGAAGTTCATAGGCCAGGTGTGGTGGCTCATGCCTGTAATCCCAGCACTTTGGGAGGCTGAGATGGGAGGATCATGAGGTCAGGAGATCGAGACCATCCTGGCTAACACGGAGAAACCCTGTCTCTACTAAAAATACAAAAAATAAAAAAATTAGCTGGGCGCCGTGGCAGGCGCCTGTAGTCCCAGCTGTAGGCTGAGACAGGAGAATGGAGTGAAACCGGGAGGTGGAGCTTGCAGTGAGCAGAGACTGCGCCACTGCACTCCAGCCTGGGCGACAGAAAGAGACTCCATCTCAAAAAAAAAAAAAAGAAAAGAGAAGATCATGACTTAATATTTTAGTATGGCTAGAACGCATCAGATGTGGACATGAGAGGAACTGGGAGGGAGTTCGCGGGAGACAAACCTGAAGAGACATGTTGGTCCAGATGTGAAGAGCCAGGTGTCAAGCTAAAGAGTTTCAACAGGATTCTGCAAGCAGCATCAGCTGTACAGGGGGTGTGTAGGGGAATTATATTATCAGATCTCTGTCTACAAAGATTCCACAGGCACTTATGTTGTACAGTGAGAGAGTGAAAGCAAGAAAAGTTTTACAGTTTTCCAGGCAATAAATAACTGGGCCCTGAACTAAGATACAGGCAAGTAGAAACAGAGAGATAGATAGGAGTCAAGAGGTGGATCAAAACACTGGGAGATACTACATACTCCCAAAGGAGTTTAGAGTCCTTTTAAGTCACCTACTCCACTCCTATTTCACCAGTAAGAAAACTTTCTTCCAGAGGGGTCAAGTTATTTACTCAAAAATCACACATAGCTGGAAGCTTTTCCCAGTTCGGTCATTTTGATTATTGCCATATATATTAGTTTGCTAGGGCTGCTGTAACAAAGTTCTACAAATTGGGTGGCTTAAAATTATAGAAATTTATTGTCTCCTACTTCTGGAGAACTCCAAAATCAAGGTATCAGCAGGGCCAAGCTCCCTCTGAAACCTCTAGGGAACCCTGCCTTGCCTCTTCCTGGCTTCTGGTGGTTTGCCAACAATCTTCGGTGTTTCTTGGCTTGTAGATGTACCAGTCCAATCCTCTGTGTCACGCAGCTTTCTTCCTATGTGCACCTGCCTTCACACTGTCGTCTTCTTATAAGGACACCTGTCATGTTGGATAAGGAGCCCACCCTACTCCTGTATACCTCATCTTAACTAATTATATCTGCAGTGAACCTATTCCCAAATAATGTGATCCTTCCAAGTAAGAAATGTATTTAATCCATGATACCATATCAAATTGATCTGTCAAAAAAGAAAAAGGACTCTCTTGGAATGAATTGGCTTCCCTTTGCCTAAATATAGGTAAAGATCTCTTAGAGCCCATATCCAGAGATCCAATTACTCAAAACTAGGCAGGTCTTACACTCTTGGTTAAAGGTACTCATTTTAAACTTCTCCATTTGGACTTGAAGTGATTGGAATAATGGAGGTACTGTCTGAAGATCTCAACTTCCGGTTTCATTGTTTCCGCATTCAGTATCTCCATCCTGATGTCCTAACGTGATCTTTCGCAAGTCTCTGAGCTTACCCACAGGCTGTCAGTTTATCTTTCTGCACACCGGGAAGAAAGAGACCTTCTCTGTGTTGCAATAAACTAAGCCGTGAGTGGACAGCGAATCTACGAAGTTATGTCTTAGTCAGCAAATGCATTCCTCAGGAGAAAGGACCAGTAGCAACAGCAGAATGTTGCCATTTCTGTAGTCTTCTTGATTTCTGACTAATGAGGAACCAAAGAATCCAAAATAGCTGATTTGCCCTCACCCAGGAAATACATCCCCTACCCGACTTCCTCCAGAAGTCTCTGGGTTCTACAGCTGCTATAACCTCATACCTTCCCAGGGCTTTCACCTCTGTACAGACTCCTAGTCTGCTCTGCTCTGTCAAAAGCTTTTCTAAACTTCTCTGGGCACCAGAAGCACCCCTTGAGGGATGTTAAGCTAAGGAAAGGGAATGGTGATAACAGCATTGCTTCAGATACTTCATATTTACGTCTTTCTCGTAAAGAGTGCCAGGGCCTTATAGAATCACTCGAAGGCCCATTGCATTAATCTCAAGGATCCCAAACAAGTGAAAGTTAGATCACACTAAAGCCACCTTCATTTAGAGTTTGTGGTCAATCAAACAGAGCCTAAACTGAAATTTAATTTTGCCCTAGCAGTGAGAATTTGCTAAGCAAATTAATGCTAGAGGGCAAACAAGGCTTCTTGAGTCTGCCTAAGAGCCTTTAAAGGACAACATGCTTTCAAGGGCTGGAAGCAGTCTTTTTACATGCTAATTACAAATCCTACAGTATTTGTGAAAGCAGGTCCCTCTGGGATTTCTATCAGCCAACAAGTTGTTTATTTCCAGTTTAAAGGGGGTGGAGGGTCTATGAATTATTGAGTAGCTACTATGTGTTTTGCCTGTGCTTGGTGGTGAGAGATTGTTTATCTTCACAACCGTCCTTGGAGCTAAGCATTACCCCAGTTTGCACCTGTGGAATGGAGAGGTGGCTGGAAGCACAGAGCTGGGATTCAAAAGCTGGGAAGCCTAAACTCTGGAAGCTGTGCTCTCTCCTCCAGCATATTACCAACCTTTGAATGTAATGTCGGCTTTTCTTTAAGGAATATTCTCAAATCCAGCCTTCTTCATATTTCAGAATAGCCCGTCCCTAATTAGCTCAAATTAGCTAGCTTTGTAAACCCTTTTTCATTTCAGTAATGAGGAAAACGAGGCATTCAGCCAAGAAGCAAACTGTAGAAGGATAGGTTGCAGCAGGTCTGGGCTAATAAATTGCAGTACATGGTGCTTCCTGAGACCTACCAAGGACTCTGAAAGAAGACAAGATGAAAAATCACTCCCTCTCTGAGATATATATTTTCTTTTGGAAAGATGTGTTTTCACCACTCACAGGAAAAACTGCTTTCTGGCCTTAGATAGCACAGAAATTGTCCTCAGATAATGCCAGTGAGGAACCTGCCTGGGAGGTCTAATCGACCTGGGATATGTCATAGGTAATGCCGGGTAGGTAGGTTTAACCCTTCGATTGCACCCTTTTCCAATACTGCTGTCACTGCCCACTAAGATCAGAAAAACTGACAAAATTTTGGGAAATAACTTCATGTTTTCAGAAATGCTACAAAGCCCTCTCCACTCCCACCCATGAGACAATGTCTACAAGTCACATCATATCCTTCCAGCTTAGACTTATTTTTAAAGCACACACAAAACACACTTTAGTGTAATTGGAGAATTAGCACTTTTGCCCCAGAAATGAAACAGCTGTTGATTTCCAGGCTGCTTGTCATTAGAGAGAAGACTTGAAACATCAGAGGCAAGTTCAAACTCCCTAAGAGGCAGTATTGAACTTTACTTGTAGCTCATGTGCCAAGAGCTGCCCAGCATCACTATGCATGAAACAAAACAGGTTTCAAGCAATTATAAGACACAACATATAAATCAAGACTTTAGAATCTTTATTAATGCTGAATTTTTTATTCCAAAAAAATACTTTCAGGAAAACAAATATGACTCATGACTTATGAGACTGGCTGCTTGGATGCAAATCATCTTAACTGCTTGCACACTCCTTGGTACCTTTTCAGCTAAAGAGCCATTCAGCCTCAGCTTCAAGTGCAGAGGAAGTGCAAATAACCCCTGCACTTCAGAGCACAGCTTGCTTTGCTAAGAGACAGTTGAGCAAAATCCCAGCACGCTCTGATTCATTCTGCCTGCTGATTGGTCGTTCTCCCTGGCTGCTGACATCATCCTGTTGCTGGGTGGAAAACTTATGCAGCACAGCCCTGATGCTGACTTCTGATTCTTGTGAAGGGGACGTTGTACTCAACAGCGAAATCAGATTGTAGCTCAAATGGAATTGGAAGATATCTTTTTTGTGTGATCACTTCAGTCATCTTATGCCTCTTAAATTATAGCGCCCTCCCAACCCCCATGCCGTAATCTAGCAAATGCTATTGTGTGGCACTTTCTCTTCCAAGCCACCCAACCCCCAACAGCCTCTAGAATACAAGAGAATAAGAAAAAAACCTTATCGTTTGCCTTCGACTGTAGGTGGAAGATGTCTTACACATCTCCTAGATGGGGCTGGCCTTCTGATTAGTTCATTTGCCTTTACCATCAGTATTAAACTATGTCTTCACTTGCTGCAAAGAATTGTGAAGTAATTTTTAGGACTTTCTATAAAAAATGCCTTATTACCTCTCATTTATTTTCCCAGCATTCTGTAAGCCTTAGGTAAACTGGGGAAGTAGTGACAAAGGCCAACTTGTCTGTTGCCCTTTACAGTGCGCAAAGAACTTTTTTATATACAATGTCTCATATGTTCTTTGCAGCTGTCCCATGCATGAGGTACTATTACTTCCCCCACTCTATAGATAAGAAAACAAACCCCTAAATATTAAATCCATTGCCAGCCATATAGCTTGCACATGATGAAGCTGGGCCTCAAACCCATGGTTTTTAATCCTAGTTTCTGAACTCTTTTCACTCAGACATAGACTCTTTCAACCTTGGGAGGCTAAGTGATTTGCAAGAACCAGTGCAAATTAAGTAGCTAAACCAGTGCCAGAACCCAGCAATTCTTGTTCTCCACACAAGGCCTTTTCTTCTAAACCTCTTGGTAGCTCTCAAGACAATGTTAGAGATGCTCTTAGATACACATTTATTTTAGAAATCTTTAGGCTTTCACAAGCTTTTACTGATTAAGTGCAGCTTTGAGGGAAAAAAATAGAAGCCTAATAATTCAGATGCACATTTGCATTTATTACATAAGGCTTCTGTAAGGGATAAGCTTATCCAGTTGCAGGCTTATTTTAAGTTTTAATGGAATGATTTTGACAGATCAGAAATAGCAGGCTTAGTAACCAGCTCGGTAACTTAGATGTCAGAGACATTTCCATGGTGGATAGCGGGGCTCCTTAGCTCTCAGGACACACTAGATTTCTCTTGTTTGTCTCTGACTGGGATGATTAACCACCCTTTGCTTGGCTTTCATCTTTCCTGGCACAGCTTTGTCTTTCATCTCATTCATTGCTCCAAACCCTTCTTCCCTTTAACTTTTAATACACATACAAAATATTTCAGCTTCCCTCAGTTATTTTTACATAAGCAGAGCAGGAAAACATGGATATACTTCACGGAGCCTGCCACATCTGGTTTGCTCAGGTACTCCCTTACCCATCTTTATTTTTAAATGAGACAAAGAATCCTTCAAAAAAGGCTTAGGAGACTAAAATGTTGGAGGAAAGGAATGAAAGAATGGGGGGGGCAAAGATTACTCAGACATGGAGGTGAATATTTGCATTTTCTATCTTGATCTTTGTGACAGCAGCAACACATAGTGTGGTGACTTGTATTTCACAACGTACATAGCTGCTTCTGTATACTTTGCATTCTTCTCTCATTTTCCCAGTAATTGCCTTTTTTCACTGTGGGGCTTTTTGTCCCCTTGACCCCCAGGTCTCCTACTTCCTGTGTATGACTTAGGCACATGTAGCTCACTCTAAATTTCAGCAAAATGTTCTCTCTGAAAGTGACTTCTTTTCACACCACTCAGATCTTCACATTTTCACTGCCTGTGGAAATATAAACTTACTGATTTTTGTCTTTCTGTGTTATTTGAAGGTAACAAACAATTTGTTGTGCTGAAAAACAGAATTGTTGTCTCATAGACTCCCCAGAGTGATGGGCAGTTCCTACATCCAGCTCTCTGGCTCCCTGTTCAGTGGACCTACCACACCTTTGTTCCTGCTGTCTGTTTTGCCTGAAATGTGTGTCTTAAAATATGGCACAGTAGATGCTGAGCAAAAACAACAACAAAATCCTATGGTCACATAGTTAGCGGCAGTTGAAACTGAAATTAGACCCCAACCTCACATGATTATTAAACGAACATTTTAATGATAAAGAAAGACATTAATGCAGGCTAAAAAAAAATGTGTGCACCATCCAATTCCAAAACCCCAGACAGGCACAATGACTCACACCTGGAATCCTAGCACTTTGGGAGGCCAAGGCAGGTGGATCACTTGAGGTCAGGAATTCGAGACCAGCCTGGTCAACATCATGAAACCCTGTCTCTATTAAAAATATAAAGAAATTAGCCAGGCGTGGTGGCAGGAGCCTGTAATCCCAGCTACTCAGGAGACTGAGGCTTGAGAATTGCTTGAACTCGGGAGGCGGAGGTTGCGGTGAGCTGAGACGGCACCACTGCACTGCAGCCTGGGTGACAGAGCAAGACTCTGACTCAAAAACAAACAAACAAACAAACAAAAAGCAAAAAACAAAATTCCAGACATGAAAGTCCCTGCTGGGAGTCTGGGACTTGGAATCAACCCACCCAGCCCTCTCCCACCTCATCCATTTCCCCTACCTATTTTTCACTCTGGGAGATTCATTTTGCCCAGAAAGTAGGAGCAAATCAGGTCCACAGCTAGATATTATGTTCTAAGCTAGATGATCTCTAAGGATGCTTCCAGTATGACATTCTGTGACTTTGAGCCCTTTGCAAAATTGTGTGTGGGATTAAGAGTTCAGGCTCTGGAATCAGGTCCTATTCAAACCTCAGCTCTGCAACACACCAGCAGACTACAGGGAGAGACGGAAACCAAGATAAGAGTGGGGATGATTTAACCTCCCTCTATTTCTTTCTTTTTTTTTTAAATAAATCAAGCACAGTAACATACCTGCCTCTTATAGAAGAGGATTAAATAGGATAATACCTGTGAAATCCCTAACACAGAACTGCATGTGGGATGTTCAAAAATCCCAGTAAATGTTGCCAAGTATTTTTGCCAAACTGATAGAAACTCAGATACATAAAGAAAAAAAAAAAAAAGATGGAGAAGAATTAATGAAAGCAAATTTCAAAAATGAGAATCTGTGGTCCTTATAGTTTAGATAATCAAAGATAAAGGCAAAACACGTGGGGACAGAACAAAAAACTATAAATATCTCAAGATGGTTTACATCAAAAAGAAGAATTTTTATTTCTCTTTCAATGAGCTTTCTCAAATTAAGCTGTAGTTTTTATTATATTTATTATGTTTAGTATACCTGTTCACCAGAGTTCTATTGTCAAATTCCAGGCTCTTTCTACATGTCCTGCCCATGAAATTGGAGATCAGTGATAAAGGGGTTACACGTCTCTTTTCTCCTGATTTCACTGCATCATTTGTAAAATCTCTGAGATAATCTGAAGACACTAAAAACTCCTATGACATATCAGGAAGTGCTCCAGAGACCAAAGTGTATGATTCTGTGGAGCCAACACCAAGGCATGAACGTGGGACCCAGTTCCTAACCACATAGAGCTAAACTGGGAAATGCCAGAAGGGCTAAATTTTATATTTCAACCCTCAAAATTTATCAAATAGCCTGGATGTTTTGAAAGTCCATAAAAAGCTGGGCTTGGTGGCTCACACCTGTAATCCCAGCACTTTGGGAAGCCAAGGCGGGCGGATCATGAGGTCAGGAGATTGAAACCATCCTGGCTAACATGGTGAAACCCCGTCTCTATTAAAAATACAAAAAATTAGCCGGGCGTGGTGGCAGGCACCTGTAATCCCAGCTACTCAGGAGGCTGAGGCAGGAATCGCTTGAACCCAGAAGGTGGAGGTTGCAGTGAGCCAAGATCACGCCACTGCACTCCAGCCTGACAACAGAGTGATACTCTGTCTCAAAAAATAAGTAAATACCTAAATAAATAAATAAAATAAAGTCCATAAAAACTCATGCAGGTTAGGTCACCAAACAATGTTTATTGAGTGTCCATCACATGTAATACAAATACACTGTGCTCAATTTTGAGACTATGGTGATGAATAAAACGACAAACCCATACTGATAGATGCATAACAAAATTAAAATGTAATGTCACAAGTAGTGTGGCATAGGTATTCACAGGTGCTGTGGGTGCCCATAAATAGGGCACTTATTTCTGGCTATAAAATAGGGAGAGGCTTCCCAGGAAAAAACACTGTATGGTACCCTACGTGTACTGACCAATCAATTAAGAACCACCTGGAAAGAAATCTCTACTTGTGCCATGCTAAAGGGCTTAAGGACCCTCTGAGATCTGTCACCAATTTTTTTTTTTTTTTTTGAGACAGTCTCACTTTATGGCCCAGGCTGGAGTGCAGTGGCACAATCTTGGCTCACTGCAACCTCTGCCTTCTGGGTTCAAGCGATTCTCCTGCCTCTGCCTCCCAAGTAGCTGGGATTAAAGGCATGCACCACCACACCTGGCTAATTTTTGTGTTTTTAGTAGAGACAGGGGTTTCACCATGTTGGGCAGGCTGGTCTCGAACTCCTGACCTCAAGTGATCTGCCGGCTTCGGCCTCCCAAAGTGCTGGACCAATTTTTTAAGTAAGATCTTGAGTTAACAAAAAGAAGACATGTTCATCAGATCTGCATGTAGCATAAAGTTGGAAGAGAGAGCTAGTAGCAAGATTCAAAAAGATATAGCAGGCAGGGAGGATGGCCTGAAACCAAGAAAAATGTAAAAATTTGTATTAAAAAAAAATCAAATGTATAAGAACAGGAGGTGAAAAAACTGGTTCAGAAGCACTCCGTGTGAGAAGACACGGAATGATTAGCTGGAAGTTCTTGGTTTGACTATTAGCTTCTTTAATGAAACAAAATGTCATTACTAAACTGACATATCCTTAAGGGCAGGAGTCACATCTTAAATATTTTAATCTCTCTCCCTTGTCTAGTATAGGGCCTAAAACAGAGTATGTGCTCAATATATCTTTCTGAAATGGAGTCAAAACTAAGAATGCCCAAAGGAATAGGCTCCACTAATGAATGGGCTGTGGTCAGAACCACCAAAGAAGCCTGTTTCAGTTCTCCCCTCATGTACAGTCTTTCTGACACTGCTCTAGGCTTTCTCCTCCCATTTTCTTCTTAAGATAAAAGTCAAAATCTTTTGCATGATTTAGAAGGCGGGACCTCTTCCCCATTTGACCTAAAGCCCCACTTCCCACTGCTCTCTTCCTGGCTCACATACTGCTCCCACTCTTTCAGTTCCTTCCAGTCTGAACAAGTGCCAGTCTCTTTTCATGGAACACTCCTCCCCAGCCTCTCACACTCACACACATGCACATGCACACATACTTTCCACCTGTTTAATCTGCTTCACCGCAGCTTGTCTTTTTAACCTCCCCCACTCTCTCTTTCTCTTTCTCTCCCTCTCCCAACTTTCCCTGTGAAGCTTCAGTGTAGGGGCCCAACAGGTCCAGCACATTTCTCCCCTAAAAACACAAAGCAAAGAAAGGACAGCTGGGAGTATGGATGAACAAAGCCTCATGACCGCAGGGAGGGCTGTTCCCTGGAGGAACAGAGAATCACATACCAATGCTAGACCCACTGCATGTTGGGGGAGGAGACTCCTAGAACAAGGACAGGGCTGAATGCAAAGGAGGGGGCAATTTCGCAGACCCAAGCTGGCCAAGAGTTACCCAAAGGATGACAAAAGTAGCAATTACTCACTGCAGCCTGAACACTAATTCCTATCCTGAAACTTACAACAATATTCAATATTACATTTACACATGATACATGATATAAATTCAGTTTACAACCACTGGTTATTAAAAACTCTTGAGTAATGCAATTTATATTTTATTAACCTGATAAGAATTCACTATTCTTGTAACATAGATCAGACGACTTTTCTGCATGGACTTTCTTTATTTATTTTCTTATAAAAGATTATTGTATTGACGATATAATGATGAGAAAAAGCGTCCTCATGAAGCATAAAATCTCGTGGAGAAGGCAGCCAAGCCAAAAAAAAAAAAAATTGCTGTATCAAGATGTAATATGATAAAGTGAAACAGTTTAATCAAGCTCCTTCATGACTAAATATCAGTTTTCTGTGTTAACTTGATGAAGATGGCAGAAAGGTTATTTTTGCTAAAGTAATTTAAGTTTTTCCCTGGCATGTTTGAAGAAAAGGCATCTACTTGCTTGGAGTATCCAGTTTCAAACTCAGCAAAGGCACTACTGTAACACAGCAGAACTGAAACTGGCACCTTTGGAGGCACGGAAAACATAACAGATTAGTTCAGGTCAAACAAGTGGCTTCTATCAGTGGTTGGGTTGTAAAGAATAAAAAGGGGGAAAAGTGAGGAGATTAGCAATGTCTCGAATCCCATAACCCTCAATCCCTTATGTCATCCATAGTTCTGACGTGGGTCTTGAGTTTCACTTATTTTTCTCAGATTGATGCTTTCAGCTTTTCTAACAGGCTGTATGACCTCTCAGGTGTCACCTTTGCTGTGGATGTTCTTTTTTCCATCTGCAGTGACATGGCATATGACTCAACCTTCAGAATTTGAAGTTAATGAAAAGGTTTGGATGATCCCAACTTTTCTCTTGGGCAGATAATAGCAAAGTTTTATCTTACTTGCCTCTCCAGCTTCCATCGTATATTTCAGGTTATTTTGCTTCTGAATAATGGCAGTGGTAGCTGAATTAGAAGTTCACTGGAATTCTGATCTCAGCTTTTCACTTGTTTTTAAAAATGCTTCCTGTTGCTTGTTAAATCTTAGTTGCTATTGTTAAGTAGCACACTGTATTTACAGTGAGTTAAGGAACATCAAGAAAACTGCTCTGGATTACTTTGTCAACCCTTTCACAGAAAGCACAGATATACTACCCTCAGGTGACCTAGGAGACAATGGGTTCCACTGTCATTGCTGGCCCACATTGTGTACCCAGATGGACTGACATTTTAATTTCTGCCTCTTTTGTGCCTTCCATTATCCTGGGGACCAAGGTATAAACGTGTCTGGAATCACAATTTGTGGAAGGTTAGTAAAATTTTGAAACAGGGCCAGGACCATTCAGTGCTTGAGATGGATGTTTTGGAGTCTCTCCAAATGTATGGGTTGTCCATTTGTGCCATGTGTCCAGACTGGAGTCTAGAATAGACAGTTAAGACAAAATTATGCTTACTGCAGGCTAGTTTTACAATGGAAAAAAACTGAAGGGAGCAGTCTGGAGAGGGTTGCCTCTGTGCTTTAGAAGGCTTGTTCCATAGAGGAATGCTGCTTGAATGTAATAAGACTTTAGGATCCTTAGGAGGCCATTACTATATAAAGGATGATTTAAATGGAAAATGATGGCTAAGACTGAAAAGGCTCTGGTTGTTGGCAAATGTTCTGTCTACTCAAAAGGAAGATAATTCTATGTAATAAAAAGGCAGGGCGTTTTTATTCAGCCTGAGTTGGTATCCCAGCACCACCATGTATCAGCTGTATGAATTTGAGAACGTTAACTTGCTTCTCAGAAAAGCAGTGGTATTATGAAGTTAGGGTTAAGTGAGTTAATATGTATAAATGTTTAGCATGATGCCTGACACATTGAAAGTGTTCTGCCAAATCCTATGAAGAGACAACCTAAAATATAATACTCTAGTGGTTTATAAGGTTTTTGGGGTTCACTTTGGGAATTTGATGAAAACTGTAGATTCTTCCTCCTCAGGAAAATATATATATATATACACATTTTTTGCACAGTTTTAGGAAATTCAAAGATCCAAAGCAGTACAGTGATAGGTTTTAGGTTAAGATCCTTTGTTCTAGGCCAAGACCCATTCTCAAAAGAAAGAATAAGGTCCTCAGTTTAATTTATATTTTATATATTTTTGATCATTTGTAATCATAATCTCCTTTTTAAATTTGGAAGGGATCTTATCTAGTCTAAATTCCATATTTTATTTATTTTATTTTATTTAGCGGTAATGGTACTAAGGTCCTGAGAAAATACTTGGTATTTCAATTAAGCTGAGAACTCTTTATCAATTTTGCATTTCTATAATCAAAATTAAGTGCATTTTCTTTATCCACTACCCTTCATATTTGAGATCTTCCTTAAATTTTACTTATTTCTACTTTGTTCCTAATCCTGTTCTCTAAGATACATTTACAGCCCTCAGAAATTCATGTTTATTCCAAGGTCCATGATGGATACAACAATCTTTTCATTTCTGTGTATTTAAATTAGCACATTAAACTCTGCCCTGCCATATCCAGTTGATATTGTGGTATTTAATGGAAAAGAACCTTGTGCTGTGCTAGAGTAATAACTTCATCAGGTAGGAATTTAAATTAACAAAGACTTATTGAACACCTACAATGGGAGAAGCTTCATTCTATGTCACCTGGAATACATAAATGAACAGAATCCAGACACAGTGTGTGCCCTCATGGAGCTTAGAGTCTAGCAATGAAAATGGTCTTTCTTTCAGAAGAACATTCTGAGGTTAGAATTCAGTTCATGGATGGGGCCAGAGATGAGCTGCAAATTTTCAGCCATGTGAATGCCACCAATGTCTCCATTACCACTCCACAAGGACACTTGCTTTCATTTGCTTAAACAATCCCTGATTCATCATGGGCAGCGCAAAACACAGAATGACCAAAGTATGTCTAGGCAAAATCCCATAACTTCCCCCTGGCAGGAGCATGAACTACAGGTAGCAAATAGGACATATTTAGGTAAGTCATCTCTAGGCTTTTCACTGCAAAAAATATTTTTAAGCTCTTCTACTTTGCTACCAGGATAATTTGGGTGACTTTTGAGGAGAATTTTAACAATAGAGGAAAGGTTCTAGGGTTTAGCAGTTTGCTATAGTTAGAAGGTCGCAGGAAGTAGGGCAGATGATGTGAAAAGAAGCAGATTAATAAAAGGGATGGGAGACTGGGACATGAAAAATTGGAAGTATATCAGATATACGTGACAGGGCCAAAAGCAAGAGACATGAAAAGGCCTTGAAATCATGTAACATTGTTGAAACTGGTTATTCCTCAGAGCCCGTGGATCCCAGTGACATGTTAGCTCTTCTGACTTTGCATCACCAGTGGTGATTCATAGGCTCTAAGGAATTCACCTAATCTCACTCCTGAATGGGGTTAAATGATGTTGCTGGAGCCCTGAAGACAAAAGGCAAAAAGAACAAAAAGCTGAGCTGGCTGAGAGCTGGTAGGGTGTGGCTCCAGCCTCTACTCACCCTGAGTTGTTGCCTCATCTAGGGGAACGGACTGCTGGTCTTCATTTCAAAGCTACTATGGGAAGCACCAGGGCTATGGAAACTATGATACCAACACATAAAGGCATCTACCTTCTCTTTACTTTTTCCACGCAGAAAAATATTACCCTATTTGGTTACCCTCCATATCTAGAAACTTATTCTTGTTTGGCTAAATATACCCTCTGGTTCTTTGAAAAAGGGGAGAAATTCTTCCCAATGTTCTTAGGAGGAATGAACTCAGACTTTGCTTCAGCCCTTCTTACCTGTGATGCCACTGCACAATGAGCTAAGCACTATAGGTGAAAGACGGAAATTAGATTTATGATATCTGAGGAAGGTGAAATCAACCTAAATGAGTTGCATCATTAGCTCAAGGGAACAAAATCATTTACTTATGACCTGGTAAAGCAGGGACCTTTTCATGAGCATTCATAATCCATAGGCCGCAATATTTTTTAGCAGAGGAATTGCTTATCTCTTCTCCCGGTGACTGCTTTGATAGACAACATTATAAATATCCTATAGTATGGGTCTTTGGTTTTGTAAACAACCAGAAATAAATAAGGCATTTTGCCTGATGACTAAACCAGAATTACAAAGAAAGAGGCTTCTACAGACAGAAGGCAATCATAAAAGGCAAAGAAGACCTTTTAGAAGAACTGCGGTGCTTGGTACACACTTAAATACTTTTACCCATCTACCACCAAGGGGACCCTCTCAGCCCAGCCCCACATTTATAAAAACCAGACCTATTTATGTTTGGGTTCTTCCTTGAGTCATACAGAATATATTGGACATATTATCTTCTATATTTTGTTCATATCACAACAGGTAGTTGCTTCCTGCAGAGTGAAAGTAGGAATCATTACCTATGGCTAGTAGACAAAGCTCTAGAAGTATTCCAAAGCACTCGATCTCAGAGTTCCAGCTCTTAAATGGGAACAATATTTCCTTTTCATTAACTGGCAAACTGTAATTTTTCAGTTAAAAACTTAAAGAATGATCTTTAGCTTAGAAAAAAGAGAATTTGTTGGGAGCAGGACACATAAGGGTATATATACGTGTGTGTGTTTTTGTGTGTATACACATACACTCATCTTCATACACATGTAAAGCCAAATTTTAGAAATCATCTTTCTTCATCTAGAGAGAGGTTAGAATGAAGAATACATTCGTGTCATTTAATTTCTCCATGACCTTAGCTTCTTCATTATTCAACAGTATCACTGACACTGAGTTCTCTCAGAATCTGACTGGATAGACTAGCTAACAGAAGACAAAAATGTACTTTGCAAACACAAGTGCAATAAAGATGTTTAATGATAAACCCTGAGTGTTATCAAGCACTTGAGGCCCTTTTAAATCAAAACAAACTGTCTTGGTAAATGGTACTAGGGAACCCAAAACATTAAAATTCAAGTAAATTTCGATTGCTGTTTAAAAATACATTTTTGTATGAAATCTTTTAAAAATAACACAAATAGCTAACATTTACTGAGTACTAATGATAGGGGAGACACTGTTCTCAGTGCTTTACATATGTCTTTTAATTTAATCCTCACAAAAAAACCCTATGAAGTAATGAAAAATGAAGTTTGAGGAGTTTTTGAACAGTGACTAGATTATACAATATTGAGGTTAAAAAAAATGGAAAATTTTCAATTTCACCCTTATAGAAGTCTTAGGCAATACATTTTAGGTCACAGCTAAAGTTACACTTGCATAATGAGAATGTTTCCATTTGCTTCCATTCCTGGACACTCTAGTTCCCCATAGACATGTGGAATGTCTAGATGTTCATGTCTTCACTGAGAAATAGAAAATGCAAAGTGACAGGTCTGGTATATACAGAAATAACAGTAGTGCTATCTCATCAAGAGCAAGGCCAGCACAACCACAACCCATCTAGTACTGCCCAGGGAGGCCATTTTATTTTCTTCACCATACCTGAAAAGTGGCAGAGCGAAGTACCTCGTTTATTTTCCAAATGTTTAATGAAACCTAAGAACTATTTCACATGTCAGATAGAAAATGAGTTCAAGGGTTGCTGAGCTCAGCATGAGTCCAGGATAAACTAGGGGAGGAGAGAGCGAGAGAGAGAGAGAGAGAGAGAGAGACAGAGAGAGATTTAGAAAGGAAAGGAAGGAGCAGTGCCTTCCGCAGAGACTGAGGAATACGATGCAAAGGAATGGAAAACCACAACAGTCCAGCTCTACTGTGATTAGCTGAGGCTCTTCTAAAGCCAGCGATTGGCCCTAAAGAAATGTATCAGTTAGTTGTCCAGGGACATTCTACCTCTGGCAAGTTGAGTAAAATTAAAACATTTACACATATTTACATTTCTAAAACTAAATGACTTCCTAGTATACACCTGGTCCCCTTTATAACCACCCCACAGAGGCCACCACAGTGATCTTTAATTTGTATCCTGAGACAAAGTGCCCTCATTCCCTTTGTTTTTGTCCTGACTACTTCCTTCTTGAAAACTTTTGAGGAAATTTAACTTTGATTTTTGTTTTTATTGCTTTGTTTTTCTTTTTCGTTCATAAACTCTGGGAAATCATTAAACCGGACCTGCAGGCATTAAGTCTGAATGAAGGATAATGTGTGGAAAAGGAGAAAGCCTTTGTCTCTCAGTTTTCTGTGTAGGCAGTTGATAGCACACACATATTAGAATCACTCTAACATGAAACCTGGAAAGGAGAAGCACTTTGGGTAATAGATTACTGATTGCCGTTCTCTAACTTGGAACAAAAAAAACGTTCTAAAAAGTTTGAGGGTTTTGCACAGCAGACATTCTTAGTGAAACATAGACTGTAAGAATTTTTCTGTGTAAAAACTGAAATGGGGGTTTTCTGGCCGAGTGAGTTCTAGTTCTTTCTTTTGGAATGTCCTGACTTTCACATCCATTTACTAATGAGAACTAAGGGTAATATTTCATATGTATAAGTGCTTGACGTGGAAATGAAGGAAGATTATTTCCGTCAGTCTCTTTTGGATGAAAGAAACAGAATTAAGTTACTTCACAAAATCAGCAGTGGGAGGAGATTAGATCGGTGAAGGAAATTATTACAGAGATACACAAGGACTGGAAGTGGAAACACACCAGGATTTAAGGAACTCTAAATACCAGTGTCTTAGCTTCTTTGCTTTCTTTCTGTGCCTTGCCCCCTCCTCCTACCCCTCCCAGCTTCCTCACCCTTTACTTCCTATCCGTTCTGTTCCTTCTTCGTTTTAGTTTGCATATGGTTCATGACATCCTCTTACAATCTGACTTTGCTGCCAACTGGCTTAGTATCATAGTTTCCTGATGCCAAATCTCCAAGAAAGGAATCTGATTGGCTCAGATTATCATTTTGAGCTAGTCCATACAGATGGATGGCTAGGTTACGGAATGACTGTCTTTGAGTCAAGCGTCTATTCCTCGGTTGACTCACATAGTACAGAGCATAATTATTTAGAATAAGGCCACCAGCAGAAAGATTTACTTAGAGGAGGCTGTGGATAAGACAGGTTGATATGAACATCTTGAATTTGCTGGCAGGTTATGTGGAAACCAGTTTATTCATCTTATTTCTAGAGAATCTAATCCCAGCTTATTGCAATAGACCTGTACTTGTCTTGATATAGCATGTGAAAGTACCAACAGCACCTCCTTCCTCTACCCTTAATTGTTAATTTTATCAACTTTATCTTCATCATGTCCATCACTTTATCTCCGTGACTAGCCAAGTGCCTAGGAATCTTCAGACTTATATCTCAGAACATTTGGAATTTTGACTTGGGTGCCAACAAAGGTAGTTTTCTTATCCAAAGATCACCCAAATATTTTTCACGTAATATGCCAGTGGGTAATAAAATACTAGAATAGAGAATAATGGGTATGTGTTTGCCTATTCTCATAGCATTTATTTCAATAGGTGTCCAGTGAGCTATATTTGGTAAATGTATGAGAGATTTAATCTAGTGGACCTTATTGTTTGGTAACCTAACACAGATAATTAGTTCAAAGAATATTTATAAAAATGACTAACTGAATAATGCCAAAGCATGATTTTATAACACTGTAAATCCTGGTGGCATCAAGCAGATCTGGGTTCAAATCAGAGCTCTACCTTGTGTGACCTTGACCAAATTTTCAGTCCCTATAAATCACATTTAAATAGAGATAATAATAGCTACTTCATAGACGTTTTATAAGTATTAGGCAAAATAATTTATGTAGGTTATTGAATAATTATTGGCACATACTAAGTACTCAGAAAATGATAGTGGTTGCTTCTATTACCATATCTATGATGATTATCATCACTACCATGAAGGTTACGGGGATTACAGAATATGGATTAGAAATATGATGGTTATCTTCAAGTACTTTACTGTCTTAAGACAGATAATATCGATGTACTTGTTAGAAATTGTGCACACATATCACTTGCACATATACAAATGGAAATCAACAGGGTGGGGGCTAAGTGTGAAATGCTAAATGTTAGATAATAAAGTGATATTATTTAATTCGGAAAAATAGATTAAAATTTTGGTGAATTTTTAATAGGGATAGTGCCCCTCAGAAAAGAAAGGAAGATTTGCACCCCTCATGGAAGTTTGCCTACTGCAATGTAAAAAGCCAGGATACATAGGAGTTTTGCAATTGGAGCATGAACTATATTAAAATGGGGAACTGAAACACTGGGAAAGGACCTACTAAGGGGAGTCTCTGGGAGTTGCTGTTGGAAACCAGGAGGCAGACCACTTCTTGGGTTAACATTTCACTTCCTCGGGGAAGGCCTAGACCAGGGGAGACATAGACCAGGTTTGATCACCCTGCTTTGTGTTCCCTTCCTGTGTTTTTCCCTACTATAACACTCATTACACACTGGGATTATTTGTTTAAAGTCCATCTTCTCTGCTAGGTTATAAATTCTAACTCTTATGTTCATCACTCTATCTCCACGACTAGTCAAGTGGCTGGCACATAGTAAGCACTCCACAAACATGGAGTGCTTGAACGCATGAATGAGTGAATTAATGAACATGGAATTAGGAGGTGATTTCATCATACACTGTTTTGTATTGTTCTCTGGTATTTATAGGGGTTAATCCTGTCTTCCTGTTGACATTGTACATTGCATCGAAACACAGCAAGAGTTCTGTATCATATGTCTTCAACACTACCACTGAGATGTATCCAGTTATAGGCATAAATGCTCAAAAGATCTTTCTGGACTCTGCTGATAACCCTTTTTACATTCTATTCTCCATTTTCTATTCATCTTCTGTAACAATGCAGAGATTATACTTCAGTCTCACTATTAGATTATAAGCCTGTCCTTTGTTACTTTTATCACCAGGACTTACTACTTGGTAAGGGTTCAATAAATAAATGACTAAATAAAGGATTATCTGGACAGCATATATTTCAAAGCATAATTTTCCAATTTTGCAGCCTTCCAGAATCTCAAAAGTTGCTGCTGTGATTCCAAGTTTGCAATTCATGTGAGAATGCATCATCTCAAGACATTTCATCTTTGAAATTGCTGTCTTTGTTGCTATCATTCACATACACTTTGTGAATGTGTCTTCTGGCTCATAAGGCAAATTTTACCTTTGTATAAAAATATATTTACAATTTTAAGACATTGGGAATTTTTTGATTAAAATAATCTGTTCACTTGATTTCTAGCTAACAAACTCTAATATATCTAATCATGTCATCCAATGAGTTTTTTTGAGCACCTCTTAGATTCCAAGTACTAGAAATATTCAGATGAATCAGTCTTGTCCCTAAAGATGCTCAAAGTCTAGATATGCCATAGTCACATCCAGAAGATCTGAAAGTAGAAGTATAAATTATTCTATTCAGAGGTCCCTTTCAATCTCACCTCAGTCCTGTGTTGATTTCCTGTAAACTCCCTACAATAGAATACTACATTATCTAAGACTTCTAAGTCAACAAATTATAACTCCTCTTTACTCCCATTAACTATATCCTACTCCCAACCTGCCTTATGCTTGTGTGACTTTTTCTATTTTATTAATCTATTCTCATTTTTAACACCCAGACAGCCAGTATATTTTACAGTAGTATTATATATATATATATATATAATATTTCAGTCTTAATTTCCTCATTTCTGAAAGAAGGGTTGAATATTTGGGACAGTGGATTTGGAATATCAAGAAGACTGTGACTAACAACAACAAAAAATCCCTTAGAGAACAAACAAAAACCAACACAACTCTAGTGATATTTGAGAATAGAGCTTCTTTTACTTTCTCCCCACCTACTTGAAGAAATTCTCCTACTTCTCCTATACGCTGTTTCCACTAGATTCTCATTGAAATATACTGAGACAAAACAAATCACAAAATTATAGAGTTTAAAGAGGGCTTTGAAATTCTCTACTCAGACGTGGATTAAGCGTGAATTTAATAAAGTTTAAACTTTAGGGTCCATCACTAGCATTGGCCCCTTCTGAGGTCCTGAGAGAGGTCCAAGCAATTTACCCACATGGTCATACTTTTAAATACATTTCAAAAGTAAGCTATTATAACCACCACTGGTAAAGATCACAGTTTCTTTGTATTCCGATTTCCATCCTTCACAATCTCCCTCATGCTGGAGGCATTGGAGAAGCTGTGGGTATCTTTGTTGATCTGGCTAAGGGGAAGTTGAGATGGACATACCTTTAGCTTGGGTTTATGAGTTAAATTTATGGGGATCACAGTCATTTCAGTGTACGGTTATTATTTCCAGTAGTCTCAATAAAAGAATAGGTTCTACGAATATTCCCACTGCCCACTGGGCCAATTCACCAGCCATAATATCACAAAGATGTAAGGTCACAGGCTATTTCATGACACACATGTGTCCTAGGACACTCAGAACTGGGAATGTGTGCTAGGGGAAAGACTGAATTCTCTTTCCATTCCCTCTAAAAAAGATAGTATTACAAAAATCATTAATAGGACAGGCATGGTGGCTCATGCCTGTAATCCAGCACTTTGGGAGGCCAAGGTGGGTGGATCACGTGAGTTCAGGAGTTCAAGACCAGCCTGGCCAACATGGCGAAATCCTGTCTCTACTAGAAAAATACAAAAATTAGCCAGGTGTGGTGGCATGCACCTGTAGTGTTAGCTACTCTGGAGGCTGAGGCAGGAGAATTGCTTGATCCTAGGAGGCAGAGGTTGCAGTGAGCCAAGGTCGCACCACTGCACTCCAGCCTGAGTGACAGAGCAAGACCTTGTCTCAAAAAAAAAAAAAACCAAAAAAGTCATTAACATATGAAGAGGAAAGTGGAATATACAGCCCCAGAAATGTAGGGAAAAAGTAATACAGGGTTGTGTCAGGCAGTTAATAAAAATTTGTTTTTTTTTCTGGCTTCTGTGATTTTATAGTATTTTTCATCTTTTAAAAATTTATTGTGATTTTATTGCTGAGTTTAAATACGTATTCATTTTCATAACTATTAATAATTTTGCATCCACAATTTTACATTCCTTTTTTCAAAGAAGCTTCCTATAGCATACAAGTTTTGGCCCCCACAAAAACTGGATCTGCTTGGACACAATTTAATCACCCTGCCACATTTAATAGAAAAGGAAGTGATTCCAAGTGATAGATAAGCTGTGATTCCAAGCTTGCATATATCATATAGTTCATATATAGTTCACTGAACTAAACCCTAGGTCTCTTGACTTTCTGTCCAGTGCTATTTTTATTACCCTATATTAACTTACTTCTGAGACAAGTATCTCAAAATCAAAGATCTTCACTGGAAAAAAAAAGACAAATAAAAAAAAATCTCCTAACAACAGTATATAATAATAGAACTTACATAGCATTTCTTATAAGCTAGGCATTGTTTTAAAGTGTTTTATGTAGAATTCATTTAATCTTTAAAAAAACTCTATGACAAAACTAATCTTAATATCTTCATTTCTGCAGATGACGAACATTGAGATACAGGAAAGTTAAGTCACTAGACCCAGGTCACACAGTATGTAGAGAGTATAACATCCTTTATATTGTGTCAGTTCACAGTAAGCATTTATTTAGGGCTTACAATGTATCAGTCACTTTGCTGAGCACTATAATGCATTATTTCAGTCCATCTTTACAATTGCCGTTCGAGTTAGGTAGCATTATTACTCCATCTTACAGATGAGGAGATTGAAAGCATAGAGAAATTTAGTAATTTGCCCAAGGTCATACATTTAGTAAGAGGCAAAGTCAATACTCAAATTTATGTCTAACTCCAGAACCAGGGCTTCTAGCCTCTATGTGATAATGCCTATCAAATAAAACACTTTCAATGCATCAGGCCTGGCTTCCTTGCTCTTCCAATATTGCCACATTACCTGTGGCTCCTTTATCCTAAAGCAACAATTAGAATAGGGATTTGAGCAGAATGAGGATAAGAAGCGGAGTTAGCAGCATAAAGGACATAGTAGTCTCTTCTTAGTTAGATAATTGTTCAGCCCATTGTGAGATATATATACATACTATATACAGTGTATATATGTATATATATATAATATATATATTAGGTCATTTTCACACTGCTGATAAAGACATTCCCGAAACTGGGAATAAAAAGGTTTAATTAGACTTACAGTTCCACATGGCTGGGGAGGCCTCAGAATCATGGTGGGAGGCAAAAGGCACTTCTTACATGGTGATGGCAAGAGAAAGATGGGGAAAAAGCAAAAGTGGAAACCCCTGATAAACCCATCAGATCTCATGAGACTTACTCACTATCACGAGAATAGCATGGGGAAAACCAGCCCCCATGATTCAATTACCTCCCCCTGGGTCCCTACCACAACACGTGGGAATTCTGGGAGATAAAATTCAAGTTGAGATTTGGGTGGGGACACAGCCAAACCATATCAATATACATATATTTTTTTTTCAGGGTACCTGACATCATCATACATCATACATCACAATATTGCTTGCATGTGACCCCTTTCCTTTTGTTATAGTAAAGAGGTGACAAATTTATTTTTAATTAGTGTTCTCTGATAAAGTTAACAGTGATAACTAACAGATCAATAATTTAGATGCTGGAGAAGGTTTATGGAGGTTGCAAATTCAAATCCCTACAAAGGGCAAGAAGATAATGTAAATAAAATGGCAAAATTATAACCCCTAGGGAGTGGCAGGGACCTTAGTAAACAGAAGAGTGCATGTCCAAACCAAATAGCCAGTAGTGAGCTTGACAGATGGTTGCCCTGTGGGAATATAAGCCCAGTGTAACCAGATCTGACAATTTTTCTAAAGAAAATGGAAATCTAGATTTTTGGTTTAAAAAAAA
Source organism: Homo sapiens (assembly GCF_000001405.40). Classification (NCBI taxonomy): domain Eukaryota; kingdom Metazoa; phylum Chordata; class Mammalia; order Primates; family Hominidae; genus Homo; species Homo sapiens. Next base: position 95,235,828 of record NC_000011.10, on the reverse strand, counting down.
AATCCTGAATTGGGAATATTTGAAAGCAATTCAAAAATTTTTTAAAAAGCATCATGCTGGCTGACTTTGTGCAAGCCAAACAAATAAACCACACCCTTCACATCTGTAGGCCTTTTGTAGTCTGCTTTATAGTGGGGTTAAATACAGAAAACTCTGATCTGAAATGTTAGAAGAGCAAGCTGACAGGAATTTGGGTCCTGGTGGAATATTTGTTTTTTGAAAAATGAGCTTCGATAAGAATAATCTTAGTGGAGGTGGGTGATTGAAGAGGTGGAATGGGGTGGGAACTAAAGTAGTGGCCTTTTGAGAACAGATCCTCTTATTTCTCCTTTGGAGTAGTATTGGTCTTGGGCCTTAGAAAAAAATAGCAGGAATCTAATTAACAGCTCTGAGGGAGCAATCAATTTACAATTGTGTGAAGTGTAAATTCCTTTGTGCAAGAAACAAATTACAGTATTTGCAAATGTGTAAATAATGCAGCACTTTCCCAGCAATCCAAATGCTTTGGGTGTCCCCTTGAGAAAGAAAAAGAGGCCTGAAGAGGCAAAATGTTAGAAAGTGACCTATTGTCTCAAGAAATGGAGTTTTAAAAATATCTTTAGTAACTGATTTTTCTCAATTAACTCCTTATTTTGAAACTATAGAGGAACTCAGTTCTTTGGTCAATAGAATGAGAATATTTAAAGAAGTAAACAATTTCAAGTCCAAAGTCACAGCATATTATTAACAGGGTAACTTCAATCAAACATGCTAAACACAAAAATTTTCCTTCAACCCTTCCTACACCTCTGGTTTGTGGTAACAACTTTCATTTGATAAAAGAGAGAATGATGCCCAACCCATAATAGTTAATACATTCAATGTCAGAGAAGGATTGGTGACAGGTAAGAACATGAGCCTAATCTCTCTGCTTCAAAGCAGTGGATTTTTCTGAACAATTCAATTCACATTTATTGGGGTGCTTTTATAAAGAGTGAAACTCATTACTTTCTCCAAAATTTTTTTGAGCACTTCCCTATCAGTTGAGCTAGGAGCCAAGGATACAAAGTAAATGTTACTCTATCCCTGCCTTCAAGGGGTTTGAAGTCTAATGAGAAAACAGGAGTTAAACCTACCATTTCCCTAGTGAGCTTTTTGGTAAAGAAGAGGTATAGAGGGGCACTATGGATGCTTGGACAAGTGCTTGATTCAGGAAGTGTTTCAACAGAAGATATTCACCAGGCAGAAGGAAGAAGGGAAAGGGATTAAGGTAGAGGTAGGTGGAATACTGATGGGCCTTATGCAGAATGATAGCTTTCAAATGATTGCTCTCACCTGTGTTCTTATTCAAATCTTTCCACAAAATATTATAGCAAGTTGCACCATGAGCCTTAAGACATATGTATACCCTTTTACTCAGAAATTCCAGGCCTAGGAATCAGAGATTCTGCCAGAAACTTAAGTATAAGGAAGTTTATTTTGTTATTTACAATCATGAAAAATCTGAAACAACCCACATATTAAACAATAGCATAAGGATTAAGTAAGTTATGGTACATCCAAGCCATGTAATTTTATGGATTCTTTGCTTAAAAAAATTACACTTTAAAAGAATAATTCAAAACAAGCAACATGATTATGAGATAACAGTTTTGAAATGATGTACAATGTTTAATGAAGTATCATCCTAATTTTGTAATAAAAAATTAAAAAGTAGTTCTCAACATTGGTTGTAATTTTCACTCATATCCTACTTTTCTAAAGTTCTTTCTTGTTTTAAACATACCAGACAACAAAAGGGGTGGAGTTTCTCCTTGTTCTATGTGCAATAAAAAGAACTGGCTTTTGTTTCTTTTCCTCTTAAGTGCGATCCTGGGTTTGAAATAAAATTCCCTTTATAATATTCAGGCTGGCCAAGAAAGGAAGGAAGGTCAGGTGAAGAATGGAAGAGAAAGGAGATGTCCAGAAACTGAACATTTCCATGAGAGAGGAGAATAACTATGATGGGAATGAGGGTGTGAGGACAGACCAGAAAGGGTGGTTGCTGTGTTAAGAATAAGGTACTGGCATTGAGTAGTTGAGGGCAGAACATAAACACATACATAATGGTTCACTGTAAGAAATGTCACAATGTAATACATGATTAACTGCCAAATAAATAGCACTACAGACAATACATATTATAATAGTTTGGAGGAATTTGGTGCAGAGAGCCATCATATGGTCAGATACATGTATGTGACCATGTATTATTGAAGATATTCATCTACTAAAATCTTCCTTTAGCGATCTTTGTTAGAGGGTGTTATTGTATAGGACTAGATTCTCTCGGCTTTCCTTTCTGGAGGATTTAGTTACTGAAGAACTTAAAGGAACTCATTTCGAAAGGATTTTAGCTGTCAAGTGAAAAAAGAAAAGAAAAGGTTATAAGAAGAATGTGCTAGAAAACAATATGAATTTAAAATTCTATTTGAGAAAATTCAATCTGCACAAAAATTCACTTCATCCTTCAATTTCTCCTTTCCTTTAAAATGTACTCACATAAAATCTGCTTTAAAAGCCAGAACCAGCCAGGAATATAGCCCAAGAAATTTACCACTAAATGGGGACACATATGTGTTTCTTAGAAAAACTGTGCCTTGCTGACTTTCTCCCTGCATTTCTTGGTTCTCTGCATCGAAGGGCATGTGGTAATTCCCTCCTTTTCTGAATTTACTTGCTTTTACAGTTTCTTCTAACTGAATCTTAAGCACCTTCCCCACACCATTCATTGCTCTTTAGTTATGTATGTCTACACAGCATCAAGCGACCTTTAGCTAACACTGGCTAAATAGATCAACACCTTTACCCAACTACATAACTTAGACCCTTTTGGGGTTTTCTACTCTATTTTGATCTATTTAAACCTGATACTAGCAGATTTCCATTACCTTTGTTTCTTGTGTAGACTTGGTTTATATGTGTTGGTCTCTAAAAAGGGACAGAGAGGAGACAGCTGTTGAGAAATGAGAATGGCAGTTTTAACCGCACAAATTGGTCTAATAGCTTTGATATGCTAAACTTGCTAGCTCCTCCAAGTGTACCTTTCCGATTTTGCATAACACCACCCTGAATCCCTAAGGAAACCAGGGTTGTTGTTTTTTTTTAATTAAAAAGAAAAGAAAGAAATGCAAACCAGTGAAACCGTTCTTTTAAATCATCTCCACATAGATTTCATTCTACGAACTTCAGGCCTTCACAAATCCTGGTACGCTGGAGACCTTTAAAAAGGGAGAAGCCGAGAATACTGATTAGGTTCTAAAAATCGAAAACAGGTGATGTCATAATGCACAGTCCTGTGGCCACGGCCATGGCCGGGTGGGGAGCTGGGCTCCAGTGAGCACAGAGCTCCTTGCCAGTAGGCGATGCAAGTTATCTCTGGGGCCCGGAGGACACGAGTGAGGACCGGGCACCAATCAGGTTCTCGCTCTGCGCCGGCCTTTGTTCTCACTCGGGAGCAGGTTGCGGGCGTCTAGCATCGGGAACCCGCATTCGACTCGGACGCGCATTGCTAGCCCCTTCGGGAGACCTGGCTCCCCTACCCGTCTGTCCCGCCACACTCGGTCAGCCTGCGCTTTCCCCAGTCAAGTCTGCCTTCTCTCCGCAGAACGTGGACGCTAAAACCCTGACTTACCATTTTAAGCTTTAGAAGAGGTAGGTTTGTCCCAATAGTTTTAAACGACAATTTGTTCTCTGAACCTTCCTTTCTGAGCAGGGCGCTGTGCTCTGCATGTATCCGAACAGCTGCCTCAGGAAGGTCTTTTGGGTGAGAAAACAAGCCCCTTTGGCCTTTTAGTGCTGGACAAGTAAATGAACTTACATCTCTAAGATAACTGCTAGAAGGTGCTTCACAAACAAGAGGAAACCGCTAAACCAGAGGTTTTGTGTCTCTCCCCTCAAACTCGATTACTTGCGTAAATATATATATAACTCAGACATTTATCCCCTATCCGCCTCCCAAGCCTCAAGTAACTGAAATCTTTGCAAAACAAGGTTCACAATAAATGATGCGTAAAGTTCTTTGAGATCCCTGGATACAAAGTACTACATAACTGCAGTCTTCTTTACAGCTAAAGTTAGATTTTGGTGGAGAGAAAGCCTAACCACTGCCCTGAAGGAAGGAACATTTAATCCTCCCACTCCCCTCCCCCTTTCTCGAGAGATCAGGAAATATTTAGCTCAATCTTAGACTCTCTAGCGAGCTCTAGCTCCCAACTATTTATCTCATTCTCCTCACCACTTCTGCAGGGACCTAGAGAAGGGGGCGTAGCTTATCTTGGGGGTGGGGCTTGGAGGGCAGTATATTTGCATATGACACACCCTCGTCCTCTTATTGGCAGAGGAGAGCAAACTGTTCCCTGCTACCCTACTACTTAGCTAACCGCCACCTCCCTTCAGTTCCGAGCCTCGGAGATAAACTTAACTTGCCCGGAGATTCAAGGCTTCCTCGGCCCCTGCGATTGGCCGGCGCGACTCCCAGTCGGGCTCTCGTTGCTCATTGGCTGCGGGCTAGCGCCCTGGGGGCGTAGCCGGAGCTGTCCGATTGGCGGGAGGGGCGGTACCGGAGCGTGGAGGTGGTGAAGGTGGTGGGGCGGCGGAGGCGGGGCCGCACTGAGGCGCTGCGGCGGCGGTGGTGGCGGTGGCAGCGGTGGCGGCTGCTCGTCCTAGCCTGGCGGGGGCGGGGGTCTGGAAGATGGGGGCGGGTGGAACAACGGGCCGGTGAGGAGCAGCCGCCGCCGTCTCCGCCGTCGCTGGGGCAGCTGCCGCGGTGGTCGCCTCTGGCAGTGCCGCTAGCTTTCAGGCAGTCGCCTCTCCTCCCGACATCCCGCCTTGAGGAGGCTGAGGCGGAATCGCGGCTGGCGGCGGGGGGACGGACCGGCCCTGCAGTGGCCGCAGTGACAGCCCGGACCCGGCCCTCCGCCCGCTCTCGCCTCGGCGCCCGCAGCCACGATGAACCGGGGCGGCGGCAGCCCGTCGGCCGCCGCCAACTACCTGCTCTGTACCAACTGCCGGAAAGTGCTGCGGAAGGTACGGGTTCGGCCCGGGGTCCTGCCGGCGAGGGTCGCTTCCTGCCGGCCGGGGCTCGGGCGGCTCGTCCCCGGGCGCGCACTGGGGGAGGCTGAGAGGGATCCCCGGGCACCGTCCCTCCGCAGGGACTGAGAAAGGGGGCGTGGGTTGAGGGCAGGAGGGTTTGGACTACTGCGGCTTTTTATTTCCGCCGGGACAGACCCAAGTCTGGAGGGGTTGGGATATTTTTTCTTCCCTTGTTCCTTTTATTTGGTGCCTTTGCTCTCCTTTACGGCTCATTTCCCTACCTTGCTACCCCGGGTCGGCTCCTTGGGCGGAGGGCGGGAGGGATCCGTTCGATCCTCCTCCCTGTGCAGTTTAGCTGTTGATGGAGGTCGGTGTGAAATCAGAGCAGCTGGGTCGGATCCCGAGGAACCTGGCCCCTCTTTGCTGTGGCTAACTCTTGCGAGTGTTGTTTTTGTTTATTCGGTTGCTTCTGCCTTGCGCGCCTTGCTCAACAACCCCCGTTTTCAAATTGTTTGGATGGTAGTCCTGTGTCTGTAGTTCAGTCTCGAAAGGAACCAGTAAAGCATCTTGAACTTTATGCCCATGGGAAATGCAATTCGACCTGGCCAGTTCCTGAGGCTGGGGTTGGGGGAGGAGAAGACTGAGGTGGATGTGGGTTATTCCTCCTTAGCACCCCCCTGCCCCCGTGTTGATCCAGAAAAATGAGGCGCACCATCAGTTTATTGCTGCTTCCTAGAGTGACTGATAGAAAGTTTACTCCAGTATTGTTTAGCTTACTTGGCTTAATCGCCCCGCGGGGAAGGGCGAGAGGGATGGGGAAGGGAATGAAAAAAAGGTCTCTAGACTTTTTGATCAGATTTTAACAGCTGCCCCAAAGTAATATTATAATCAGTTTATTCGTATTCAAACTCTATTTTTACATTTTATTAAGTGGAAACGTTAGGTGAGATGCTTCTGTTTGTTCACTACAAATGAATTAAAATTGCTGAGCTGTGCAAATGCATCGGGACTGAAAGCGGAGATGAATATGGTACCGTTTTTAGTCAACATCTCTAAATACGGTTCACTTTGGGATTGTTCTTTCTACATTTTTTTTTAAAAAAGGAAGAAAGAAAAAAGCACATAAGTAAGCAAGCTCAAATATTTGCGCTCTTTGTCCAAAAACTGTTTTTCTTCCTCTGTGGGTCAGGCCAAGTGCCAATCAAAGTTGTTTTTCAAGCCTCTTTTCCCTGCAGTAGGGCTGCTGCTTTTTTTTTTCTTCCTATTTTATTTGAGAGCGTGAGAGCAAAGGGATTGCAGATTTGAGGTTAATTGAACAGTTAAATATGCCTTAAATTGTGTTTATTGGATATGTTTCTCTTGAAACAGATTTTTATTAAATGTGCATGTTGAGTATGTGCAGTTATTTTTTTCCATAAACTCTAGGATCAAATTACAGTTGATACTTGCTCAGCTCATTGTAGGGTAGCTTGTGAGAAATGTAATGGATCAGAAGTGCAGATCAGCTTAGTTGGATGTTAACTCTTTCACTGCAGGGCCAGATGTCATCTGAACTTAGCTTTCAAAAAAATTTATTTCTTAATTTTTAAATTTATGTTATGTCTTTGACATGAAAAAATGTGTCATTTAAGACATGTTTGATTAAAGTGCAGCCTGGTTAAAATGACAGCAAGTTATGCTTTTTAATTGAATAAGGAAAAAGAGCACTGTATTGACTTTGATAAAAAAATTTTTTAATGGCTCTGGCAATTTGTTAGGCTAATAAAATGTTTGGAGGTAATATTAGGCTTCAAAATGTATTTCATTTTTCTTTTGAGAGAGCTATGGCTATGGATCCATGACACTTTGCTAGCATTTAAGATATTACATCTTTCCTTTAGCTTTTAGGAAACTATTTCTGTTTACCTAGAAAGAACATCCTCATTTCTAGCCATTATTAAAAGAAACGTGGAAAAAGAGTATTCACATTTTCGTATTTTATAATTGCTGAGCACATCTCTGCCAGTATTCCAGTTTTTAGTAACTCCAAGGTATTTAATATTGATTCATGCAGTGGCATGAAATAACTTAATGGAAATAGGATTCTTTGAGCCAGTTATAACATGACTTGGCAACATTTGCAGCTTTTTAAAGAGTGCCACTTTGAAGTGCTCTTAAGAGAATCAGTATGTAGCATTTTAAATGTTTCATCATTCTTAAAATAACAATGAAAAGTTTATTTCTAATAAAGACATGTTTTTCTTGTTGATATAACTCTAAGTTAAAAGTCATCTATAACTCTCAAAATGTGATTCTTAGAGTTTATCTTGTTTTCCATTTAATAAAGTGTTCAGTAATGTAGCCAAGTGAGTCATAGTATTTTGAATGTTTGTTCAGTCTAATTCATAATGGAAGAATGAAACTCATGCTCATCCAGTGTGAATTACTTTTGCTTTTATATTTCTATATAATGATGGAAGAAGGGTCACCTTTATATGGGACAGAAAGTGTTATTCTCTCAGTAGGTGGCTTAATTTGTTGCAGTGTGTTGAATTTTAGGGGAACTTCACAAGGAATGGAATTCACCTTCAAATGAAATAATATGGTTTAACCCAATGCCTGAATATTGAATTATATATTGTATGAGAATTACATTTATTCTTAGAAGTCCGTTTACGGTTTTGATTTAGTATCCTCCAAAATAAAGAGACTTATTAAAATATTGAATGTACCTAATTTGGTAACCTTAGGACAGTAAAAAGAATGGAGAGGTAAACCATATCCATAAATAAATTAACCATCAAAACTATCCTGAAATCCCTAACTCTTAAGTCTAACTTGCTCTATTGTCAATGAGGTAGTTCAGTAAAGTTTTTAATAAAAGAGGAAATGCTTCTATTTATTTTGTAAAGTTAACGAGTTTTTAAGTTTAATCTTTTACTTGAAGAAATTCTAGTGATAACTAGAAGAACATAATCCTTTAATTTGAAAAGTCATGTGTCAAACTGCATTGAGGAAGGTAGGTAATTATCAGTCCACTCATCTTCCAGTAAATAAAAAAGTGGCATATTCCAATGTACTTTGGGTATTGAGCAGTTAGTGCTACTTAAATGAATAGTTTTGTGCTCTTTAGAGGATCTAACATTTAAACTTTTTTAATGTTAAGATAGTTATAGTGATATATCTTTGTATTGTTATTGCACTTTTCACTTTGTTATATGATCATATATTTTGACATCTTTTTGATGGTTTTATAAACAAAGATACTGTCAAAATGAAAAATACTAGATTGAGGACCGGGCATGGTGGCTTACGCCTGTAATCCCAGCACTTTGGGAGGCCAAGGTGGGCAGATCACGAGGTCAAAAGATCGAGACCATCCTGGCCAACATGGTGAAACCCCATATCTACTAAAAATACAAAAATTAGCTGGGCGTGGAATCGTGTGCCTGTAGTCCCAGTTACTCAGGAGGCTGAGGCAGGAGAATCACTTGAACCTGGGAGGCGGAGGTTGTGGTGAGCCAAGGTTGTGGTGAGCCAAGGTCACGCCACTGCACTGCAGCCTGAGCAACAAGAGCAAAACTCTGTCTCAAAAAAAAAGACAAAAAAAAAAAAGAAAAATACTAGATTGAACTATATGAGCCTCATTTTTATAGTCAAAATTGTTAAGTAATAGCAACTTTATATGGTTTAGCCAATAAAATGTATTTGCTCTATCTGTGGACCACTAGTTACATTATGCCTTGGTTAATCAGTTTTCTTGTGTTACATATTTTTGATTGTCAAAGGCAGTTTTTAACTTGATTATCTTAAATATCCTAAGCAGAGATCAAGTAGTTAATTAGTGATGGCAAACCTTTATGCAATGGTTTTCAAACTGCTTCGTATGGACCCTTAAGATTCTTTGGGGTTTTAAAATGCTTGAGTTGCATTAAATTTTTAAGTATGTTTTAACTTATTTTAAAACTGTAATTTAAAAATATGGGTACCCCCAAATATGTACACATAATTTTAATAACTGGAGTCTAACACCATTATCTTTCATTACAAAATTATTCTTGTGCAGGTCTTGAATTACAATTTGTTCTGCTATCTTTGTACAGATATTTGAATTTTTTTTTGTTACTGTGTCATGTATGAGAAAGATTGTCATTGATTGTGAAGGAACTGGCTTTTTAAAAAGAATTCCTTCCATATTTACTTAAGTTAAATGTTTACTTGTGAGAACACAAATTTATTGTTATCAGTAGTTGTAACTTTATTACTAAAATACTTGAAAGTTGCTTGGTATATTTATATGCTTTATAGTTCAGGTTCAATAGAAGATTTAATTTGTAAAAAGTGTTCTGCTGCTTCCCCCAACTCCCCACCCTAAATAAATAGAAAACATAACTACTAATGTAGTGATACTGGAAGCCACAGATGTGGTTGCAGTTAGGTCTTTAACAGATCTTTTGATTTCAAAGCAGAGTTTTCTCTGTAAAATGTTGATAATTTTTACTTGCCTTACAGATTGCTGTATAGTTGGAGAGAGATAGATGTGTGTTAATGAACTTTATAAACCGTGTAAGAAAGAAAAGGACAAGTCCATATATTTTTCCATTTTCCCAGACTATGTTAGTTCTTTCCGTCTTATGGGAATATATTTCAATACATACTGAGTAATTTGGTTAATACTCACTTTTCTGTCCTGTTTAATTATTGCCTGTAAATGAGAGGTAAAGATTATGCTTTTAGTCAGAATGACTTTTTTTTTTTTTTTTACTTATTTTTGATTTCCATATTTCTGTCTGTATTCCCTGCCCCTTTCCCACCCCTGCACTTAAATAGCAAGGCATTGACTTTTGATTCTCGAATAATTAAATTGCCTCCTTGACACTTCAGCAAATAAGGGGAATTGGTATTTAGTTTGAAAAGACTAAGAGTTAAGGAAAATTGTGCTTAATAAAAGGGGGGGTGGTAAATCTAGGGTAAAGCAAAAATTTTTAATTAGTTTAGGAGAAGAGATGGAAGTAAAAGTCTTTTAACCTTTTCTCCCCATCTCTTCAGCCTTTTCATTTTCTTCCTTTGAAATATTTGGATTATAATAACTTAAGTGTGTATTGACCTTCACAGTTTTTAGGGTGCTTTCACATTATTTCAGTTGATTCTCACAAACTGAGAAGATTTAAGTGGCCTGGTCTCAGTCATACAACTAATAACAAAGAAATCCATTTAATTCTTAATACTGCCTTTGTAATAAGCTGTTTCTAATTGTCCTCTGCAATATTGAGGCTGCTAGGGAATATCCCTACTCCCAGCTTCACCATCTGTGGAATGCCCAAAGATACCGAAGATTCTCCAGGTAATATTGGTTGGAAACATGAAAGTTAGCCATACTTTAAATACTATTGTAGATTAACTGAAGGAGTAGGAGAAGAGTAAGCTGGTCACTTTTATCTCTCTAACAGTTGTTTGGCTAATTCCTTAATAAGATAAAGCAGCAGTTCTCAAAGTATGGTCCTTGGATCCCTGTGGGTCCAAAACCCTTTCAAAAGGCCTGAGAGGTCAAAACTGTGTTCATAATTATACAAAGACTTTATTTGCCTTCTTCACTGAGAGCAAAAGCAGTGGGGGTAAAACTATGCTAGCCCCTTAGTATTAATCAGGTTAGTGGCACCAAACCGTTATCACTGTGTTCTTTACCACTGCACATTGAACAATGGGGAAAAAATTTCAATATCACTGAATGTCCTTGAAGAAGCAGTGAAAATTTAAATTTTGTTAAAGCTTGACCTTTTTGTGTGCATCTTTTTAATACCCCGTATGACAAAATGGAATGCGTATAAAGTGCATCCATTGCATAGCAAACTGGTTGGCTCAAGGAGAAAACTTGTGCAGTTGTTTTAGTTGCAAGCTGAACTAGCCACTTTTTTCATGTAACCCCATTTTTACTTGAAATAACACCTGTCAGACAAACTTTGGTTACTCAGACCTGGGCATTTGATAAACATTATCTTATAAATGAGTAGTATGACCCTGAAAATTCAAGGAAACTAATTGACACTATTTGCTGCCAGTGATAAAATTCAAGCTTTCAGGGAAAAATTAGAATTTTTGAAAATATGTATCTGTCACCAGTAGCCTTAAAGCTTCCTGGTTCTTAAAGGCTGTCCCCTTGAGATCAAGTATGATATTAGTGGATGTAACTTTTTGATAATCTGCAATAAAATTTGTCAGTATTTGAAAGATTTACATAACTCATTGAGCCAATATTTTTCAATTGACCAACAGAGAAAGACATTATTAATTGGGGTCTTTCTTTCCTTTTCAGCCAAGAGCAGCCAATTAGAGCATAATGGACAAGGTAATCTTTGGATCTGACCATTCTTTTTATCACTGACAATGATTGTTGTCAGTTGTTTTCCTCTAGTTTTCAGGATCATTTTGCTTATTTTTGAGGAAATGTTTATCAGAATCATATATGGGTAAAATCCATTTAAACCGCAAAATGTACAAGTGGATTTTAATATGATATAAACTGTTGAGGTCATGGATATGATTTCAGATACATTGCAATTAACCTTTAAGAAGAATACTTGTTGAGTTTTAGTGTGGTATCAAAGAAAAATATTCACACTTATCTTCTTTTTCCAACTATGTAGCTATGTCAGGTTCGATTTTTCACGCATAGTTCAATCAAAACACATCACAACAGATTGGGGAAAATTCAGCTGTCTTGTATTAAATAGACATTAAAGAGATTTGCAAAATGTAAATGTCACTCTTCTCACTTTTTATGTTTTGGAAAATACAATTATTCCAAAAAATATGTGATTTATATTATTTTGTAATAGATTTTATTACTATTTTAAATGAATTAAACATTTCAGAGTTTTCTCGGGTTTAATTTCTAATACAGTAAATATGGGCAGTTATAACCCACACATAAACAAAGGCTCTTTGGGGTCCCCAATAATTTTTAAGAGTGCGAAGGGGTTCCAGGACCAAGACATTTATGAAGGGGTTCCAGGACCAAGACATTTACGAACTACTGAGCCAGAGTTACTACTGATGCCAGTATATGGTGTAATTCTATGGGGAAAATAAAAAGCTTAATACCACTGACAGAAAATATTGATAAAGTCAACTCAGTTACCTCTGTTTGGTGTGTGTATCACTTGCAGATGCTGTCTACCACCTTTTCAGTGACATCCTAGAAGCTTCTCTATTACCACAGTAACTGGCTAACTAGAAATGATCTTTCCCTAATTTTCATGAGCATCTTTTTTCTGATATAAACCAGGGAGGGAAAAAAACAAAGTTCCTTCACTTTGAAGGAATATTCTCCTTTAGTACTGTGCAACAGCTGAAGAAAGGTCAAATCCAAAAATTATGTCCATTATACCAAATTGATTGGTTCTTGGCTACAAGGGAAAGAAGGACCCTGAGTAGCAAGGTTAGTCTGTTTGGCTTGAAAGCTGAGAAGTGTGGGGGAAGCAGCAGCAGAAGGAACAAGAAAAGAGAGAGAAGAGACAGAACTATTAATGCAGGGTACTGATAACAAGCATTGTTTGAATGTGGGAGTTCCTAAATAAATCCTCAAAGGTATAGTGGACTTTCTATTGTGTGTGTGTGGTGGGTTTGCGGGGGTGGGGTTGGGGGGATTGTGGTACACTATACACAAAAGCTATGACAGCCAGCAACTACCTGCATTCAGTGTGGTCTTGAAGGCATAAGCATAAGGGCCTATTTACTCTGTCTGATTAGATCTGCTGAGACCTATAAGTGACTAGCTGTATCTAACTTGTCCCTTAGACATCACTGTGGTAGGAGTACAGATGGCGGGGAGGAAGTGGAATTCACTATATAAAGTAAATACACTACCAAGTCAAAACGTTTAGTCATGTGTCCCCATAACAGTTTCCTTAAACCTGTGTGATTTAAACAATTTAAAATATATATCCTATATAACCTAAACCTGTAGTTACCATATAGAATTCCTATTTGTCTTTCAAAAATCTGAAGAAAGACTGTTCTTCAAAAGTCTGACGACATTTCCAAAAAGCCTTTTCTAATCTTCCAACTCTTCCTTCTCCTTCTATCCTCTGGACTGCCATGATATTCAATTGCACTGCATTTATTGCACTTAGCATACTGAATTATAATTAACAATTACATAAACCTTTCTCCTACTAGGTTGCCTCTTATTTGGGATCTAGTTAATGGAGAGTTTATTGTTAGCAAAATAGGATTTTGATTTAAAGACATTTATTTTAAAAATATCAGTAGTATATTTATATTAGATACAATATAGCCAATAATATGAAAACTTTTCTCATTTTCCAAAATATGTCTGTTCTTCTATGGCTTTATTTTGTTCTCTTTATAAGAAACACTTTCAGAAGTGCAATAGCAAAGATTATTTGAGAAAATAATCTTATAATGCATTTGTGCCTGGACTTCTTTGTTTCTTTGTTTTTGCTTTCGAGCATTTCATTATCCTTGTGGCCATGAAAATATTTCAATTAAATATCATCACTTTTGAAGGAAATTCTAATAGGGAGCAAGAATGTCCCACCAAGAGACAGGGTCAAGACACCAGCCTTAGCTGCTGGCCTTTCTCAGAAATGTAAAGTGGCCATTGCTTTTAAATGGACACATGCTCCACTTCTTGGAATCTGTTAGTGTTTTATAAGGGATGGCTGTTTTTGAGTAGTTAAGGGTATACCTTCAAACTTCCAAGATTCTAGGTGAGCCTAGGGTTCCAGTTTTGACTCTAGAATTCTGGCTTAGCCTTTCAGTCTTCCACTTCCTCACAAGCCCTTTACTTTGAAAGTCTCCCAAACCAGCTATGAACCCCTTGGCCAGCAGGCACTCCCTTGGTAAATTTGAAATAGAATTGTTCATAGGCCCAGACTACCCCATAACTAGCCTTTACTTTTTAGATCCACGCAGAAGTGAGTCATTTATTGGTCTATGGGCCAGTATATTGACTGCCCCTTGAGGGACACATGAATATTATGAGATATTTTATTCCTATTTAGGCTGGTTGAAATATCTTGCATTATGCTGCCCAACACTTCTAATAAGGTATGACAGGCATTTAACCTTATGTTTTACAAAGAATGTATTGAAAATATCATATGTGAATAAATATGACCAAAAATTAAAATGGCTGATTTAAGGCCGTATTATTTCTTGTACCATCAGAGACTTCTTAACAAGTATAAAATATGTATTTTAGTAAGACTTATTTTCTTTTTATTCTCTGCTAATTAATAGCTACTTGTAGTGGAAGGATATGTTCTTCTTTCTAGATACATATTTTATTTTTACATCTTCCTATACTGAGAAGATGGAACTAGTCAGTTGAAGAAATGAAATTTGTCTTTTCAGTTATCAATATATATGCTAAATATTAGAAAGATCACATTTACCTCATGGGTAACTAAAGCTGGGTTTTGTGGAAGATCATTGTAATTATCTGAAACTGTGACTCTTACTTCCTTTTTTTTTTGGAGTCTCACTCTGTCACCCAGGCTGGAGTGCAGTGGCGCCATCTTGGCTCAGTGAAACCACCGCCTCCCGGGTTCAAGCGATTCTCCTGCCTCAGCCTCCTAAGTAGCTGGGATTACAAGCACCCACCACCATACCCAGCTAATTTTTTATATTTTTTGTAGAGACGGGGTTTCACCATGTTGGCCACGCTGGCTTCGAACTCCTGACCTCAAGTGATCTGCCTGCCTTGGCCTCCCAAAGTGCTAGGATTAAAGGCACGAGCCACCCAGCCCGGCTGTGACTCTTACTTTCAAAACACATTTTATAATATCTATAATGACAATAGCTTCTACTGAATACTACTTATGTGCTAAGCATTTAAACTCTACATATGTTATCACATTCAAGCATCACAATTAACCTGCGATGAATTATTACTCACAGTTTATGGATAAAGAAACTAGGGCTCACAGGGCATTCTTCACTTCTTAAAGGTTATATTACCAGTAAGTGACAGACTTAGGATTTGCAACCAGGTTGAACTCCAAAGCCTGGCTCATTATGCAGGTATAAACACTGCCTTGTCTTATATTTCATGTTTTTCTTTGTGTGAAAGGCTGTTATAAAGTGTAAATAAAACTAATGAAACTTAATAGGATGTGATTATTCAAGAGTTTATAGGAGTGATTTCAAATTCATTTGTATTGTATCTTATTTTTACATTAGAAATGCAAAAAATCATTTTATAAGATTAAATCTATTGAGAAACACATTAAAGTTCTTATTGAACAGTTTTATCCTATATAGTTATCTCTTTTATCTGTGTAAATCCTAATTATGTGACCATTCTTTCTTAACCTCAGGATTTTTTTTTCCTAACTTACCAGCATACTTTGCCCTCCCCCTCCTGCCAACCAGTCATTAATTAGTTCAATAACATTGAATCATTTAATACTGCTCTAGTGTCTGTGACAAAAGATATTATCTGGAAACATTTTAAGTATGTGTCTCGCGAATTGGACCTCTAAGAAATATTCTTACTTTTTGGTAAATTTTTTTCAGTAAAACTATTATTTATGAAGATAAATAATAACATGAATGCTCATTTCCACCACTCATTTGGCTTTCATTATATGTTGAGACAAAAATTTTGATTAAAGGAAGCAAAGAAACCCTTGGACTGTTATCATTCCCCTACCTACATCCCCTATAGTCTACAGAATCTACATCTCTGGAAGAGTTTCCAGTCTTAACAAAGGGTTTGTGCTGGGGAGAGGGATTTATGGCGAGATGTGGTTCTGCTATTTATTTTAAGTTAGAACTCTTATTCTGAGAGTTTTCCATAGAAACACAGTAAGATATGTGGTTAAGTTCCAGAGTACTGTTAATATTACAGGTATGTTCAGGCATTTGTTAATTAGCCTAGAAACCTAACCACTGGGTATAACGTTTCCAGAGGAACATATATCCTGAAATTCAAGTAACCGCTTCACTAGAGACTGTCTTTCCTAACTTGTTTACTCAGCATTAAAAAGGTAATGATTTTGGCAAAAAAAAAAATATTTTTCAATATGTTTACTCCAAGGATGTGCTTGTCGGTTGTGCTGTGTCTAATAGGAAAACTGTGTTAATGAAGTTCCATCCAATATTTAGGTAGGAGTTGAATGAAGAAAGAGATAAAGTTGGGTAATAATAAGCAGGGTGTTGGGACAACTGATGGCCAATATCAAACTGGCTTATCCTTGTTCACTTTGTATTGACCAAGGTTTGGGCTCAGCATGGTGAATTTTAAGTGGGGTGGCATATTTGTTATTATTTATTTTTGTCTTTAAGGTAACACAGATGAAAAAGAAATCATGTTTTACCTACCCAGAAAGTTCCTCTTTGATATAAAATTAGACATTTAATATGTATATCTTAATTTTTTGGTGTAAATTAGTAAAGTAAAACAAGTCAGTCCAGCAAATGTGCTCCAGTAAAGAAAAAAAAACTTAAAACTAATAAAAATAAAAGGCATTTAAGCTAAAGTAAGATACCTTAGCACTAAATTCCATGTAATGTTCAAATTATTTTATCAAAACTGTTTTGTACGTTACTTGAAATTAATGAATTCTCAGTTGGGGTGTGGAATACCTATTTGTGTTGTAGTTTTATTGTTTTAATAGAGTATGACCTATATAATTAACCTCCTGAGATTAATTTTTATATTGTGTAGCTATTAAAAATAACTAAAGCTCTAGTTTGTAATATTCTTTAGGCAAAGTGCATTATTGAACACTCAAAATGTGCATAAACTAGTAAGTATTCTTTTGATTATACAAGAAACCTATTTAGTATTTGGTGCTCTTAAAAATAAGGGTAAATATGGCCGGGTGCGGCGGCTCACGCCTGTAATCCCAGCACTTTGGGAGGCCGAGGCGGGCGGATCACGAGGTCAGGAGAACGAGACCATCCTGGCTAACACGGTAAAACCCCATCTCCACTAAACAAAATGCAAAAAATTAGCGGGCTTGGTGGTGGGCGCCTGTAGTCCCAGCTACGCTGGAGGCCGAGTCAGGAGAATGCCGTGAACCCGGGAGGCGGAGCTTGCAGTAAGCTGAGATCGCGCCATTGCACTCCAGCCTGGGCGACAGAGCGAGATGCTGTCTCAAAAAAAAAAAAAAAAAAAAAGAGGGTAAATCTATGTTTAGGTAGATGGGAATGTAGAAACAGTTTTTTTTGTAAAATTATACAGATTGCTATTTTATGCTTATCAGAATTCTATGTCAGATGCTATTACCTTTTCCTGGCCTTCAGATTCTTAGGCAAGAAATGTTAAGGCTATAAACATTTATAAATCACTGAATACTATATGAATATCTTTAATTAGTTTGTGTATTTTGGAAACATTAAGTGCTCTCACCTGTTAGGCACTGAACAGACTTAGAATGAGAACATCAGAGTTTTTACCTACGTAGCGTGATGACTTGCAACTTATGCCTGGGTCTCTTAGAGATCTTCAAGGTTATGCCTCCCAGTTGACACTACAGTCAAGAGTAGGATTTGGTAAACTTTCTGTAAAGGGCTGGGTAATAATATTTTGGGCTTACAGGCCATACACATAAGCACAGTAGTTCTTCTATAGTAAGTAATTGTAAAGCTTTGAACTAATTGTCTTATTGTCTTAAAATCCTAATTCTCTACCTACCTTCCCCAACCAACATTAGCATAGTGGTGCTCAAGAAATGTGTCATGTAATAAATGAACCTACACTTACTCCAGAGGGGACAAAGGTGGTACCTGATGCAGGAATATGTGAGTGTTGGTGTTGGAGAGTGTTGTGAGAGGAAGATTATTCAGCAGAAACAAACCCTTCCTCTGATGAGCAGAAGTGGTGGATGTCAGTAATTTAAAAATGGAAAATCAAGTCATTCAGAATACTTTTTATAGGGATAATCTTTTAAAATTGCACACTGAGCATTTAATCAATGTAAGTAATATGGCACCATTATCTAGGTTGCACATTTGTGAAAGCATCAGTATATGATGCGTTCCATGGTTGGGATCTAATGATACCCAGATCAAGCCATGACATAACTAGTGCAGTGTGCAAGATTCAAGCCCTATTCAGTCAGAATTCTTCCTTTGAAATGAGGATTGACAATTAAGCTTTTTTTTTTTTTTTTTAAACGGAGTCTGGCTCTTGTCGCCCAGGCTGGAGTGCAGCAACACCATCTCAGCTCACTGCAACCTCCACCTCCCGGGTTCAAGCAATTCTCCTGCCTCAGCCTCCCAAGTAGCTGGGATTACAGGTGCCCACCACCGTGCCCGGCTAATTTTTGTATTTTTAGTAGAGACGGGGATTTCACCATGTTGGCGAGGCTGGTCTTGAACTCCTGACCTCAAGTGATCCACCCACCTTGGCCTCCCAAAGTGCTGGGATTACTGGCATGAGCTACAGTGGCTGACAGTTAAGTAGTTTAATAATGTATGCTTCAAATTATATTTGACAGGGAGTCCCCTGACTAACTCTTGTTATAGTTGTGCAGTTTTATGATTACATATGGGAGAATTAAATGCACAAAAAGCATACATTGATATGGGTGACCTTTCTTATCTGTCTTTTATCTTGTGAAGTATCACTAGTCTAAACACATGTGGTTTTAAAAAACAAATTCACATGATGTATAAGCATATAGTAGTGGAAAATATTTTACTTTTTTTTTTTTTTTTGAGACAGAGTCTTGCTCTGTTGTCCAGGCTGGAGTGCAGTGACATGATCGTGGCTCACTGCAACCCCCACCTCCAGGGTTCAAGCGATTCTCCTGCCTCAGCCTCCTGAGAAGCTGGGAGTACAGGCATGCACCACCACACCCAGCTAGTTTTTGTATTTTTAGTAGAGACAGGGTTTCACCATATTAGTCAGGCTGGTCTCGAACTCCTGACCTCATAATCCACCTGCCTCAGCCTCCCAAAGTGCTGGGATTACAGGTGTGAGCCACTATGCCTGGCCAGTATTTTACTCTTAATTGATGTTAAACTTTTAAACTACAAGACATCTGTGTGGTTTTTTTTTTTTATCTTGCCTCCTTTACTAATTATTGCTAATATCTATGTGATTTTATCTTACTTCCTTTACTAATTATTAGATTTTTATTAGAGCTGTTGTGGAAAACATATTTGTCACAGTGGAAAATGGAATGAATTGATAATAAGCACCTCAATGATATAACTCCATTTGTAGTTAGATATAGATTATTTATAGAAACAATTGGATTTTTAAAAACACTGAATAAGAAATTACCTAGAATGTTGCCATCAATGTGCTGAAGCATTTCATTTTTCATTTTAGAGTGCTACTAAAATTTGAACTCATTGTGACAGTGTATATTTAGTAAATTTTGCATTTAATAAACTACTGTGTTATCATTCATAAAAAGTGCCATGATATCACAAAAATGAAGTAATATGTCCTCTAGCAGTCCTAACCTGTCCATTTCCTTTTCAGTGATAGGTATACATTACATGACTGTCAAAGAGGAGTCCATTGTTACTATAAAAGGCCATTTCTTTTTGTTCTACCTTTATAGTCATCTTAACACATTTTATTGTTTATGGATCATCAACTATTTGACAGAAGGTGTAGAGCACTTAGAAACTAAAATGCAGTGTGCTGTCTATTGTATATCAATCAATTTAAGATAAAGGATTTCTTTTTTTTTTTTTTTCTTTTTTTTTTTTGAGATGGAGTCTCTCTCTGTTGCCCAGGCTGGAGTGCAGTGGCGGGATCTCGGCTCACTGCAAGCTCCGCCTCCCGAGTTCACGCCATTCTCCTGCCTCAGCCTCCCAAGTAGCTGGGACTACAGGCGCCCACCACCATGCCCGGCTAATTTTTTGTATTTTTAGTAGAGACGGGGTTTCACCGTTTTAGCCAGGATGGTCTCGATCTCCTGACCTCGTGATCCGCCCGCCTCGGCCTCCCAAAGTGCTGGGACTACAGGCGTGAGCCACCGCGCCCGGCCAAGGATTTCTAAAATGAAGACATAAATCAGTGGAAAAGCTAGATTGGATTCACAGAAACTTGATACATACCTTTTCTAGAGCATGTGTGACACATAATTGGTTTACAGTTATTTCTAGGAAAAATTCACATTCAAATACTAAGTTCCTCTTCATTATTTTATGATAGATATTTGTTTGTCAAGGTCAGTTGAATTCATAGGGGACACAGACCGTTTACTACATGTCAGGTATTTACTTTCCTGAATGTCATTGTAATTCAGCAGTACACCAAACTAGATAACAATTTTTAGGAATCAACTCGGTCTTCATTGAATTAATATCTTTCCCAAATTGCTATGATTGACTGTTCCTACTTCCCCTCCCCCAGACCGTAGCTATCGTTTTATTTAAAATGTTTCATTTTGAGAAAGGTTGAAGTATTAACCAGCAAAGAATAACAATTCCGTAGGCAAATCAGTTTGTTTCATGTCTAGGACGATGGTTCTGCAGTGTGGTTCTAGAACCAGCAGCATCAGTATCAACTGGGAGTTTGTTAGATTATTACCCCACCCCCCACCCCTAGACCTGCTGAATCTTTTGAAATTCTGGGGATGGGACCCAACCATCTGTAGTGTAACAGGCCTTCCAGGTGATTCTAATACTCTAAGAATTTAGTACCACCAGTCTAGTAGTATTAACCAAATGCTTCCACAAATGAAAATTGTTTACATCCACTTCAGTTTCAACATGCATTATCAGTTGTTTGAGATGATATTGGCAGCGCCAGTGCTAGAATCAGGAAGATTCCTTTTGCCTATTTTACAAAATGCAGATTTGAGACCTTCAGATATAATATGCTCTCACTGTAAGAAAAATATGTCTTATTTTATTGTTGCTACATTCTGAACTTTAGCTTGGGGAAAAAGGAATTGGGTTTTGAAAGCTTGTTTACGACAAATCAAGTGAAAATATCTCTTGGACGTGCTTGCTTACATAAAAATAAGCGTTTTGGCACTAACATTGGTAGACTCTGGTAGGTCTTTCCATCTTAGATTATTTTTATTTCAAGGAAGATTGATATTTTAAGCTTTCATAAAGAAAACTTTTTTTAATCAAAGAAGAAATGATAACATTTGTCCTGATGACAGATTTGGGATTGATATGTTGTTTTTTAAAAATTCTTTTGAATCTCTTGGACAATATTAAATACATATATATATATAAATTATGGATGTTCTCTTTCACCTATAGTAGCTTACTCTTCAATTAAAAATGGAGTGTCAGAAAGTCTCCATTTGGAGACAGGAGGCCTACAAATTGAAACAGAAGAAACCCAAGCCATGTGTATTATATATGGACCATAGGTAAATAGAAGATTGCTCTTTGAAAAGCAAAGATTGTTTCAGTTAGTTGCAGTTCTATCTAGGACAGTAACTATAAGTCATTTTATTTTGTTCTTTGGTTGTATCTAATTTTGAGGTAATGGGTGTTTTCCTCATATTACCTCTAAGTTAATACTACAATTTAACCTGTATTGATGTTACTTATGTGAATAACAGGCTGTATTAAATTACCCCACTTTAATTCCAAAGTTCCTTACGCATGGGCTGCCCCAGAAGCATATGTAATTACTTAATTCTAAACCATGGTAGGTGATGCTTTTCTAGTGACCATTTTTCTATCCTTCTGTGAGGAAAGGGCTAATATAGTACCTTAAATAGAACTGTCTCCATGGCAATGGACAGTCAGCTTTTGACTTTGAATCTCATGAAAAAAGAAAATTTAAAAAGCATTTTCATGGTCTAAAATAGCAGTATGGCAAAAGTAAGGTATGAGAATATTTCCTGTCAGTTATTGCATGACTGGTTAAGGTAGCAGAACTTTTATCTTTTTTTCTTTTTTCTTTTTTACATAGGACTTTTTATTTGAGTATTTTGAAATGTTACCGAATTCCTTCTCTGAATTAATGAATGATAATTATTATCTTCAGATTGATAGAGAACTAGAGAAGCTTAGATATAGGATTGGGTCCATGCCTGAGAAAAAAAGAGTTGCCTAGCTCTGGTTGTAATTTTACTCTCATAAAGAATAAAAATACTGACTAAATTATGGGTCATTCATAATTACATTTAAACAGAGCTATCTCATGGAACACTGGAAGCAATAACGATTAAAAATAAAAGCTTAACAAATTATGCCAGTTTTTTTTCAGCCAACTCCTACGATTTGGGGTCTACAGATCACCTATCCTATTTAAAAGACTCCACTGGCAGCCTGCCTCCCTTGTTCTCTTTTGCATCCACACTTACTTAAAGGCAGAGCCCTTTGATTCTAGCTGCTTGTTCACCTAGCTTTCAGTAAAGGTCAATGACAGTGCTGTATATTAGAAGCTAGAGAATAAGACCACATTGTCATCGGTAATCTTACTTTGTCTTTTTCCTTTGTAAAGTTGTTTGCCCCTTGACTAAATCTTATCTCAGTATAGGGGTCATTTTCAATTGAATCAGCTCTCATCTTTAAAATATCATCAGTAAATGCTTAATACTCTGAGGTTACTGTTAATGAGGGAATTGGTTAAACAAATTATGTGACATAAATACAGTGGAATACTGGGCAACTGATCTATGTATAGAAGTGGACAGACATCCACAATATGTTATTGATTGGAAAAGACCAAGGTTTTTTTTTATTTTTTAGGACTATGAAGATTTTTGTTTTCATTTAAAAAAAGATAAATAAGGAATCCAAAATTAACAGTATTAATTTCTGGGTGGTGGGGTTACAGGAGATTATTTTTACCATCTACTTCATTGTCCTTTGTTTTTAGCAATAAACACATATTTTATAAAAGTTTAAAAAGCTATTACTGATTTGAAATAATAGAGAAGAAGAGATAATTTAAGTGATGGATAGTACAGAGAGCAGATTCAAATGAGATGGCAAATTAAAGATGCATTGAGATAAAGACAAATGTTCACAGGTTTAATAGATATCCAAAGTAGCTATGGGTAAATCACCAAGGGAATAATAATGTGTGTGTAGGAGGCTAATGAGGGCTCAGATGCGTAGACATAGATCAATACAATCTGGAAATGAATGAAGGTACTGTGCCTATCTATAGCATATTTTTTTATGTTGTCATATCAATCATTCTCTTTAGGAATCTGATGTGCTTATTAATATTTCATCAGAATATTAGTTTGTTTCCTTAATTATGAATTCAAGAGATAGCTGCAATTGTATTGCTCTACTTTTATACCATATGGTAGATAATAAAACTTACTGTATAAATTTCAGGAATTTAAATATATAATCTGAGCACTGTGTGTTAATCTAGAGATATTATCTATTAGGAACTGAAATAGAAAAAGATGGCTACTTTATAATATAATGTAATTTTAGAATTATTTAATTAATATGTATGCTAGGATTTTTGAAGACTTAAAAAAGGTGTATGGAGTCTGTCCTAGGTTTTAGAGAGCTTACTCTGTGGTTAGAGAGAAAGATGTTTTCTAAATAATTATAAAGATAGCTAAAAATGGAAAACTATACCTTTTGACTTTTTGTAGAGGTTAATAGATTATTATGTATCTTCACTTGTGAAAGCATGGATAATGTTTCAGTTAATTTAATACATTACTGTATGGAAAAGAAGGGTAGTTAAATATTAAATACTTGTTCTTATGTTTAAGGCTTAGGTATGTGGTTTCAGTGGACTATTTTTAATGATTTTTAAAAATATATATTTGAATTCTCAAAAATGCAAAATGTGTTATAGATAACATTATAGAGTATCTATAACCAGTTATTTTATAAATGGGTGTTTTTTACTTAAGTGGCTTTACTTTCCAATTTTATTTTCCATTTCTAATAGGATGGGTCATTTGTTGAACAAAATATCGAATTAATGACCTACTTTGAGCCAATTGATAGTTTTCTAAACCCAGCCTATTCTGTAAATCTTTTCTTTAGCTTGTAAGACAATTTCTAAACATGTTGTCTAGTTGTGTTATACTAAGGAACTCAGTATTGCATAATTCTAATAACAGCAGTTACTTTTTTTTTTTGAGACGGAGTTTTGCTCTGTCACCCAGGCTGGAGTGCAGTGGTGTGATCTCGACTCACTGCAACCTCCGCCTCCCGGGTTCAAGTGATTCTCCTGCCTCAGCCTCCTGAGTAGCTGGGACTACAGGCGTGCGCCACCATGCCCAGCCAATTTTTGTATTTTTTTTTGGTAGAGATGGGGTTTCACCATATTGGCCAGGCTGGTCTCAAACTCCTGACCTCGTGGCCCACTCGCCTTGGCCTCCCAAAGTGCTGGGATTATAGGCATGAGCCTTTTATAGTTGTATAGATGATGTCACACTCTTAAGAGCTTTACAGATATTTATTCATATAATATTCTCACTGCCTATTTTAATAGCCTTCTATTCACCCACTGCTGTGGGAGGGACTGCCACTCTTGGGTCATGGGGGTGGCTGAACGTATAATACCTAACACTGGACAGATGAGATCAACAGTGGTTTATTAGTCACATATACTCACAGTCCAGGGGAAGAGGACACTGCACACCATGCAGTGCACTTGGAAGTTGTATTCTGGAACAGAATGAACAACGAGGGGCAGTGAGAGACAGGCTTTCTAGAATAAAGAGGGTGAGATGCCCCAAGTTTCTACATGAAGCTATGATTGGCTTGTTTACATGATTGCATGAACTGGAATACTTTTCTATGCACCAGGAAGTAATTAATGATTATCTGGGATATTTATTATTCTTTTCCACTATAATTGTGTCAGAGCATCTTATCATTTCTCTTGATAAAACTGGGTATCTTTTTCTCTGAATTTTTCACATAATGCAAGTGTAATTGTAAACTAGCTGCTTTTGTTTTTTCCTTTTTTTTAGTCTGGCCAAACCTTTGATATAAAGAAGAATGTTTATAGAGTATTATTTATACTGAACTCTATGTCCTAATTAAAAGCAGATTTACCAAGTTTGGGTTTTTCTCATTCCCTTTATCTTGCCTGTGAACTTTGTCAAATTAACTTTTTAAAAATACAAACTGTTTATTAAAGAGTCTTGAATCTAGTATATTGGAATAATAAGTTTCTTTAGTCTTCCTTTCTGTTTTAATAAGAGCTATGCTTAAGTGATGTAGTGGTAGAATGCAAAATGCTCACAGTTCTGCTGTAACACTTAATGAAAATTTGTTTTAATTGATGTATTAGGGAATGATTTGAGCATATCAGTGAATTTTGTGTATTAGGATACATACTTCAAACATCTACCCTCCACCTTAGTTCACCAGTGTATTATGAGCTCCATCCATTCATATCTGGTGTTACATTGTTACGTCTTATTTCAGATCATCCTTCTGCTGCTTCATAACTTACAGGCTGTAGGCCTTGCAGTAACCACTTCCATAAGCAATTTTCTTTTTCAAGGTAGAGTGCCATATACATATATATTTTAATTGTACTTTAAGTTCTGGGATACATGTGCAAGAAGAACGTGCAGGTTTGTTACATAGGTATACATGTGCCATGGTGGTTTGCTGCATCCATCAACCTGTCATCTACCTGAGGTATTTCTCCTAATGCTATCCCTCCCCTAACCCCCTACAGGCTCCGGTGTATGATATTCCCCTCCCTGTGTCCATGTGTTCTCATTGTTCACCTCCCACTTATGAGCAAGAACATGCGGTGTTTGGTTTTCTGTTTCTGTGTTAGTTTGCTGAGAATGATGGTTTCCAGCTTCATCCATGTCCCTGCAAAGGGCATGAACTCATCCTTCTTTTTTTTTTTTTTTTTTTTTTTTGAGATGGAGTTTCACTCTTGTTGCCCAGGTTGGAGTGCAATGGCGTGTTCTTGGCTCACTGCAACCTTCGCCTCCTGGAATCAAGCGATTCTTCTGCCTCAGCCTCCAGAGTAGCTGGGACTACAGGTGCACACCACCACACCCGGCTGATTTTTGTATTTTTAGTAGAGACGGGGTTTCGCCATGTTAGCCAGGCTGGTCTCAAACTTCTAACCTCAGGAGATCCACCCGCCTCAGCCTCCCAAAGTGCTGAGATTACAGGTGTGAGCCACCACGCCTGGCCAAACATCCTTTTTTATGGCTGCATAGTATTCCATAGTGTATATGTGCCACATTTTCTTTATCCAGTCTATCATTGATAGGCATTTGGGTTGGTTCCAAGTCTTTGCTATTGTGAATAGTGCTGCAGTAAACATACATGTGCATATGTCTTTAGAGTAGAATGATTTATAATCCTTTGAGTATATACCCACTAATGGGATTGCTGGGTCAAATGGTATTTCTGGTTCTAGATCCTTGAGGAATCGCCACACGGTCTTCCACAATAGATGAACTAATTTACACTCCCACCAACAGTGTAAAAGCATTCCTATTTTCTCCACATCCTTTCCAGCATCTGTTGTTTCCTGACTTTTTAATGATCATGATTTAATCATGTGTTTTTGATTTGCATTTCTATAATGACCAGTGATGATGAGCTTTTTTTTCATATGTTTGTTGACCACATAAATGTCTTCTTTTGAGAAGTGTCTGTTCATATCCTTTGCCCACTTTTTGTTGAGGTTGTTTTTTTCTTGTACATTTGTTTAAGTTCCTTGTAGATTCTGGATATTAGCCCTTTGTCAGATGGATAGATTGCAAAAATTTTCTCCCATTCTGTAGATTGCCTGTTCACTCTGATGATAGTTTCTTTTGCTGTGCAGAAGCTCTTTAGTTTAATTAGATCCCATTTGTCTATTTTGGCTTTTGTTGCCATTGCTTTTGGTGTTTTAGTCATGAAGTCTTTGCCCATGCCTGTGTCCTGAATGGTATTGCCTAGCTTTTCTTCTAGGGTTTTTATGGTTTTAGGTCTTATGTTTAAGTCCTTAATCTACCTTGAATTAATTTTTGTTTAAGGTATCAGGAAGGGGTCCAGTTTCAGTTTTCTGCATATGGCTAGCCAGTTTTCCCAACGCCATTTATTAAATAGGGAATCCTTTCCTCATTGCTTGTTTTTGTCAGGTTTGTCAAAGATCAGATGGTTGTAGATGTGTGGCGTTATTTCTGAGGCCTCTGTTCTGTTCCATTGGTCTATATATCTGTTTTAGTACCAGTGCCATGCTGTTTTTGTTACTGTAGCCTTGTAGTATAGTTTGAAGCCAGGTAGCATGATGCCTCCAGCTTTGCTCTTTTTGCTTAGGATCATCTTGGCTATATGGGCTTTTTTTGGTTCCATATGAAATTTAAAGTAGTTTCTTTCAATTCTGTGAAGAAAGTCAATGGTAGCCATTTAAGTGAGGAATTACTACCTACCAGCCAACCCATATGCTCTGATAGTTATAAACACATTTCGCACACTGATGATCATGCAGCTCTTCTTTTAGAAAAAAATGTATTTTTTGGAGATTACATTCTTGGGAAGGAACAGCTGTATTTGAAGTCCTGTCATGATTATATGAACTCTCTACAAAACAGTTACATAAAGTTAAACCTCACTAATATATACAGGACCAGTAATACTTCGTGCTGGAGCTAAAATTATTTAATATATTTCTAAAATAAAAATATGTGAGGACAAGTCCATACATTATTTTGGAGGACTTTCAAAAGTTATTCATACTACTAGATTATAAAGGTTATTCATATAAAGATTATTTAAAAGACTACTCTCACCATTTACATAAAATACCTTAAAATAATCCCTTGATTCATTTTTTTTAAAAAACTAAGGAAAGAAGAAAATCATTGAATACCATAATCCTGACAATAAATAGATTATTATTATTTCTTTTTTTTAGAGTATGGTATGCTTTGTTCACTGGATCATTTATGAAGAACATAAATTAGCTGGGTGTGGTGGCTCACGCCTATAATCCCAGCACTGTGGGAGGCCCAGGCAGGTGGATCACTTGAACTCTTGAGTTCGAGACCAGCCTGGGCAACATGATGAAACCCAGTCTCTACAAAAAAAACAAAACAAAACAAAACAAAAAAAACATATAGTATAGAACATTGAAGAGAATTTTAGACATATTTAAAATTACAGTTCTTCTGCTATTAAATTATGTAAATTATATGATATTATATGATATATATCTACAATAGACCTTTTTCTAATCTTGGTTTTATAACATTTTACCAAAAATCCAGAACGTATCAGTTTATTAATAGGTTAAGTAAAATTATTTTTAAAATAAAACATTTTTTAAACTAGCAAAATAATGGGAAAGTAATTTTAAAGCATTTAGCTTATTTTCTTTCTGAAAACTTTCTACCAGCATTTAGAATCTTTCACAGCATTCTGTATAACCATAGAATGTTAATGCAAAAAGGCCCCACGGAATGTCTCTCATTTTTTAAATGTGAAAATTAATTCCTTGAAAAATGATCAAAGCTCTGATCCTTTCAGTGCTAAGAAGGGAAAATAACTCAGGTTTTAGTACCTTTTTCATCGTATCACCTTACCTCTAGCATTCAGGTATATATTACTTTGTTTATTACTCTTTGGGTGTCTATATCTAATTTTACCAAGTAGTTTGTAAACCCCTTTAGGCAGTTTTTGTACTTTCTGTTCTTAAAAGAGCTATTACATAAGCTGCTTAACAATGAATTTAATTGGTACATACTGATTGGTTGGTTGATTTCTTTGATTTGGAAGTAAGTGTTTTAAACTTAGAATGCCTAGTGCAGGCCTCTGGTGTTCACAGATGTCCTTTCAGTACTTAAAAAGTAGTAATGTTGGCCGCGCGTGGTGGTTCATGCCTGTAATCCCAACACTTTGGGAGGCTGAGGCGGGTGGATCACGAGGTCAGGAGTTCAAGACTAGCCTGGCCAAGATGGTGAAACCCCGTCTCTACTAGAAATACAAAAAAAAATGCCTCTGTAGTCCCAGCTACTCGGGAGGCTGAGGCAGAAGAAATGCTTGAACCCGGGAGGTGGAGGTTACAGTGAGCTGAGATCATGCCACTGTACTTCAGCCTGGGCAACAGAGCAAGATTCCGTCTAAAAAAAAAAAATAGTAATGTTTAGGTGATATGAATGACTGTTTATTTTGAGTTAACTGAAAAACTATTGATTTAGTACACTAACACTGAAACCTTAAGTACAGGCTAAGGATAACAAATCCTGTTATCCTTAGTTAAGTTACTTAAAAAAGAAAGATAAAGAACAGAAAAGGGCCTGAATAGCATCTGTATGCAAACTAATCTGGAAAATGGGAGGAGATATCAAGAGAATGACAAATTAAAGGAAGTCTTTGTGATCATTAGAAGATAATTACTTTCACAGATCTTAATTATAGCATAATTATAGCTTTTTCTTTCTATCAAAAACTGCACTCTGAGAATTTTCTTGCCAAAACAGGAATTGAGAAACTTTGGATGTTATGAAGTAACTCTATTAAATTATAAGAGTGTGTGTGTGTGTGTGTGTGTGTGTGTGTGTGTGTGTGTGTATTTTAGGACTGGCATAAATCCAGGATGCCAAAAAACATTTTAAGGTGGTTATGGTTCAAAAATAGTTCATAATATCATTAAATGTATAATAGGCTGAGTAATATATAGAAATAGTATGTTATCAATCAACATTTATTGGGCACCTGATTTGAATTAGTCATTAAGATAGAACACTTCTTTTATAATTAAATTAGTGAAAGAGAAGATAAACCACTTTTATGAGGTTTATCTTCTCTTTCACAAAATGATACCAGGCATCATATAAATGGGAATCTGGAAGACGGGAAAACTCGCTGTGGGTTTGAATGAGTCAATATACAGAATTTAGGAACTGTGTTGAGGCTTATGTGAAGTGTTCATATAAGGGAACACTTGGAAAACAAAAGTTGAAAAGTTAGGTTAGGGGCCAGAATGTTGGAGATCTTGCCTTTCTTCCTCTACTGTCCTTCCCCCAACTCCACCCCCTCAATAAACTAAGGATAAAATGATAGGCTAAACTGAGGTAGTAGTAGTAGAAATGGAAAGCAAATTAGACTCACTGAGAAGTTTGTGAACAGGTGGTGAGATAACCTAGTATAAAGTTGTTATTAAATATTAGAGTGTAATGTATAATAAAAGTTTGGGTCTTTAAATGCAAATTAAAATAATGAAACACTTGATTCTTGACAGTGCTTTCATCTCCTTGAAACCCATATCCTTCCACATTACTGTCTTATAAGCATAATCCCTGGATTGCTAGTATCAACCTAAATTTCAGCTGCCTTATTGTGTGAATTGCTTTTATATCAGTTGGTGTCACCATTATTCATCCATACAGTCATCTAATTCAGAATTCTGTGAGGAACCCTAGACTTTCCTCACTATTTTACCCTGATATTCCATTAGTCACTCAATTCTGTTTAGTCTGCTAACTAGCTGTCAATATAATTCCTTTTCTTTAATCCATACTGCTTAATTAACCCAAATCTTCTCTTTCCTACATAATATAGTAGCCTACTAATAGCTCATATTTCCCCAGCCTCCCCCACCCCACTCTACTTTCTAATGGATGTCAGAAATATTTTCTTAAAAGACAAATATAATTATTTTACTATTGCCCATTGTTTATATAATATCAAAGCTCTTTACTCTGACATTCATGATGTGACTCTTGCCTATGTCTCTAGCCTTATTCCCTGAGAAAGTTTCAGGAATCATGTAGAACAACATAGTTCCCTCGATGTGTCATGTCTTTGTATTTTATATTTCTTTTTACTGGTATTGTTGTATCCACATAGACTTAACTATCCTTTTCTACGTATCCTGACAAATTTCTGCTCCTTCCCAAGATTTATCTCATCTGGAAGGCTGTTTTAGTCCATACTCTTGCAGGCAGAGTGAGGCTTTCCTGTTTTGGTTACTCCCGTTATAGCTCCTAACATACATTGTAATTGTGCATCCATACTTATTTACCTGGCATTTCCTTGAAGTCAGCACTTGTGCTTCATTTATCTTTGTATTTTCAAGTACTTAGTTCAAGACTTTCCAGAAAATGAGCTTGTCTTAGTCCATGCAGGCTGCTATAACAAAAACCAAAGACTGGGTGGCAGAAACAATGAATATTTATTTCTCACAGTTCCGCAAGCTGAGAAGTCCTAGATCAGGGTGCCAGCAAATTGTGTCTAATGAATGTCTGCTTCCTAGTTCATAAACAGCTATCTTTGCACTGTGTCCTCAACAGGGCAGAAGAGGGCCAGGGAGCTCTTGGGGTCTCTTTTATAAAGGGCACTAATCCCATTCATGAAGATTCTACTCTTATGACCTAATTACCTTCCAAAGGCCCCACCTCCTAATACCATCACATTGGGGGTTAGGATTTCAACATACGAATTTTGAGGGGGGGGACAGGAACATTCAGTACATAACAGAGGTTTAAAAAAATAATCAAATGAATTAATAATTCTTCTTTTTAAAAGTTACAGTGTTTAATTTCAATCTTAGGTTTATTAATAACATTTATTTTTCATTAACTTGTATTATAAATTACAAAAACTTTGTTGTAATAATTGTCATTTATTTAAATGCCTATTTATCTCAGGTACCTTGCTAGTCACTTAAAAAATTATAAAAATTTCAAGTAACGCAAAAGCAGAAAAAATAGTGTAATGAAGCTTCATAAACCCATGACCAAATTTAATATTGGGAAGGTTTTATCACTCTTAACTTCATCAATCCTGTGTTGCTATTATTGCTGCTGAAATAATTAAATCTCAAAACTCATTTTCTTCTACCTGCTGTATACTTTAGTATACATTTCTAAAATATAAGGACATATTCTTATATAACTGCAGTGCCTCCTAACTTTTTGAATTTGCAGCAAGGGGGTCAGCTATCAGCAGGATCCAGTCGTACTGGATGAGGATGTCTTTGATCTGCTTCTTAGAAGCCTCATTTACGTATTTCTGGCAATAGGCTACCAGGGATTTGGAGACATACTGCTGGATAGCACAAATCTGAGCCACATGACCACTACTTTTCACATAGACACAGATGTCCACACCAGCAAACCACTCCTTGCCCAGAAGCAGAGGGGTCAATAATTTTTAAGACTATAAAGAGGTCCTGACATCAAGACGTTTGTGAACTGTTTACTTAAATGAGCATAAGAATGGTTTTAATTCTGATTACAGTAGGTTTTAAGTTTACCTGTGTACATTAAAGCACAATCTTGTAGTTTTCTGCTTATAGACTTGAGGATTGACAAAATAAAGCAGAAATGATGTCTTCATGCATTTACTATACAGATCAGATCTGTTCATTCTATTCCAGGTAAAAATGAAAATGTGACTGCTCCTTTCAAAACTAGGAATAAAGACTTCTGTTCTTTTAAGTTTTATTACAACTGAAGTTTAATGTAATTCAAAATAAAATCAAATATACTTGAATTTACACAGTTGTGATCCTGGGGGGCTGTGTGAAAGGTACTTTCTCAATTTAAATGAGAACATGAGTTCTTATTTCTGACTCAGTGCGTAAAGAAGTACTGGTTTCCATATGGCTAAATGCTTATAATTTGTTTTGTAAATCTCTAGAAATCAAATGCATTTAATATATTTCCCTGATTCCTCTAAGCTGAGTAAGTGACTTGTATTTTATCATTGTGTTTTGAAAAATCTGAAAACCATCCTGTCATTCTGTTCCATTGGAATAACCTAAAGCCTTTTGATTTTATAATACTATAGTCAAGCTGGTAGATGCTGAATATGGAAGCTTGATTTAAAACTCCACTTGTCCCTCATACACCAAGATAACTACATTCACAGCATATTTTTGTTTCTCCAAAAGTACTAGTAACTATCAACCATCGACTGAGTAATATTAGAATGTTATATAATTGTCTCTAATGGGAATTTTACTTTCTAAAACTTCCAATTTTAGTTTCTTTTCATCTAATTGAGACATTATTTTAATAGGTAAAGCTTTCTAAAATTCAAGGTGAAGTTTTATTGTTACACAATACAGAAACTTTTAAACAATTATTCATATAGAAGTAAAGACCTTCTTAATACTTTTTTGGGACCAGATCTTATAATTAGTGGTAGAAAAGCATATTGTCTTTATGTTACTAAGGAAGCAATAGTTAAGTGCTTATTATGGACTTGCATTATCTCAGCTACTAAGATTTATAGTTCTCTCCTCATTTTCTTGTGCTATAGCTCAAAATTTTACTAGCATATTCAACAGCTATATTTTGTATCTCTATAGCTCTATAAAAAGTGTTCAACACTTAAAAGCTTATACAGGAGGCTTTGTTGCCCAAGATTAGTGTCACAGCATGGAATATTACTGATTTTTAAGAAAGTGGTACAAATTATGGGAAATTATAGATACTGTTTGTTTTAATAACTAAGAAAATAAACAAATAGGCATCCAGAGGGCACATGGAAGACAGTAAGTAGATTGATGTTTAGGACTGTGTTTTATATATTGGTTTAACTTATTGGTATTTCTAATAAGAATACAGAGAACATTAATTTCCTTAAATCCACAGGATGTTCTTGTTCTGTTCAAGGAGGAGAAATGGATGAAAGAGCCTACAGCCAGACTCCTATCTCCTTAATTCAATTCAAAAAATATATGAGAATCTATTATTTTCACTTTGCTGAGCTGTAATGCTACAGATATTGTGTTAGAAATTGATTCTACTCTTTAAGGAGCTTATAGTCTGAAAGGAGCAATAAGATAATGATATATGTTAATAGCTATAAGAGAGAGAAACAATATAACTGAACCTTAAGAAATATAAATTTAAAGCTTTCATAGGAAACCTTGGGAGTTGGCAGGAGAGAAGGAAGACCAAAGGAGTTGGTATTTGAGACAGGGCTTAAGGGAAGTATGGATAGCATTTCAATAGAGAGAAAAAGGGAAGGCAGATCCTCAGGAATACACTGGTTCAAATATATCTAATTTCCACAGAGCACAGAAAAGACAAGTCATTTTAAAACTACCAATTACCTTTTAACTTTACAGGTGACTGTAGCTTTGATTTACATCACTCTGTGGCATTACATGGAAAGTGGAAAAAGTGTGTTCTTTGTCACTTGCCTCTGGGTGACACTGGACATGAATGTGATTTTAGATTTATTTCCAGTTTAAAGGACTAACTAGTAGTATAGTGCTAATGGTGTAGCTTAAAGACTGTCCTATAGCATTTGTTCTTAATTATTTCCACCTTTGTAGATTTGTATAATTCTGGGGTCATACAGGGTTCTAGAGCTACCTTGAAGTGGTCCTTTTGTTTTTAGAAGCTTGTCACTCCATAGTCAATGTATAAATATAACAACTTGTTTGCACTTAGAACAAGTTCACTATGTGTTCTAATGAGTAAAAATTAAGGGATTTTGTTACTGGCCAAGCAAAAGCTTATTTGGAAGCTCAGTTATACTGCACTGCAAATTAAACTCATTAGCTGCCCTTTGCTATGTGGATATACGTTTTTAATTCTTCATTCATTCTTCCAATTCTTTCAGTGCTGGAATGAATCCATTCATCTTTAAATACTTAACTGCTTCTACTACAATGAGTACTACTGCCAGTTTCCACTAATAATAGCAGTACTCATGGCTGCCATTTCCAGAGTACTCACTAGGTGAGCTTGTGTAGCTTTGGGCTCACAGTTAGTAAAACAAGTAAAATTTATGTAATGGTTCTTACCAAATGGCACACCAAGATTTTTTTTTTATGAAAGTTACTTAATCATAATATCTCATATTATTTCTTAGAACTCATTCTTTTGGAAAAGTGAAATAGAAAAACATACTACTATGCAAATGACCACTATTACATAAAGCTGTAAAAACTAGACCAGAAGTTTACCTCACATGTACACCATTCTAAGGTTGAAGTAGTCAAAGATGAACAAGGTACTGACCGACCGCCCTACAAAGAACTGATGATTCAGTAGAGAGAGAGGAGGTAAAGAAATTGCTATAATACAGTTGATAACTCTAGTACTTTTGAGTGGAAATGTTTTGAGAATTCAAGTTAAAAATCGAATTTCATATGTATTGTTGAAGAAGGCTAGATTTCACACTATTAGTAACAAGATCTTTCCTATGTTCCTCAAATGACTCTATCCAGAGGTAAAACTGTTGCAGGAAGGACTTGATAGCCTTGGTTTTAATAGCTCAGTTAAAAGGAGTTCACTCTTAAAGTCTCAGGCCCTTAGGATTAGATGAGATTCCCCATTATGAAGGAGAATTTTGAGTGCTCTTTGGAGTGTCAGTGAATTTCTGACACCCCTGTAATATCTGCTGGGCTTCTGATCCTCAGTGGTTCCTTGAACCACTCTAGCTTCAAGTAAGAGAAGAGATGCTGGTGTAATTTAAAACATTCTCACCCCTGGTGCCATTGCCATTTTCTGCTTTTAGATCTTTTCTTATGGAATAATCTTGGATCTCAGTTATTATAATCTGGTGAACATCAATACATATTTTAATATGGTATAGAAGTCACATTTTTAAAAATTATCTCTTGGATTTTTCTTTTAGAGATAGTGGGAACTGAATTTATGTTCCAGTTAGTGACTGGCCTTTAAAGTTAAGTTTACTGTAAAAGTACCAATCCGTTATAATTCATTTAAAACCTGTTGTTTTCTCATCTAGGGTTACATCAGCATTATTTCATAGCATAGAGCTGCCTGTTTATACCTACTTTTTTGTCGTTGTTGTTGTTGCAGTGTTTCTGCCAAAATGGAACATCTATAACAATAAAAGGAGGGTCAAAAACTGAATTTACTATTTGTATAGACCATTTCAATTGGCTTTCTTACATTCGTACCTAAAAATTTTGTTTGGGGCATGTGTTTTGTATTTAAGACATTTTGTCATTGTAGTGTATTTAAAAAAGAATGTTGGCACCATTAAATTATCTTCTAAGGATATCTTTAAAAATTGTGGGGTTAGTGTTCTCTGTGGAGTTAAATTTTACTTTACCAGAATGTTTTATATGTTGAACAGATTTTCCTTAAAAAAAAGATCCTTAAGTATTTCTATGTAAATTAATTACACATTTTGCTCCCCTACAGAGATAAATTATAAGCAACATTTACATTTTAGTGGATAGAAATGTATGATTTTGCTTTTCCACTTTTAATAAAATACACTGAAAAATAAGTGAAAATTAATTTTAATAATTTATTTTAAAGCATTTAATAGCTTAAAGTGCTGCAATTAATTTTCTTTGGAAGTCAGTCTTTTTAGGGGCAAGTAATTTGCTGATTACTCCTAAAGACTCACAATTTTAAGAGTTTCTAACTTCCAAATACAAGTATCTTAATTTTCTGTTGGGATCAATTTATATCCTTTAAAGGGATCTAATAAGTTGCTTAGCTGTTAAGTGTCAAAATAAGTGATTTTCTAAATATAATTCATCCTCATCCTTTCAGTGTTTTGTTTTCCAGCAGATAATTACTTAATAGGCATAATCTCAACTGATGAATTTCAAGCGTAACTTTTTTCAGCTATAATGAGGTATCTGTAAAAATAAATTTTCCTAATGGTAACATTCTTGAGATTATAAACCTTACAAAATAATCTCTTAGAGCACATACAAGTGACACATAGAAAGTGTGAGTTCCTATTTTATAACTAGTTTTTTTCTTGATTAAAATTATAGGATTTCATGAAAAATAGCTAATTCTGAAAACAAATCACGATAAAGTTATTACTATTTAAAATTTCTTAAGTACTTTTACATTCCTTTTTTTAAACTCAAGTCAACATTTTAGATAATTTCTTTCATTCTTTTTAGTTAGTGATTTCAAAGTTGTCATCAAATTAAGACTCTGAAGAATGGTATCTCTCAACTTTTCTGTTATTAAGATTAATTGGTTGGTTTTATTGGGTTTTTCAGTTTTAACATTCAAATCAATCTTTTATTTCTATGAAAGTACTTTAGTACATGTTTATTATGCTATGTTTATTCCTGATTTTGTAGCCATTTTATATCTTTGCATTATCCTAGCAGCTGAACAATATTACAAAGCAACACTATACCATAGAACTTTTGGCAATGGTAGAAATAGCCTAGATTCGCATTGTCCTGAATGGTATCCACTAGCCACATGTGGCTGTTAAACACTTGACATGTGGCTAGTACAATTGAACTCTAAATTCTTAACTTTATTTAATGTTAATCAGCTTAAATTTAAATAGGCACATGTGGCTAGTGACAGCGAAAGAAACTCAAGGACTTGTTTTGGTTTTTCACAGAAATAAATAAGATTTATTATTTAAAAGCCATTGTATAAGATTCACTAGATCTTTGACTAAATGATCAAACTCATTTATTCCCAAAAGTAAGATAGTAGCTTTAGCTGAAATGCTTAGAGAAAAACATAGCAATATTATTCCTCAAAATTAGTGCAGCCACTGCATATTTTCACTTATAGCATAGAGCAATCCTTGAATTTTTCTAATCAAGTAGCATCTGTTGAGAAAATATAGCTGTTTTCGTTTTGGGTTCTTTTTTTTTTTTTTTGACATTGAGGAAAATAAGCAGAAGAAAAATAAAAATATTTTATATTATGCTTTGTGTGTTTTACATTTTTATGCGGTATCTTCTCAAAGCTTCCCAACAATGGGGTAAGCTACAGTCTAGAATTGATATTATTCTCACTTGTGAGGGGAAAGGTTTCTTGGCATGAGAGAAATCTTACAACTGAGTAGGGGGTGTGGAAAGGATGACTTAAAGATTTAGTTGGTAAAAGACAGTTACAGGATTTAGCAACCATTTGAATGCAGGCCCCTAGGATAAAGAGTCCAAGATAACTGTGAATCTGAGCCAGGGTTGCTGGTATGTATGGTGATTTTATAACCTACAGAGGAAAGTGAGGAGGAACAGCTGGTTTGAGATAGAAGATTCATTTTAAACATGTTGATTTTAAGGTGCTAATGTTGCATCCAGGTTATGTCACAAAATACCCAAAGCCAGACTGGAGGGCGGAGAAGAGCTAGCGAGTTCTCTAGATAAAAAAGATTCAGGAGGCAGTTGCATGGGTTGCTCATTTTCGTATCCTGTGCCCTTATTTTTTCCTTCATCTGCTCCATCGTCTTCCCTACAATATAGTCACCATAACAAATTTGAGTAGAATTTTGTTTTGTGTAAAGAATATGGTAGCCATAGAAGAGAACATTGACTTGAAAGAATAATATTTATAAGGAAGGAGTTGCAAGGAACATCTAGGAAACATAAAAGTAAATGATCAAAGAAGTTAATGGGTTGGGTGGTAAAGTGTTATGGAAGCTCAGCAACTCGGGAGGCTGAGGCAGGAGAATCGCTTGAGCCCGGGAGGCAGAGGTTGCAGTGAGCTGAGATTGTGCCATTGCACTGCAGCCTGGGCAACAAGAGTGAAACTCTGTCTCAAAAAAAAAAAAAAAAGAAAAGAAAAGGAAGCCCAAAAAGAAGAGAGTTGCCCAGAAGGAGGTAGATTTGACTTGTGCAAAGAGGTAAGAAAGCAGGGGATTACATAGGGAGAATCTCAGCTGTGATCTAAAGACTGTGTTTACATAAAAAGCAAAAGGTAGAATGGTGGTTCCTAGACCTAGGGGTAGGGAGAAATGGGAGTTGCTGTTCAATGGCAATAAAATTTCAGTTATGTGAGAAGAAAAAGTCCTAGACCTCCTCTGTACAACATCATGCATATAGTTAACAATACTGGGGTTGTACACTTAATTTAAAAGGGTAAACCTTGGGTGTTATTTATTTATTACCACAAGAAAGAAAGAAGGAAGGAAAGTGAGCGTGCCCTTGATACTTTTCTGGGGACTGTAATGTAAGCAGAAATTGAGACAAGGGTCCTTGGAACTGGCTGATAGTTTTTTTTCTTCCTAATTTGCCCAAATAGGACAAATAGGTTGATTGGTTCAGAGCATTTCTGCAATTACACTAAAATGCTTGGTTCTGGGATTGAGTAGGTGTGACCATCAAATGAATAACTCTGTGGAGCAGTCATTTAACATTTCAAAAAGTTATAAAAATGTCTGAAAATGCAATTTTAAAAAAGCAAAACCAAATGAGTCCAGAGCAGCACTGTCCGGTAGAACTGTCTGCAGTGGAAGATGGAAATGTCTGCGCTGTCCTGTAGAGTACACGTGGTCCTATGTGGCTGCCGAGCATCTGAAATGTGGTTAATGTGGCTAAGAAACTGTGTTTTTAACTTTATTTAATTTTAATTCATTTAAATTTAGCCATATGTGGCTGATGCTTACCATGTTGGGGAACGTAGGTCTAGAGACTTTAGAAAAGTTAGTATGAGTGAAGTAGGAACTTGGTCCTTGGACATTTGGGATTTGAAAGAAAGGCGGAGGAAAGGCATTATAATTTGACCAGAACTCTAGCTTATGGTCTTATCTTAAAAAAAAAAAAATCAATCTTTTGGATATAGTACTATCCTATTTCTTTTGTATTTGATCTTACTGACTTTAAAAGCATGCAGAGATAGAAAAGTGGGTGGAAACAAATTTTCAGAATGAAATGTGTTTAGAGTAGAATTTATGAACTGTGATCATTTTTAAAATTGTATTTCACCTTCCTATGAATAGACAGAGCAGCCAACTGAGACAATACAGTAGTAGAGTCCTTGCCAGAAAAGATTCTCCTTATGCAGAAGCAGAAACTAGACTGATCATTTCAAAAATGGCAACATTAAAAAATATAATTGAAGAAGAATACATGATGTTAAAACTTAAAAATTGTGTTAGTTTTCTTTTATGTTCGGTATATAAACAAATATTTTAGGTCGGGCCATATTTTATCTCTCCTGGACTATCACCAGAGCTTCCCAGCTGGGATTTTTCCCTCTCAGGCCCAGGGTCTACATCACCCTCAACACTATTAAAAACACAGATCTGATCCACATCTCTGCTTAAGAACTTTTTACTACAAAGAAGCATACAATAAAACGCTTCAAACACGTTTTTGAATGCTGCTTTTTACTTTTGAAATTAGTGAGTTAAGTGGACATTTTCTCAGCCGATGAAAATAAAATTGGTAAGACATTTTTGTTAGCACATTGGCAGTAAGCAACAAGAAGTTTGAAGATATTTATAACCCAAACCATAGTAAGTCCACTTCTGGGAATCTTCCTAAAGAAACTATCGTAAACACAACAAAATATGTCCCAAGTCTCTTTATATGAAGGTGTTCATCACAGGATTACTTATAATAGTGAAAACTGTATATAACTAAAATGTTCAACAGTAGGAAAATGACTTAAGTAAATGATAATTGCTAAAATGATGTCTTCTTTCATCACTTTTTGTATGCATCTGCGATGGTATATGTCATACGCCGTAGCTGGTTATATGCATTCTGCCAATCTAATTCTTATTTGTGTCCTCACTGCCTAGCACATTGTAGATGCTCAATTAATGTTTGCTAAATAAATGAAGAAATCAGTGTTGACACAAATGAAATTGAGTTTAAGTTGCTTCTTTTCAATTGCTAAACACTAAGGGATGTTATATTCATTTAAATGCAGTACCTTTCAGTTCCATTTATAATGAAAATATTTTTTTCAGATTTAAATCTCACCTGTTCCAGAAAATATTTAAAGTAATAATATGAAACATTTAAAGGTAAATTTAGTTGCTAACTGTATCAAATTGTGATTTTTATCAACAAATTTAATAAATCATTTTTTGTTTCCAAAATCCCATTGTCCATCTTAACGTGAGTTTATATTTTGCTCCCCCTACATGTTCTCTAAATTTTATGTATTTTTTATTATTTAAAGATTTCGATTTATCTCCCTGTTGAAATTTTTTTCCTCAAACCTCATAATCATAATTTTTCCTCATAATCAGTTTTTCCAGCTGCTTTGTTCATTTGAAATGAATAGTTGTCCAGAAAATTGCTTTTCATATACTACTTCGTTAAGTTTGTTGTTGTGGTGGTTTTGTGAGATGAGGTCTCACTCTGTCACCTGGGCTGGAGTGCAGTGGTGCGATCATAGCTTACTTTAACCTTGTAGTTCATTGAGTTATACAGAGAGTGTTCGAAATTTTTTTTTCTATATCTTATGGAGACTAGCAAAAGGAAGAAACCTGTTATTTTCCTTTAAATTATCTTTCTGGGTAAGTCTAGATTTGGTTGACATAGACAAGAAATACCAATATTGGAATCCTGACTTCATCCTCTTAACATGCAGTCCTCCAGTGTACTTGACCAGGAGATTGAGGCCTTTGTCATAATTTTGTAAATATAACCTAGAAATATAAAGTTATTTCTGAAACTTTACCAGGTTAAGAGTATTATTGTTTAATATATTTATTTCAATAGAACTCCCAAAATTGATGAAGATTGTGTGTACAGCTCATGAGGGCAGAGAGCATATCTGTTTTCCTCACCCTGTATCCTCAAAGTCTATCACAGTATCTGATTAGGCTCTCAAAAAAATCGTGTTAAATGCCTGACTGCCTACTTTCACCAATTTGTTTTGTAACTGGTTCCTAATGAAGTAAAGGATTTAAGAGATATAAATAACTATTTTGTGTTTGATAGGCTGTTTGATTGTAAGGACCAAAAAAGACTCAGGTTACCTAGTAATGGGGGGAGAAAGGGAGGGTGAGAAGAAGGACCCTATTCTCTGATTCGAATTTTTATGGCTTGTATCGCACTTAATGAGGATACTAAAATATTTTTCAATCTAAAAAAGTTAACAAATTTTTAAAAACTTAAAAAAAAATCAGCATTCAGACATACCATTGGCAATCTGTCAGTTGTTAATACCACCAATAGAATAGCAAGTGGAACAATAAGAATTACTATGTTCCCCATTCTTTATATTGAACTAACCTCTCCTTCTCTAATTTTTACATTTTTCTTAAAGTTTCAAAACTTCATATTAGATATGCTTATTGCTATTTTAGGGGAAAAAAAGCAGACTGGGTAATTGCTTTGAAGGGTTGTTATGTAATCTTCTTCGAATTTAACCTTTTATTTAGTTTTCAAATTGATGTCTAACAGTATACTACTATAAAACACTATTTTATTATGGAGGTTAATGGTTTTCAGGCATGTCAGATGTGGGCTTAAAGTTTATGGTGTAGACTGTGACTAAGGGATATGACATTTTGAGGAGGCTGTGCTGCACTTAGCACTATGGTAGGTGTTTGCCCCATTATCTCATCCATACAGTGGCCCTATGGGTTTTCTTTGATCTGAAACCCAACACTTACTCTGGTCTCACATAATTTAATTATTTATTCTCTTTATTTTAGTACCTTAGCAATAAATGTGTACAAATTTAACATTTCTTAGAAAGTCATCATTGATACATAAAACTTTTCTTTTAAAAATAGGATAAAAGAATCAGAGTGTCTCAACCCTTGACAAGAGGACCAAGTGC
The DNA here is from genome assembly GCF_000001405.40 of Homo sapiens. Taxonomy (NCBI): domain Eukaryota; kingdom Metazoa; phylum Chordata; class Mammalia; order Primates; family Hominidae; genus Homo; species Homo sapiens. Next base: position 95,193,475 of record NC_000011.10, on the reverse strand, counting down.
CTTTATTCCAGAGAAGGAAGTAAGTTTATCTGTCTTAAAATATAAAAAGTAAGATTTAAAAATAACTTAACTGTATCAAAGAATATCTCCTGTTAATATGAAAGTAGGAATGAATTTTGCTTTTGAGTTTCTTGTTCACATGTCAGAAAACCATGGAGATATTTTCTTTTCAGCTTCACAAATATTTACAGAGTGCCAATTATTGTCTTAAAAGAAGGGACTAGTAGAAATAGAATAATACCTGATCATTGCCAGAGTCAACAGTTCTTTCATCATCAGATCACCTTTTTAGTGACCTTCCCACCTAAGTGCAGATCCAAAGTGACAGTAACATTTCGGGAGCTCAGTGACAATAGCTGATCTCGGTGAGGACGATGCACCATGCACTGGAGAAGCTATCCTGCTTATGCCTATTTTCCTCAGATAGCCTGGGGCTGCTCTAAGTTGCCTACTACATATAAAGACTTCCTGAAGCATAGTCATTTTTCACAGTATATATTTGAGGATAATCTGGTTTTTAGGATCTATTGCATCATATGAATCTATTAATGTATCTTAAGCATCCAGTTAGAACAAACTTATGCTGGGAAAGCAAAACAAAAATAACAAATATTCTACTTCTAATTATATGTGGTTCATCTGGATCCCATTATATTTTTAACTGTCTTGGTCCCTGTAGTTGACAAAATGGTGGGGAAGTGAGCAAATCAAAGTATACTTGGCTCCATAATGAGTTACGCCATTGTAGTTAACATTTCCTCACAATTTATACTTTTCAAACATTATGTTTCCTTTGGGATTAAATTTCCCTAAGTTAGTAGTGCCTTTGTATAATGTGTACTTATTTTTCAGACTGCGAAGCCAGCTCTGAAGAGTAAACAGTTTCTTAATAGCAGTGTGGATGTTTGGAAAGACCATTAGTCTGGGCTTTAGGGGATCTGGATTCTAGACCAGACTCTGCTATTAATAAAGTGCATGAGCTTGAATTTAATCTTAAATCTGTTTCCTTATCTCTAAAATAAGTCTAGAATTCCAATTCTGAAATACAAATAAACAATGAACCACTCTTAGAATTATGCATCTCATGTCCATTAACTCCCACAGGGTTGAGTCTTTCTACAAGGTGCTAATAAACTCTTAACACCTTCAGAACCAGTTCTTGGTGTGATGCCCAAACTGTCATTGTGTGTGAAGCTATATATAAATAATCTATTTTTGAGAAAACTCTTTTGATTTCCTAGGATGGAGAATGTCCATTTCAATAACTTGCCTTGTTTTTAGTAATTATTATTGTTAGGCTCAAAATAGGAATGACAGTATTCTGGTGTCCTCATTAATTTTTCAATTAACACTTCTAAAATTTATTATATATGCCTTTGTTCCTGAAAAGACTTCAGAAAGTTTTTTTTATGTTAAATCACAAAAGCAAGCAAAGGATTAGACTGAAAATATTAGTCTAAAAATGATGTGCTTATCTTCATAGGCTGATGAGATGAAATTGTAAATGTATGTAATCAGATGCTACTGCCTGTGCTTTACCACACATTGGTGTGACAATGGCCAGGCAAATGGACCCTGAAGAATCTACCTAATATGCCTAGCAAAACAGATGGAAGCTTCTTTTCTTCATTCATAGCTGTGTGTATAATGTTTGATAATTTAACATTTGTTGTTTAATAAATTGTGGTACCAGAGCCAAAAATGAATGGTGCTTTCTTTTTTTATTTCTGTTTCCAGTATGAGCAACTGCATAATTTCAGTGTCTGTTAATATCAAATGAATATTCATTTGCTTCAATAGTGGCATAATTTATTTAAACCAAGGGTGTGTTTATGTCTCAATAGTCATTTTGTTTTGTTTTTTTTGGTTATAAGGTTGTCCAAGCAAACACAGTGGATGAACGTACTAACTTTCTTGTGGAAGAATACTCTACATCCGGTCGTCTGGACAACATCACACAGGTCATGAGTTTACACACTCAGTACCTGGAGTCTTTCTTGCGGAGCCAGTTTTACATGTTGCGCATGGATGGTCCCCTTCCTCTACCATACAGGCACTATATTGCAATAATGGTGGGTGCTTATTTTCCTATGTTCACATAACACCTTCCTCACTTATTCTTTCTCCCTTCCAAAATAGGCATGTGTCCTTGTGTGTGTATAGAGCTAAGTATAATTTATGGACATAAGAACTGAAGAAGCCTATGGCCTTTTGGATACCAAGTGTCTTGGGTATATTTGGAATATGTTAAGCCACTTAATGCACTGAATGTTTCTCATTTAATTTTCAGTAAAATCATTTTTCATATTTAATCTCTTACAAATAAAGATGCTTATAGCATGCAAAATAATACCCCACAAGTTTTGTCTTTGCTCTTGATATCTTGTTTTTATACAAACACAAGTTGTTTGTGACATTTTTCTTAGTAATTTTATACATAAAGAATGTCACTAATTTGGCCAAGTAAGAGGAAAGTATCAGTCAGCATTAATGGAGAATCTGAATGAGAGAAGAATTCTTGAGTGAATTATAACACTTCTAAGTATAGTTCTGATTACAAACTGGTTAACTAGTTATTCACAGGCAATAGAGGTCAGAGAGGAGAATTATAAAGTTTTGTGTGTGTCGGACTTTAATGGAGAAAAAGAAGAACAAGAACATAATGAAAGTGCTATATATTTGGAGAAGTTGGGGAAGAAACTGGGCTGACAGGGCTGTCATAACTAGCCAGGAGTTAGGAGATTAAGTTTGACCACGTTTGATTTGATTGTCTTTTTTATAGTCTCACTGAACTTTTACACAACAACAAAAAGCAACATTCCATGTTTTATTGAATGATGAACTTCACTGAGGCTGTAATTTTAGCTTAAGGTTTTGATGACACTAAGTCTGAAAGCAGACTTAGAATGCTTGTAAAATGTGGAGAAATAAGATGTAGAGAATAGAAAGAATAAAATAATACTGTTTTACTGAGAAGCAGCCCTGAGGAAAAAAGAGGTCAATTGAGGGCTGATTCTGACTGCATAGGAAGAAAAGGGTCAGTGAGCTTCCATGTCATCTGAGTAGGAAGATGTGTACAAATATGACTGCAGTCACATTTATCTTAAAGAGGATAAGAGAAGTAATCAAATTAGGATGAATCCTGAGTTGTTAGAATGTAAGTTAATGAGATTTTATTATGTTTTAAGTAGAATGTAATAGGTATATTTGTCATATTGAAATGGACCTGTATTTCCTATTCATAGCTAGAAAGTGGGCTATGGCTTAAGCTATACCAACTTCCAGACAAGGAAATAATTGGCTTCATGTGGCAATTATTTGCTTATACAAGTATCAGCTTCATGTATTGAATCTATTACATCATTATGATGGATGTTTTAGAAAAAGGATTCTGTAAGAAAAGAGGTACTGGCTATAAAAATCATTAGCTCCATCTGAATTATTTGTTTAGAAATAGTGGAAAGAAACTCTACTGTGATTCTTTTATCAATGAATTTTTTTCTTTGTGCTTTAGGCTGCAGCTAGACATCAGTGTTCTTACTTAATAAACATGCATGTGGATGAATTTTTAAAGACTGGAGGTATTGCTGAGTGGTTGAATGGTTTGGAATATGTGCCACAAAGACTGAAAAATCTTAATGAAATTAATAAGCTGCTAGCACATCGACCTTGGCTGATCACAAAAGAGCACATTCAGGTACTGAATGTTTCTTTGAAATAAAAAGGAATTTGCTTAGGACTTAATTTTAAATATGTGTATATTAGGAACTTGGAACATAAATAATAGTGTCTTAGTATGTGTAGAAAAGATGAGTTTAGAAAGTCAGTTTAATTTAAGCACAAATGAATACTTCTCCTCTTTAAGTGATCATTATCTTCTACAACTAGTTTGGTGAATGGCTATGAGAAAATTTGGTTTCTATTTTTAAGTAGTAGATAGACTAAAGAAAATACACTAGCATGATAGGATGCCTGGGATCTAGTCTGTACTCTGTTACAAGTTTGTGTCCTTTTAGTAAATTAACTTCTATGGGCTTCTGTTCTCCCTTCTACGGAATGAGGGAGCTAGATTAAATGAGTTTTAAACTTTTTTATAGTTCTAACATTTCATAAGTTTTAGATTCTCAAAAAATGATTTTGCAAATAAAAAAGTGATTTGCCAGCTGGTGTGTGAATGCTTAAATGCCTTTTAAAACTAGAGCTTAGACGAGAAATAGAGTTGTCGTGATTGACTAAGAGCACTTGTATTTCTGAAGGCGCTTCCATCAAAGGCCTACAGGGTGAGGTCATTATTCAATATGCTTAGCACTATTCTTGGCACGTGGTAACTATTCAATAGATGGGACCTATCATCTAAATTATCAGTGGAAACCTTTGTTATTTAAAATATCTGTTCCTAATGCATAGAAATGTCCTTGGTTTTTGGATCCTCTTGTTAGACTACATTTTTGTTATTTGCCCTTTCAACCAAACATAGCATTTATCAATCTGCATACTCTCAGATTTTGATGCTGAATCTGGGAAACTGTGAAGCATGATGCTGTCTTAAGATTTATGTTCTGATTTGATGATATGTTAGCTAGATAGGGGAATTAATCATTGTTTTTAATGTCATGTCTTAATTACTTTGTGCCAGATACTTTGGTGGGTAAAGATAAAGACCCTGCCCATAGATTTGCTTGGAGTCTAGGGGAGAAGAAGAACAGGGTAATGACAATAATCACAGTACAACAGTGTATGAATGTATGAATAAAGAGAATGGGACCAGAAAGTTTATTTTCTGAAAGAGGTAACATTTGAGCTAGGTCTTGAAGAATAAATGGGAGTTTTCAAGTAGAGCAGGGCATTTCAAAGAAAGAATAGAGTATTTAATATTATGGTATATTGGAAGAATAGCCAACAGTTTCAGATTATTGAAGTGCAGCGATGTTTATGTAAGGTGGGAACTGGGAAGAATTGAGATCATATTGTATGACCCAGTGAATACTGTATTAAATAATTTGTATTTTATTCTCAGAAAGTTGTGGTCTTCAGGGTTATGTTATGGTACTCAGGAGGTACACAGGAAAATTTTCCAAAATATTAACAGAATATTTGTGTATGTGTGTATATTCTCATCTCATTCTTCTAAATTTTTGTATTTGTGTATTTTATGTTTTTATTACGGTACACATATATAAATATTCTATATAAAATATATTTTATGTGTATAAATTTACAAATAAATATACGTAATATCTGGGGTTGGACCTTTCCCAATTGTTACATTTGGAAGTACATTTGATCACAAGAGCTTGGAGATCAATATGATAGAGAATCGAGAATCATTAAAGGTTTTTGTGCCATGTTGTAATATAAATATATTAGGTGATTTAGAAGATAAATTACAGATTGTACAGACTGGAAGCAGTAGACCAGTCATAGTACTACACCTGAGAGGTGATTTTTTTTTTTTTTTTAAGCCATGGGAGATACATAGGAAGGATAAGATTCTAGTAATGATTCTGCATGAGAGTAAGTAGGACTTTGGTGACTGGCAGGATGTGAGGATGGAGAAAGTGGGTGGGACAAGAGAGTGACTAAGGTGTCCTTCTTCATGACATGAGCATATACAGGCTGACAACAACTAAAAATGACATCCACAAAGTGATGTCCACTTACTAAAGGAAATACAGGTCTGTAACTCAAGATAAAGTGTGAGTTAAAAGTAAAATTGGATAGTTGTTTACAGATAAGCAAAGGTCAGGTTGAAGGAATGAATGGCCCATCCAAGGAGATACTGTACAAGGAAGGAAGATTGTGGATGGAATACAGCAATAGAGAAAGATCTTTCTCAGGGTAGCAAGAGTACTTCCCTCCCCAAAATGTGGAATTGTTGAAGTCAAGAGAGATTAATGTCAGGAAGGGAGAAGGTAAACAATGTAAATTCTGCAGAGATCAAATAAAATAAGGACTAAAAAGAAATAGTCAAATTTGGCCATTTGGAAGGTCATGTGTAATATTAGTAAATGTAGCTTCTGGAGTTTGCTTGAAAAAGAAACCAGATTGTAATGAATTTTTAAAAGTAGAAATGAATGTGAGGCAAGAAATTAGAGATGGTGAGTGTTGGCTGTCCTTTCAGGTTTAATGATAATCCTGCAGAGATTGGTGAGGGCATTGTAAATTCTAACAGTCCTTTTGGAAAGCTCTTTGGCAGTATTATCAAAAGTCATAAAAATATTAATACACTTTGTTCTAAAAATCCTATTAGGAAATGTTTCTAAAATAAGAATAAAACTATAGTATGAAGATGCTGTTTATAGAAGCAAATAAACAAAACAAATTTAGAATATGAATAATGGTATAGGAAAGGAGAAGTAGTTATATACATCTGTTGATATACAGGAGAGGCCTTGCTTAAAAATTAATATGGCACTGTGGCCTAATGAAAAATGAACATGTCAAAATGTCAAATTTGAAAATCAGAAAAATATAGATATGTGTGGTTGTAACTATATAATTGCTTATAAAAAATAAAATATGTAAAAGTTAGAGTGGTAGAATTTTTTTCAGTCAATATTGCAACCATTTAGTATATTTTGTGGCTACAAGGTTAGGTACATACAGATGTAAAGCAAGTATATTTTTCTGGTGTATATTCTTTTATTATTCAATAATGACCCTCTTTATTTACATTATTACAGATTATAATAATGATATTTTTGTCTTAAGATCACTTTTTAAATTTTATTTTTTAATTAACACATAATTGTACATATCCATGGGGTACATAGTGATATTTTGATAATATATAATGTACAATGACCAGATTAATTAGGATACCCATCATCTCAAACATTTATTATTTCTTTGTGTTGGGAATGTTCAATATCTTCCTTCTAACTATTTGAAACTGTATGTTATTGTTAACTATAGTCATCCTACAGTGGTATGGAACACTAGAATTTATTCCTTCTATCTAGCTATAATTTTGTTCTTTAACAGATCTTTTCCTATCTCCCCTGGCCATAGGATGATAGAATTTGACTGATTTTCTTTTCTTTTCCCTGAGCTTTTGGTAATACATTAAATTATATATGGTGTGTAGTTAAATAGTGGGTAGTAAAGCAAAAGAAAGCAGTTTTATTTTTATTTTGTTTTGTTTTGTTTTGTTTTAGCCATTAAGTAAGCCAAATGAAAGTTTTAGATTTGGAAGGAGGGAAAGAGAGGGATGAGATTCCCCCTTACATACACCACACACACACACACACACACACACACACACACACACACACACACACAGTGAGAGATAGAGAGAGAGAAAGGGAGAGAAAATGAACACCGATGGGAAAGAATCCCTGATGGATTAATTGGTGGAATTCACTCTTGGACAAAGTGGAGGAATTACTGTTTTTAATGACTTCATTTGTGATCCATCATTCAGCTGGAGGGTCAAGTGAAATACAGAATATGAAAAAGTGCTTGGAAATTTTTAAAATTCTTATTCAGATGTGAGGTAGTATTCTACAATTTCTGTCATCTGCTGCAGGTTCTTTCTCCATTAGAAGGTATCTAAAGGATAACTGAAACTTGACTTGCTGAATTGGGGTTTTTCGTGATTTTGTGAGATGAAGTTTCCAATATACCTTAAAATGAATGGTTTTGTTCGATAATCTTTAAAGTCCTATCTAGCTCCAGTGTTCTTTGATTCTCTAAAAGTATTTCATTAAAATAGCATACTATATAAAAAATGATTTGGAAGCAGAAGATTTATTGTATAATAAGGGATTTAGAAGACACTACAATGTAATTATATTGTTAGGTATGATAGTTTTAATGGCGCATTGGCCAAAATCATATCTTTAACATGTGAAACATTTTTAAAAGAGAGTTTTAAGTTTTATTACTCTAAGTGGATATATGAAAATTGGTAGATTTTCATTGAAATTTCTTTGTAGCATTCTAGAATTTTTATATTTGCTCTGATTTGCTTTCTTATTTCAGAAACTTGTCAAAACTGGAGAAAATAATTGGTCTCTGCCTGAACTGGTACATGCTGTGGTCCTCCTGGCACATTATCATGCTTTGGCAAGCTTTGTTTTTGGTAGTGGTATCAATCCAGAGAGAGATCCAGAAATCTCCAATGGATTCAGGCTAATATCAGTCAACAATTTCTGCGTTTGTGATCTTGCTAATGACAACAACATAGAGAATGCATCTCTTTCAGGCAGCAACTTTGGGGTTAGTTTTCTTAGCTATTTTTCTTTACTATTTTTGCTTTAAACTTCTAATATTAAAAATATCTAGAGAGAATTTTTCTCCAATTAGATAGGATATTATATACTTAAAATATTTTTGCATAATTTTTATTACTGTAAAAATTTGGTACCTGAAGTTCTGATTTATTTTAAAGAGGCTTTTAAAGCAAATACATATTACTGCAAATCATAAAGACTAAACAGTGATGCATTCTAGTGATCATAGGCTTTTAATGTTAGACCCTTTGGACAGTAGATCCCAAAACAATATACTTGTATGTATAAGATGCTGGAACAACCAATGGAAAACATACCTTATGACAGCAAAAAGTAAAACAATTGTGCTGCCTCATTTTTTTAAACTAAACTATAATATTTAATATATACCAAATGCTAGAATTGTAGATTTTATGCACACACATATATACTTATAAACTTCTATATTTATAACTAAAAAAAAAATCATACTTCTGAAAATGTTGGAATCTGTCATGATTTCCTTTGAAATTGGTGAAAAACCGACTTAAGAACTTCATAACTGTGCCTGTTCCGCTGTACATAGTAAGGTGACATTTGGAGATGGAGATATTTACTGGAACACTTTTAGTATGAATAGCACCCAACATTATCTTATCTGTTTCCAGATTGTGGATTCTCTAAGTGAGCTAGAGGCCTTAATGGAAAGGATGAAAAGACTTCAAGAAGAAAGGGAAGATGAAGAGGCGTCTCAAGAAGAAATGAGCACTCGTTTTGAAAAGGAGAAGAAAGAAAGTCTTTTTGTGGTCTCTGGAGATACTTTTCATTCATTTCCTCATTCAGGTGCTTTTTTGCACTTTTTTGCCTTTTAGTTGTTCTTAGAACCCTGACAGGGCAACTTCAGTGTTTTCCATGTGGATATGTAAAAATGATTCTGCTACCATCTTTCTCTTATTTAGTTCTCCTCTTCTATCTTACCCTCATGCTATTGCTTTCCCTCAGGCTGGTTCATCCTTGAATGTATTTCAGATTGAGTTGAGAGAAACTTTCAGCTTTGTAGTTCATACTCTATCCTGGATAAAATGTTATTTAAAGCAGATCAGTTACTTATAAAGTTAGATAGACATATTTAATTTATCCTACTTTTGTGATTTTTTAAAAATGATAAGTGAAATATTGTTTCAATAGATAAAATTTTAAAAAAAACTGCCTTTTTTGTAGGTGGGGGGTGTGTGGGAAGATTATTCTCACACTGCTGCTTTTCCAGATTAGTTCTAAAATTACACTGCATTTGCATTTACATTTCTTTGGAATTCTATAAAAATGTATTATTTAGGTCATTTTCTTAGACTGAATTTGGAGGAATTCATCCTGTGTTAAAAGCTGAGATTCTTTGCTGTAGTCTTGAAAACAGTTTTTCTAATACTCGAAGGACTGAAATAGGAAATAAACTTTTCAATTACAACTAAAAAGATATTGAACACCACATAGTAAATGATATTAAAATAGCATAGACTCAATACAAAGTTTAAACTCTTTAAAAGTAATCTATGTGCATAACTTTTTTTTTTTTTTTTTTTTGAGACAGAGTCTTGCTCTGTCACCCAGGGTGGAGTTCAGTGACGTGATCTTGGCTCACTGCAACCTCCGTCTCCTAGGTTCAAGCGGTTCTCTTGTCTCAGCCTCCTGAGTAGCTGGGATCACACATAATATATTTTTTAAAAATAGAGTTCTGTTGATCTAAAAGAGGGCTTCAAAACTACTGCCTGTCTTAAAACTCATCAATCTCATAAATTTTGAGAATTGTTTCAGCCGTAACTTGTTAATGTTAAACATAAAACATTGATCAGTAGTTCTCAGTTTTACCAGGAAGAACAAGAACCCTTTTTATCATTTCTCCTGATGATCTTTTTTATGAAAAATTTTATCTACCAAATTGAGTAACCATTTTAATCCTTTCAATTAATTTAATCCATTGAAGATTACTGTCACTAAAATCAGAGCCTCTAGTCAGCAGGAAATTCCAAACAAAGAAACCTAGTATTTGGATTATTGGTTTAATATTCACTCTGCAAACACTTACTGAGTACCTGATAGAGTTTCAGCATGGTGTTAGGTACTAAGGTTTTAAGGTTAAATAAGGCATGATTCCTGCTCTCAGGGCACTCTCATTCTAGTAGCAAAAAAATAATTGTAACTCATAGCAGAATGTGAAAGATAGGAGCCTAGAAGAGGGCACTGAACCCAGTCTTGATAGGCAAAGGGTGTAGGCAGAAGAGGAACCTAGAGGAAGAATGCCTGCAGCCCTTGGCTCTAAGATAAATCTTAACCCAGTTGAGTGTGAGGAAGTCAGGTAATGACTGAGGGGCACAGGAGGACATGGTAAACAGCATCCAGGCCCAAGCAAAGGCACGATGGTAAGGAAACAGGATGCTGGGTCCAAGAACAAGTGGTTCTGTGTTGTTAGGACGTACATCATGAAACAGGTAGTGTAAAGAGAAATCTGGTTAGGTAGGTAGAGTCCCTACTGTAAGGATCTTGCTAACCTTAAGAAATATGTAACCTACCGTATTTTGGACATTTTGAGTAGAGATGTCTATAAAACAACCAGTCTGGAAATGTCTTGCACAGCACTTCTCAAACTTCAGTGTTCATGAGTCACTTGGGGAATCTTGTTGAGATGCAGAAGTTGAATCAGTCAGTTTAGGGTAGGGCCTGAGAGGCCACATTTCTATCAAGCCTCCAAGTAATGCCAGTGCTGCTAGTATGCAAGCCACTCTTGGAATACAAAGGGTAGAAGAGATGGGAAATCAGGAGAGGGCTTTAAGGTCAAGGCAAAATTTTAGAAGTTATCAGCATATAACTGGGAACAGACATTAAAAGTTGATTATAAAATTCATCCAGAGAGAAGAGGTGAGGTTGAAGGAAAATAATGACTCTATGATGAACCTTCTAGGTAAACTAATGTCTAAAAATGTAAACATTTATATTAAAGTTAGTAATATCTGTGTGTTTTCAGAAATTAATTTTTAAGAGCTTCATTAAGATCACTAAAGCTTGAAAAATATCAATGTTTTATTTCTCTTAGGTCTTTTGAAATATTAAAAATATACTTTGGATTTCAGTCTCTACCTTCTTGGAACTTTAAGCTGGGACTACAGCCTTCAAAAGTGAATTTTGACTAGAAAGTCTTGGACCTTAGCCAAAAATTATGTTCTAATTTTAATAGAAGAGGCTATTTCAAGGAAATAATGTCAGTATACATACATATACCCCTCCGCATACATATATATTCACATATATACACACATATATATAAAAATACATATTTCACTCTTAATCATTGCCAGTACCAACTTTGCTGGCTGCACAAATAAAATATAGAAAAAAGACTCAGTACAATAGCTAATTGAGTCATTTGTGTAGACTTACCATGTTTTAAAATAGAAATAAAAAGGGTTTTTTTTGGTATTAAAAAAGTCTTGGTTTGACCAGCGTTATAAAGTATTCCAGATTCTATGTAAGGATTCTAAGAATAGTTTTTCAAGTCTTTTGAAGAAAATAAATGTTTAAAGTATTCTACAGGGGTCATATTCTGTAGCTTGGTAACAGGGTTAACTAGCTTTTACTGTTTTTTGTATTTTCAGTTACGCATTCCATTACTGCAACAGAATGTTTCCCGTATTATGTCAGTAACTACTTCTTAGGGGCAGAATAATGCAGATAATGAACAAAATACTATTTCTTTTGAGTACAGACTTTGAAATATTTGTTTAGATAGAATTAAAGCTAGAGTTTTAGATTTAATAATCAGAATGCTAATTTTAACTTCTTAAGATAAATTTAGGAAAAAAGTATTTGTGGATTGAGGGACCTTTGTACATTTCTTTCTGTGAATAAAAATTGTCTAGGAAACAGGTGTTAATTGACTCCTAAGTTAAAAATTAATGCATAGAGATTTTTCCTAGGATCACTTCTCTTATTTGGCTGACTACTTACTTTTTACTGTTTATTTTAAAATGTCTAAAAGTCATACAACTTGAAAATGTATATGAGCAAAACAAAAACTAAAGAACCAACTATGTAATAGTCAACTCCAGTATCAGTATTTGCCAAATGAAACCATTTGGTTGTGCAGTGTCAAAGGAAAAATCACATCTAGAGAGAGACTGTTTTATAGAGTTTAGTTATTACTTACCGTTTTTGGCTTTATTTTACTTTGCAAACCATAAACTTTGCAACCTATAAAACTACCTTTCATAGCAGCCTCAGTGATTGCTACTACATTTTATAATTTTTGCTTCATTTATATTATTATGTAATGAACTGAATTAAGGAAAGTATAAGCTGGTTTGTAAATGTTAAGAGATAATGCATTGAAAATGCCATTTTAAAAGTGTTTCTGTTGACCTGAATAGAGTGCTGGAGGACAAGGAGAAAATAAAGTGGTTATGGGATTGGGCTGGGGATAAGCCTGAAAATTCTCTTCACAGGACTGAAAAATCACTTAAAAACTTCAGATCAATTTAAGCATTTAATGTTTAGAAGTTTTTCACATCATCTTATACTTAAACATCTACACATTGTATTTCTTCCTGACACAGTACTGACAGTGGTGTTAGTAAGATACAGTTAATTTATTTCTTAAATGGATATTTCTTCCTGTATTAATGAAACAAAAAATAGATAGTAAGTGTGTAGTATAGTACTTGGTATATGGTAAGTACTCAGTAAACACCGTCTCTTTTCTTTATATGTAATGAAGTTTGTTAAGAATTTTAATAAGATTTATCTGAAATTGGGTAACCGGAGCACTTAATCTTTCCTGCCATTATCAAGCACCCAGTTAGTCCACAGCAGTGACCTAAAGACAGCTGAAAACTTGTGAGAAAAGAATACTTAATGTTAGGATGTTCATGCAATAGCAAAGATTAAAGATAATGAAGTATTACTACCAGGTCTTTCTTTTGGAAGAATTAACATAATTACACTTGTTTTTTAAGTCTCTCAAAAATTTTCAGTTAAGAATTATAGTTTGTCTTTTATTATGCCATAATACTGTTCTACTATTTATTATTTATGAAATATGACATTTAATACTAAAATACTTATAATGAAAATATTGTTCCTTTCAGGGAAATAGCTAGTTTGTTCTTTTATTTTGAGAAATATATGTTCATTTTCTAGACTAGAAGCTAGTAAATGAAGCTTGTTCATTCCCTTTTAATGGTTAAAATCAGAAAAAATAGTAAAGACAGACCAACCTAAAATAAAAAGTGAGATAGAATTATTTTCCATAAATTAATATGCATTGGATATTTAAACTTTTTCAGTGGTAAATTGTTAATGTCATCAAGTATGCAGAAATCAGTTTTCTTAAAATATTATTATTGCCTTGCTATCTTCCTGAATGCCACTTTGGTAATATTCTAGTCACAGTCTCATTAGGACATTGTTTACTCCATATGTTGTGTTCTTTTTGTTTTCATATGCATAGAAAAGTGCACATATCTTAGGCATAAAGCTCAGTGAATGTTCACAAACTGAGCCCCCCTACTTAGCTCTCAAGTGTATTAAAATAATGATAACGACATCAAAAACTCTGCTCTCCTCCCCACTGAGTGTCCTTTCTGATCTTTCTCCCTATATGCTTTTTTGCAAGCTAAAAATAAACTATATTGAACTAATTTTTACTGTGAATACATCCAGATGAAACACCATGTAATTTTAACAAAGTTTATCTTGACCTCAGAGTGGTCTTTCACCTTCATCTCTTCTCCTTCCTCTCATCCCACTTCATCCCCTGGAGAGATAAAAACAAAACCAAAAAAATGGTTAAGCTGCACTTCGGGAGGCCAAGGTGGGTGGATCACGAGGTCAGGAGTTCGAGACCAGCCTGGCCAATATGGCAAAACCCTGTCTCTACTAAAAATACAAAAAATTAGCTGAGCATGGTGGCACACACCTGTAGTCCCAGCTACTCGGGAGGCTGAGGCAGAAGAATCGCTTGAACCCAGGAGGCAGAGGTTGCAGTGAGCTAAGATCGCGCCACTGCACTCCAGCCAGGGCGACAGAGCAAGACTCTGTCTCAAAAAAAAAAAAACTGGTTAAGCTTTATACTTATAGGCCTATGCTATCTTCCATTCCTAAATTAGTAAAACTAGCATATTGATCCTTTGCTACTACTGTTTAGATATTTCAGTTAGTCAAACTAACAGTTAGGAAAACTAGTTAAATGGTAAGATTGCCAGTATTTGGTAATGAAATTATATTTAAAACTTTAGCAGTAGATATTTTATATAAAGTCACGGAGTCCATGTTTTCACTTTAGAAATCCATGGAAAAGCTAAAAAGTGGAAGAAAATGGAGTTCCGTTTTATTGTCATAACCACGTACAGTATCCTTAACACTAGATTGTTCATTATTGTCCTTAGATTTTGAGGATGACATGATTATAACATCTGATGTCTCTCGATATATTGAAGACCCTGGTTTTGGGTATGAAGACTTTGCCAGACGAGGAGAAGAGCATTTGCCAACATTCCGAGCTCAGGTATAATATGTCTTTAATTCAGAGAAACTAGAACATACTGTCATTTTAACTGTTAAGTGTTTAAATTTTAAAAATTGGCACTAAACAATTTTTGATAGAATCTATAAATCTTTGTATTTAACCTAGTTTCAGCCTAATCTAATTGGAGTTCCCAATAGATGGATAATTATTTCAACATTTTTCTCCCTAAGAAGACAAAAGGAAACAGTCTGCTTTATTCACTTACTTCTATTATTACGTGGTATTTGCATAATGTTTATACCATTTTTTTGAGGGGGAACAGAGAGGAAAACAAGTGACATCACTTTTTCTTGGAATAAAATCATATACCAGTAGTCATGGGCTTAAGGGCTACTCTAATATTCACCCCTAGGAAATAGCCACAGCAGTGATATGACTCCTAAAGAGGGTATAAGATTGAATTATGACAAACTCATTCATGGTTATTTTAGATGATCTGCTAACTGTCCATGTCACTGGGTAGGTTTGTTCACATGGGAATATTCCAAGATCTCCTGGGGCCCTTCCAGATAAAAGGATAGTGTGCGTAGTACCTGAGTGTAGGAGATGACCAGAGTTCATCACTAACATGGCAAATCCCATACCCCATGAAGAAACATCCAGACACTCTGATCTACTAACTGATGTGAAGGGTTATTGGTAAAGCCTTAGTAAAGCTGAAAACCTAGAGCTAAATTAGAAATAGCCTCGCTTACTTGCTTCATTAGTTATATTTAATAATACATAGAATTTAGATGGAAAATGCCCACTTTGTAATTAAATACATTTTATTCTTTTAGGACTATACCTGGGAAAATCATGGGTTCTCCCTGGTGAACAGACTTTATTCTGACATTGGACATCTTCTTGATGAAAAGTTTCGGATGGTCTACAATCTCACATATAACACTATGGCCACCCATGAGGATGTTGACACAACCATGCTGCGCAGAGCTTTATTTAACTATGTTCACTGTATGTTTGGAATCAGGTATGTTCATTGTAGAGACAGTTTTTTACATTTCTAAGTGAAAATTCAAGCATGAGTCTTATTTTTGTCCTGTTTGGGAGTATATGACTCTGGGAAGAAAATATTACATGTAGACTTCTGATTTTAAAAATTAATTTCATTTTATGGAGAAGCATTTTTCTTTAAGTGTTATGAATCTTAACATTGATGCACATGTAAATATAGTGGTAAAAATTTACTGAGGGAAAAAAGCATCAGTAATGATTGGGGATAGGATAGAATTAGACCAAATTTGAGAATCCTTCCTGGAAGAACAGGTGAGTTTTAAAAAAACAGGTGTAGTGTCCCTTTAGATCACTATAATAAATTCTGGTTTGTTTAGTTAGTTTGGTCTTTTTAAAACTTATTTTTTAAGGAATGGTAATTACGGTATAAACAAAACTGTACTAGGTTGTGCCTTCATAAGCTTACATAAGGTCACATAACACTGAAATTAAATATATCAGCCAATATAAATTAATGACCTCTAAATTTAGAAAATTAGCATTGAGAGGACAGTAAGTACATGAGATTGAATAGTCTAATCAAGAAAGCACTTTTTGGAGAATGTGCCTTTTTGAGTTGTGGTTTTGAGGCTTTTATGGAAATAGATTAGCAGACAGAAAAACTTTCCAGTTACAAATTATTCAACTTGACTATATAGATATATATCAGACAGACTTTATGATAATTAGAATTTAATCGGTTAAGCAAAGTATTTTCTATAATTTTAGCTGAAGAACCCCAAAATTTACTGATAAATCGCCTAATAACACGATATTCCATGTAATAGATTATGGTTGTATGTAATAACTGAGCTATTTGTCCATTTACCATGCTAGACAATGTTATCAAAGAATCAATACATTTTAAAACACATATATATCATATCTACCTACTTAAGAAAAATAAACACCGATAAAACTCAATTTAAATGCAATAAATATGTATTGGATACAAGGCAACAAATGTGGTGAATATATCTGTTGGATGCTACAAAATAAAGCTTACATAAATGCATCAAGATACTCTTTTTATTAAACTAAGCATTATATGGGTTAAAAATTAACTGAAAATGTAACAGAGAAATTCCACAAGTTCCCAATACTACATTTACCTACCTGTCTACATCTGTGCCCATTTACTCTGCTGTCATTACTGTCTATGTTCCTATACACTTATGCACAAAATCCCATTTCTCATTTTCTAAAGATCTCAGTTCTAGCAATGCTCCCTTCTCTCTCCAGCATAATCAGCTTTACTCCCATTTTGGATCTTTCCCATCAGCATTGAAACACACTTAATTTCTCCCATCTTTAAAGAAAATTTCAGTTTCACCTTTCATTTCCATCTGGCTACTGCCTCATTTTCTGCTTTCGTGCGAAGCAAATCTCTGACAAAATTGTGTATATTTACTGTCACTATTTTCTTATCTCCCATTCTCTCTTGAACCTATTCACAGTATCAGGCTTTTGTCCCTATCAACCAACAAAACTGCTCTTACCGAGGTTGCTAGTGACCTCCATATAGCTACTTCCAGTGGTCAGTTCCCAGTTATCTTATTTGACTATTTGGCAGCATGGGACTCAGTGATTACTTGCTCTTCCCTGAAACACTTGACTCCTACCTCAAGTCCTTTACACTTGCTTCTTTACCACCATCTGGTATTTGTTCAAATATCAAGGCTTTCAGAGAAGCCTTCCTGCCCACCCTATTTAAAATAACAACTCCTCTCCTCCCAGACCAAGTTCCATTTCCTCTCCATGGCAGTTATCACCATCTGACTACAATGTGTTTATCTTTTTAATTTTTCTTCGTTTTTTCTTCAACAAAATTTAAGCTCCATGAGACCAAGGATTTTTGTCTGTTTTGTTCACTAGTATATCACTACTACTGAGTACTCATGGCACATAATGGGTACTCAGTAAACATTTGTTGATTCAATTAATTAACGAGCTTTTAGTATTTAATTACTAGACAATAAATGTCCTTAGTATAACTTTGGAAACTAAATATTTTGATTTTGTCATTATAAAGCTATTGTTGTATTGCTCGTAGGTATGATGACTATGATTATGGAGAAGTTAATCAATTACTTGAAAGAAGCCTGAAGGTTTACATTAAGACAGTGACCTGCTATCCTGAGAGAACTACAAAACGCATGTATGATAGTTACTGGCGGCAGTTCAAACACTCAGAAAAAGTACGTGTTTCAGTATTAAGCATTATACCATAGACAGTTCTTCAGTACAAGAAGTAATAGTTATGAAAAATGACACATGAAAGTATTAATAAATTATAGCCATTGACATGGAAGTGGCATCATCTAGCTATCTGGGGTTTTTTTGCTTGTTTGTTTGCCAGGCTGGAATGCAGTGGCACGATCTCAGCTCACTGCAACCTCCACTTCCCGGGTTCAAGTGATTCTTCTGCCTCACCCTCCCGAGTAGCTGAGATTACAGGTGCCTGCCACCACGCCTGGCTAATTTTTGTATTTTTAGTAGAGGTGGGGTTTCACCATGTTAGTCAGACTGGTCTCAAACTCCTGACCTCAGGTGATCTGCCCACCTCGGCTTCCCAAAGTGCTGGGATTACAGGCAGGAGCCACTGTGCCCAGCAGAAACCGTTGTCTTAATAGGTTAACTTTAGTGGTTAAAGAATCTCGAAATGGATGTGCCTTCTGGGCCAAAATACAATTATACCTAATACAACATTTCAGTATGTCTGATTTTTATTAATAGTTAGAACTGTAGACAGTTTTCCAAATGTGCTTTGAAGATATCAGTACTCAGATCTAGTATTTCTAAGGCTTACGATAAACTTTTATATGCTATATTGAACAAAGCATATAACCAAAATTGGGTTACTAGTCAATAAATCTGAATTAAAAAAATATTTTAAAAACCCAGATAGTGGCTGGGTGCAGTGGCTCCCGCCTGTAATCCTAGCACTTTGGGAGGCCGAGGTGGGGGGATCACCTGAGGTCAGGAGTTCAAAACTAGCCAGGCCAACATGTAGTGAAACCCCATTTCTACTAAAAAATACAAAAATTAGCTGGGCATGGTTGTGCATGCCTGTTGTCCCAGCTACTTGGGAATCTGAGGCAGGAGAATCGCTTGAACCCAGGAGGCAGAGGTTGCAGTGAGCCGAGATCACTCCACTGCACTCCAGCCTGGGCAACAGAGCAAGACTTCATCTCTCGAAAAAAAGACAATAGATTTTTACCCAAACTTGGTAATTTAGTGTTTTGACAGTATAATTCAGGACCTTTGAGCCAAATATACTGTTACATAAAAATATTTATTTGAAAGAAATATATAGGCAACATGAAGTTAGAAAACCTAATAAATGTTAAGGATCTTTATCAACATCATAGTATAAGAGCTGGCCTTAAGTCCTAGGACTTTTAACCTTTAAGTTCAAGAATCTCCTTTATACAACAGTTTCGAAGCTTGAAAGTAAGAAAATCTTTTTAGGAAACATTCGCTAATAAACTGTATGATCTTAGCAGAGAATGTTATGGCTTCAGTACCTAACAGATTTTTTGAAGTCTTAGAGCCACTCACATCAGGTAAATACCCATTTTACATCCAGCATTTCCCCTTGATGGGTCTTTATCCCATATTTATATGTTTGCTCTAGATTTTCTTCCTTTTCTAGATTGTATCTAGAAATTCTCTTTACTCTTCAGGAGAATATATCCAACCACATATCCAACTGGTATAAATATATCAAAAGAATATAATATTAAAACATATTTTTATAGTAAATTTTGAAAACTTGTGGATACCCATTTTAACTTATCAGCCGAGATGTAACCCCGAAAGAAATGTTCTGCAGAATTTTATCTGAAAGACTCTAGGGAAGCTATGTATGTCTAACAAGTATCAAACACTAATCAGAAACTTTAAACATCAGATTTTCACTTTAGTATCTTTTAAGTAAATACTAGGAAAAATTTTTTAAAGCTTTTCACAGGATAAGCATAAACTGTTAAAAAAAAAAATGAGGGCTGATTTTTAGCCATGTAAAATTTTATAACTAGAAAGAAATGTAATTTGTAGGAAAATTATAATTTATAAAAATTAGTTTTATTTTATAACCCAACAGATTGACTTTACAAAAATAACAACTTTAATAAAGTTATCAGAATTTTTTAGATTTTATGGGTTATTTTTACTGCTTGCAGAGCCATTAGACACAGGTTTGAGTGTTGCATCATGAACATGGATAAATATGCCTAGGTGTGTGTGTGTGTGTATATTGCTTATATACACATAAAAAAACCTTTGTGAATGTCTAATAAGATTTTCCAGGTGTTTATAATGGTTACTAAACTGATAACATTTTCACTTCTAGGTTCATGTCAATCTACTTTTAATGGAAGCACGAATGCAAGCTGAACTTCTTTATGCTCTTCGTGCCATAACTCGGCATTTGACCTGAAGTATCACCCAAGGAAAATGTCATACATGTGTAAAGACCTTTCACATAAGATAAACATTGAAGCTATTTGTGATATAGCATCAAAAATTATTCAGTTCTCTAGTGTCAAAGTTTAGCCGTTTGTTTTTTTTTTTTTGTTTTTTGCGGCTGTAATGTGCAATGATGTGTTTTATTTTCCTTGATGCTTAACATTACTAACAATTGCAAAAATAATACTGAGGAGCACTACTTTGCATTGTTTGTAGTTGGAGTTTTGGATACTGATCATAAATCATGAATCTGGCGTATTAATGCTTAACTTCAGCGCCTTTGGGTTGTGTGTATGTGTATTTTTTCTCCCCCCACCCCGCCCTTTTTTTTTTAAGAATAAGGACAAGTGCTTACAATCTGCTCAAGCAATTGTTTTTCAGATATTGGAATTCAGCAAAGAGTGACCTCTCTGGCCATTCTAAAACTTTAATGTTGTGTCCTAAATCTGGTGGAGGAAAAGCATGCGCTGTTGAACCAAGCTGCTCACTGGACACATATTTGTGTCCCCAGGAGATTATTTGTCAGGCACTGTTTTTTATTTGTTTGTTTGTTCATTTATTGTTGTTTTACTGCTATTGGCGATAACATGAAATGTGATACAGCTATTGCCCATAATTTAATGTGAAATTAATCATGATGAATTCTATAGCATGCTACTGAAATGCCAAATTCAGCTATTTTCTTTCTCTTCTAAAATGGAAGTTTCAGTTTTCCATATCAGATGTATATAAGTGGAATTATAACACAATCCTATCACTGACAGTAATCCTCAGTCACCTTAAATAATCAGTGCTCACAGTGCTGCTTACAGTTCATTTAGTTGGCACATATAAACCTGTACCCACACAAGACTGACCAAAAATTTTCTTTGCACATTTTTCCTTTCTCATAGTTTTTTTCTATATTTCGTTAAGCAAAGGAAGGTTAATATGCCTATTTTTCCTGTTAGGCTTTTAGAAATTATTTTCCATGACTTTTGTTCTTATAATAGGTTAGACAGTTTATTTTTCAAAGGTAAAAATTGTGTTTCTATGCATTAATGTGATTGAACTACAAAAACAGAGTGCAATATGTTCAAAAAATACTCAACTAAACTTTCCCCCTGTCATATCACTGCAAAAGTGTCCTTTTAAACAGAGCCATAAAGAAATTTTTTTCAAATTTCTTTATTGCACAGGCTTTTTTCAGTTTTACCTTTCTGGGATTGAACAATGTTCCTTTCATAATGCCAAAGCATTCCCTTCCCCAGAAAAATCTCCTTGGACAACTGGTTTAAAAACGTTATTAAGTCATAGGGGAGGAATAAGCGGCCAAAAAGTCACATTTTTGCATTGGTTTACGTTGCTTGATTAGACTATCTTCAGAGAGCACATTATGTGTTTATAGCTTTAATTTGTATTATGTCAATGAACCAGTGAAGTGCCTAAAGAGATGCTTACAACTATCCAGTAGGACACAACTGCACTGCTTTTTAAACACTTTTTGGTTAGTTAAGGGTGACTTGAATTGTACACATACATGCTAATTTTTGAAAACTTATCCATTTTTCATAGTAAATAATATAGATAAAATTTTCTGTTAGAGTTCCCGCAAATATTTCATTTTAGACTTACTTGTGATATAAGATTTAACTTTTCTTTTGTGAAAGAATCGTGAACTAGTGTTTCATGAAATCATTTTCCTCTTCCATTTATCATCCTCCTCTGGTACAATATATTGGGTTGCTTTCTTTTAGATTTTGTTCCAGATAGGAAAACAAATATGACTGTATACTTATTAACATAAGGTAGTTCTGCATTTTTGGATTCCAGGATCCTGTTTGAAATCTTCCATGTGAGGAAAAAATTACTAATATTTTTAAAGACAGGGTGGTTTATTTAAAGAGATTATTCAGAGAACTTGTGCCATATCTCGTCTGTTTTATTGCATATGCCATATGTTAACTTTTATTCAATATTACATTATGTAGATATGTAATACAAAGAAAATATTTAGGAGAATGGCAAAACACAAATGGCAACATAAATGTCCATTTGACTTACCTAACTTCACAACTTTCAAGTTGAGGATGTCATTTATTCTTGAATTTGTTTTTTTACTAGATGCTTTCAATTAATAGCCCTATATTTTTGTGCAGGCGAACTGTATAACAGGATAAAAAATGATTTGTATGTATTGAAAAGGAGGAGAAATTCTCACAGAACACCATATGAGCTTTAGACCAAAAGGGGAAACAAGGTTTAAGTAACTAAAATGGCCACTTAGTTTGTGTTTATTTTTTTCCCTGGAAATGTAAGTAGTTGGAGTTTAGGCTATGGAAATATTAGTGCCTTTAATAGATCTCTTTCCTTGCAAAGTTTCTTTTTAGCTCAGCATTGATCTATCTTATCAATAGGAAAATAAGTTGACTTGGAACTATAAACAAAAACAACACCATATATTTATGAACCTCAGTGAACCAGCCTAGAAAAATTGACTTCTGCAGGTGCTAAAGCACCTACTAATACGCAGCATGCACAGCATTTCAGGTTGTGAATACCATTTTACAACGAGTTTGCTGTTAACTCTCTTTATCCAATGCAAACTTGAAATTCTGATGCGGTTTTCCAGGGTGGTATTTTTTCAGAGTATTGAATTTACTATTTAGTAATTTATAGTATAGCTTTTTATATTAAAATGTGATATTTTTAAAAGAGATATCTGGTTCAATTGGTATAATGACGTGATTATGCAATATGCTGATCTACACCTTGCGCTCACATTGTGCCAAACTTAAATGTGCAAGTGTACGTGAGAAAAGCACATGTGAATGTGAATTCTTTAATTCTTTGCTTATTATGTTAAAATTAGTCTTCATAGTCCACTGATGTGTATGCTTGAATAATGTCTATTTACTTTGGAATTTCAAGATTTCCAGCTTCAATGGTAATTTATAATTTCTCAGATCACCTTAAGAAATATTGAGATACTCTCCCACCTGAAAATAATCTGTTCTTTAACCCACCTGACTATGGGAGTAGCCAGGCAGGTGCCTCACTGGCTTCTTCAGACGAGGCTTCCTCAGGTGGATATATGACTATTAGGGGAAAAGAGGCTTTTGAGACAGCTTATTACCTCCTTCCCCTTTTTGAACTAAGTACATTGTCTCAGTCCCAGTATGAATTTGTCCCATTTGGGGTATTTTTAAAATAAAAGATGGCTAACATGGAATCTGGGGCATAGCCTTGGCCTTTAATTATGGTTGTAAGCCCAAATAATGGCAGAGAAACACAGGGCTGTTTTTACAACAGAAAACTCAATATAAGTTTTATATAAGAATCCTATAAAATTTGAACCAGAGCTCCTATTTAGTTGTTATAATGTCTCCTAAAGATCTTAAATGCTTCTAAAAGCTAATTATTATTCCAGAGCAACTTTTTCCTTTTCCCCCTTATAAAGTTTTTTTTTAAATCCAAAATCTTAGATTTCTGTGCCACAGCAAAATAAAATGATCAACAATTAAAGATCTGTACTTAAAATAGTACACCATTTTTAGTGGAGGGAGGGTGCATGCCTATATGATGGTAAGATTCTTTTGAACTCTAAGGACAATTCCTCATGGAAAAAATAAATTTCAGTGCATATTATAAAAATGATTTGCACTGTGTTAGCAAAATAAGGTGTTTTAGGTTGTATTTTAAAGACAATTCTAAATCATTTCTCTGGAAAGCAAGACCTTAAATTCTTCTCTTTAATAGAACTGCTTTTATGCAAAGAGATGGTCTTAACATGGACTAAACAGTACATAACAATAATGTTTGTTATGTAAATAGTATATCACATTTGCTTAGTAGCACAATTCAACAGCAGGCTGAAAGTCGTGGCTCCTCTGCTCAGATTGAGTTTTAAGTTACCTAATTTATGTAATCAGAATCTATTCTAGGTGGCCGTCAACGTAAACTGTGTTTCCCTATTATATCCCTCTGGAGACTGAGAATCAAATTAAATAGTCTTTCTTCAAAGCAGTACTGTAACATGAATGTATTTATCTCAGTCAACAGAACTTATATGCCCACTGTATGTGGAGCTTATTTCAATGCTAATTTGGCTTAGTTAGCAGACCTAGAATCTGCCCAGGTGAGACCTAGAACAAAAATAGCTGGGGTGAAATGGATAAGAGAGGTAGAGGTATATGTCAAGGCAGAGCCCTATGAGGAAGGAAGAGTTTTCAAAGAATATGAGGAACATAGTGCTGAGAGTGTGGCTGCCTTCAGCACCGTACACCTAATCTAGAGAAAATATTTCCCATGTGGGAGGTCCTGTCTGCATTCAGTCCACCCTTTTCTGCCTGCTTCTTCCTCCAAGTGCCTCAACCTCTACATGCTCACTCTCCTCCCCTTCCCTCAGCCCATCTTGGTCTAAGCAGCTTTCACAATCCAAACCAAACATCACCAGCCACCCGCTGATAAGTCACCAGCATTTACTTTCCTGAGTTACTTTTTCTCCATTCATTGAGACTATGGATTCATCCCAACTCCTTCTAAATCCCTCAACCATCCAGCTATATTTTGGCTAACCTTTGCCCTAGACACTCTACCAGATGTTAATGCAGTATCAAGTGTAAATTGTGTCACCCTATTCTGTTCTACCCTTTTCCCTGCTGCCGAAATATCTTGCTCTCCTCTACCTCATCCCCAAAGAGCCTATAAATTCAGAGTATCCAACCTTTTCATGGATTCACTCACTGTTGTTCAGTAATACAACTTCCATATTTTAAATAAATCATAAAAGATTTTTGCCTTCTATCAAAGTAGGAAACTTTATATTTATACATGATACAGAAATTGAACTATTTCTATCGTTCAGAATTTAGCATATAACAGGATTTTAAAGTGATTGAATTGCCATCCTAACTTGGATTTGTATTAGGTTATGAATGAATACTGTTGTTAGTCCAAGCTATTTGAATGTAAAGTTAAAATTCTCCAGCAATCCAGAATGACTTGTAACCCTTCAGTGGAATGGGAAATTTCTGGTATGCAAATAGGGTGGTGTTCCAGACATTTGTTTTATTGGTGGTGTTTGGGCCTTGAAACACATTTCTAATAGAATGACATATGGCAAAGGGTATTTAGATGGTCCTATGGGATCACAGAAGCCCATATGATTTAAAATATAGATAAAATAACACAAAATTGGGTACATAAGGGTTTAACCAGGCTTTCCTGGGTTAGACTAAGCCTCTAACCTCTGTTCCTATCCTGTTCTTATGGGAGGAAAAAAAATGTTCCATGGGATGAAAAGAAAATGCATTGACTTTGTAGTCTTTATTCTCCTAGCCGCACTTCGGGTATATCCAGAAGGAAGAGGAAATGCAAAGAGGAAGAAGATGTAATAGTTCTTCTCTCCAGCTAGGTGCACTTGAGGTTGTTCATAAATGTAAAATTATGTCAGGTTTCTAACATGGGACACTGCACACAGTTGTCTGACCTGATGAACCATCCCATTTGAAAGTATAGATTATTATTATTTCTTGTAGTATTTGGTTGTTTTCCATCTCATTCATGAACAACTCAACCTGATAGTAGTATCCAATAAATGCCTTTCAGGGCTCAGGAATGAATTGACATCCTAGTTAAGAAATGAGACTTAATAATGGAGACTGAATGAGGCGGTTTGTATTAAATTATATGCCATGAAGTGTTCATTTTAGCTTTAACCTAATTATGACTGTACCACCATGAAGTACAGAATGAAAAATTATATATATGGGGGGGAAACAGAATGAATATCTGATTCTTTTGAATGCTTGTGGAAATCTTTGAGATCGTGCAGGGCATACCACAAAATAGCCTTTAGAACAGATACCCAATTTTACAGTTCATAGGACAACATCAAACATTAGTAAGTCTAAATAAGATGAATAGAATTTTTGTTATGTAAATTTTGCTAGAACAGTCTATTTTCTTGCACCCCTCAAGTTAACCTCTTAAAAAAATGAATGTATAATTTCTACCGAAAGAATATCAGAGAGAATCTCTCTGGCCTATAGTGTTAAAATATTGTTCACAAATCCTGATTAGTTAAGTGCATACATTATGAAACTTACAGAATAAAACTTATTATACATCTCTTTCTTAAATTAATATCTTTACACATTTTCAACTGGCTCCCCAAGTCTGATAAGGAAGGATTAAAAGAAAAAAGAAATGTATTAGTTGGGTGGCCAAGGAGTTTCCTTTGTAATGTTGAGAGACTTCCGCTTTCTGAATTTCGCTGGTTCTCTAAGGTAAAAGAGTTAAATAGTACCCTTGTTCACCAAGGAAAGTGATCCAAACTATATATCTAGTGCAGATATTTCCTTTGCATTATTTAGTCTTCTCTGGAGAGAAAATACAGTTTCCCCTTCCTCTTTCTCTTCACATTTACTCTTTTCAACCCAAAATAAGAGACATAGAAAGCAAACCACAGCCAGTTTGGCATCTTCTCAGTGCTACTAGTATAGGCACATACACATACACAGTCTCAGCAAGGTTATAAAGAACCCTGTCAGGTCCACTTGCAACATGGCCTTGCTACTTGGATTAGCTCCTTTAAGCCTGAAAATAACTTTCCTGGTCATGGAAGAACTGGACGCATCTTTTAACTTATGAAATAGAAGTTGAACTTGAAAACTCTTTTTAAAAAATCCTGGTTTTGCAGGACAGCTACATAATGAATGTATATATTAAGACTGTAGCTGAATTGCACATGAAATCAGATTGCCAACTTCTTGACTTTCAATGTTAGACATTTATCCTTAAGTTGTGAGCGATATATGTAGCATGCTGTGAAATGTCTGTTATAGCTCTTTAATTCATCAGTATTAATACAGAATTATCATTTGCGTTTCTTGGTACTTTTTATTCAATGTAATCAGAAGCTGTGATGTTTTGCCTTTGTAGTCCTGTGCTTTGTTACTGTAATTTTTTTTTTTTTTTTACGAAGCACGTGACTGGACTAATGTAAGGCAGATGACGTGATCTTTAAGACTGCTATATATATCAGTCTCTTACTCTATAAGGTTTTAAATTAGAATAAGCTTTTATCAAATAGATAATTGATGCAATTTAGGATTCACGCAAGTTTCAGTGTCAAATGGCGGTCTTATAGTTTCAATTCTGAAAATAGCAAACTTAATAAACAGCCACTTTAAACTTGTTCTGGCAAACCAGACCCTGCTGTAGATATAGTCTAAGGTAGTTAACCATATAAGCCTTTTCAACTCTTAATGCCCTCCACATGAATCAGCAGTTAAGAAGGTTCTAGAACCCATGAAAGCTTTTGTATGTATTACTAGGTTTTGTTTTTCTTATGTTTGCTGATTTTACAGTTCTGACTAAAGCTGACCTAAATGGATCAGTTTATGTGTAATATTCTAGTGCTTTAATGACTCTTTTTTTCTTTGGAGGGAGGGTAACATTATTTGGACAGATGCAGAAGGAACTGTTAGTGAGTCAAGACAAACACATCTGAAATAAAGGAACTGTGTATTAACATGTTAACAATTCATAACTGCACTTTTTATGACATTTTGAAAATCTATTTATAGGTACAGAACAATGGGTTTTGTTAAACTGTATCACATTTATACTTGCAGAAATTTATTTCATTGTTATTAGTAGGAATTTTATTGGTTCAATAAAATTGGCAAAACTGAACACCAATCATTTGCCTACTTTGTTTATACTGGAGTAGCATTCTCGCTTGGTTTATTTCTGCTTGATTATTGAGACATGCATTCTTAAAGATATCAGAATTATAGGAGTCATTATTTTCACTATTTTTTTCCTGACCCAGTTTCCTGGTGATATTTCTTATCACTCACTCAATATTCTATTGGTGGAATATTGCAAAAGTGTAAGTTGTGCAAAATATATAGTTATTGTTACCTTTTAAAATATCAATTGTGATCTTAGCAAGAGGCAAATTAACTTTATTATTGTCTCTTGTTAACCAAAGCAGTAATTAGAATGAGGAAAGAGGCATCGAACATAAGGTTGGATTAAAGGCCTGGATTAAAAAACCTAGTTTTTTTCATATTCTACTAGCTTTGCGACCTTGAAAGTAAATTAATCTCTATGATCTTTGATTTCTGCACTACATTCTATCAGGAGTAATACCTTCTTGAGATGGTTAAGAATTAGGTGATGTGTACTCATGTATTTGAAATATACAGCACAATAATGAGCTTGAATGGATAAACAAGCCCAGAGAATAGTGTTACTATTTGATATAAAGTAGAAAAAAAGTAATGGAGAGAGGAAGATGATATATGTGTAATGTGAAGTGGTGATAAGACTTCTAAGTAGGAATGTAAAATAGGCTTTTGGAAAGCTATAAGGGATGTGCAGTCTTTTGTGCAAGTTTTCTAAGGAAGGACCTGACTTTTCATTTATCTTAAATTCACATATTACGTAAAAATTTATACCAAAGGCAAGATTTCTTCCTTTGTGCCATGTGTCTAGCTGTAATGGGAGATCAGTGGAAACCAGCTTCTTGCCGATTAGAGTCTATCTTTTGGCTGGGTTTGGTGGCTCATGCTTGTAATCCTAGCACTTTGAGAGGCCGAGGCAGGAGGACCTGCACTTAGGAGTTCGAGACCAGCCTGGGCAACATAGTGAGACCCTGTCTCTCAAAAAAAAAAAAAAATCTTTTTTTCAATAATATGTAACGCCAGGGGAGACAAAGAACAGGGTACATTGGGCCAAACTCAGCTAACAACCCAGTCCTTCTACAAGTTCTCCCCCAATTCAAAATCAGGCTTTTGACACTAGTTTCCCCATGAATTTATTAACAACTTTGAGCCATTTTTTAAAGTAAAATAATACTTCATGTTTATGTGTGTACTTTGTCCTTTCACGTATACAATTTCATGTAATCCTCACAACTTTGTGAAGAACAAATCCTCACAATAATTTTACAATGACGATATCTTCATTTTATAGATGAGGAAATTAAGTCATAGAAAGCTTTACTAGTGTAAGAAAGTTGGTACAGTTTTTAGAATTGGCACAGTGGAGATTCAAATTCTGGTCTTTCTGACATTTTTTCTACTGAACTTCCCTACCTTAATTCAGCTTAAGTTTCTTGTTGAATGATATAAATGACCATCTGAAGACCTGAGAACAAACCCCAACCTTGAGATGCTGATGTAATTGGACTGAGGTGAATCCAGTGCATTCAGTCTTGAAAAGCGTTCCTGGTGATTTCAATGCCTGATACATTTTGAGAACCACTGGACAAAATTGTATTATTAACTCCACCCAATAGATATCTTCCTAACAGCAAAAATAATTGCAGCTCTGATTTACCAAACTGGCCTGCAGGTGGAATGGAAAGTCAACAGCTGAATTAGGCAGAAATGAGAAAAAAAAAAAAAAAATCCAGCTTTTTCTAAGACCACATCTTTAGGGTTGGGGCCTAAGAAGTGCTAGAAAGGTGAAATAGAAACAGGCACCCATTTGTCACATGACACCTAGGAAAGAAATGAAGTGCCTGTGCTTGCTAGTGAGCAGAATACTTTGCATACCGAAATCATTCTAGATTTTTCTGTGTCTATATGCATTTTGTGCACTTGAAAGTATGGCATATGGGTTATGTAATATTTTTTGAAATTACACTCCTCCCTATAATTTGCCAGTGAGAATGCTTGTCTAGTATTTCAGATATTTCTTGAATGCATGGATCCCATGTGACATACAATATTCCATCAAAATAAGATCTAGTAGCATTTCTTAAAAATGAAATAGACTATGGTAGATTACATTCTAAGCTGTGATTATCAGACCTCTATCTGAGCATCAAAATCTACAGGAAATCTTGTTAAAAATAGACATTCCTGGAAACCACCGTGACTTGCTGAATCAGAATGGGAGGTGAGGGGCTCATAAAATTTCCCGTTTTACAAGATCCCCACACAATGTTTATTCACTCAGCACCACACCAGTCTGCTTTTGGAAGCCATATGTCTTTTGGGAGCAGCCTCTCTCTTCGACAACACTATTCACAGAGTTACACAGCCTTAAATCCACCTTGACTGCCTACACTCTCTTTCTGTGTTCCATATATAGCTGGGAAACTGACAGAGTTTCATGACGTTATTAAAGGAGCAAATCAAATAGAATTCAGAAGACGCGACATCAAAGATGGATTTCCCAAGGTGAAAACAAACGCCCCATGACAAACCTGTTAGAAACTGCTTTTGAAATGGAAGTTACTGAAATGGAATTTCTCAAACGGCAAAAAACACCCTTAATACTCTTGATACACATTTCTGAATTGCTTTTCAGAAAGGTTGTGCCAATTTACACCAATGTGCATGAAATGCCCCTCCCCTTGGTCATAAGCACTTCAGACAAATTGCATCTCCTTCATGAATTTGTACAGTGCTGGCCGTGGTGAGATGAGAGAGAAATACTCTGTGAATGGACTAACGACTCAGGGAGGGGCAAGGCCCAGACAGCCACGGGACTCCTGGGCAAGAGAGAAGGACCCTTCTTACCACTTGATTGAAGTGGAGATTCTGGGTAGTGTTCAAGAGAAGTGCGGCTGTCCAACCTGGCCAGAGTGCAGCAGCACTTAGGTCTCCAGCTGTGGCCCAGAGTTGGGGGATGCCTATTTTTTTTTTTTTTTTTTGAGACGGAGTCTCGCTCTGTCGCCCAGGCTGGAGTGCAGTGGCGCGATGTCCGTTCACTGCAAGCTCCGCCCCCCGGGTTCACGCCATTCTCCTGCCTCAGCCTCCTGAGTAGCTGGGACTACAGGCCCCCGCCACCACGCTCGGCTAATTTTTTTGTATTTTTAGTAGAGACAGGGTTTCACCGTGTTAGCCAGGATGGTCTTGATCTCCTGACCTCGTGATCCGCCCGCCTCGGCCTCCCAAAGTGCTGGGATTACAGGCGTGAGCCACCGCGCCCGGGCGGGGATGCCTCTTATAATCTCTGACAGAAGCAGCTTCTCTAGGCTGAGGCCAGGAGCTATCCCTGGGGAGGGCCCCCAGATGGGGTACAGGGAATGACCGGGAGGGTAAGAGGTAAAAAGGAGTTGGGCCAAGTTAGGAGTTTCAAAAGACCTTCACTCTAACTTCAGGCAACAGGCATATCAGCGAAGAAGTCAAGTTAGCTCTTATGCCCTCACATTCAGCTTCCTGGTGCTGTTATGATGCCTCTAACTGCTCAGGACTGTGCCCACCCAGCTTTTCCAAAAGGAACATGCCCCTTCTTGTCTGAAAATGGTAGATTCTAACTGACTCCTTCCATCAAGTGAGCATCTTCTCTCTCTAAAACAGGATTCTGTAAATAGAACTACTCAGTGCTGGCCGTGGCCCCAAAAGGATTCATTCAAGAGGTGGCAATGTGTTCCCACATTGCAAAGTGAAATGATGGTACGTTAAGGATTTGCAAAAGTGGTGATCCCAAACCCGTTTTGTGAGCCTTACTTCAACCCCACTCCTGGCTATGAAAGAGTGGAGGTTGAAGAGGCAAAAAGAGAGGGTTTGTTTAGAAAGTGCTATGCTTCGAGTTCCGGCTCCCTTCAAGGAGTTCATTCTGAGGCATTTGTACAAATCTTGTGGAGTTTAAGGAACAATATAGACTGGCATTCAATTCCAATCTAAAAGAAAGCATTCAGGCAGCTTGCTGCCCATATAGGCATGCAAACCCAAGAGAGAGGACAGCCACAAGAAAAATTGCCCCTCCAGTATTTGGCAGGGCAAGGATATGTGAGCTCTCTGTAGGTCAAGAGAAGACCTTGGAAGGTAACCAGGCTGGAGCTGTCTCAAAGGAACACTGTCCAAGAGACTGGCTTGCCAGAGTGAGGTGCCTCCCAACACAAAGGCCAGAGACTGGGGGATCATAAGAGATCAGCCAGAGAGTGCATTGCCGAAGTCAGCCTACTGTATGGTCTGGGCTACAAAGCCTTTAAAGCCCACACAAACAAAGGATGTTGGCTTTTTTTTTTTTAGATGGAGTCTTGTTCTGTCACCATGTTGACACCATGTTAACCATGTTGATTCAAGCTGGAGTGCAGTGGTGCAATCTCAGCTCACTGCAACCTCCCCCTCCTGCATTCAAGCAATTCTCCTGCCTCAGCCTCCCGAGTAGCTGGGACTACAGGTGCACACCACCACGCCAGGCTAATTTTTGTATTTTTAGCAGAGACGGGGTTTCACCATGTTGGCCATACTGGACTCAAACTCCTGACCTCAAGTGATCTGCTGGTCTCGGCCTCCCAAATTGCTGGGATTACAGGCATGAGCCACCACACCTAGCTGGATGTTGGCTTTTATTGTAAGAGCAATGGAGGCTGTCAAAGAATTGTGTGTGTGTGTGTGTGTGTGTGTGTGTGTGTGTGTGTGTGTGTGTGTGTGTTGGGGGCGGGGGATGGGTAATGATAGTGAAATGATCAGATTTGCATTTCAAGGATGCTCTGACTGGAGCATAACAAATGGAGGGGGACCAGAACAGAAGTAGGAAGGCTCATTAATAAGCTAGTCAGGTGAAAAGAGCAGGCAGTGAAGGCTACAGTACGAACAGCAGAGATGAGGAGCGGTAGGTGGATTTGAACAATAGGTAAAAATCAACAAGTCTAAGTGATTGGCTTGCAGGGAGGGTAAACAATAAGGAGGCGTCAGGATGACTCCTTCGTTCCTGTCTTGCCCATATTGCTGCCTGATGCAGCCATTTACTCACAGAACACTGGGAAGGAGCCAAGTTCTAGGGAAAAGATCATGTGTATTGCCTTGATAACTTGGGAATCTGAGATGCCTTTAAGATCTGCAAAGATGTCAGGTAGACTAATTGAAGCTTTATACCTGGGTGAGGGTTTAGGAAAAAGCGAGAGATAAAGGTAACCAAAGAGCCAGTCTTGAGGGATCCCAACGCTTAAAGGCCAGGAAGAGGAGAATGCACTAGTGGGGATGAAGGAGAGAGAAAAGGAACTGCCAGAGTTGCAGGAAAAAAGACCATCTGCCACCCCGGTCCTCAATGCTGGCTACAACAGGAAATAAAATGGATGTGGCCCCTGCCATATGGAGCTCACAGTCAGGGGAGTGAGAAGGTGGATAGTAAGCAAGAAAACCACGAAATTATAAAACTACAAATTGTAGTCAGCATTATAAAGGGAAAGACAGAGAATAAGAATGAATTGTGGGCTGGGCACAGTGGCTCATGCCTGTAATCCCAGCACTTTGGGAGGCCGAGGTGGGTGGATCACCTGAGGTCAGGAGTTTGAGACCAGCCTGACCAACATGGTGAAACCCTGTCTCTACTAAAAATACAAAAATTAGCCAGGCGTGGTGGTGCATACCTGTAATCCAAGCTACACAGGAGGCTGAGGCAGGAGAATCTCTGGAACCTGGGAGGTGGAGGTTGCAATGAGCCAAGATTGCACCACTGTACTCCAGCCTGGGTGACAGAACAAGACTGTCTAAAAAAAAAAAAAATGAATTGTGGGGCAGGGAAGAGTTCTTTGTGGATCTGCATTAGGATGCTTATGAGTGGCAGCTGTCCCCAGGGAAGTGTTTGGAGAAAGGAAATTGCCTGGCACCTGTGGTCTGCTTTCCCACTGTAGCCCTGTTCTTCTCTCCCCAGTTACTTCCCAGGAGGTGCCTGGAACCTAAAGAATAAGTGTCCTTGAGCAGTGAGTGTCTCTGAAAAGAAGGGAGTGAGGAACTTCAGAATGGACACACAACAAAAAAGCCCAGCTGACCATTAATGGGTTGGAAAGATGCTATCACAGGGCCTGGTCCCATTGGAAGATGTTTGGGCTTTTCGCCAAGGCCTGATGACCTCCACCACCTGATCTGAGACTGCCCCTATAACAGCAAAGCCCTTGATCAAAGCAAAATGACCCAGAGAGTTTCAGGTATCCCACAGCTCTGCCAAGCAGATTTCAAAGAAATGCGAACTGAGGTTATCATGAGGATTTTGTGCTAAAGGAACCAGGGTATCAGGTGGCCATGCCTTCTCAGGGCCTGAGCCTTGGGGATACCACGCAAGTTCCCTAACCAAGCTATCTGAAATACACTCCAGCCTAAGGGTATATTTATTCACCCAAGGTCCGTGTCAGATTCCTTTATTAGATTCTTTTATTTCTCTAGAAATAAACAGTGAAGTATAATTCATATACAATCCCATTTAACAAGGCAAATGGAAAGTGCTGTTTTAAAGCAGCAGCCATAGGCATTGTGAGAAAGCACAAAGTCAAGGTTCGGGGCGTAGGCTGTGGAGTCAGACACACCTAGGCTCAACTTCCAGCTCTGCCCCCTACTGGTTCAGTGATGTTGAGACGGAGTCTTGCTTTGTCGCCCAGGGAGGAGTGCAGTGGCGCCATCTCTGCTCACTGCAACATCTGCCTCCCGAGTTCAAGCGATTCTCATGCCTCAGCCTCCCAAGTAGCTGGGATTACAGGCGCCCACCACCACATCTGGCTAATTTTTGTATTTTTAGTAAAGACAGGTTTTTGCCATGTTGTCCAGGCTGGTCTCGAACTCCTGACCTCAAGTGATCCGCCAGCCTCTGCCTCCCAAAGTGCTGGGATTACAGGCGTCAGCCACCACACCCAGCAAATTACATAATCTTTAATGCCTTCCTTCTTCATCTTTATGGGGATAATAGAGTTATATGAATGAATTAATGACACGGAGTTTAAAGCCTTTCTCAGTCTAGCCTGAACTCACCTTTCCAGACTCAGCCTGTGATTTTACTCCCTTCCCCCAAGCCACATGAGAGTCCCAGGCTGCAGCCACACTGGCCTTTCTGCTACTGCTTCCAGCCATCACCTTCTCTCTGCCCCGACCACGCTTCCCACTGCCTGGGTTCCCTCACACCACCCTCGTCTACTGAACTCCCACTCATCTTTCAGAGTGCAAAGCAAATGTCACCTCCTCTTTGAAGCATCCCCTGCCTCACCTAAGCAGTCAGCTGCACCTTGCTCTCTATGCCCATATACTTCCTCTACATCTTCTCAACGATAGTAATAAACACTCAAAGTGCTAAGCACTGAGCTTAAGTACTTTAACTATTTTAACTCACTAAATCCCCACAGGAACCATATAACACAGATTTTATCACTAACCCCATTTTTAGGATGCAAAACATAATGCACAGAGAAGCTAAGTAACTTGCCCAATGCCACACAGCCCACAGCAGAGCCAGGAAACAAGCCAAGCCCTGTGATGACAGAGCTGGTGCTTCTAACCACAGTGCTACACTGTGTACTCCTTATCCACAGGGTGCGAAGTCCACTTCCCCCAACAGGTGGGAGGGCCAGGGATTGCATTTTCTTCATTTCTGCATCCTCAGATCCTAGCACAGTACCTGGCACATAAGCACTTGCAACTTTCTTCCTCTCACACACCAAAACTAGACTATTTAAGGAAAACCAATAATTCAGTAACACTCACCCATGTGTTCTGGTCTCTTCTTTTTGGCTATAATTTCTGATTAAAAAATACTGCTCTGTAGTCCTGGCCAAGGGGCCTCATATAGTCTCTTTGAAGTTGATGAATAACAATGAACTTCTTCTAGTTCATTCAATTAAAAAAGAGAAGCCATCTTTTCCCATGAAGAAGTTTGAGGCCTAAGGGTAAAATAGAGACATGGATCTGTCACGACACCTTTTCCCACTGAAATGAAGAGAATCTGTTTATAAAGAAAAAAAAGAGTAAAAACAGAATTCAAAAGGCAACCAGGCTTCCAGAAGGGCCCTCCCTGGCCCAGCAGCTCCTGGAGGCAGTTGTGGAATCTAGAGTTGGAGGAAGTCTTGAAGAGAGAGCTCTTTGAAGGCACAGCTGGCTACAAACCAGTCCCGGAGCCGGCAGCCCAGCCCGGCTCAGCACATCTCAGCCAGAACATAGCTAGGCAGGCCAAGGAATCCTAAGAAGGGGATGATATTTTTAAAATCTTTGGCGTTAGCAAAACTGAAGGTTGCCTGGCCAGTGCTTGTCTCTTTCTTTTTCCCAGCTCAGTGTCTAATTTGTGTATTTCCAGGATTCCGAACCTTTCCCCAGCAGATCAGGTCTAAGTGCAAACGGTCCCTAAGTCACCCATGTTCCTTAGGCTTTTTCCCTCCTTAGAAACAAAAGGTGGACCTTTGCCAAGATTAAATGGCATTCCATTCAAAGCTCCAAGTCTGGCTCAGTTCAACATGCTCATGAGGAGGACTTTGAAAGTGCTATGGATAATTTTCTAACAAGGCACAACTACCCAGCAGGACTGAGACCAAAAAAAGAACCATCTTTTAAATGTAAGTTCTTATCAGCTCTGGAAAAAAAAAAAATAGACGTTATTTAAGCCAAAGCTTAAATTTGGGCTAAAGCCTCAGACTTGAAAAATGCTTGAAGCCAGAATTGGGAGGTGACAGGGGTGTACCAAGGAAGGGTGGGGGTGGGGGAAGCACTGGTTTGTGATTTTACTTCCAGTCTGCGGTCATTGAGTTCATGAGTTTGTACACTCTTGGACCTGTCAGTAAGAAAGTATATATTGAGCATGGATGTTATAGCAAAGCTCAATATACCATTTGGAATCGTATGAGACAGGGTTGTTACCCTTGAGTACTTCACCATCTCACTAAGGAGAGAGGGAACAAAAATAAGCAAAGATCTTTTTAGGGGACTTGGCATATGGTAAGGGCCTCTCAAAGTCACTTCCTGTATTCCCTTTCGGGTGTTGGAGAGAAAAATGATGTGACCGCTAAACGTGTCCCTGGGACAGAGAGGAGCCAAAATTGACCATGGAAAGGGAAAGATCACTGTGGACTTGAGTGGCCTGTGAGACTGGCATGGTAAGAAGACGGCTATGGGTTAGGGAGGCCATCCATGATGAGCTGGTGGAGGAGAGATGGGAGGGCCCATGGTGGAGAGTGGTGAGAGTGAAGGGCAGAAAGGCCAATCAGGGGCCTCCAATTCCAGGCCAAGTGGTTTGGTTTAGCCCAGGTTTCAGATTAGAAGCCAGACTCACTGATGGCTATGGATGTGTGAGTGTGAGTGTGTGTGTGTGTGTGTGTGTGTGTGTTTCTTTTTTGCTTTTATTGGAGTTGATTATATATGTTTAAAGTCTGAACTGGAATGTCTGGGGTCAGGGAACATTTGCTCCTCAATTTTGAATTTAGCTTCAGGCTCCACTTACCCAGTCACTTAATTTGTATGTTTATGTTACCTACCTGTAAAAATTCGAGATTGAGGCCCCTGTCCTTCAGGTAACAGGGAACTAATGGATATTTTTGGAATGATGGAAATGGTATTTCATGATTATCAGGGTTGCCATATAAAATACAGAATGCACAGTTAAATTTGAATTTCAGATAAACAACAAATAATTTTTAATATATGTCCCATATAATAAAAATTATTCATTTTTAAAATTCAAATGTAACAATGTAACTGAGTATCTTGGCGTTTTGTTTTTGCTTTTTGCTAAATCTGGTAATCCGGCTCATGTGGCATATATAAAATTAATGGGAGGAAAGAGAAATGAGATTAAATGAGGAGGTTGTACAATAGTCTCAGAAAGACATGGATAATCCACTCCTTTAACAGGATGGATGGCTGCATTGGAGGTGAGAGACATTCACAAAAAAAGAACGAGCGGAGCATGCAGCTTGGTTAGAGATGGGGAACAAAAGAAGAGAAGTAACCCCAGGGTTACAGAGACACAATTCACACTACAGCTCTGCTGCTTAATTACACAAGATACTCCCAGCCTTGGTTTCCCCATTACCACTTCTAATGTGTCATAAGGAGTAATGAAAATGCCTCATAAATGCTGCACAAATGTCGGTTGTTGTAATAAATGTCCCAGCCCCATTCTTTTCAACACACACTATTACTAAAGCCGTGTCTCTTCCATGCTGTCCTTGTCTAATTATTTTGAACACAAAGGTAAAATGTCCCTTTGTTCCATTTCCCTATTGGCCCACACAGCTCGAACTTGTACAATTCCCTGTTCTCCACATGGGCACTCGCGAACACTCAGAGCTTCCTCTCCTTGGCAAATTCACGGGCCTTTCCTCTGTTTTTCCAGCAAGCCATTGGTAAAAATGTGTATTAGGACAGAGTTGGAGACACAATAAGCCAGAAGCTCTGACCCTCGAGGTGGCCATCAGTCCACGCATAAACACCCTCTGGGTCCTGTCTAATGCACTATACCTGGACTTTGTTTCTCTGTGCCCAAACATCAGACAGAGACCCCCTGTGCAGATAACATGAGGCGATGGGCCCTGATACTGACTACCCCTGCTACTTTCTAGCTCGGTGTCTTGGGGCACATGGTGTAGCTTTTCCTGTAAGATAGTTTGTTATTTACTGTCCTTTTATTTCAATTGCTTTTTCCTTTCTTCAGTGTCAATTTTATGACTAATGGTTACACTAAAATTGTCTAAACCTTTTCTTTCTGGATTACAAATGATGGATGCATAAAATGCTCCCTCTGGCCTGGCTTTCTTCAAGTCACCTTGCCCCTGCCCTCAGGGAGCTCAGCTTCTCATCTGTCTCCAGAACTTCTGCCAGAATGCTTCACCTTTCCTTGGCCTCTGTTGCCACCTGCAGGAGCATTTGGAGGAGGGTTCCAGGACCCTAGATGCCAGAGAGGGAAGCAATAGGCATGTGAAATCTTGAGTTTCACCAGACAAAATCTCCTCACCTCTCTTGAGTTCATGCTGCAATATTTATGTTATTTATTTATGTTTATTTATTTGAGGCAGAGTCTCACTATGCTAGCCAGACTGGCTTCAAACTGTTGAGCTCAAGCGGTCATTGCCACCCACCCCCTCTGCCCCCACCTTAGCTTCCTGAGTAGCTGGGATTATAGGCACGCATAATCATACCCAGCAAAGCTCCAGTATTTAATCAGTTGAGTGACTTTAGGCAAATCACTCCTTTTAGCCTATTTCCTCATCTCTAGAAGAATATTTGATATCCATAAATTTGCTTTGATAGTGATTGTAAATGGGTCATTCATTTATGTATTCACGAAGCAAACAGCATGTTGGATAAAAAGACATGAAAATATAAGAACCTGAGAGAAAAATCACAATATTACAGGGGCATCAGTCAAACCCACAGGAAATTGTCAGTTTGTTTTGATAGACCTATAAACAAAGTGTCACATGATCTAAGTCATGCCTCTTGTCTGGTGCAAGCAGGGAAAGCTTCACAACAGAGGTGACATATTAATTGGACTTGGAAAACCACATAGGAGTTCACCAGGGTTTGGAAGAACACATAGGAGTTCATAAGGCAGAGAGGAAGGGAAAGGACTTTCCAGAAAGGGGAAGCAATAAGCCAAAATGTTTTGACCTGCAGGTTGTTCCCAAGGAGTGACTGAACTCTTGTATCCTGCAGCAAGCAGGCTTGGTAGGAGAGAAACGTTAAGGAGAGAGGAATGTTGCCAATGTCAAGGGAAGGAGTGGTGAGGCTTGGCCCTGGCAGGAGTCTAGTAGGGGGATGAAGAAGAGGAGCTATCAGGCTGCAAAAAGAACATTGAATCAGGATGGGCAGGTCTGCTTCATGGCCCAGACTCTTCCAACCACTCACTATGGGACCTTGGCTAAGTTAACCACCCTCTCTATGCTTCAGTTTCCTCATGTGCAAGTGAAGATAATAACCCCCACCTCGCTGTGTTGTTGCCAGATAACACATGCAAAATCATTAACACAGTGCCTGCCGCAGATGTGCTCAAACAGGTCAGCCACTGGTGTTACCATTAGATATGCAGCTTCAGGGACTTATTTTGTCTCACCAATCCTACTTTCCTCGTCAATAAAGTGAGAACGAGAGTGTCTGCCTTGCATGCATCAGAAACTGTGAAGATACAATCAAGTAATACAAGCTGTACAGAATGAGATAATGAAGCCTACATTTTAAAATATAGCAGGCATCTACCAATCATAACGCAGTTTCACTTTCATTACGACGTTTAACTTTTTCTGACAACAACCTTATGAGGTAGGATTATAATGATGTTTATTTTACATGTGATGAAAGTTGGGTTCCTTCATTTAATAGATGCTCCTTGAGCAGGTTCTGTGAACAAGACAAGACCATGGGAATTGTAGTTGAGAAGAGGAAACAGACTGCAGGTACATGCTGGGGGAACCGGGGCTCAGGGCTTCGCCCTGCTATGTCTCTACTCACTCTCTGATGATCTCTCCAAGGGACTGATGGGGCTTTCAGTCCCATGCCTGTATCATGGCAACCCATATTTCTATCTCCAGCCCAGCCCTCTCCAGACCTGTGTGTCTGCCCAATCAATCTCTCCACTTGTTTTTCTAATGAACACCTCAAACCTAAAATATATAACATTAAGCTGTCTTATCCCTCTACCCCAGCATCTTCCAATCTCAGCCAGCAGCATCTCCGTTTTTCCAGCTGCTTGGAGTCATCCCTGATTCCTGTCTTTTTCTCATACCCAAAAAAACAATCAGACAGAAAATCTTATATATATGTAAATCTTCGCCCCGGTTGGAGTGCAATGGCGCAATCTCGGCTCACTGAAACCTCTGCCTCCTGGGTTCACGCTATTCTCTTGCCTCAGCCTCCCGAGTAGGTGGGATTAAGGGTGCACACCATCACACCCAGCTAATGTTTTGTATTTTTATTGATTGATTGATTGACTGAGACAGAGTCTCGCTCTGTCGCCCAGGCTGGAGTGCCGTGGCGCCATCTCGGCTCACTGCAAGCTCTGCCTCCCAGGTTCACACCATTCTCCTGCCACAGCCTCCCGAGTAGCTGGGACTACGGGCACCTGCCACCACTCCCTGCTAATTTTTTTTTTTTTTTTTTTTTAGTAGAGACGGGGTTTCACCGTGTTAGCCAGGATGGTCTCGATCTCCTGACCTCTTGATCCGCTCACCTTGGCCTCCCAAAGTGCTGGGATTACAGGCGTGAGCCACCGCGCCCGGCCTTTTATCCTACTTTCAAAAAACATACCCAGAGTCTGAGTGTTTCTCCTTACCTCCAGCGCCACTCCATGGCCCGAGCTCTGTTTCACCTGGTTCTCACCTGGATCGCGGCCTCCAATTTGCGCAGTGACCCCTACAGTCTATTCTCCAAACAGCAGCTGGCGTGGTCATTATGAAAAGCAATGTCCACCTGCTGCTCAAAAACCCACGAATGGCTCCCCATTTCTTTCCCATTAAAGCCAAAGTCTAAAACATTTACAAAGCGTTATATGATCAGTTCCTACCTGCTTTCCTTATGTTGGAGGCTGTGAAGCTCCTTAATATATAAACAGTTCTCAGGAGAAGGAATAAAAGCACAGCCACCTCCTCAGCAGAGCCAGTTTACACTCTGCTAGAGACAAGAGGAGCTGGGACCTTCTCCCCTAACCCTTACTGCATATGTGAGAGAAGCCAGACCTGCTGGATCGACTGGAAATGCCCAGTGCCTGAGACGGGGAGGAAAGAGAAGCCGTGGGGAGGAAAAGACTGTAAACCTAAAAGGCATTGAAGTCCCACCTCACCAGTTAGGCAGGGAGGAGAAAGAGGCCTAGGGCGCTCGGGAACTTGGAATAAGGTTGCCCTCTGCGGGTGAAACTGTGAAATATCTCACAGTGGAGGAGGGCGGAGACTGTTCGCAGAGGGGCCCGGCGAAAACGTCACC
Source organism: Homo sapiens (assembly GCF_000001405.40). NCBI lineage: Eukaryota > Metazoa > Chordata > Mammalia > Primates > Hominidae > Homo > Homo sapiens. Next base: position 95,151,608 of record NC_000011.10, on the reverse strand, counting down.
CTACTGGAGGTACGAACGCATCGCAGACTGGGGGCGCCCGAGCGCATCCCAGACGCGAGGGCAAAGGCCCAGGAGGACTGTGGGGCTCTCGGAAGTATCCGATCACCTTGCGAGGAGTCCGCCGGCTGTCCGAGCCTGATGTCACTGCAACTTCGATTCCTCCGACGCCCCTACTCTTACTTCCCAGTCTTCAGGCAACTTCTCCGCTTCGGCCTCCCCTAGGCCTTGGCCCCAGAGAGGGGACGCACTCCACAGGTGGATTCGCACGTGTGGGCCCTCGGCAGCACTTTCTCGTGCAAATTAACAGGTGGCCCTCATTGTGGAAGCACCGCCCAGCCTTTCCCGGGGAGGTCACCAGGGCGAGGCCGCTCAAGGTCTGCAGGCGCCCGGCGTTAGCGGGATCCTCCCCGCGCACTGGTCCGAGGAGGCCAGGAGAGGGCGAACCAGTCCCCGACCAGCGGCCCTTCCGGGGGTGGGCTCTGACCCCACCGAGCGGTTAGAGGGTCCAGGAGCTCCAAAGGGTAGGGCAGAATTGGGTAGATGAGGGTGCATTTTTCTGGGAGGAGTCTAAGGCGTCGCTGACTCTCAAAGGCCCGCATCCGGAGAAAGGGAAAGAGCCCCGTCCCGGGAGGAAGGACGAGAGGCTGGCCCGCGGGAAGGAGCCCTGGCAGTCCCTCCTGGCCTAGGTCTACCTCTTTGATCTCACCGTCCCCGTGGCGGCGAGTGCCACCAAAGATGAGAGAGGCCAGCAGGTATCGGGAGAGAGCTGAGGGGTCGGCGCCGGCGGGACCCCAGATTGGAGCCGCCGTCGTCGGACGGGCAGACCCTGCTGTAATAGCTCCCGGCCGGCCACGGTAGGCAGGTGGGGCCCACCGCGAGTCCTAGTGAAAAACACCTTCCTCTTGATTCTCTCAAAGGAACCCGAGCCCTGGGAAGGGACATCAAGGCGCTCCCGAGACTCCGGAGACGGCCAACAGCCCCAAAAGAGAGTACTCGGCTATCCAGCCGCCCTTATCCAAGCGGAGAATCTCTCTCCACCTCCGCCCTCCCGGGACTCAAAGTTGTTTGTGGAGCCTCCAGGTTTCCTTGTAGATGGGCACGATATGCACTGTGTGCGCGCGCGCGCACACACACACACACACACACACACACACACACACACACGTATATGTATTTTTCCAGTGGCCACTGCAGGATTGCCAGCTTTCGGAAATGAGCATCCGCTCTCTCTCTCGGGACTGGGCGTGGGGTTCACCGAAAGGAGAGGAAGAGACCTTGCGTTTGCGCTGGGCCTGCTCGATGCCAGGCCATTCTAGGCTTCTGTCTATCCTGGTTTCTGGTCTGTGCGTTGTGGGTAGCAGCATTGGCGTATTACGCCGGAGGGAGCAGGCTGAGCGAGGCTCCAGAAGGTGCGCAATAGCCGGAGAGGAAAGGGCGATGCTGTCACCTAGCCCCCTCCCTGAGACTCCATTCAGCCCAGAAAAAGGAGCTGCTTTCTCCCCCATCTACCCTAGGAGAAAATAAACGGTCGCTGGCATTTTCCTGCGTCTTTTAATTTTGCCAGAACTGTTTTGGGTTGGCTATTGTGGGCCAGGATGGAGGCCTTCTCCTCCCGGGAGCAAACCTGCCCACGCCCAGGCCGGCAGTGGAGTCAGCCTTGCCCCAGCCTGCCCTCCAGGGAAACAATGCCCCTTTGTCCCTCGCCCTCCCGGGGCTGATACAGCCCCTCCCCTTAGCTTAGGGCTCCCTCCCGTTAGAGCATTCCAATGATTGCCACAAGTCACACTTTTCTTTGAGGTCTCTGCCTGGGAAGAAAACAAAGCAGCCCTCCTAATCACACGGAGGGAGTGGAACTTTTCCTGCCCTCTGACTATGTGCCAGCCTTGGCTCCTCCCTGAAGCCCTGTCTAGAGGGCTTATTAGGTCACTTATGTTTTGTACCTCGTGTGAAGTCCCACAATCAGTAGATTATAGAGGGGAGCACAAACCCAGCAGTGTCTGACATAGAGAAATTACACATACATACATACACACATACATACATACATACACACACACACATACACACATACATATACATACATACATACATACATACACACACATACATACACACATACATACACACATACACATACATACATACATACATATATACATACATATATATAGTCTTTCCACCACCCAGGATTGAAAATTAATGCTGTTTTTGACATTGTCCGTTATCCACCCAAACCCTCCAAAAAGGCTGGCTGGCATTTGCTTGGCTCTAGTTCTACCTGCCCACCTTCTCCTTTGCCTAATCCTGAGTTTTCCCCTTCCCCACGTGTGTTCCCCTTGAGCACTTTTTTGCTAACTTCCTGCATGCTACTGTCATCTCAGAGACTGATTCCTGGGGAGCCCAACCTGTAACATGGAGCTCAGTGGAAAGCACATGGAATGTGGACTGAGACATGACTGTGTTCAAACCCTGGCTCTGTCGCTAAGTGGTTACTTGGTTTGGGGCAAGGCATTTAATCCCTCTAAAGTTCACTTTCATCTGGGGGGAAAAGATAACTGTGAGGATTAAGTGAGTTTATATATAGTGTATGAGTGCCTGGACCACTGAAGCAGTGCAGCAGATGTTAGCTCCTCCTTCAGTAATATTTATTGAACATGGCATCCCAAGTGTTACTAGAATTTATATTTCTACTTTATAAATTTTACTAGAATTTATGTTTTCATATTCTTGATACTAATACTGCATTTTTGAAAGGGGTGACTCCTTCCTTATTAAAGTTTTAGAACACTATCCTAAGTGAAGTACAATGGTTACTAAATTAGATGACATCTGGATCTGGCTGATCTTGAACAAGCAGGTTAATCATATAACTTAGCTAGGTCATTGTGAAATTTTCTCCTGTGTAGAAAGAGATATTAATAGTAACTACTGTGGCAGATGGCATTTTCCATAAATGCCTACAAAATACTTTCCATCTCAGCTGCTCTTCAGAAATGACCTTGCCATTCCTCCATCAACAGATGAAATCTAATTCCCCTTCTTTTGCATCTGGGCTGGCCTCAGGGACTTACTTGGGCATTGGAATGTGGCAAAAGTGATGGTCTGGGACTTCCAAGGCTAGTTCATACAAGCTAAGTCATTCTGTGTGAGTCTTTTGGGATGTTCCCTCTTCCAACCCAGCCACCATACTGTGAGAAGCCTGAACACTTGGAAAGCCATGTGTAGGTGCTCTGGCTAACAGTCCCAGCCAACAGCAAGCATCAACTGCCCACCGAGTGAGCTCTCCTGACATCCAGCACCTTTGGGCCTTCTGAAGACTGCAGCACCAGCCCACATCTGGGACCCCAAAAAGAATGGGAATAAACTGAGCCCAGTTAGTATACAAACCAAGACAGATAATAATAAATGGTTGTTTTAAGCCATTAAGTTATGGAGTGGTTTGTTATGCAGCAATAGAAACTAAATCACTAGCTCCTAGGGTTATGTGAAATCAAGGAAGACAATGCATGCAAACTGATTACTAATGTGCTTCGTAAATAATTAATACGGTTGCAGAAAAAAGTAAGCTGATTATATGGGGAGATAAAACATGGGCACAAATAACTGCAAAACTAAGCAGGCATCATCTGAATCAATATTTAGTGGGCACCTATCCCATGCCAGACTGTCTACATAATCATAGAATCTCCAAGTAGAACAGAATTTGGGAGCTATTCTAGTTCAACCTCCCACTTAGTGAGGACATTTCTTCTTGAATGCTTGTTTAATACAACTATTATTTATTAAGCCTCGCTCCGCACCAGAAAGTGTGGTAGATGGTAATGTCAGGAAGTGGGATAGAAAGATAACTAAGACACAGCCCAGGGCCAGAGGCAAACACATGAAGAGTTTCTGCTCAGTGTCATATGTGCAGGGAGAGAGGATACGAAGAAGACAGATGCATTTCCCCTGCATGGAATGGGGTGAGTCATCTCACTATCGGCCAGCTCTGCTGATTCAGCTTCCTGGTGCTCTGGATTCTGCTGATATATTTTCTGTGCATCAACTTGTATTCTGAGTGGCAGTTCTCCAGCTCTTTGCCTTCTTGCTCCATATACCTAAGTTGGCTGTTTACACATCCACTTACCCATCTTTGCTCAAAGCTGACCCTTGTCAAGGAAGGAGGGGTTTGCCTGGATCTTGAACACCAGCCTGTGGGCTCTTTAAGGCCAATGCCTGGATCTTGTTCATCATTGAGGCCCCAGCTCCTAGAGGCACCAAAATAAAACAAAACAAAAGAGAGAGAGAGAAGAAGAAGAAAACAGCCACCAAAAAAATGCATTTCTTTTTGTGTGGGTTCAGAAAAATGCCAGAGATTCATTTAATTCAAATTTATTTCACACAACTACATCAGGGAAAATTAGCAGTGTAATCTGCTTTCTCAAGTTTCATGAGCAACGCTAAGTTTTTAATAGGCTGAGTGTTTAATAGGCAAGTAAAATCAGCCAACAAACAAACAAACAAAAAAACGCTGGAGTTCGAGTCCTTTACAGCCAAGTAGTTGGCAGCTGCTACGGTTATTAGCTATCATAGTTTCCCACATGCAGCCATGTTTTATGGCTTCTTAAAATTGTTTTTAAAAATGTTTCACAAACCATGGGTTTCACACAAATATAAGGGTTAGAATTTCAATTTTAAAAAATAAACATAAGTTTGGTGTCACATCAGAGAAAGCTCTAGTTTTCTCCTTTTAAGAAACAGAGGAGGTAACTCACCAGAGCAGAGGAGTCATCTGAATTGGGCCCTTTATTCTCAGCCTAACCTGCTGAGGAGCGTCATCTACAACTCACAAGGTACTGGGAGCAGGAGAATTTGCATGGATAGACAAAAGTTTGCTTCATTGCTCAGTTTCCCTTTAATCATTTCTCCTCTTTATTCTCCTCTTTCTTATTTGAAACTTATTCCTTGTTTGTATTAATGTTTCTCTGCAGGGCTGTAACTGTAGTTTATTACAAAACAGTAGAGTACAGGGCTCTTTCATTTAGCAGCTTAGTATAGTTTTTGTTGCAACAGTGTATTCATATCATGGGGTGGGGGGTAGAATCTATTTAATCAACTCTGGGGACAGTACAGGCCCCTATACAAAATCACCAAAACTTCCCTATGGAGAAAAAGATGGGAAATTAGAAGAAAAAATAAAGCTTGAGGGGGAAAAGGGTAGAGCTTTTCATTTGGAAAAAGAGGAGGAATGGGGAGTTGAGAATCAGTGTGTACTCTTGGGTCACTGGGTGCAACCTAAGAGGCTGGGGTGAATCCAGAAGCTGCTGGACCCCTGGGACCTGGGGGCAAATTGCAATGGTTGGTGGGTGAACTTCTGGGCCTGGATATGAAAATCAGCAATGAAAGGCAAACACTAGAAATTGGTAGTAGACCCCGGAAGTTGGTGGTGGATTCCTGGTGCCAGGATTAGAACCAGAGAGCTGCAGACACAACAGAGTAAGAGTAGCTCAGGGCTCTGAGGGTGTAGGACCACATGTGAGGGTGGCGGCAAAAATGTAAGGCAGTGATGGCCAAGGAGGAAAACTATTTCTCAGTAGGAGTGGAGCCTCTTCATGCCAGGAGGTCTGGTGGTGGTGCCACCCTCTTGAAGTGGAAGTGGAGAGAAACTGTTCCAGTGTGTTTGAAACTTGCCTGGTCAGCTTCTCTGCTCAACACCCTGAAGGTGATGGTCTTGTGAGACTCATTGCATGTCAACGGTACTTTTGGCACCTGTCCAGGAACTTTTAATACTGTCTCTAAGCAGAAATGAAGCAATGGCAGGGCATGATGCCCCTGTCAACCTCTAAACAGTCAATCTGGAAGAGGAGGAGGCTCTGCCATTCGCCTCCAAATTTCTCTGCTTAGTCATTTTATAGCCCAAAGAGATTCTTCTTCATCTCCATCTTGTCCGGCATTGGCTGGGATGTATTCCTTTTGGCTTATCTTTGACCAATTTTGTTTGCTTTTTTCCTTGAGTATGTGTTACGTAACTCACCTTCTTGCTATAAACTTGCATTTTTTGAACCCAAGTTATTGCTCATAAAATGTGGGATCTTGTTGATGTCAGTGGTCTTTACAGCCAACTGCCAGAGATGCTGTCTGAGCTGCTGATTGCTGTCTAAGGAAGAGAACACTCCCCAGTTCTGGTCTTGCCTCTACCCGCTTATTAATGCTAGAAGTACAAATTAAGGGGCTTTGCACTTTTTCTAATAAATATGGATATGTTCAGCTACAGAAAGAAAAGTAAAATAGAGAAAAACTCTAAGCAGAATAAACTCTAGATGTCCTCAGGGTACTGAAAAACCAGTGTTTCCTCTATATTAGAATAGCTGAGAAGTTCATGGTGCCCCTAATTAGAATTTCCAGCCCCAAATCCTCCTAGGACCAAAGTTGGTGCCCAACAAGTTGCTGCTGATCTGGGTAAGCCCTGATTGTTAGTCAAGATAGATGTAGCAGCTGAAGGTCCATCCCCCATGCTCATACGTTCAGTCACAACAGTGACTGTCTTCTTGCTTGCACGCCTGCAAATTGCCTTGGGTCAAACACACTGGATCTGTTCTCTCCATCCTTGCGGTGTCCCAGCCAGATATTGAATCCGTTGGAAGGAGGTGCCAGACCACTGCAGTGAGTCCTCACTTTCTTATCTCTGATCTCCTTAGGCTAATTCTTCTCAATCAATTTGGCCATGGGATTCCTCTCTCCTGTCCTCTGAGCATTCAGTGCAAGTGTTCATCCACACAGCCATCCAGGGGCTTCGGCACCTCCATACTCTATTGTTCTGGCTGGCTCTGTGCCAGCCCCTTTCCCCACTGGGGGGACTCCTCATCTTCTCTGCATTTCTCCTTTGGTCTAAATAATCCAGTTTAAAGTTACTAAAATATGGCTTTGGCATTTGGAATTCAACTTCAAACTCTGTGGTTTCTTTGGCTCACCTAAGCTCCTAAGGTTTTCACTGCATGTCAGTTTGGGCCCAGGAAAGCAAGTACTTAGCCTTATCTGCAGGAACTTGACCCATCTGGAGCAGGGTCAGATTGGAATCAGAAGAGCTGCTCCCCCGTCTCCAGAATCAGAGCTCCTTGGCCAAGGTCTATTCCACAGAGAGACGGATCTGAGTCAGAGGACTTCCTGTACCCACTCTGGTGGTAAGGAGATCCAGAGTGTGACTTCTAGACAAAGAGCTTATCTGAAGTTTGCTATGGCTGGGGAAAGAGGCTTGGAAGGCATGCTACTTCTTACTTTCAGAATGGGATTTTGTTTGCTTTTTTTTCATGGTGGAGAGAGGTCTGAATTGTATTTCTATTTGCTGCTTTTTGGAACAAATGAGAGGTTCCTGGCTCTTCCAATGTGGAAAAGACTTGCTGGAGGCTCTTTTTCATATCTTGCTCATTTTTATTCTGGGTAGAAAGTGATAGATATTGGAAGCCAACCTGGAAAATCATGGAAGGTCCTGCTGGATGGAGATGTCTCTGCTGGAGAGTTAAGATAGGTCTTCCTGAGGGAGGGAGGGGGGAATAGATCTGGGAAGTCATGATTATTTCTCCAGCAAGAGATGCACCTGGAGAGTGCCGATGTGCTCTCCTACTTTGCACTGCTTCTAAGGAGTCAATAGCCCTCCTAGACTGATGGGTCTGGAGGTTCATAGTGGATGCTCTTCAGGGCAGACAGGTCTGAGTAGTTTTGCTGATCACTCCTAGGATGCGAAGGATCTTGGAAATCATGACAGCATTCCTAGGGAGAGATGAATCCATGGAGTCATGGCAAGAATGCCTGTGGAAGGACAGGCCTTCCTTCTTGCTTCCATGTCCTTGGTCCAAAAGGGCTCCGTCTGTGTCCCCACCCATCTCATATCCACAGGAAAATTTCCATCATCATCTTCTTCATTTTCCAGTTTAGTGGTGAAGACAGATCATACCATGGTCCACGCACATGATGGTCCACAACCTCCATCCTCCTGCCACTGGCCCTGCCATGCTTGCTACTGAATCTGAAGCACTCATCAGTACCAGTGACAAGTGACATGTCAGAAGTGTGATGACTGAGAGTGGCAGAGTAGCTACTAGAGCAACAGCATGTCAGGCTCTGTGACTTAGTGGGGCAGGGAGGAGAAACCACATTAACAGGTGCACCCTGTTTCTCAGGTCCCAGATCAGCGCTCTGAGGAAAACATAGCAGGGAGAGGTCCACTCAGGGCCTCACAACTTTGGGAAACTCCTTATTCAGGTCCTAAGGGGATTCGTCTATTTTTTGCAAGCAATTCATGTAATGGAATTAAGCTTAGTCATGTCCACAGTGTTTATGCCCATCCAGCTAAGCCTGACTCGATCTGGGGAAATGCCCAAGCAGTTGATGATGCTACTCACTCAAGGGAAAGGGTATTCGTGTGATGAAGATTAAAAATAAAATAGTTTTCAGGGGTAAGGCCTGCTAAAACACAATCTAGACAGAGCCCGAGAGCTTCTTCACTGATCAGTTCCATTTTCATTATATTCAAAACGCCATCTCCCTCAGTGGTGATGGACGTAGTTTCCCACTATTTAATAGTTGATTTTTTCTGTGCTCTTCTCACATGATCAACCTGAGCCAAGCAAGGAAAATTGCTTTTCCTCTTCCTTGTGAAGAAAGCAATGTCATGTCCTTACATAATGTTAGCATTTGGAGACAACATCTACACAGCATCTAATTTCTCAAAGTGAGTAACTTTACGAGTCTTCTATAAATGTACTGCAGAGAGATGTGTGTTGGTGATTAGATCACCTCCCCTGTCTTCTTTGTCCAACCCACGGCTTGGAGTTGGAGCCCTGAGTGGAGCTGTGTGGAACTCTTCTCCAAGGAATAATACAGCTCAAGGGGCTGTGGGATGTGAGCACTTTTGACAGTATCAGAAATCTGCAGCTGGACATCACAGCCTGCCTCCACAGCCTGCCAGTAGAGTTAGGAAGGAGGGTGGTGACTGCCAACAACACCAATGGCATCATAGCAGCTATTACAGAAGCATTTTTCCTATATCCTCTCCCTTCTCACCACACAATGCAGTAGCTGGTACTAAATGAATCATTCTCCAGGGCCACATTGCTCTGGGAATGTAGAAGAAAAGAAGCTAGAAGGCAAGGACACTTGAAAGACTGATCAAACAGAGGGACAACTTGATCACGAGTTCCTCAAGGATGGGTTCCTCATCTGACTCAATCTCATCTCCACTGACCAACGTACTGGAAGATCAATGGATGGTTTCTGGGAAGTTGGTTAAACAGACCGAGGATGACGGGAGCAAAGAGAGCTGCAGGAGGCAGTTCAGGCTGCCAGTAGACCCAGAGTCCTTGATCCTTCTCAAAGGAACATTGGACATTAACCAGGATCAGCCTGAGCAAGAGAGAGTGCAGGTTTCCTGTCTGTACCATTTTGCTGTCAAACTGGCAGGGCTATGAGACTCCCTGGGCATGCCCCTTAGAGGGGATCCAGCTCCAGCAGCTTGTGATCAGCATTGCTCGATCTTTGTTTTCCTGAAAGAGACTCTCCACAGTCCTATGAAATCAAACCTCTCAAATGGGGGCTGGAATTACTCAGGGAAGCCAGGAGTTGAGCACTGAAATGGTATTTCAGGCCAGGGAGTGCAACAGATAAGACACCCCCATTCTACAACCTCACCTCTAGTCAGAGTGGCTGAATGCATTTATAAATCTGAATTCTTTCTTAAAGATAAGTTTTTTTGTAGCAACTTCGCATTTTCCCTTCTCAAAATGAGAACTCATATTTTGAAACCCTTTGCCCATGAAATTATTTTTCTGACAATAAAAATACATATAAAGAAAGGATGTCACATGGGAAAGATTGCATTCCTAATCTGCCTTTCTATAAACTCATTCTCTTCAAAAAGATAAACTGTGACTTTATATAACAACAACACAATGGTGAAAGCATTCTTCTTAGGCATTTTTGTGAGCTCTATGTATATATTAAGGACATTAGTTCTTTGTCTACCATATTATTTGCTTATCAGTCTTCTAACCTCCCCAGCCACAGTATGTAGGCATTTGGTACAAGCACTGTAGTAGCAGGTACATGACTATGTTTTTGGTCTACTCTTTGTGCCTAATATACAGGCTGGTGGGCATGAAGGTTCAACAAATGAATATTAACCACAAACTCTACAAGGCAGATCACCCTAGGTTCTGCAACCTACCTGATAACCCTACTCTTATTTCACTAGGTTTGTTTTTAGAAGCTAAGGAAAAACATCTGCATGGAAAACTCAATCATAAACACCCTCTGTCATATTCAGATAGCACAGAAAATTCTAGAACAAAGCACCTGTCTCCTAGCAGAGCTTTGCCTGCTTTGAGATTGAGAATACCTGCAAAAAGCACCTAAGTCATTTATTAAAATACTGAGCTGAGAGTCATTCCCTTGTAGGAGAAGGCTCATTTGGTTATTGCTGTGGGTTCTGGAGCAGGACTTTGGTATGTCAAGACCCAAGTCCAGTTACTGGCTGTGTGACTCTGGACAAGGTAGTTAACCTCTCTAAGCCTCAGTGCCCTCCTCTGTAAGCTCAGAAAAAAATAGATGTACAATTTATTACAGTGTCTAGACCTAAGTGTACAATTCTTTGTAGATATCCTTATCATCATGATTATGATATTACTCAAGTCATGGAAACAGCAAGTCCAGTTTCTGGAGACTGCAATGATGTCATTCCTCACACCCACTCAGACTCCAGGAGGCTCATCCAGTTTCCCACCAAGTGAGTCTATGCCTTTACTGCTCCCTTCTATAAAACACTAGGATAATCATGGTACATAATAATGCCTTTGTGTTTATAGGGCATGATCACATTCATTTTCTCATTTGATCCCCACAATAACCCTGTTATGGTAAACAAGGAAGATTATGTTATCTCTATTTTAGAAGTGAGGAAATAAAGGGAAAACGAGCTTAAGTGACTAGCTTAACTTACTAAGAAGTGGAGTAGAATTTGTAACAAGATCTTTCTCGCTGTGTCTCAGGGTGGAGTAGAAAGACCATTTACCAAAAGGGGCAGCCCCCTATTGGTCAAGTTTTGCTGCCATCACTGGGACCACCAGAGTGGGGAGCATTTCTCCTCCACATTTCAGGATTCGGGATCTGCAGTTTGCTGCCTTTAAGCAGCTGATGTCAGTGTCTTATCCTGCCCAAGGTATACCGACAGGTGTTATTAGGAGATGTCTGCCTGGAGCAAGTCACACTATTTCTACACATACACACTGACATCTTTATATAGTTTACATATCATTGACATGCTCACCAGAGGAAGCTTTGAAGGGAAAATGGAGTCTCAAGAGGGCATTAAGCCAGCTGGAGTAGATGGATAGATGGCAGGGATGGAGGGGGCTCATGCTCTGTGAAAGGCCAAGTAGCTCCATCTTCTAGAGGCCAGGTCTGAGCCTTGAACACTGAGGTGATTGACTGGAGCACTTTGCATGCATGAGCAGCAGCTCTTGTGTGGGTGATCCCCTTTTGCTCTAGTTAAAAAGTGCGGGAGGTTTCTCCCAAACTACCTGGCCCAGGGCAGTTATAATGATCTAAAATCACAGAACCAACCCTGGCTGTACAATAGAATCATAGGTGATGTTTTTAATATTTACAGATGCCAAGGCCCCACCTAAACCAATTAAATCAGAATCTTTGTGACTGAGAGCTAGGCATCAGTATTGTTGTTTACAGTTGTATTGAGGTATAATTGATATACAATAAACTGCACATATTTAACAATCAATTTGATGCACAGTGACATAAATATACATCCTGACTCTTCACTATAATCAAGATAATGAACATATACAATATCTCATAAAGTTTCCTCATGCCCTTTGTAATCTTTCCCCTACTTCCCCATCCCATCACCAAGAAAACAGATCTGCTTTTTGTCACTATAGATTAATTTACATTTCTAGAATTTTTTACAAATGGAATCATATCATATGTTGTCTTTCGTCTGGCTTCTTTAACTCAGCATAATTTTTTTGAGATTTACCCATGTGGTTATATATGTCAGTTCCTTTTTATTGGTAAATAGCATTCATTTATGGTTATACCATAGTTTATTCAACTGATGCTGGACATTTGGTTTTTTTTTTCCCGGTTGTGGACTGTTACAAATAAAGTTGCTCCGAACATGCACATTGCATGGTATGTCTTTGTATTGATGTATGTTGTCTTTTCTCTTGGATCAATACCTAGGAGTGGAAAGCCTGAATCATATGGTGGACGTAAGTTTATCATTTTAAGATACTTCTAAACAGCTTTCCAAAGTGGTTGTGCCACTTTACATTTCCACTAATATTAAATGAGAGCTCCGTTGCTGCACATCCTCGCCATCCTTGCATGGGTCTACTTTATACTATATAGTGAGTACAGTTGATCTCATTGTGATTTTAAGTTGAATTTCTGTAATGACTAATGGGGTTGAGCATCTTTTCATGTACTTTTTGCTATTTGTATATCTTCTTTATTGAAGCTTATTTTAAAACCACTAGAGATGGGACCCTAACATTAGTTAAAAAAATCAATAAAACCTCCCCGGCAATTCTAACGTGCAATCAGGATTAAGCATCATTGTCTCACTAGAAAACTGAGTGCAAACCTCTCATTTTAATCACACGGAAACTGGGAGATTAAGGTTATTTGTATAGCAAGAAAAATTTCAAGACAGTAAAATCACTCCTAAAATAGTTGTGGACATTACAGAGCGAGTTCTCCACTGCAGACCTAACTATATTATTTGCATAAGTCAGACAAGTTTTACTATTGTCTCTGGTAAGACTTAGTGATATAATTAACTGAATTATTTGTTCCAATCTGATCATTTATCATTTTACTTAGTCACGAGTACTTGTTCTACAATAAATTTTGAAGGAAGTGCATTATTTCAACTAACTTTGTGACAGTATTATGACTATGGTGAAATGGAAGGGAAAATAGCCTCAGGGCTTCCACATATAGTATTGACTACACAACCCTAGAGGGCTCCCTTCACATAGCAGATATGAAACCTCTGCATAACTTACAACCGTGTGCAGGGGACTGAACAGCCTTCATCTCTAAAATCTAGGTTCTGGGTCTCACCTTCTAATTGTGTGACCATAGGAAAGTCAGTTGAATCTCTGAATCTTGGTTTAAAATAAAATGGGAATAATCAGTGTTCACAGAATAGATGTGAATGACGTGAGATCACATCGGGGATCAGCAAACCCAAAAGGCTACAGGAGCCAGGTAAGTAAGTTAAATGAGCAAAGTGGATCAGGTCAGAGAGGCAATAGAGACACCATGGAGACTATGACAAACTGTAGGATGCTGGCCCTGTCTACTCAGCTGTAGCTTGTTATGGCCTTGAGGAAATGCTGGCCATAGCTTCTGTTTTTAAGAGAAACCAAACACATCTGTGGTTCTGATGCAGTCCACTGATAAACATGAAAGAGCTTTGCAAGTTAAAAGCCACCTAATAAATTGAAAGGGCATCATTATACGTCTTAAATAAAGCTGTAAGTCAGTCTATGAGGGACTACTGCGGATGTCTATCTTGCTTCCTCTCCTCTGTCCTTCCTATGAGAACTACCAACACCATCATATGGATCCATAATCCAGTCTGGGTCAATCATCTTATTGCACTCACTCAGCCACAGTGATTGACTCAAGGATTGCATGTACCCAACTAGGAAAAAGAAACCTTCCTGGGGATTCTCCCAGCCAGAACTAACACAGGAGCTTTCCTCCTCCAGATATGAGACCATCAGGGTGAATATTCAGAGCTCCCTGTGCTTCACAGTGTATGAAGAAATATCATTTACTCTAGGTGAGAATGAAGACAACAAAGAGTTGTTGATAGTGGATAGAGTTCTGTCATTTTGTGAGTCCCTGATTCAAGAGGCCCCTTCTAAATTCTTGTTATATGATCCAGTAAATTTGGGACAAGGCTAGTTTGAGAGGGGTTTCTATTGCATGCAGGCAAAGGTATCCTAACTAATGCATTCTGCCATCCAATGGCAGAGGATGAGTTTTTATTGATTTTCAACACATCCTGTGACATTTGATTCACAGACAGAGGTTGCAGAGCTCAGAGGTGAGTCTGAGACAGGAGATGGAAATGTGGCAGTGGTATTTCAGGGAAAGCTAACCAAGGCTGTGCAGAATTCTCTCTGCTGGTCTGAATACCACAACCTGAAATATTTTCCAGATTTGAAAGCTCAGATGTGGGCTCTGCTGAGCTTCTGGAAGCAATAAGACTCTAAGAAAGGGATTCATGCTAGGACACACAAGAGATTAAGGACAATACTACAATGAAATTTTATTAATTTACATTAAAAATAGAGCTGATATATAGACTAGAGCACTCCCATTATCATCTTATGTACATTATGTACTTAAGCTACACAGGAAGCCAAAACATAATCAAAAACCACTTGTTCAAGTTGCTTTAGTATAGCATTGCCAAGAGAGTTTGAAATCTGTATGTTCAGCGTACTTGGACCATAGAGGCAAACCAACATAGAAAGCCAGGTCATGAGCACTAGTCACAATAGCAAAGACTTGGAACCAACCCAAATGTCCAACAATGATAGACTGGATTAAGAAAATGTGGCACATATACACCATGGAATACTATGCAGCCATAAAAAAGGATGAGTTTGCATCCTTTGCAGGGGCATGGATGAAGCTGGAAACCATCATTCTCAGCAAACTATCACAAGGACAGAAAACCAAACATCGCATGTTCTCACTCATAAGTGGGAACTGAACAATGAGAACACTTGGATACAGGGCGGGGAACATCACACCCTGGGGCCTGTTGTGGGGGTGGGGGCTGGCGGAGGGATAGCATTAGGAGAAATACCTAATGTAAATGATGAGTTGATGGGTGCAGCAAACCAACATGACACATGTACACCTATGTATCAAACCTGCACATTGTGCACATGTACCCTAGAACTTAAAGTATAATAAAAAAAAAAAAAAAAAAAAGAAAGCCAGGCCATGAGCAGAAGCTTGTTTGACTGGAAAAGGATGGAAAATAAGGCATTAGATAAGTTATTGTTTAATGGCACTGAGCTAAAATAACCTTATGAATTTATTTTACAGGGCTGGGGATGTAGTCTTTGGATTTCGAAATATTTAAAGTTCAGATTGTCAAGCCTTCCTCTCTCCTGAATAGTACTCAAAAGGGCATGGTCAGTATTTGTTTCAGTGATTTTCCTCCCTCTGCCATACTATAGCTGTTCAATTCTTTTCTGCTGGAAATGTTCCTTCTGTGTATCTTATGCACTCAATTGGATGATGAAGTTAGTGGTATGGGGGAGCCAGTTCCCAGTGACTTGCACTAGCTCAGGAGCCCAGGCTGTGTACATCTCTTCCCAATGCTGCTTTCAGTGATGTCACATTGGCAGCTTGACATCAGCTGTGATGGAAATATTGACACCACAGAAATTGGCAAACATTACAAATCAGGGTGCTCTCCCCGCAAACACAGAAAGCTGGTGGTTCAACATTTACCAGCATACCACTGGTTATGAGTGCAATAGGCCCAACACGCTTGTTATTTCTTTCAGGTGTGCATTTCTACTTTGATCCATTATGGACTGATCTAATATTAGACATTTAGAGAAAAATTCTGTGGCCTGATTTCTAAGATCTTACAGGGTCTTTCACTTTGTCTCCAGCCCTTACAATAAAGGGCTCACTTGGGGTAAGGCTCCAGTTCCACAGGATGCTGGTCTAAGACAGGCACCTCCTGACTCTCAATATGGTATTCCCACCATACCTCTTACCAATCAAAACAATTACTTGTGGTCGGGCACGGTGGCTCACACCTGTAATCCCAGCACTGTGGGAGGCCGAGGCGGGCGGATCACGAGGTCAGGAGATCAAGACCATCCTGGCTAACACGGTGAAACCCCATCTCTACTAAAAATACAAAAAATTAGCCGGGCGTGGTTGCCGGTGCCTGTAGTCCCAGCTACTCGGGAGGCTGAGGCAGGAGAATGGCGTGAACCTGGGAGGCGGAGCTTGGGCGACAGAGCGAGACTCCGTCTCAAAAAAAAAATTACTTGCATGTAGAATTGTTCCCAGCTAGTAGGAAGGATTTCATAAAATCATTTACCCTAAGTTGCTAGCATTGACACAATGTGTTAACTTCTTTCAGATTATTTGTATTTTCCTAGTCTACAGGAAGCGTGCCAAGTGGTGAGATTTCTGGCAACCCTTCAGGCTACTGAGGGAGTTAAATAGAAGCCAGGGGCATTACTAACATTTCTTACTCTTAGGTTGGCCA
This sequence comes from Homo sapiens, assembly GCF_000001405.40. NCBI lineage: Eukaryota > Metazoa > Chordata > Mammalia > Primates > Hominidae > Homo > Homo sapiens. Next base: position 95,135,293 of record NC_000011.10, on the reverse strand, counting down.
CCACCTAATGGCAACCCTGCTAATTAATTCTCTAAGTCTGGGGAGAAGAAATGCTGATGATAATAATAAAAATAACGATGTTTTCAGGATGTATCATTCCCTGTCCTTCCTGATAACATCGCAGGGAATTTCTCTGACTTTTGGTAACCTTCAGATAGGAGAGATAAGTTGAGAGAATGCAATCAGAATCTCTGTGACCCAAATATATGAAAGTACTTGTTGAAAAGCAAGGATTTATTGCCTGCAATTTGAGAAGACCCTAGAGATGGTCCCTCTCTTGTTTTGCAAATATACCAGTGATTACAACCAGAAAATGTACAGTAACTCAGAGGAGGGAAACTCAGGGCTCCTGTGTTCCAGGTGCACTCTCCCCTTTACATAAGCCTGCCACTTCCTCACTTGAGACTTCTATTCCCCTGGAAGTTTCCTTCCAGACGCAGTAAACAGAATACATCTGGATATGCCAAATCAGCAAGAATGCTGGAGAAACACACACTTGGTGCAGCCTAAACAAAGCCCAGAAGCTGCTGTCTGATGTTCTCAGGGACAGATGTCAGTGGCAGGCCTGGGCTGGCCTTGAGTGTGCAGGCTGCCAGGGGCGGTCTAGGCAGCTTCTGCCAGTTCTCAGACTCACCAGGACTGTTCACTGTCTCGCACTTGTTTCTTTTCAGGTTTTACAAGATTCATATGGTGTCTTTCATTTCAGTGCCTATTACTCATTTCAATGATTCAGCCGAGCCAGACAGCAAATGGACATGAGGTGTGTGGAGGAATCTACTGAAAACGGGATTGATTGGGTTTTAAGAAAGTAGGACTCAAGGCTGGATGAGGCAGCATTCTGAGAATCTTAAGTTCCCAAGGCATAATGTTCAACATTTACTGTCAAACCCAATTTCTGGCTAAGCCATTTATGCTTTCTGAATAAGCACTTTAATTTTCATTCACATCTACTCACCTTTAAAAAAATGGAAGTATGCACCAATTTTTAAAGAAATAGGACCAACCTTGGAAACTTATAATTATGAATCTTTATATTTTTATGATAGTTGATAGTTTACAAAGCTAGTTTCACTTGATCTTTACAAAAAACCCTATGGGGTGATATTTTTATTACCCACATTTTATTGATAAGGAATTAAATCTCACAAAGGTTTGAAGACTTTCCCAAAAGTGTCACAGGACAACTAAAACTAGTTAACCCCAAGGCCCTGTATCAGAATGATCACCTGCCTTTCCCCCACCAACCCACACTCACCAGGCACAGTGTCCAAGAGGCTCTGCCTCTTTCTCAATGCCATCTTTGGGTTGCCTCATCCTACCTGCAATGCTTACCTTCAAAGCAGATGCTGACAATGTGTTTGGATTTTGGAGGCTTGATTATGAGATAAAACTGAATAGTGCTGGACACATGTTGAGTTTCAGTTTTCTGACCCTTCTCTTTTGAGACTCCAGGTCCAACCCTCATCTGTACCTTCAGATTCATGGACACCACTGATGAGGTTCTGGCTTGCTTCATTTTCATTCATGACTTTGACTCCCAGACCACACTTTGATCCTGGTTCTTCCAGCGTTGATCTAGAAACATCCTAACCTCTAAGGCACCATCAAACCAATTTTGTCCAAGAAGTGTAAATATCATTGCCCACAATAGATCTAGCAACAATTAACATTTGCTGAGCACTTACCATGTGCCAAGCATGGTAAGTGATGAATGCTTTATGTTCATTAACTCATTTAATGCTCATAGCAACCCTTTGAGATAGGTACTCATAATTGTATAGATGAGAAAGCCGAGGTGAGTAACTTGCTGAAGATCACACAATAAGTGGGGAAGCCAGGATTTGTGCCTACATCATTTTGACTCTAGAGCGTGGGCTCTTAATCATTAGGAAGTACTGGCCTCCAGAAGTCATCTTACATCCACCTCCTCACAATGGATAATTGAGGATGACAAGTGGTTATAAGCACTTTCTTTGTTGAAATTTAAGCTTAAAAATTGATTTGGAGTTAGACATCAATCCATGACCTGGGGGAAAATACCTACAAAGAGAGACAATGGGAAGACTGAGAACCCATTAATGAAAAGCAAGCAGTCCACACTATATGGCTTGTAGTGTAACATTTGGACAAACACGTATTCTGTGGTGAGCTTAGGCAAGATGCTGCCCACACTGGGAAGGCAGCCAAGAATTACTGCCACCTCCACCCAAGAGGATCACCCTACTAAAGGCCACAGAGAGGACCAGCCCCCGTCAGAGACTGCTTGTAATTTCTCTCACTGTGGGAGCTTCCTAATGAATAAACAAACTAATAAAAGTATTTCTATAATTTTCTATGTGATTCAGATTCAGTGAAGCAGTAAGTCTTTGGTGCTTAATTATGCAAGATATCAAAAACACTTATTGTCCCAAATACTTTGCAGAGCAATAACATTAAAAAATAGTTCTAAGTCCTGTTTCACTGATCCAGACCTCTCTGTTTTTTCATGTATGATGCAAACTTTTAAAGAAATGAACAAAAGCCAGTCACTGGAAGCTGCTTGAATTAATGCGGATCAAGAAGAAAATGGCAACAATTCACAGTCCCCAAGCCTCATTTCAACTATTAGGATTCTCCCCTTTTAGATATTTTACAGAACTGCTAACGAGTTGTCAGTAATTACTTTATTGAGCATCTGCAAGGTGCACATCATTGTACATAGCTTGAAAATGTCAAATTGAGTTTTGTCACACCCTCTGTAAAGGCTTCCCTAATTTCCATGGTTTCGTGGTTTTTCTTCCTCTGTTCCAAGGAACATGTTATTAGTACCTTTACTGCAGCACTTACTTGTCCTTCATGTGTTACGATTGTACCATGTGTTCTCTCCACTAGGTTTTGAACTCCTCAAAGATGAAATCCATGCATTGTTCATCTCTGCAACCTTGATGTCCAAATACGTGTTTGACAGATGAACGAATGACTGAATAAATGAAGGATGGTTCACTTTGGTTCCTCCTCCCAACTACCTAGTCTGCATTTAGATCGAAGTGCTGATGCTGAGTGAGAAGACAACATTCAAAAGGCACAATGGAAAAGAGAAGTGTCCAAAGGCATAGCTGATCCACAGACTAGAAAATCAGCTCCATAATGAGGAAGAGGCTAATCCCAAGGCCTCAGAACATAACAGAGCCACAGCAAGATCTTTAAGCCAGAGTTGGGGTTCATAAACCCCAACCTCTACCTCAAAGCCCAGCGTAGCTCATTAGGAACAGGCCAGCAGTCCAGCCACCTGCTGTGGCTTCACGTCCAATGCAGATGGTTCTAGAGACCCACAGGCACAGCCACACTAGTAGCTCAGGGCAGTGGGTCTCAGCCACCTATCCTTACTGATACTTTTTGCTTTATTGTCCCTTTTTAGGTTTCAAAACTGGCCACCCAAGAATAAATAGACACTAAACAATTGGATGTGAAAAAGAAAGACATTCCCCAATGGTTCTCAAGAAGCCGTTTGGATGCTGTGCTCCTTACATGGTGCTAAGGGGCTCAAGCTGCCGTGGATGCCCTTTTCGGACCTTTCAGTATGCAAATATGTGCTAGGAGGGAATTAAGTTTCCATGGGATGCAGTAAGCATAATGTTGTACATGGATGGCTAATTGTTTTCATCACACATGCCAAATCCAACTGCTTTGTCAGGGCCTGGAGTCTGTTTGATGAATGAGGAAATCTTGCCATGGTCCAGAGAGGCAACTGAATAATAGCACGAACTTCCCATGTCTGACATCTCAGGTGTGATGGGACATGTGCAAACAACGTTGGCTCCTAATCTGCTCTCAGCTAGCCATGAAACTAAGGGCTAGCCTGTTGCCTCCCAGGGCCTTGGGTTCCTTATCAAATAATAGTTTGGCTGGACTGTCCCTCTGGTCACTTCTAAAATTCCTTTTCTTTATCCAGCAGGATTCTTGACCAATCAGTACCAAGTCAAACCCTCACCCTTCCATTTACCTTCACACTGCTGAAATAAAGGGACATCCAAACTTTATGCTCCCTAAGACAAGAGTTGGTAAAATACTGCTTTAAGTTTCTTAGCTAAGCCTGGTGCACATCTCCCTAGCATGGACCCATGCGGTGCTCATACTCCCTAACCTTGCATCACAAATTGATCAGGATGGCAGCTTGCTGGCTGCTGTTCTACTCTGGGTGTGCCTCCGCTATTTTTCTGCAAAATGTAACTCTTGCTACGCTCATGTTTCTCATCCATCGACCCCATGCAAATGGTTGACATATTGTTCTCTCCTTGTTGGGACCCCGAATTTTTGCATATAACTTTCTGATTGATCCTGGGCGGTAGCCCCAAGATCAGTATTTCATACTTGGCTGTTTCTACCTCTCAGCAATTCTTTAAAACATTCAGAAAAATCCAGGTGATTCCATCCCAATTGTGGGAAGCAAAGTTTGGTCCCTCTTGTTACCATTTTTTAGTGCAAGATTTAAAATGACAAGTGCTTGATCAAAAAAATTTTGAGAATGAGCTCTCACATTTAATTTGTATTAATGGGGGAGTTATGTTTGTAGCCTCAAACACACTGTAAAAATAATTTCCTAAGATATAATTATTCTTAAATATTTTATATATTTTTTTCAGAGATGGCCACAATAACTTTTATCTTTATTTTGTGGCTCTTTTCTATATAGTTGTATCAAAACAACCATTTAGGGACATAAGTCAGAGTATTTTTACTGTGCTGGGTACTTATTTCATGCATTAGAAAAATCTACTATGTTGCAGAATATGAATTTTCATGTTAGCTTAACATATAGATCTTTCAGTTCAACCTTGTCAGGCAGGGATACACGTCAAGTTAATCCAAGCTGGACAAAAGATGTCCTTGGATCTGCAGCACCTACTAAGAGCAGGGCTGTCCACCTTCTCTTCTCTTCTTTCCACCGGAGAGGACTGTATTATACCATTCAAGGGGCCCAAAAAAAAAAGAAAAGAAAACTTTGCCCTTCAATTCAAACTCTGTTATGCCACATTTGGCATAAAATGCTTACCATTACCTAAAAATGATTTTTTAAAAAATGCTTATCATTACCTAAAAGAAAAATGTAGCAAAATTCAACTTTGGAGGAAAATGAAAACTGTACATATCCTTGAGAACCACGGAAAGCTAAGAGATATAGAAAATTGTACATTCCCACAAAGTTATTTCAACAAAGAGGCATTATCTGCATTCCACCAAGGTCAGTCGAGTTGAGGAGAAAGAGAAGCAAATGCCAAGAAATTGGCTGCAGATTTTTTTTTTAATCTGTTTTGCCTTAAATCACAAAGAGCAATGGGAAGAACAAGCTCCCTTTCTCCTTTTCTCAGACACCTTTGGTCTAAAGTTGTTCTTTTTCTAGTTCTTCCCTCCCCTGTAATTTTTAATTATCAGAAATAAATACCAGTGCATTTCAGGTGGTCGTCTGTGTTAGAGTGCATAACTGAAGTTATTAGTGGCTTGGGAGTTTGCACATATAACTGGAGGTAAACAGCAGATTACTACACCTAATCTCACCCTGAGCATTTCTCCTCTGTCAAGTCTAAATTCTGCCATCTTCTTTTGCAAAAACAAGCAGACATCCCCACCAAAGGCCAAAATATAATGATAACTGACAGTGAACAGAAACCCATTGTAAAGACAAACTATTCCAGCTTTCAAATTCACTGTGACTGGATACTATTAGTTTTTTGAGTTTATAACTCCCCAGAATTGTCAAAAGTAACCTTGTAGCCAATCCGCTTGCAGACACTAAAAACCACCTGAAATAGGCCACCCAGGGTACCAAAAGCAGTGTCAAAGAGCAGTGAGACAGTGCCACCAAGGCCCAGTGCAATGTCCTTGCAAACAATTGGAATAGCGCCCATGGTGTACACAGGGAAAGTGGCCACATCCACAAGGACACGGACAGGGATGCTCAGAACTCGGCAAATGGCCTTCAGCAGACAACAAAGGATCCGGAGGAGAGCCCTGATGACTTTGGCCACGACCTTGAGCACCTTCCAGGGAATGCTCACCAACTCTTCCCCAATGGCCATGAAGTATGAGATGGTGGCTGAGCCCAGGCGGTAAAGGCAACTTTCTATGCCATTAATCACCTGCTTGGTAACACACCACAGGAAATAGACAATGTTCTTCAGGATTGCTACCACAAGGTAATAAATTAATTGAAAAAGCTTGATGAATGGGGTAGCAATGAAGCCCATGAGTTTTCCCAAAAAGCTACTACTTCCCTCAGATGCCTCTGGAGGCAACAGAGTAGACCTCTTGCTCCTGGTGCTAGAAAGGGGACTAGAACTCTTTTGAGATTGTACCATTCGTTCTTCATCCTGGATTTGGTTAACCACTTCCAGGATTTTTTTCATTTTCTCTGTGTCTTGCTCAGTTTCACCACAGTTGTTCTGAAACAGCTGAGGGTTAAATGGAAGCAGTTTCTGAAGATCTTTTACCATCACATCTTCTATGATGTCACTGTCCCGGGTGTGCTTGACAAAGCCCATGGCCCAGCCTCCTCCAGGGACAGCACAACAGGCTGCCAGCCAAACAAACTCAGGGACTGCCACTTTGTCTTTAACTCTGTAGTCTGAGGGCACTGTGCCTGTGAGGATATATAGGTCTTCCCCACTGCCACACTGTGGGGTCAAAGCCCGGTCCATTAGGCTGTGGAGATTCACATACCACCGTTCCTGGAAGGACTGAGTCATTGGGGCTGAATTTGTGAGAGTAAATGTGGCCACCTGGACATCACTGCTAAGGGAGAATGGGTAAAGCTGTCCTCTTTGGTAATCAGAATCAAGGTAATCTGTATTCAAGGCTTGCTTGCTTCCCAGGCTGTTCACAGAGGTGATGGCCTCTGCCTCATTAATCGCCTCCTCAAGGTTGCTGTTGGGGTCATCGATCTGCAAGAAGAAAACAAGTGGTGAGATGCATCCCTGCTTACAGCACAGAGGCAGCACTAGAATCATCCTGCCCAGACTCTGGAGAAGTCCCCACTGGTCTATTACTTCAAACGCTTGAGTTTGGAAGGACTTGGTTCTCTGGCACATGGACACTTCATTCTGATATACCAAAATCCTGGTGTTTCAAAGCATCTTTCAGATAGGCTGTTTCCTAGTCTATTACCTGTGTTTATCCCACCCTGCTCTACAGTAACACCCCTTCACTCACACTCACACCCACCATCGTGATGTTCTTTTTAAAATCTGTTGTAGTCTGGGGCCAGGTGCGGTGGCTCACGCCTATAATCCTAGCACTTTGGGAGGCTGAGGCGGGTGGATCATCTGAGGTCAGGAGTTCAAGACCAGCCTGGCCAACATGCTGAAATCCTATCTCTACTAAAAATACAAAAATTAGCTAGATGTGGTGATGGGTGCCTGTAATCCCAGCTACATGGGAGGCTGAGGCAGGAGAATCACTTGAACCGGGGAGGCAGAGGTTGCAGTGAGCTGAGATTGCACCATTTTACTCCAGCCGGGGCAACAGAGCAAGACTCTGTCTCAAAAAAAAAAAAATCTGTTGTAGTTTCATGAACTTCATAATTCTTTTTTGGAATACTTTTGCATGAGCTTCAAAGTAATTCTAAAAAAGAAAACAAGGGGAGAGTAGATCTCAACAGGCCCATAAAGCCAGAACTGCAACTCAGTTAATCAGCCACCAATGTTGGTTGCAATTTAATGCACATGTTCCTAATGAATGTTTACACATTTTCGGATTTATGAAAAATAACCAACTCTAATCAGCGCATTTAAATTACATGGGGGAAAATGTACAGTCTGGTGTCAGTTATTAGGTATTTATCAGGCAAAACTAAAATTCAAATTAGACCAGTTGCTGTTTGAACTTAATCTCCCCAATATTTGCTATGACTAACAATTCATTTTGTGTCTTGGTCAATCTAGACATGTGCTATATATCAATTGCCATCAATATATACATCCTTTCTTGGTTCTGCTTTCTTTATAAAAAAATTCAATATTATTTATGATTATTTTCATCTTATCTGAAAGGACAAAAGGAAAGTGCTTAGGATTAATTTAGGATTATGTCATTATCCCCCAAACTAACTTGTAAATTCTTGACACCAGAAACCATGTATATTCCCCCAGAACCCAGCCCAAGGCCTGACACATACTAGAATCTCAAGGCATTCTTGTTGATCTTTATGCCCTGGGGCGGCAGTATTTATAATAGCAGCAAGTGGAACCATCCCACATTTTAAAAAACAGGGAAAGGTTTCGTAAATAATGTTATGTTATATCTATCAAAGAAATAACTCATTAAAAACCATTATGGCCAGGCATGGTGGTTCATGCCTGTAATCCCAGCACTTTGAGAGGCCGAGGCAGGTGGATCACCTAAACTCAGGCATTTGAGACCAGCCTGGGCAACATGGCGAAACCCCATTTCTATAAAAAAAAAATTCAAAAAATTAGCTGGGCATGGTGGTACACACCTGTGGTCCCAGCTACTCAGGAGGCTAAGGTGGCAGAATCGCTTGAGCCTGGGAAGTAGAGGATGCAGTGAGCAGAGACTGTGCAACTGCACTCCGACCTGAGTAACACAGTGACACCCCCATCTCAAAAACAAAATCATTAAAAAGCACTTGGAATTATAAAGGGGTTCGTAATGATAAGAAAATATATGCTATAATGTTGAAAAGAAAGGGCAGGATATAAAATTAAATAATCACTTTTTTAAAAGCCTTCGAGTATGTAAGGAAAACTTTTGAAATAAGCATATGACATGTCAACATGGTTGTTTGATTCCTGGGGATGCAAGTCATATTTTTTCCTCTATCTTCTTGTTTCTCTCCTTGTACCTCCCTACCCACATCAACCCATAATATGTGTTACTTTCAAAAGGAAATAAAAAAATACAAACCTAATTAAAATGAGTAAATTCTTGTTAACTGATTCCCTAAAATCGGTGCTACTCACTAAACATATAAAATAACCACCCAGGGAGTCAAGGCCATAGGAATTGTGTTGCACCTCTAGTCTGAGGGCAGTCCAACTGCACATCTCTCTGGCTCTGCAATGGCAAATGAAGACACTCTCTTGTAGGTATGCATAGGGGTATTGAGGGCAATGGATGAGCAACTTGGTATAAAGGCAAGAATATTTGCTGAAGTCTAATGGAGTAATCTATCGGTTGACCCTACTCATTCACTCCATGCCTTCCCCCATTCTTAGAAGGAGCAATGATCCTGGGTACTCTTCACCTGCTACCACATCCCTTGTAGGATAGAGGAAGTTGGTGTGGAGATTCCTCAGGGATCTAGAACTAGAAATACCATTTGACCCAGCCATCCCATTACTAGGTATATACCCAAAGGATTATAAATCATGCTGCTATAAAGACACATGCACACGTATGTTTACTGTGGCACTATTCACAATAGCAAAGACTTGGAACCAACCCAAATGTCCAACAGTGATAGACTGGATTAAGAAACTGTGGCACATATACACCATGGAATACTATGCAGCCACAAAAAATGATGAGTTCATGTCCTTTGTAGGGACACGGATGAAGCTGGAAACCATCATTCTCAGCAAACTATCACAAGGACAAAAAACCAAATACCACATGTTCTCACTCATAGGTGGGAATTGAACAATGAGAACACATGGACACAGGAAGGGGAACATCACGCACCGGGGATGGTTGTGGGGTTGGGGGAGGGGGGAGGGATAGCATTAGGAGATATACCTAATGCTAAATGATGAGTTAATGGGTGCAGCACACCAACATGGCACATGTATACATATGTAACAAACCTGCACGTTGTGCACATGTACCCTAAAACTTAAAGTATAATAATAATAATAATAATAAAGAAGCTCATTCATTTGGTTAAGCTGCTGTCTCTGCTCTCTTATATCTGAAAGATACATCCCAAGGAAACATCAGCCTCATTTTTGAATCATAAGATCAGGATATAGCAGAGCCAAGATCTATGGAGACTTGGGTGTAAGGTCGGGATTTTAAGATGCACATTTCTCCATGGTTACTGGAGCATTTTGTATGCACTTAACCTGGTGCAGTGCCTTCATTCCTTCTAGGGGAATCTAAAGATTGTTTTTGAATTGATAACCCTGTGGCAGAGCATAGGGGGAGCATGCTGGAGTGTCTCTAGCCCAAGAGCCACCCAAGGGTGAAACGTGCCTACAGGGGTTGATGGAAGGCCTAAAAAAATGAGCAGAGAAGAGGGACTTGGATGAGGAAGGGGAGGAAGCAATAGAAAGAGGCAGAAGGAGAACAGGGGAGGATAAAAAAGGGAAGCAAATGAGAGAGAAGTAAATGAGAGAGAACGTGCATGGCATGTGTAAGAGACCAAGTGTCCTGTTGTTAAGCAGAAACCAGGACTTACAATGGACTTATAAAGGACTGTGGGGGTTGATACACTCCCAAACTGCTATGCGTGGTCTTCCAGTGCTGCAATCAGAGGAGACTAAGCTGGGTGTTTCTGCATCCTCTTAGATCACTTAAGTTCATGGGGCTTCAGATTTCAGCCATGGCCTTGCACCTGACAACCAGGTAAGGCCTTTTCTGCCCAACTCCACAGGGAAATTTCCCATACACTTACATGGCAAATAAGCCAGGATCGAACCAAGGTGGCTGGGAAGGCCGTGGCCCAATTCTACACTGGGTCCTGTGCACCCCCCTGCCCTGGGCCTTCCAAGGCAAAGCAGTAACTAAACCATATGCTTCAGAAATACAGGCAGCTTGGGGCACATCTTCCCTCCCCTTCCCCTGCTTTCTTCAGAACCTCATATCCATGTTTACTATATTCTTATGAACTCCAAACCTGGTTCTATGGTTTGATGACAAGATAGAACATAGTGTTTAAAATTGAGACAGAATATCTGGCTACTATACCTGTATAGTGATGGGGAGATGGATTGGAGACTAATATTTTTTGAACTACCAATTTAATGCTTTCAATACAACATTATGTGGAAGGCATTTTTACTTTATTTTACAGATAGGGAAACCAAGACACAGAATGATGAAGAAAATTTTCCAGTATTCCAATAATTAGTAGCAGGAATGGAACTTTTTCCATTTCAATGATTTTTTTTTCTAGCATCTCTATTTTGTTTTATTTCAAATTCTCCTTTTTTTCTCTCTCTTGGGAAATCCTTTTTTATCTTTTAATAGTTTAGACATTGATTTTTAAAGTTCCTTTAAGATTTCTCTGTTTGGTTTTTCAGTTTATTTTGTTGCTTCTACTGGTTGACTTCAAGGAGTGTGTATAGTTAAGTACTTTGCAATTTCTGCTGATGAGTTTATCATCATGAGAGGTCCATGGTATTTTGTCAGAAAACAAAAAAAAACCCAACAGGATTGCTTTCAAAGTTGCCCCTGCCAGACCCCTACAGCATTCAATGAATTGGGACCAGCTTCTGAGTTATTTTCTCAGTTCAGGGTTTTCACATGGAGAAAGAAGAGCAAATATGGAACCACCACGCCCAGCCGGAAAAATGCTACATTTTATCCAATATTCTATGTGTTTGCAGTGTGAGGAAAGGAATTCCACATCTGCTCAGTTGACCAGATGTTTTCTCCATTGTCTCAGGCTTAAAACGTTTCTCCTAAAGCAAGCCTTGTTTCCTTTCATAACTCATTATAGATTTATCATCCCAAAATGTATCTGCTTTGCTTAAATTTTTTTTTTTTTTTTTGGTATTTATACTACCTCCTGAATCAATGTTTGGTATGAGTAGGGCAGTATGTTTCAACACTTTTACTGATGGTAACAAGAACTATATAGGCTGAAGCCTCTTACTAACAATGGGCTACAGGGACTCTCAGCCCTTTCCTAAATCACATTGGCCACGTTGTAAACAATCTGATTCTGTTTTCTTACTAATTCCTTTGTATTAACTATTACCCACAACTCTTTTGTCTGTTCATGCAGGTATTTCTATCTCCCTGAAATTCATTTCTGTCAATTTTATCTTTTGCAACTTGGAGTTGTCAAAAAAAAAAAACCGGACATTACATTATGAAGTCACTTTAACACATCATTTATAAAAATATATTAAATCCTAGGACCTTTTATTTTTACTTTTTTTTTTTTTTGAGACGGAGTCTTGCTCTGTTGCTCAGGCTGCAGTGCAGTGGCCTGATATTGGCTCACTGCAACCTCCGCCTACCGGGTTCAAGCGATTCTCCTGCCTCAGCCTCTGGAGTAGCTGGGAATACAGGCACGTGCCACCACACCTGGCTAATTTTTGTATTTTTAGTAGAGATGGGGTTTCACCATGTTGGCCAGGCTGGTCTCGAACTCCTGACCTCAAGTGATCTGCCCGCCTCGGCCTCCCAAAGTGCTGGGATTACAGGCGTGAGCCATGGCGCCCGGCCCCTAGGACCTTTTAATACCATACTAACTGATTTCCACTGAGGAAAATGCCCATTTGCTCACTATGCTATCTCCCTGTTTAAGACCAGTTTTTTAACCTATGACAAAACTTTCTTTTGATCCCAAGATGACTCATGTTTTAATAGCTTTTGTTGAAGAATCATCTGAAAAATCTAAATAAAATCAGTATACCAGCCCCCATCATTACCATGCTCACCTAACTCTACAAAACAACTAAGTATGTCTTGGTAGGCTCTCATTTTCTGAAGGGATGCTAAAGTGTCTGTGTGTGTGTGTGTGTGTGTGTGTGTGTGTGTGTAACTTAAATGCCCACTTCATCTATAGGAAACTGTATTAAAAATAGTAATAGGCCAGGCATGGTGGCTCACGCACATATAAACCCAGCACTTTGGGAGGCTGAGTGGTTGGAACTTGATCACCTGAGGTCAAGAGTTCAAGACCAGCCTGCCAACATGGTGAAACCCTGTTTCTACTAAAAATACAAAAAAAAAAAAAAGAAAAGCCAGGCATGGTGGCATGTGCCTGTAGTCCCAGGTACTTGGGAGGCTGAGGCATGAGAATGGCTTGAACTCAGGGAGGTGGAGGTTGCAGTAGCCAAGATCATGCCATTGTACTCCAGCCTGGGTGACAGAGCAAGACTCTGTCTCAAAAACTGAAAAAAATATATAGAAAAATAACAATAGTAATACTATTTGATTAAAATAGTCTTAGTATATTCTTTGATACATTGTCACTTAAAGAGTAGATGTATTTTTCCATGCTCTCTACAGACATGGTTTAATGATCTGGTTATTGCAATTATAGTAAATTACTGACAACATTGCTCCCTAAAGACAAAAATAAACCTATGATGTAAAAGGTTATTTCAGATGGCAATTTCTGGATTATACCTGCTCATTTGCACACACCACTGATCTTCCTCTTTAGTATCCCAGTGGAATCTCTAAATATAGGGGAACACACAAAGCTCTGTCTTATCTACCTCCCAGCTGACCTAATCCCCCTGGACTGTCAATGTAATTTGATACAGTTCCTGTATTCAATGGAAAAATTTCTTTCTAATCTCAACATGTTAAGTAGGTTTTAGAAAAATGAGCTGTCTTCGCTCTACTAGCCTCCTGCCCCATAAATAATCTTACAATAAATTCATTTTGAAATTTAGTACCAAGAAAAAAATTTATCTCAAAGGGCTGATCTGTTTCCTTATATCAGACAGTAAAACCTATTTAAATCCATAGGTAGTTTTTTTGTTTGTTTCAGAATTAAATGAGGGGAAACTAAATTTTTATGATAATATGCATGTAAGGAAAACAATGAAAAATTGAAAAGAGTATTGGAGGGGAAACATTCACCCATTCCACAATATTGTTAAGCCTATATTATGGATGACTAGCACTGCAAGAGGAGGCATTGAAACTGAAAATAATAACAACAATCATCATTTCTTAAGCACTGTATGCCAAACACTCTTCTATGAGCTCCACATGTATTATTAATAAATCAGGAAGGGGCTGAGCTAACTATACTCTCATTTAAACTTGCAACAACTATGTATTATTACTACCACATACAAGACAGGTGAGGAAACTGAGGCACATTGAGATTCAGTCACTGAAGAAGAAAATGAAGAGGGAGCACAGCAAGATGGCAGAATAGAAGGCTCCACTGATCATTTCCCCATAAGGACACCAATTTAATAACTATCTACACAAAAAACTACCTTCATAAGAACCAAAAATCAGGTAAGCACTCACAGTACCTGGTCTTAACTTCATATCACTAAAAGAGGTACTAAAAACATAGGAAAACCAATCTTGAATGAGCAACACCACCCCTCCACCATCCCACAGCAGCACTGGCATTCTATGCAGAGGGTAATTCTATGTACTGGGGAGAGGGGAGTACAGCAACTGCGAGGCATTGAACTCAGTGCTGCCCTTGCTACATAGCAGGAAGCAAAACTGGACCAAACTCAGCTAATGCCTGCCCACGGAGGGAGAGCATTAAACCAGCCCTAGCCAGAGAAAAGCTGCCAATCCCAGTGGTTGGAACTTGATTTTCCACAAGCCTCGCCACTGTAGGCTAAAGTGCTATGGACCTTAAATAAACATGAAAGGCAGTCTAGGCCACAGGGACTGCAACTCCTAGGTGAGTCCTAGTGCTGAACTGGGTCCAGAACCAGTGATCTAGAGGGCATGTGACCTACCGAGACACCAGCCAAGGTGGCTAAGGGAGTGCTGGCATCACCCCTCCCCTAACCCCAGGTTGCACAGCTTACAGCTCCAAAAGAAACCTCTTCCTTCTGCTTGAGAAGAAGAGAGAGAAGAGTGGAAAGAACTTTGTCTTGCATTTTGGATACCAGCTCAGCCACAGCAGGATAAGGCACTGGTCAGAGTTGTGAGGCCCCGTTTCTAGGCCCTAGCCCCTGGATGACATTTCTAGTCACACTGGGCCAGAAGAAAACGTGTTGTCTTGAAGGGAAGGACCTAGTCCTGGGAGGATTCATCATCTGCTAACTGAAGACCTTTTGGGCCCTTAATAATCAGCAGCAATACCTAGGTAAGCATGTCATGGGCCTTAGATGCGACTCTGAGACTTCCTGGCTTCAGGTGAGATTCAGCACAATACCAGCTGTGGTGGCTACAGGGACAGACTTCTTCTGCCCAAGAAAAGTGGAGGAAAAAGTAAAGAGGACTCTATCATGCACCTCAGGTACCAGCTCAGCCACAGAGAGCATCAAGTGGGCTCTTGGGGCCCCCGATTCTAGGACTTGGCTCTTGGATGGCATTTCTGGACCTGCCCTGGGTCAGAGGGGAGCCCACTGCCCTCAAAGGTAAGTCCCAGGCCAAGCAACATTTGCCACAAGCTGACTAAAGAGACTTTGAGGGAACACTGACGGGGTGTTCTGGCAGTACTCCCTGAAAGACTGTGGTGGCAGTGTCAGAGCCCACAGGGTGAGGCTCCTCTGCCTTTGGAAAGGGGAGGGAAGAGTGAGAAGGACTGCATTTTTGTGGCTTGAATGCCAGCTCAGCTGCAATGGACTAGAACACCAGGTAGACTTCTAAGGCTTTTGACTCTAGTCCCTGGCTCCCAGATGGCATCTCTGGACATGCCCAGGGCCTGGGGGAACTCACTGCCCTGAATGAAATAACACAAGCCTGGCTGGATTTGCCACCTGCTGATTGTGGAGCCCAATGTCCTTGAGCAAACATAGGCAGTAGCCAGGGAGTGGTTACAGCAGGCTGTGGATGAACCAAGTACTGTGCTGGCTTCAGGTCTGACCCACCACAGTCCTAGCGGTGGTGGCCACAGGGGTGCTTGTGTCACTCCATCCTCAGCTCCAGGTGACTCAGACCAGAGAGAGAGACTCTGTCTGTTTGAGAGAAAGTAAGAGAAGAGAACAAAAGACTCTGCCTGGTAACCCAGAGAATTCTTTCTGATCTCATCCCAAGACTATCAAAGTGGTACCACTATGAGTCTGCAAGAACCACAGTGTTACTGGGCTTGGGATGCCCCCTAAAGCAGATACAGCATAGATCACAACACCCAAGTCCTTTCATATCTCTGGAAAGCCTTCCAAGAAGGATGGGTAGAAGCAAGCCCAGACTGAGAAGACTACAATAAATACCTCACTCTTCAATGCCCAGACACAGACAAACATCTACAAGTATCAAGACCATCCAGGAAAACATGACCTCATCAAATAAACTAAATAAAGCACCAGGGACCAATCCTGGAGAAACAGAGATATGTGACTTTTCAGACAAAATTCAAAATAGATGTGCTGAGGAAACTCAAAGAAATTCATGATAACACAGGGAAGGAATTCAGAATTTTATCAGATAAATTTAAAAAAGAGATTGAAATCATTAAAAAGAATCAAGCAGGAATTCTGGAGCTGAAAAATGCAATTGACATACTGAAGAATGCATCAGAGTCTTTTTAATAGCAGAACTGATCAAACAGAAGAAAGAATTAGTGAGCTTAAAGACAGACTATTTGAAAATACATAGTAACAAGAGACAAAAGAAAAAGAATAAAAAACAATGAAGCACACCTACAAGATCTAGAAAATAGCCTCAAAGGGGCAAATCTAAGAATTACTGGCCTTAAAGAGGATGTAGAGAAAGAGATAGAAGTAGAAAGTTTACTCAAAGGGATAATAACAGAGAACTTCCCAAACCTAGAGAAAGACATCAATATCCAGGTACAAGAAGGTTATAGAACACCAAGCAGATTTAACCCAAAGAAGACTAAGAGATTTAATCCAAACTTCCAAAGGTCAATGATAAAGAAAGAATCCTAAAAGCAGCAACAGAAAAGAAACATATAAAATACAATGGAGCTCCAATATGCCTGTCAGCAGACTTTTCATCAGCGGAAACCTTACAGGCCAGGGGAGAGTGGCATTCCATATTTAGAGTGCTGAACGAAAAAAACTATTACCCTAAGAGTAGTACATTGGTGAAAATACCTTCATACATGAATAAGAAATAACCACTTTCCCAGACAAACAAAAGCTGAGAGATTTTAGCAACACCAGGCCAGTCCTGAAAGAAATGCTAAAGGGAGTACTTCAATCAGAAAGAAAAGGATGTTAATGAGCAATAAGTAATCATCTGAAGGTGCAAAACTCACTGGTAATAGTAACTGCACAGAATATTATTATATTGTAACTGTGGTGTGTAAACTACTCTTAATCTTAAGTAGAAAAACTAAATGATGAACCCGTCAAAAACCGTAACTACAACAACTTTCCAGGACACAGACAGTACAATAAGATATAAATAGAAACAATAAAAAGTGAAAAAGTGGGGGAATCAAGTTAAGGTGTAGAGTTTTTATTAGTTGTCTTTTTGCTTGTTTATCTGTTTGCTTATGCAAACAGCATTAAATTGTTATCAGCTTAAAATAATGATAGTATTTGCAAGCCTCATGGTAACCTCAAATCAAAAAATATACAGCAGATACACCAAAAATAAAAAGCAAGAAACTAAATCATATCCCCAGAGAAAATCACTTTCACTAAAAGGAAGACAGGAAGAAAGGAAAGAAGAAAGAGATGACCACAAGACAACCAGAAAACAACAAAATGGCAGGGGTAAGTCCTTACTTATCAATAACACTGAATGTAAATGGACTAAACTCTCCAATCAAAAGACACAAATGGGCAGAATGGAGGTAAAAACAAAACCCATTGATCAGCTGCCTACTAGAAACATGCTTCACCCATAAAGACACACATAGACTGAAAATAAAGGATAGAAAAAGATATTCTATGTAAATGGAAATCAAAAAAGAGCAGGAGTCACTATGCTTATATCAGACAACACAGATTTCAGGACAAATACTATAAGAGACAAAGAAGGTTATTATATAATGATAAAGGGGTCAATTCAGCAAGAGGATATAAAAATTTTAAATATATAGGTAACCAACATGGGAGCACCCAGATATATAATGCAAAGTTTTTGTTTTTGAGACAGAGTCTTACTCTGTTGCCCAGGCTGGAGTGCAGTGGCTCAATCTCAGCTCGTGGCAACCTCTGCCTCCCAGGTTCAAGCAATTCTCCTGCCTCACCCTCCCAGGTAGCTGGGATTACAGGCACATGCCACCACACCTGGCTAATTTTTGTATTTTTGGTAGAGACAAGGTTTGCCATGTTGGCCAGGCTGGTCTGGAACTCCTGACCTGAGGTGATCTGCCTGACTCAGCCTCCCAAAGTGCTGGGATTACAGGCATGAGCCACCGTGCCCAACCTATAATGCAAATATTATTAGAGCTAAAGAGAGAGATACACCTCAATACAACAATAGCTAAAGATTTCTACACACCACTTTCAGCATTGGACAGATCTTCCAGACAGAAAATCAAAGACAAAGAAACATCATACTTAATCTGCACTATAATCAAATGGATCTAATAGATATTTAATCCCATTCTTGTCCTCAGCACATGAATCATTCTTAAGGATACACCATGTGATAGGTCGCAAAACATATCTGAAAACATTCAAAAAAACTGAAATAATGCCAAGCATCTTTTCTGAACACAAAGAAACAGAAATCAATAACAAGAGGAATTTTGGAAACTATACAAATACATGGAAATTAAACAGTATGCTCCTGAATGACCAGTGGGTCAATGACAAAATTAAGAAGGAAGTTGAAAGATTTCTTGAAACAAATAATAATGGAAACATATTCCAACATAACAAAACCTATGGGATACAGCAAAAGCAATACTAAGAGGGAAGTCTATAGGCATAAGCACCTACAACGAAAAAGTAGAAAAATGTCGAATAAACAGCCTAATGTTGCATCTTAAAGTACTAGACAAGCAAGAGTAAGCCAAGCCAAAATTAGTAGAAGAAAAAATAAAGATCAGAGCAGAAATAAATGAAACTGAAATGTAGAAAACAATACAAAAGATCAATGAAACAAAAAGTTGATTTTTTGAAAAGTTGAACAAAACTGACTTAGTAGCCAGAGCAACTAAAAGAAAAAGAGAGAAGACCCAAATAAATAAAATCAGAGATGAAAAAGGAGACATTAGAACTGTACCACAGAAATTCAAAATATCTACTATGAGTGGCTACTATGAGCAACTGTATGCCAATAAATTGGAAAATCTGGAAGAAATGGACAAATTCCTAGGCATATACAACCAACCAAAATTGAACAAGGAAGAAATCCAAAACCTGAACAGACCAATAACAAGTAATGAGATCGAAGCTATAATAAAAAAGTCTCCCGGTGAAGAAAATCCTGGGACTTAATGACTTCACTGCTGAATTCTACCAGGCACTTAAAGAAGAACTAATACCAATCCTACTCAAACTATTCCAAAAAACAGAGAAGAAGAGAATACATCCAAACACATTCTATGAGGTCAGTATTACTCTGATACCAAAACCAGATAAAGACACATCAAAAAAGAAAACCAGAGGCCAGCATCTCTGATGAATATTGATGCAAAAATCCTCAACAAAATATTAGCAAGCCAAATTCAATAATACATTAAAAAGATCATTCATCATGACCAGGTGGGATTTATTCCCGGGATGCAAGGATGGTTGAACATACATAAATCAATCAATGTGACACATCATATCAACAGAATGAAGGACAAATACCTTATTATCATCTCAACTGATGATGAAAAAGCATTTGATAGAATTCAACATCTCTTCACAATAAAAGACCTCAAAAAAGCAGGGATAGAAGGAACATACCTCAACATATATATAATAGACCCACAACTAGTATCATACTGAATGGGGAAAAACTGAAAGTCTTTCCTGTAAGATATGAAACATGACAAGGATGCCCACTTTCACCATCATTATGCAACATAGCTAGGAAGTTTTAGCTAGAGCAATCAGAGAAGAGAAAGAAATAAAGGGCATCCAAATTGGAAAGGAAGAAGTCAAATTATCCTTGTTTGTGGATGATATAACCTTATATTAAAAACCTAAAGACGCCACACACACACAAAAAAAAAAACCTAGTAGAACGGATAAACAAATTCAGTTAAGTTGTAGGACACAAAATAAACTACAAAAAATCAGTCACATTTCTATATATCAACAGCGAATAATCAGAAAAAGGAACAGAAAAGTAATCCCACTTAAAATAGCCAAAAATCAAAGTAAATACCTAGGATTTAACAGAACCAAAGAAGTAAAAGATCTGTATAATGAAAACTATAACACACTACTGAAAGAAATCAAAGAGGACACACAAAAAGAGGAAAAATATTCCGTGTTCATAGAAGAATCGATATTGTTCAAATGTCCATACTACCCAAAGCAATCTACAGATTCAATGCAATCCCTATCAAAATATCAATGGCATTCTTCACAGAAACAGAAGAAACAATCCTAAAATCTATATGGAACCATAGAAGACCCAGAATAGCCAAAGCTATCCTAAGTAAAATGAACAAAACAGGAGGAATCATACTACCTGACTTCAAATTATACTACAGAGCTATAGTAACCTAAACAGCATGTTACTGGTATAAAAACAGACACATAGACCAATGGAACAGAATAAATAACCCAGAAACAAATCCACACGCCTACAGTGAACTCATTTTTGACTAAGGTGCCAAGAACATACACTGGGGAAAAGACAGTCTTTTCAATAAATGGGGCCAGGAAAACTAAATATCCATATGCAGAAGAATGAAAGCAGACCCCAATCTGTTATTATATACAAAAGTCAAATCAAAATGGATGAAAACTTAAATCTAATACCTCAAACTATGAAACTACAGAAAACACTGGGGAAACTTTATAGGACACTGCTCTGGGCAAAAATTTCTTGAGTAATATCCCGTAAGTACAGGCAACCATAACAAAAATGGACAAATGGATCACAAGTTAAAAAAGCTTCTACACAGGAAAAGAAACAATTAATAAAGTGAAGAGACAACCCACAGTATGGGATAAAATATTTGCAAACTACCCATATGACAAGGGATTAATAACCAGCATATATAAGAAGTTCAAACAACTCCATAGGAAAAAAATCTAATAATCCAATTTAAAAATGGGCAATCAGCCTGGGCGACATAGTGAAACCCCGTCTCTACAAAAAATTAGCTAGGCATGGTGGTGTGCACTTGTAGTCCCAGCTACTCAGGAAGCTGAGGTGAGAAGATCACTTGAGCCCAGGAGGTAGAGGCTGCAGTGAGCCAAGATTGTGCCTGGGCATCAGAGTGAGAGCCTGTCTCAAAATCAATCAATCAGTTAATTGATCAATCAATGAAACATAAAAAATGAGCAAAAGATTTGAATAGACATTTCTCAAAAGAAGACATACGAATAGCAAACAGGTATATGAAAAAGTGCCCAACATCATCAACCATCAGAGAAATGCAAATCACAACTACAATGAGATATCATGTCACCCTGGTTAAAATGGCTTATATCCAAAAGATAGGCAATAACAAATGCTGGTAAAGATGCAGAAAAAAAGTAACCCTCTTACACTGTTGGTGGGAAAGTAAATTAGTACAACCACTATGGAGAACACTTTGGTTCTCCATAACTAAAAACTAAAATAGAACAAAAAAACTAAAAATAGAGTGACAATATGACGCAGCAATTCCACTTCTGAGTATATACCCCAAAGAAAGAAAATCAGTATATCGAAGAGATACCTGCACTTCCGTGTTTGTTGCAGCACTGTTCACAATAGCTAAGATTTTGAAACAACCTAAGTGTCCTTCAACAGATGAATAAAGAAAATGTGGTACATACATATGCACAATGAAGTACTATTCAGCCATAAAAAAGAATGAATTCCTGTCATTTGCAACAACATAGATGGAACTGGTGGTCATTACATTAAGTGAAATAAGCCAGCCACAGAAATACAAACATTGCATTTTCTCACTTATTTGTGGGATCTAAAAATCAAAATAATTGAACTCATGGAGTTAGAGAGCAGAAGAATGATTACCAGAGACTGGGAAAGATAGTGGGGAGTGTTGGGGAGGTGGAGACGGTTAATGGGTACAAAAAAATAGAAAGAAAGAATAATAAATAAGACCCAGTATTTGATAGCACAATAGGGTGAATATAGTCAATAACGCTTTAACTGTATAATTTAAAATAACTATAATAATATAATTGGATTGTTGGTAACATAAAGAATAAATGCTTTAGAGTAAGGATACCCCATTTTCCATGATGTGATTATTAGACATTGCATGCCTGTATCAAAATATCTCATGTTACCCATAAATATATATACCTACTATGTACCATTCCATGCCTGTATCAAAATATCTTATATACCCAATAAATATATACACCTACTATGTACCCACAAAAAAATTTAAATTAAAAAAAAAAAAGCTTCAGTAATTTGCCCAGGGTCACATGGTTAGTATGTGACGGGACCACGTGCCAACTTAGGAAGTCCAGCCCCATAGCTAATGTTCCTAATCACTGTTTCATATGCCTCAAAATGGGCCTTCGCATCAATAAAGTCACCATCTATTTACGGAAACAAGGCAGATACATACAAACTTAAACAGAAAATCAAAAGAAAAGCAACAGCATAATCCAGTTTATATCAACTGCTAAATAAATGTTAGAAAGAAAAGCAACGGAATTTCAGAGGAAGGAAGGGCACAATGAGTGCAGTCAGGGAAGACACTGGAGGAAACAATCCTGAAGTGGAACTTGAAGGATATGCAAGATGTTGACAGATTTGGTGAAACAGATAGGTCAGTAAAGCTTTAGCAAGATTTCTACACAAAGGCTTTAAGGCAGAAACAGGCAGCCTGTGAAAATAGGACACTAGGTAAGGAAAAGTGACAGGTTACTTGGAAAGGGCAGCAGGGGATCAGACGAAAATTTCAAAAACATTGTTGCATCCCATTTACCCTTCACATAACCCTACAAGATAGGTATCATTATCATCTCCATGTCAGACATGGGAAAACTGAAACTCAGATGAATGGCAGGTACAAAGTCATCAAACAAGCATGTGGAAGAACCAGGGCTTAAGCCCAGCTTCTCTGATTTCAAAGCTCCTAAGTACATGCCAGTAGCATCCCAAGTATCTGAATGAGGAGGGGAATGCTGACAGCCACAGAGCAGACACTGTGAGAGAACAGGAGGATAAAGGAACAAATGAGAGACAAAAATGGTGCTATAAGGAGAATCAGTTGTCTAGGGTCATGCCAAAAGTCAAGGGAGGAGAAAGCTTTGGCTAGGGGATGATCAACAGTGTGTGCCACCTGCTGCAGAGAGGAAAGAGAAAGATGAAGTTAAGGCCTAGGCCTTTGGTGATTAGAGACCAGTAGCGACAGAGGGCTCAGGAAAGAAGACAGCTGGTGGAAGTGACTGGGTATGAGCAACAGGAGACTGCAGCAAGAGGCCTCTTGTTTAAGAAGTCTTTAGGTAGAGGCAGGAGAGAAAGAGGACCTCGGCCTTGAGAGATAAGCAGGTTACAAGGATAAACAAACATCGTCTTCCATGCAAGGTAAAGGGAACACTGGGAGGCTGGGGCTACTTGAGTCTCTGCATGACATAGCATCTTAGGGCAGGTTACCTGAAGCTCTAAAGCAGGGGTCTCCAACCCCAGGGCCATGGACCAGTACTGGTCCACACAGCAGGAGGTGAACAGTGGGTGAGCAAGCGAAGTTTCATCTATATTTACAGCCATTCCCTAACACTTGCATCACCGTCTAAGCTCTGCCTCCTATGAGATCAGCTGTGGCATTAGATTCTCATAGGAGTGCAAACCTTATTGTGAACTGCACATGTGAGGGATCTAGGTTGTGTGCTCGTTATGAGAATCTAATGCCTGATGATCTGTCACTGTCTCCCATCACCCCCAGATGGGACCATCTAGTTGCAGGAAAACAAGCTCAGAGATTCCACTGATTCTACATTATGGTGAGTTGTATAATTATTTCATTATAGATTACAAAGTAACAATGATAGAAATCAAGTGCACAATAAAAGTAATGCTCTTGAATCATCCCGAAACCATCCCCCTGCTCCCCGGTCCATGGAAAAATTCTCTTCCATGAAACCTGTCCCTGGTGCCTAAAAGGTTGGGGACTTCTACTCTAGAGCATCCCAAGGGGAATGCTCAGAAGGCAATGGGTTGGAGGAGCAGGAAGGCACTGAACGGACTCCCATCCCTGAGGACTTCTGGGCTGCAAAATCTATGCAAATGTCAGGGGCCAGAGTCACCAGTGCAGATTTGCCATAGGGAGTTTGTCACTGAGGAGGGAGGAGGAGCTGTTTGTGGGAAGTGGCCTTCAGGGACATAAGCATGAAGATTTGGAGCCTGCCAGTACCAACACTGCTCGCTGGCCTCCTCCACTCCTTTTCTGTCCTTCTTTGGCCCAAGCACTCTTTTCTCAACTTCTCTAGAGCTAGAATCATGTCATCTTCACAAGCCGTTTCTCTGAAATAGCTCAGAGACATGACAGGGACAAGGGAGTTCCTTTAACTCCCTTCCCAGCATCAACCTTGTGCAAGTGTTTTGATGTGACAGAGGATCCCACAGGGCCAGAAGACTAAGAAAGAGATCAGGTGTCCCAGCTGAGACCAGTCAGGGGACTACACCATGGGACAATGGAGTGAGAGTAGCCCTGAGAGCAGAAAGGAAGTGACAGAATGTCTTAGAATGTACAGGAGGATAAGGAGTCTCTGCAGAGGGCTAGAATGACTGACTGGGAAGAATGGAAAAGGGGAGAGAGGCTTGTAATGTGTTACTAATGTTGGTCATTGGCTTTAAAAAGCACACACACACACACACACACACACACATACATACACGGACTTGAAAGTCAGCAAAAAAGAGTTGTCAGAGAGAAGGGAACCCAGTGTACCAGGGAGGGGGATCCTGTGCATTTGCCTCTGGTATTTTTTACAGACTGTAGGCTCCTCAAAAGTTGGGATCATCTCTTGTACTCCTTGTCTGCCTAAGTCATAATAGAGACTCTGTATATGGTAGGTTCTTGGTAGGTATCTGCTAATCAGTACACTGGTGACCATGATGGGATCAATGGAAGAAGAAGATGGGCAGAGCAAGGGGATGATATTGGGATCCCATGGAGAAGAGTCAGCGTCTTCTGAGAACCTCTTCTGAGAATGCAGGGGAGGATGAAAGGAGGGCAGATGAGGGCTGGTGTTGGCAATTACTCAGGGAAGTGGTGATCTGCTTCTCTGCCATGGTGGCCAGGGGCCAAGAGCATAGGGAAAATTCGGAATGTCTTTAGCCTCCGAAGGCCACCATGCCAGGGAATTTACAGAAGAGGGAAAAAGACCACTGAAAAGAAAGGCCCCATGGATGTCAGCCAGGACAAGTGGGGCAGGGCAGCTCTGCTGAGGCCAAGGTTTGAGTTTTTGTACTTACACCCCCAGCAATGATCTGCAGTCCAGAGACAAGAACAGAAAAAGAACTGGCCTAGGTGTGGTGGATATGAACCCTGGCAGCCTTGTCCCTGCAAACAGATTGAAGTACCTGACCTCCAAATCCAGGTGGGCATGGGCCCAAGGTTGCAGGTGCTAATGGCACCGCTGATGTGAAGAGACTGAGCAGTGCAGGTGCAGGTAAAGAGCAAGACAGGCTCAGTGGTGATGGGGAGGAGAAGGGTGGATTCTCGAAGGAGCAGCATGGCAGCAGGTAGCAGGCCAGGTGTGGCCCTGCTGCTGATGGGCAACTGGTGTGAGTGGAGACAGCGCCTCAGAGTGTGGGACACAAGTGGGCAGCCGAGTTTGGCAGGCTGACCTCCAAAGACAAAGCAGAGGAGTCTGCCACTGCACTGAGACGGTATGTTTATCCATCAGTCTGAACCACTGAATTGAAGGGCCAGGGCCAGTGCCCAATTATCTCTGTGTTCCCAGACCTAGCATGATGGTCCTGCACACCAGGGAGTGACTGGCATTTGTTGAAAGAATGATCTCATTTGAGCTCCACAACAATCTTCTGATGCACATAAGATTTCCTCCAATTTGCAGATGAGTCTCCAGAGAGAACTGGCTCTCCTCTAATTCTGCTCCTTGATCTGCTGCAAGGAAAAGGTGGTCCTGACAACAGACCATCAAAGTGGTTATTAAACTCTCAATGACTCTGACTCATGGAGGGTGGAGTTTCCTTCCCCTGGAGAATTTTAAGCTGAGGCTAGATAAGCACATGTAGGGGATGATTCCGACAAGATCCTGTGGTCAGGAGATGACCTAGGGAGCTATCCAACTCCGTGGGGACAAAGACGCTATTTCCTTAGGGGTTTGTTTTATTTTTCAACAAGAGTTAAAATAATAGAATGAGCTGAACAGTGGGTGTTCCCATTTTATTTCTGCTGTGTGAACTACAATATAGGCACACACCCACACACACTGGGATGTAAAAGGAATGCCAACACCCCTGCTGCCATCATCAGGTGGGTCAAAGAGCCCCTCCTTAGAAAAGATCGTGGGTGCAGCTGATAATGAGAACATCAGATAATCTTATCAGAGCTGCCTACAGGGGCCTAAAGGTCCTCTGCACAGTCACACACAGTAGGATGAACTCAATCTGAGGCTCGGGTGAGTCCTAGGAGAACCTACTTACCATGGGAAATACCCAGCGAGGGAAGGAGCTGCTGCCTTTCAACAATGGAGGGGGAGGATGGTGGGGCCACAGCAGATTAAGGACATTTGAGGAGGAATAAAGCATGAGGCCTT
Organism: Homo sapiens; assembly: GCF_000001405.40. NCBI lineage: Eukaryota > Metazoa > Chordata > Mammalia > Primates > Hominidae > Homo > Homo sapiens. Next base: position 95,108,684 of record NC_000011.10, on the reverse strand, counting down.
TTCAGCTCTCAGGAAAGAAAGTGCCAACCCACCCATTTCAGGAAAAAAAAATCTTCCGTGCTTGGCATCTAAAATACTCTTTATCCTCTTGGGAATAGAAACCGCTTTAGAAGAATTAGGGGAATGCTCATTTTTCTTTTTTCTTTTTTTGGGTGTCTGTGTGTGTGTGTGTGTGTGTGTGTGTGTGTGTTTAGAAAAGAGAAATGCAGAGCTTTTCATTTCCTGAAAGGCCTTTTAGCAGAGCATGTCCTTGTCCTCTCCGCCTTCCTCCAGTGAATCACCCTTCCTCTGGGCTCCCAGCACCACTCACACACCTTCCTGGCTGTGGGAAGAAGGACGCATTTCCAGCTCTGGCCTGTGCTGTGCACACCCGTAGGTGTTGGCAAACTGTGGGAAAACAAAGACAAATGGCTAAAGAGCTCTCTCCCGAGTCAGAAGACGGTGGAACGGAAGATAAAACGTTCGAAAGGGTGGGTGTTCTACTTGCATTTCAGACTTCCCTTTTTCTTGATTAGTTGAAAAAATAAAAATAAAAGGAGGAATTCTTTAAATTCACCAACTCCAAACTGGCAATAAATGCAGGCAAGAAAGCCCTGTGTGAAGGCCAATGGGTGGCCTGGGGGCAAACAGACTCTCCCGGGGACACCTCTGGCTGCTCATCACACACAGCGAGGAGTTTCAAGCTCCTCCAGGGAGCCTAAGAAAATGTGCGGACTCCGGCCGGGCGCGGTGGCTCACGCCTGTAATCCCAGAACTTTGTGAAGCCAAGGCGGGCGGATCACGAGGTCAGGAGATCGAGATCATCCTGGCTAACACGGTCTCTACTAAACCCCGTCTCTATGAAAAATACAAAAAAATTAGCCGGGCGGAGTGGCGCGCGCCTGTAATCCCAGCTACTCGGGTGGCTGAGGCAGGAGAATCGCTTGAACCCGGGAGGCAGAAGTTGCAGTGAGCCGAGATCGCGCCACTGCACTCCAGCCTGGGTGACAGAGCAAGACTCCGTCTCAAACAAACAAAAAAAAGTGTGCGGACTCCTTTAAGACCTTTCCAGACTGCAGTACCTTCTCAGGTTACATCAGCCCTGGTCTTCTTTGGTTTCCTTCCACGTTACTCACAGAAGCCTGTTTTCCACTCTGCTATCCTTTCCAGAGCAATTATTCTTAGCATTGACTGTGTGGTACAGAATTCAGAGGAGTCCCTTACATTGAGAAGGCTCCATTTCTAATTTTTTCCACCTTCTGAGTTCAGACAAGATCAAAGGTTCTTAGGCCTGGCTGCACATCAGAATCACCTGGGAGCTTTAAAAATATCCTCAGGCCTCACCCAGACCTTTTTTTTTTTTTTTCTTTTTGAGACTGAGTCTCGCTCTCTCGCCCAGGCTGGAGGGTAGTGTCCCGATCTCTGCTCACTGCAAGCTCCGCCTCCTAGGTTCACGCCATTCTCCTGCCTCAGCCTCCCGAGTAGCTGGGACTACAACCCAGACTTCTTAAACCAGTAAAAAAAAAGTTCCCCTCCACCCAACCCCAGCATCAGGGTGTTTTTAAATTTCCCCAGGTGATTCTAATACGATTGTAATAGGAACCATGGGGCTAGATCTCCATCAGGTTCTCATTGATCACTCTCTGAAGGAATTAAGCCCCTACCTTGACAGCCACTGCAGGAAATTAGTGATGTCTCCTTAAATCAATAGTTCTCAAATTCAACTGAATTAAGGAGACATCACTAATTTCCTGCAGTGGCTGTCAAAAATGCAGACTCCTGTTCTTCACCACAGAGATACATTCTATTCAGTATGTCTGGGGTGGGACCTCCATATGCATTTTCACCACCATCCCAGGTGATGCTGACGGGGGAAAGGGGGGGGTGTCTATGAACCTCACGCTGAAAAACAAATGTTTAAATCATTTTGGGGAGTGCCCTGGCTAAGCTTAATTTATTCCCGTGATATTGAGAGAGGAATTATCCACAAATCGCAAGAGCTGTCATAATGCCAAGGTAGAGAACAAAATACTGTGGGTCCTTTGGATCCTCCACCTATTAGATCAGCTAATATTCTGATCATGTAACATGTGTAAGCAAGGACTTCCTTCCTCAGTCCTAGGTGGAGTGAGAAGTCTACTTTTGCTATGCATATTCCTTTGAACATTTCACTACTCTAACACCTTCAATAACATCCTATTACTTCCTGATTAAATGACAAACTGGCATATTCATAGGCCTCCCCGCCAAATTTCTCCAACTTCTTCTCTCAAACCTTCCTTTATATTCAACCAGAATAGGTCAATCCCCCCACTCATCCATGTCAGTTACATGGCTGTAATGTAAATGCGCCCCACTTCTCTCTACAACTGCCCCTGTCACTACCAGCTGGGGATGCTTTCACCATTCCTCTATGCTACCTAAATCCTATCTGGGTGCCAAGCCTCAGCTCTGACCTCACAGCTCCTGTGCTGGGTGTCCATCCTTTGTCTTCCAGATCCATCTCCCCTCTTCTCTGCCCTACTCTGCATCTGGGGAGGCTGATTGATTTAGATGGGAGGCTGACTTTTATGGGAGGCTGACTTGTAGGAATCACATCAGCTGAGCCCCGTTGCCCTCTGGCTTCTGACTGGAGCCATCAATGGGAAGGCGGGAAGAGAGAGGGACCAGATCATACATTCATTCCCTTGCTTCCCTGCCTGGCTGCTGTGGCTCTGGCTCTGGCTGAATTTTTGTACAGACACGGCTCTCACCAGGCTCCTACCCTTACCCCACAGGCCTAGGATGGTCACAGCTTCCTGCTGTTGCTAGTCCCTAGGTGCATCCCCATAACTGGTTGGCTCTCTTAATTCTTGTGCCTTCTGCATCCATGGATTCCACAACTGTGGATCAAAAATATTCAGGGAAAAAATTTAATAATACAACAATAAAAATAATGCAAATTAAAAAGGAATGAGATCTTGTCCTTTGCAGGGACATGGATGAAGCTAGGAGCCATTATCTTCAGCAAACTAACGCAGGAACAGAAAACCAAACACCGCATGTTCTCACTTATAAGTAGGAGCTGAACAATGAGAACACATGGACACAGGGAGGGGAAAAATACTCACTGGGGAAGGGTGGGCTGAGGGGAGAACATTAAGGAAACAAGCTAATGCATGTGAGACTTAATACCTAGGTGATGGGCTGTTAGGCACCGCAAACCACATGGCACACATTTACCTATGTAACAAACACACATCCTGCACATGCACCCCGGAACTTAAAAAAAATAGAATAATTCAAAAAAATAAAACAAGACAGTATTACAACTATATACACAGCATTTACATTGTACCAGGTATTATAAGTAATCTACAGATGATTTCAAGTATACAAGTAGATGTGCCTAAGTTATGGCAAATACTATGCCATTTTACATAAGGGACTTGAGCATGAAGGATTTTGGTATCCACAGGGAGTCCTGGAACCAATCCCTCATGGATACCAAGAAACAACTGTAGTTTCCTCATTAAACCCTGTTGGTTAGACTATTTTGAGAGTGCCATCTGTTTCCAGCCAGGCCCCTGACTGATACGGCCCCAGTGAAATCTTTTCCAAGGCTCAACTCACCCGGTCCTGGGAGATATATCCACAACCAAGTATTTCTAACACTGTCTCTGATAGAGTAGCATTTCTTACACATGACCCTCTCCCACCCACCTCCATGCCAGTCACAACCAAGGGCCACCCAATCTGGCCAGCAACCAACCATATGGCTCTCTTGGGTTTTCAGTGTAAGAAACGTAGTGACTGACAACAGCCAGTGAAGGGTGTGAAGGCTCCTAGATGCACTTTGGGGTTGGCAGCCAGGCTGAGCCATGGGAAAGCCAAACTGTTTAAAAGAGAGAAGATACAGACAGGGTAGGAAAAAGACCCTGAAGACTCTGTGGGACCCTTTGGTTTCTAGAAGGTTCCCAAGTCTGGTTCCTTTGAGCTCAGTGTGTATCTCTTTTCCCGTGCCTGTGAATCTACCTGTGATATCTTTCAACAGCCCTGCCCTTCCCTTGAGTAAGCTTGGATAAGTTTTATGATTCATGCATCAATGAATTTGAAATATCAGAAATACCATCCTTATGAGAACCCAGTAAGGCCTTTGAGGGAATAGGGATATGAATCTTGCAAGCAATGGAACCTTCTAAACTCCAGGATTAAAACTGGGGAACAAATGAAGATGATGAGATAAGTTGTCCTTCTTTCTTTTTTTTTTTTTTTTTTTAAGACAGGGTCTCACTCCAGTTGCCCAGGCTGGAGTGCAGTGATGCGACCTCAGCTCACTGCAGCCTCGACCTCCCAGGATCAGGTGATCCTCCCACTCAGCCTCCCGAGGAGCTGGGATTACAGGCATGTGCCACCATGCCCAGCTAATGTTTTCTATTTTTAGTAGAGACGGGGTTTCCCCACATCCAGGCTGGTCTGAAACTCCTGGATTCAAGCAATCCACCAGCCTTGGTCTTTCAAAGTCCTGGGATTACATGTGTGAGGCACTGCACCCACCTGGGACAAGTTGTCTTGATCCCGTAAGTCTGGGAGCAGATCAGAGGGGGCAACCCAGGGGACAAAGAGAAGAAATTTCTACCAAATTATTCTAAAGAGAAGAGGGGTAACAATAACAGAGGATAGCACAGAGCCACTGAATCCAGACTAAAAGCTGTGGGCAGTCACGAGCAAGGTGGTGACAGAGCAGGTGTGAAACGAAGGGCACTGCAGCAATAACACCCCACAGACACAGGAGCATTACACTCATCCTAGCTGTCCACAAGGCAGACACGGTCTGGGAAGCAAAGGCTACTTATTCATTCAACATGCTTAACATATATGCGCCGAGTGTTTAGGCACAATGCAAACTGCTTTTTGCACACATTGTCTCCCTGAATCTTAACTCCTCTGTAGGAGAGGGACAATTTATTAGTCCCATGCCACAGATGGGGAACTGAGCTCTAAGAGATTTGGTAGCATTTCCAAGGTCACACAGCTGATAAATGGCAGAGGTGGGACTCCCACTACAAAACCCATTTTCTTAACCACTCTGCATGTTTAATCCTTGCCCCTTAGCGGCTAACAATCTAGTGAGAGAGAGTTAAGTAAACCAGTTCTTGGTCATGATCTGCCTTTCCGATTAAGTAATAAGACACCCAAGGGCAGGGACTGTGTCTTGTTCCAGGACGACATCTTGGATTCCTATTTCTTGATTTAGTCCTAAGATCTCAATAAACGGTTTTCATGCTGATGAAAATGACAACACTGATGAAATCAGTAGCAGCTGGATGTCTGAGGACTAATCCTTTGCAACACTATGAGTCTAGAGCTGCTGACCAGGAATGAATAAATAAATAAAAAGATAACCAAGCAAACAAATAAACAAGGTGAGTTTGTTTCCGTTACTGAAGCTCCTTGTAATTCCATGCCTACTTCTTAAACCCCAATTCACTGGTAGAGAAGGGAACAAAGTCATGATAAACTCTTGTCTTTGATTGGTTGTGACCACATTTATTGTAGAAATGAATGGTTAGACTCACTGAGAGGAAACACACACACACACACACACACACACACACACACACACCCACTCTGCCTAGTTCCTTAGCTTCCTCTTTAACTGTGGGAGAAATTGAAAAATAGAATGGTACCCAATATTGACAGCAGTGAAAGCAACAGCAGTAACAAGCCTGGCCAATAAGCTACCTGGGCATGGAATTGGAGTCTGAGAGACATCACTGTCAACTCAATTATGAGTCGCTCTCATCTGAAAACTGGGAAAGTCCACAGCCTGTCTCTATACAAGATTATAACCATAATAAATAGCCTTTCTCCAAAGCCAACTGGCAAAATTCACCCTTCATTTTAAAGATCTTAAAGAGCATTAGAGAAGGGGACTTAACAGCCCTTAACTCTTTTCCGTAACATAATAACTCTCATTTTTGTATCCAACCTAAATCCTCCTCAAGTTATTTAAGCTTAGCACTTCTTTGTTTGTTTGTTTGTTTTTGTTTTTGAGACAGAGTCTTGCTCTGTCAGCCAGGCTGGAGTGCAGTGGTGCGATCTCAGCTCACTGCAACCTCTGTCTCCCAGGCTCAAGGGATTCTCCTACCTCAGCCTCCCAAGTAGCTGGGATTACAGGCATGTGCCACCACGCCCAGCTAATTTTTGTAATTTTAGTAGAGACAGGGTTTCACCATGTTGGCCAGGCTGGTCTCGAATTCTTGACATCAGGTGATCCACCTGCCTCGGCCTCCCAAAGTGCTGGGATTACAGGCATGAGCCACCATGCCTGCCCACCTTTTTTTTTTTTTTTTTTAAGCAGGAAAGAGCCATCTGCTTCACGATGATATGTAATAAATATAATTTGAGGTTAATAAAATTTACCCTTAGGCAAAATAATTTCCCTTTTTTTCTCCTGGGTTTTCTCCTGGGCTTTAAGAAGGTAGCTCTTCTTCAAGGCCCTCTAAATGTGAGGCCAAATGGCAGTAGGCTTTAGTAACAGAACACCAGATTAGAAATGTGGAGATCTGTCAGCTCTGCTGCTTACTGGCCTTGTGACTTCGGGCAGACCAGTGACTCCCTGGGCCTCTGCCTCCTCTCCTTTAAGAGGAAAAGGATAATGCCCTTCTGTGCAGGAACAGGGAAGGAGAAGGAAGGTCAGATTTTTTCAAGCCACCTGTGAGTTATATATTCTTGAAAGAAATATGCAATGTAGCTGGACAACTGAAAATGTCTGTGGAAGAAAAAAAATTAAAGAAAAATTAAAAAGGAAAATATGAGGTAGACTTTATATTTGAAGTCCTGAGGTCTTCTATTTCTAAGTTAAAATGCTTAATAAAATAAATTGTTCACATTTATGTGCAAACTCACCTACTAAAGGGGTCCCTACACTCTTCTCCATTGGTATGGTGGTTGTTTGAGGGGCTTATTAGATGTGGCCTCATAGAGTTCAAAGAAATGCTGAACCTTGGGAACTAGAATAAAAGTTATGAAATAGTCCGTGTGTCTCTAGGTGTTATGGAAATTTCTAGAATGTTACATAAATACACACAAATTGTAAAGACTGAGTATCTTTCAGAAGTGGGAGCTTTTCTTTATACAGTTCTGAAATGCTAAAAAAAAATTTTCACCATAAGCATATGTTATTTTTATAATCTTAAAAAACTAAGTATTGTAAATAACAACCACTACCACCGAGACAATAAAAAGATTAGTTGAAAACTGTCTGTACGTGTACATCTAGGCTGCTGTGCCATAATAAGAACAGGATTGCACAGTTCGCACATTTTACTGCCACTGCTCAATCCATATTTGCCAAGTGCTCACTGTTCAACAACATTTTTTTGATCACAAACTAAGTGCTGGAATTACGCTACACCAGGGTTTGGCAAACTCTAGCTCATGAGCCAAATCCAGCCCACCACCTGTTTTCATAAATTAAGTTTTCTTGGAACATAGCCATACTCATTCATTTATGTATTGTCTGTGGCTGTTCTGTACTAAAATAGCATAGTTGAATAGTAGCAACAGAGACAATATGGCCCACAAAGCCCGAAATATTTACTATTTAGCCCTTCACAGAACAAGTTTGCTGTCTTTGTGTTAGACAACCAGGACTCAATGGTGAGCACCAATAGTCCTGGCCCCTGCCTTCAGGGAACTTAGAATCTAGTTGGGTGCCACTCAATTAGTCACACAAATGAATGTATAATTGCAACTTATTAGCAAAGAAAGGTGTGTTTGGTGCTACTAGAGAGTATCATGGGCAGTTGACCTACTTGGGAATATCACGGAAGGCAAAAAAAAAAAAAAAAAAAAACACCCAGCAGGTACAAAGATCTATGATAGGAGAGAACATGGACATTTTAAAAAGAAAAAAAAAAAAAGTAGGCTGGGCATGGTGGCTCACACCTGTAATCCAGCACTTTGGAAGGCCGATACAGGAGGATCACTTGAACTCAGAAATTTGAGACCAGCCTGGGCAACATGGCAAAACCCCATCTCTACAAAAAGCAAAAAAAAAAATACATAAAATTAGCCAGACGTGGTGGCACATGCCTGTGGTCTACTCAGGATGCTGAGGTGGGAGGATCGCTTGAGCCCAGGAGGCAGAGGCTGCAGTGAGCTGAGATCGCACCACTGCACCCAAGCCTGGGCAATAGAGCAAGACCCTGTCTCAAAAAATAATAATAATAAAAACCAGAAAGAAGCCAAAGTGGCCAGAGTTAAAGACCTGCAAGTTGAGTGAAACCAGATAAGGCTGGAAAGGGAAGGGACACAGATTATGCAGGATAAGGAGCTGTGTAGAGCACGATAAGGAGCTGTGTCCTTATCTGAAGAGCACTGGGGAGTCCTGAAGGGTTTCCAAAGAGGCCTTCAGAGTAGAGAAAGGATAGAGGAGAACCAGATGGAATGGGTTAACCAGTCAGGAAGCTGTCTTGCAGAGACTTAGATAGATGATGGGAACTTGGGCCCTAGAGTTCAGATAAGTCTGTGCAGGACTCGTATAGGAGGGAAGTCTGTCCACTAAGGAGCAGAAAGTAAGGTCATCAACCACCCCAAACACCTCATGTCTATGAAGGAGTTATATCTGGTTCTATGATGGATACTATGGCTCTAGATACAATGGAGATATCCAAGAATGAGAATAAAAGTTTTTTATGGTTCACAAACTTGGCTTTCTTTTCCCTGTGTTTCTGCGTGTCCCGAGAACATAGTGGATGCCCAATCTTTCAGAAACATCAACCGTAGATATTTCATTATGGGGTTCCTATTTAACCATGCATCCTGGTCCATTTAATCAACAAAGTTGACTTGGATCCCTTAGTTATAAACACTAAGATAACAGCAAGCAGATTTCCTGAAACCAGTGCTGCCATCTCACAAACATAGAGGGAAGGCACATTTACCAAGCTGTGATAAAGTCGGTATAGGGACAAATGCAAGAACCTGCAAAGATGAAGGACTTTAACTTACTAAACAGTCATAAAGGAAAAAGGAATTTTGGCACGTTCAAGGAGGTATACGTTCTGAGTTAGAGCAAAGTCCCTCCTCTTGTCCCAAAGTAGGACTTACTGCATTACTGGGTTATTAAGTTTAAGTGTTCTGCTGGTCTTCCTTCCTGGGAGCCAAGCTGGCTGCAGAGAAGGAGCTCCTGAACAGACTAGGGCTGGATGATGGATGTGTGGGTCTGCCACCTCTGCTCAAGGAGCGGAGCTCTGGAGGGTGTAGTCGGCCTGGGCACCTCCTTCCCACCCCTAGGGACAGCTGGCATTGAGACAGGAGATGGGCTCTCCTCAGGCTCATGCACCACATCCAATCCAACAGCCTGTCTGGCAGCAATGTCTCCATACGCCCAGAGATGCAAGACTCTATCCCCTACCCTCTTATCTCCGCTACTCACTGAGATGCAGGGGACAAAATCTGTTGCTCAACAGAGTTAACACAGTTTTTGGGTGATCCATTTTTCCCAGCTCTAACCTGGTGCCTTATGGAAAATGTCTGCTTGCATAAGGATAATAGGAAGAGCTCAAGATGGATCAGTATAGAACAAGACTGTACAAGGGGGCAGAGCACCCTCGGCCCAATGGAGTACTTGCAATAACCCCACCCTTCCTATAGCCACAAAGGTACACCTGGAGGTGGTGAGCCTCTGATATTCATGGGCGTGTGACTGCCAGAGCTAGAAACACACCCTCTATAAAATCCTGGTAAATGAACATGTGAACTTTTAAAAGATAAACTTCATTCAAGAGCATTCAATAGGAGCTCACCCAACACATCAACAGGTTTGCAACAGAAGCAGTCCATGTGTGCTCTGGTGTCAGACAGCTCAGGTTCAAACCCGAGCCCCACCTCTTCTTAGCTGTGTAAAAATGCAATAGTAGTTTAACCTCTCTGGGCCTGTTTCCTCCTCTAAGAAGGATAATAATAGTACCTATTTCTGACGATGCTGAGGATTACATGAAATTACATGTGAAAAAAAAAACACTAGAAAAGTGCCTCCTGCCATATGATAAGCATCCAATGAGCTCTAGACTGTACTTACTTGAAGGTCAATTGAATACCTGAAGGTATCTCGCACTCAGAGTGCCCAAAACGGAGTACCTTTTCCTCCTACAGCTGTATCAAAGTATAACTGATATACAAAGAATTGTACATATTTAATGTGATGAATTAAATGTGCAATAAATATGTAATAACCCATCACATAATTAATGTGCTGGGTTTGGATGTATGCAAATACCCATGATACAATCACAACAACCAAGGAGGGAGACATGTCCAACACCTCCCATACTTTCCTTGTGTCCTTTTGTTTGTTTTGTGTGCGTATTAAGAAAACTTAATATGAAATCTACTCTCTTAACAAATTTTGAAGTGCACAATACAATATCATCAACTATAGGCATTACATTGTACAGCAGATCTCTAGAACTGATTTATCCCATGTAACTGAAACTTTATACCCATTAAACAAGAGCTCCTCATCTTCCCCACCCCTCAGCCCCTGGTAGCCACTATAGGTTGAGCATCTCAGATCTGAAAATCCAAAATCCAATATGTTCCAAAATCCAAAGCTTTTTGAGTACTGACATGACATTCAAAGGAAATGCTCATTAAAGCATTTCAGATTTCAGATTTCCAGATTTGGGAGGTTCAGCCACTAATTCCAAAATCCAAAAAAAAATCTTCAAACTGAAACACTTCTGGTCCCAAGCATTTCAGATTAGGGATACTCAACCAGTATTATATTCTTGCTCTTATGAACAAAAGCGAGTTCTTGATATGGCCCCCAAACAGCCCCTCCTTTTGTATCCTTGTCTTATTCATGACAACTCCATTCTTCTGATTATTCAGGCCCAAACCCTTGGAGTCATCTCTTCCCTTTCTCTCACTCCAAAGACTATGAGCTCTTTCTTCACAATATATCCAGAATATACAGTGCTATCATCTTGATCCAAGATACTACTGTCTTGTCAGATCACTGAAACCTCCTAACTGGTTTCTTTGCTTCTGCCCTTAACACCACATGTCTATTCTCAATGCAGCAGCCAAAATGGTCCTATTTAAATGTAAGCCAGATCACATCGAAGCTCTCTGCTCAGAACCCTGCACAATTGCTTCCCACTTCACACACAGTAAAACCCCAATATTTTACAAATAGCTCAGAAGAATCTAAATGATCTGCCGTCTCCTTCCCCACTTCTCTGACCTCATCTCCTGCTACTCTCATTTACTCTTCTCTAGCCAAACCAGCCTCTTAGTTCTTCCTCAACACACTCATGCCTCCAGGCCTTTGCAATTACCATTCCCTTTACCCAGAACGTTTTCCCCCTCTATAGATGCCTGCATAATTGGCTTTCTTACTTCTTTCATGTCTATACCCAAAAGTCAACTCCTCAGTGATCTCTTCCCTGGATGGAAACCTTGTTTTAAACTTCACCTTTTCCTTGATATCTCATAGCCTCCTTCCTTGCTTTTTCTCCTTAACACTTATCACTGTCTAATATGCCTTTTTTTTTTTTTTGAAACAGGGTCTTACTCTGTCCCCCAGACTGGAGTGCAGTGGCATGATCTCAGCTCACCACAGCCTCTACCTCCCAGGCCCAAATGATCCTCCCACCTTAGCCTCCATGAGTAGTTGGGACTACAGGTGCATGCCAGCACTCCTCGCTAATTTTTGTAGAGATGGGTTTTTGCCATGTTGCCCAGGCTGGTCTCGAACTCTTAGGCTCAAATGATCAGACCGCCTTGGCCTCCCAAAGTAGTGGGATTACAGGCATGAGCCACCATGCTTGGCACCTTGTCTTTTATTTATTTATTTTATAATCTATATTCTCTATTAGATATAAACCCTATGAGAGTAGGTATTTTTGTCTGTAACCACTGCTCTCTTTCCAGGACTTAGAATAGTGCCTCACACATAGCAGATGCTCAATAAAGATTTGTTGACTAAAATGAATTGACAGAGGGCTCAGGGCTTTCTTAAAGCATTAGGTGTCCCTGCCAACTGGAAGTCAATAAAAACTGAAGACCAATCAGCCCTTAAAGTATAAGTCAACTGAAACATGTAATTACATTTATATTTTCAAATAATATTTCAGCCATCTGTTTATTCTACAAAGTAAAATGTACCCGTATTTTCAGCTTTGATTAAAAATATAAACTACCCTCTGTTTGACCTTTTGATTGAGCCACACTTCTGTTCAGCACTAGGTCAATGAAGCATGACTGGAATATTAAACGGTGCTTCTATTCTTGGTTCAGCCTATGAGTCAGTTTCTTTTTCATTTCTCCTTCCTTTCAGTGGCCAAATAGATATATCGACAGGCAATGAATTATTACTATGACAGATGTTAAGTTTCATGAAAATGAAAGGGTAAGTCACCATTCAGAAGATATAACATGCATCTTGAAGGAGGAAATTTGAAAAAAAAAAAAAAAAAAAAAAAAAGCTTTCTTGACTAACAGTAATTCTAGAAGATAGACCAGATAACTGAAAACAAATGCTACTGGCAAATAAGAGGATTTACTTTCTAAAATTTTCACTTTCAGAGATGAGAGTTTAAAAGGAAGAGAAATTTTATGCCCAAAGAATAAAATCTCAATTCCCTAAGGAAAGCTCCATTCAATCACCATGAATCACCAGTAACGGAGCTAAAAGAAATCTGAAGCTGGCATTTACATACAGAATGGTATGTTAGTAGTGAAACCATAAACCATCCAAAGAACTGGATTAAAAATAAAATAACAAGTCTAGTCAGCCAGTTTGGATTCTGGAGAGAAAAAACTAACATTTTAGTTAGAAAATAGTGTGATAGAGAATAAAGAGAGTTAAGAGCTTTGGATTTGGGCAGTCATAAACTCCTGTCCAGGTTTTGCCATCTAGAAGCTGTTTGACCTTGGATAAGTTACTTAACTACTCCGAACCTCAGTTTCCTAAACTATAAAACACAAGTCATAATACCTAGAGTTGTTATAGAGATGAGATGAGTTAGAATGTGAAGACCTTTGACATGGTAAGGGATCAATAAATGATAGTTCCTTGCCTAGATTGTCCAGATATAAGTCTAAACTGAAAGAATAGTATAGGGAATTGTCACCACTGGACTGCTTCAGGACAGATGTCCCTGAAATATTCTGCCAACGCAGGTAAATACCTTAACTTGATCCTGAGAATGGCCTGCAAAACAAAAGGAAACACTAAATCCAAAGATGAAGAAAAAGCCAGAAGGGAAAAATTCAACAAAGGTTGGAACCATCCCCTGGGTCAGGCACTTCCCAGTCTTATCCAGTCTCAGCACAATAGACTGGAATGCCATTGCTCACTGTTTTCTGACAACACACTTCTTGGTTTTCCAGGACAGAGAGGGTGGAGATGTCTTTGGTACCTGTTTGGTTTGTTTTTGCTTTTAATCACTCAAATCCACCCTCCATCCATTCATTCAATCTTCCACACATTTCATCTCTCATCATGCATTTATGAAGCAGCTACTGTATGAATGTGGGACATACACCAAGCATTTGAGAAGATACATGGATAGATATTTTACTTTTTAGGAGAGATTTGCAGAATTGTAGATGTCACCTATCTAATCCAACATTCCATTTGTGTGTGTGTGTGTGTGTGTGTGTGTGCGTGCACACGCCTAGCACCTACTGAAGTAACACCTTATATACATATTAATATTTACTAAGAGTTTACCATATTCCAGGTACCATGCCACATGCTCTCATGTGTTATCTTGTTTATTTGTCACAACCTCTCTATAAACACTTTTACAACCTTTAATGAACAGATCCAAAAAATGGGGCTGGAAGTCACATAGCTTGTAAATGGAAGAGCAGGGATCTGAATTAAGTCTCTTAATTAAGGAGTAAGAATCAGGATTGTCCTGTTCACTGCATTCCTTACACAGAGATTTAAGTGTATGATGCTCTATATATCTGTTCTCTGACACAATGAAAAGAAGGCTGAGGTTGGAACAAATTGAACAGTATTTCTGTTTCAGGTTGTATAAGCCATGGATGGAAATTAAAAATCAAGGACTTAATCAAGGTTCTAACTTGAAACAACCATTTGCATTTACTAAGATCTGAAGTAAGACCTCACTGTGCCCTCCAGGAAAATGTTTTTGCAGTTAACCAGAATATCCCCTTCATTCCAGAGTAAAGTGACACTTGAGCAACCTTTATGCAGCCAAGTAAGTGCTCCCACTTGTCCTATGACTGTCAGAAAATAGAAGTGGAGTAGAAATTAGAATTCTCACATAAAAGATGAAAATTAGAGTCCTAAGACCATTAGCGCAGTGGATCCATTGTGAGATCAAAGAATCTCCACAGTGTATCAGAAGAGTAATCAGTAATGAGTTCAAAAATAAGCTGTGTGACCCTAAAACACCTCAGTTAACCTCCCTTAGCCAGTTTCCTCCTTTCTACAATGAAGATAATATCTACCTCACAGTATTTTTTAAGATTGAACAAATATACACTATTGTTACTGAATATATAAATTATATATTATATAATTAATATGTATAATATATTAATTATATAATTTATATATTCAGTTCCTTCCATGTTTATAAAATGATAGAGCTTTATATGTTGGCTTCTGGCATAAATCAGCAATGCACTTTAGAAAGGTATCATTGGCATCTTATCTAAAAATTCTTCCATTAAGTGGAAAGGAGTCAACAAACTAAAAGGTTTGAGGCTTCCTGCACTAAACCAGAATCCAGTTCTCAGGTTTCTGGAGTCTTGACTAGAACTCCTCCAAACCATCTCCTGTAGGCAGAGCAGAGATCAAAATCATTTGGGATAGTTTCAAAGGCCAAAGCTAAGACTGATGGAGTGGCTGCAGAGCAGGGTTCCAGCTCTGCATAGGGAGCATGTTTGTAACAGTTGCTGCTGGCCAGCCCTGGTGCAAGCTTCTGAAACAGGAAGCGCCCCACTGAGAAAACTGAAGCAGAACATCTCACCTGCTCCTGCCTGATTGATCCTCCCAACATCAAATTATTTTATTCAACACTTATCGCGTGCTTTCTATAAGCTGGGCACTAGGAAAAGAATGAGTAAGATGCAATCATCATTCCTCAAGGGCTCAAGTTGGGGAGACAGATACATAAGCAGATAATTACAAAACAACATGGTAAGTATGAAAATAGAAAAACTATAAGAGCACTGAAGGGGTGAACCTAACTTGGGAGGTGGATACAGTTCAGGTGGGGAATTCTTTCTGGAGGAGGTGACACCTCAGCAGAGTCTTAAAGGATGGAGTAAGGGCAGGAAGTGAAGGATAAGATGGGGTCTGTGTAGAAAGGGAATTTGGGCAAAGGGAATCAGCATGAGCTAAGAAACAGACATCACAAACAGTCTGGTTTATGAGAGGAACTCCAGGCAGCTGGATAATGCTAGAACATAAAATATGAGGGTGGAGCATGGTGAGAAACTAGATTGGAGCTGGAGACAGGAGCTAGGCTATGGAGAGCCTGTAAACTGCATTCTGCAGTGTGAACTTTGTCCTGTAGGGGCTGGGCAGGCAACACTTTACAGATTTTCAGCACAAGAGTGACTAAGTTTCTGTGATCTTTGACTTAGGAGATTCTTTTCAAAGGGAAACTGCAGTGTGGACTCAAAAGCTGCCGAACTGGGCTTTGGGAATTCAGTGTCACTGCTGCCCTGCCTGACTCATCACTGGAGGCAAGCACTGAGTTCCTTTGGTCTCCTGCCTCTTCCTCCCCTGTGTGCGGGTCCTCTTGGTAACACTGACCTCATAAAAAGGTGATGTGGGTACAAGGAGACTCAGCATTATAAAATGCTTGGAAGCCGCCAAGGGTACACATTGAGCCCTGAGCATCTTTCTGCAGTGGGGATCTTGGCTGGGAGGCAGGGCCTCAGGGAGCAGGCAACAGTGGGGGCAGGTTTGCTGCAGTGCACTCCAGGCCCAGCTGCACCTCACACCTCCTCCTCCCTCCCTCTCTCCCAATACTCTCTGGATCCTGGCTGACTTGACTTGAGGTCGAGCGGGTGGATGTGGGAGGCCAGCCACCTTGCAGGGAAAAGCATCCTGCAGTGCTCAGCCACAGTGACCATTCTGACCTCTCAGCACAGCAGGAACTCAGGCCCCTTGTACTCTTCAGAACCGCTGTACATCTTACCTCTCAAGCTGCCATTTGTAACTATTTCCACCCTCCCTTCCCATCTTCTTTAATCTCCACAGTCCCCTTCCTCATTATCTCACCCAGGGTCTCCATGTTACCTGGTTCCCTGTACTTCTTTCTGTCAAACTATGCTCCTTTACGACTCACTCCTTCCCTAGCTGCATAAATGGCTCTGCCTCCCTAAGCCTTCCTTGGTGGCTCCTCCCCACCTGATCCCTCCCTTCCATGATTCCTTTTTATTCTGAGCAATTGAGTGCATTCATCTATTTGTATTAGTTTACCTGTTCCAACTTCTTCACGCACAAATCCCTGAATCTGCCATGCCTTTCTCACTCATGATGTTTGTTCCCTCTGCTTGAAATGTCCTCCTCCTTGCCTCCCTTCTAAACTCTGCCTTATCTTTCCACACACAGCAGAAATGTCATCCTGACCCTAAGGCTTGCTTCCATCACCTCAAAGACAGATTAAATCTAATAGGACTTTGTTCACCTTTATTAAATTATGGTTTTTTGCTTAGGTCATAGCAACAGCTAGTACTTAGTACTCATGTGTCACACACCTGAGAACTTTATATATGGTAACTCATTAAATCTTCACACCACCCTATGCTATTATCTCCAATTTAACCTGCCCAAGTTCATAGCTAGTCAGTGGAGCAACTAGGATATGAACCCACATAGCATGGCTCTAATCAGATACTACACCACCTCTCCACCCAGCAAACTCCACCTGCAGATCAGGTAGCCTTTGTTCCAGAACTGCACTCAGATCTCTTGGTCCCAAATATCTGGCACACAGCAGGAGTCACTAAATGTGTTCTGAATTTAACTGAAATTTGTTTAGCATCCATTCCCATGATTTCCTCAGACGTATGTTCTGTCTCCCCAAGCTGTCCATGAGATCAAGGGGAAAGAACTAGCTCATTTGTTTTCTTCGCAGGCACACAATCACAATGCAAGATGAGAGGTGGGGAACACCCTGTGAGCTCTAGGGGTGCAGCTGGTGGAAAACTAATTTTGGATTTAAATGTGTCTTGTGTGTGCAACTGACAACGTCTTTTTCACATGCCTGATCTCGACAAGTGTTATCAACAGTTGAGGTAGGTGGAAGGATGTGAGGAAGATAAGAAAACTAGGTGCAGATTGTTTGAGACCTGGCCAAGACCTCAGAGCTAGAAATATCTGAATGAGATTACAACCCACAGGCTCTGAATAAAGCACCTGAAAGCCAGCCTCCTGTCCACTGGTGTGGTCCTGGGCAGCTGTGGCCGTCAGGAAAGGGAGAGCGTTGGGTCAGTTCTTCCCCCAGCAGCCTGGGCAGGGGTGGGAGGCTGGTGAGAGGGCAAAGGGGAGTCTGGCAGGGTGTTCTAGAGAGGAGGCCAACTGAGGAGAGGTATTAAGAGCAGGCCAGCAGGTTCGGAAGACTCTGAGGGCTTCTCAAGTGTTTGGTCACCTTTACCAGACGGGACAGAACACCATGAGAGGTGACACGATTTCCTAGTGGTATGATAATATAGATATGAGGAGTCAGGAAAAACTGGCTTATCTTTCCATCAGTTGGAGGTAGTCAATGTTTCCCTATCATTTTTAACTACCCCATTGCGTTTCTAAAAATCTGTATCTTTATTTCATTGTTCTAATTCAACACAACCGCAGATCGAATTTACTCAACGCCGTGGTAGAGGAAGGATTTTCAGGCTAGGATGAGCTCTGCAGAAGAGAAGCTTTACTTAGTAGAAAAGGCAGTGAATTTCTAGACAGAGACCTGCCCCATCTTACTAACTGGGTAGTCTTCCATATGTCTCTTCACCCCCTGGGTTTATCTCCTCTTCTGTAAAATGGGGATGAAAATGCCCACCTACCCACCTCCAAATGAGTGCTATGGCAATAAGTTGCACGAAGGCCTGTGAGCGCCCAGCCTAGGCTTTCTGCGGATCTGAACGGTCTCCAGGGTCTCTGTATCAAGCTCTTCACCATTCAGGAATGAAACACTGCGGATGTCTGCTCAGAAATGCAGGGAGAACCTCCTCCCACAGGGGACCTCCCGCCCTGCAGCTCATGAAGTGAAGGCTCGCAGATCGCCAGGCTCTTATTGTAGCTCGACAGGGGCGAGGCAGGCTAACTCCGGGGACGCAACAGGGTGGACCTGGAACCCGGGTTTCTTGGCCCAAGGCACCGAAGGCGTAGGGATTGCTGTTCCCGGCCCGCCCCTCGCGGTAGCTGCAACTGGGGGCATGTCCAGCGGCACGGTCTCCGGCGCCCGCAGCCCGGCTCGGGAACCACTTCGCTTACCTGCGGCTCCACCAGCCATCGCTGCTCGGCGCCGCCGGGCGCAGGGCGCGGGGCGCGGAACGCGGAGTACACGGGGATGCGGTCCCGGGTGCTGTAGAGGGTGGCGAAGCGCTCAGCACCCTCCGCGCGCTGACAGATCTTCACGTGGGAATCGGCCGCCAGCCCCGCAGGCGGGGTCCCGGCGTAGAAGAACTTGTCACATTCGCCAAAGCCGGCTTCCTCCTCGCCCACGAGCCGGCCTTCCAGCAGCCCAGCCAGGGCGAAGAGGCTGCCCAGCGCGAGCCAGCGCGCGGTGCCCATGGCGGCCTCTGCGAGCGCGGCGGGGCCGAGCGGCTGGGCTGCCGCGGCGCGAGCTCTGCAGGCTGGGCGGGGAGCGCACTACGCAGCCGAGCAGGGTAGGGAAGGGAAGTCGCAACCTAGGCGCGGCGCTCTGCGGAGCCGGGCGGGGCGGCCCGGGCGGCGGGGGCGGGTCCGCGTCGGGAGGCCGCGCCTCCCTCCCTGAAGATGGCTGCAGAGGCCCAGGGCCGCGCTCCGCGATGCTGACAACGTACCCTGGGCTGCGCCCGGGACTGGAGACGCGGGTCACCTGCCTCCGCGCCGCCTGGTCTCAGCAGTCCGGGGGACGCGCGCTACCAAGAGTGGAGAATCCGAGTGGGGCGGGCCTAGTCCCGGGGCTGGGAAGAGATAGTCGCATGGACTGGGCGCCAAGAAGCCTGCTGATCGCGCGCGCCCCACGGCCGCCCTGGTGATGCAGAGGGGTGGCGTGAGATGCTCGTGGAGCTGCGGCTGGTTCGGAGTGGATGGGCAGAGTTCCCCTCTGAAATTTCATGAAGATGCGTCTCCCACTCTCCACCGAAGTACTCAACGACCAGCACACGCATACAATTTTGATGGAGTTTTTTGTTTTTTGTTATGTTTTTTTAGCTCACCAGAAACTCAGAGAGTAAAGAAATACTGTTAAAGGAAGTTCCTAAACTAGGCAGACAGTATAACCCTGTGTGGTTTTCTTGGTGCAAGTGTTAGAAACAAAACCGATACCAAGCAAGGAAGGAGGCCAGCCAACGTCATTGGTCAACAGGTTGGCCAATTCTTTCCTTCATTTATCCCTCTGAATGCCTAGGTGCCAGCCTGAGATAGGCACTGGATTACCACAGGGGTAAACAAGAGCAGGGCTCCTGCGGTCACAAAGACAGCCTAGTGGGAAAGTTTGTCATTAACCGAGGAAACATGCTATTAAAGGGATAACTAAAAACTGAACACAGATCTGTGAGACCCTGACAGCTACAGGGGTTCAGGATGTAATCCGGGAAGGTTTGCCTGAAGAAGTGGCATCTGAGCTGAGACCTGGAGGATGACATTAACTAGGCAAGGAGGAAAACCATGTGCTAAGTGGTCTCCCACAGAAGGGAACATGATGTATTGGAGGAATTTAAGGAAGGCTAGTGTGGGTAAAGCGCGGAGAACCGCGTGGGGGATGATGGGAAGTGGGGCTAAAGGAGGAGGCAGGGGTCATATTACTCAGGTTATTATAGGCCAGAGGCCTTCAAACACTTTTTGAGAAGGCCCATAATGAGAAAAGTTTGATGAAATAATTCTTATGCTTATGATTGGCATTGCAATTTCATATTTCTGTTCTACTTCACTTTTTTAAAAAAGTGCTGGTGTTGACCCACTAAATTGTTTCTATGAGCCACTAATGGCTCATGACCTGCAGTTTGGAAAAAATATTGTAAATCATGTTGAGGATTTTCATCTTTTAAAGGTGGTGACTCGATTCTTTTTGCTATCAGGGAAGAGACTGGTAGATTGAAGTGGCACAGAATAAATGGGTGGCTCACACCTGTAACCCCAGCACTTTGGGAGGCTGAGGCAGGCGGATCACCTGAGGTCGGGAGTTTGAGACCAGCCTGGCCAACTTGGTGAAACCCGTCTCTACTAAAAACACAAAAAAATTAGCTGGGTGTGGTGGCGGGCACCTGTAATCCCAGCTGCTTGGGAGGCTGAGGCAGGAGAATCGCTTGAACCCAGGAGGCGGAGGTTGCAGTGAGCCAAAATTGTGCCACTGCATTCCAGCCTGGGCAACAGAGCCAGACTTTGTCTCAAAAAAGAAAAGGAAAAGAAAAGAAAAACACCCCATAATTGCCACAATCCAGATAAGAGATGGTAGCTTGGACCAGGATGGTAGGATGGTGGCAGCAGAGATAGGGTCAAGGCAGCTACCCAGGGCCAGGGCCTGTGCTCATCTTACGATGTCATCTGTTTCCCCAGTGTGCCACTACAGGGACTGAGACCAGAGCCTGTTGATTCTGGCCTAAGCTGGCACAGCCAGTGAGTCCTAAGACAGATTTGAAACAGGTCTCTCTGCTTCCCAAGCCTGGCCTTTTCTTTTAACTCACAGCGCATCTGTAAGGTGAGCCCATAAAGAAGGAAGCTCTTCAAGAGATTATACATTGGAACTTAAGAACAAATTTCTTACAGGTTTTAATTCCGGAAAATGTTGACTATGTTTGGTCCCAGAAATGAAACCAAAGTTTGTATCTTAGTTTTTTTAAAAAAAGGAGGGGACACATTTAGTGTGATGTCACAGAAGAGGCTAGACTTGAAGTCCCCTTTGATCTGGATGATGACCCTGATCATCTGGTACTAGTATCTCAGTCATCTCATCCTTGTAGGCTTCAATCAAGTCCTCCCACAGGGACAATGCTGCTCCTGGGATGCTGGGAGGATTATAGGTTTTACAGGATTTTAAAAATATTTACATTATTTTATAAGGTTGAATATAGGGTTCCCCAATGTTGACTTATGATGTCTACCATAAAGATATATAAACACAGTTGAACAACTAGAAATCCATCCCTCTCTTCTCTGAGTTCTTTAAACATTTATCTGTTATGATACTTATCATGGTAGAGTGTTAATAGTCCCTGTATCTGTCTTCTTTATTAAATCATGTGCTCCTAGGGACAAAGGTGGTTGGTGGATCCCAGTGGCTACCACAAAATCTGGAGTGATTAGATGCCAAATATGATTATGTTGTATTTTAACAAATGCAGAAAGTATAATACAATCATCATTGGCCTTTATGACTAAAGTATTTATAAGACTTTAATTCACTTTCTCAAAATTTCTTGATGCCTGCCCGCCACCTCTGATAAGCATAAATATCTCTGCCACTCAGTCCCTGTGGCAGACTTTAGTTTTTTCCCCAGCCCTCTATCAGTGACTGACACACATATAACACTGAACATTTGTACATCCCACAGCCAGGATGATTTTGTTTATTTTCTTTAGTTTATAGTACAAGACAATAGATTTTTCTTCCATGTGCTTGCCTTCCACAGATAAAATATTACTTTTGCAAATTACAAATGTTCTCACCCCAAGATTCTGGAACAACCTACAAGGTAGGAATGCCTTGATCTAATTAAAACATTTGCTAACTGCTGATTTTAGGGGAAAACTGTCTTTAGCAGCATCTGTATGTGTAAAACATGTAGGTCCATCAATAATTCACTGCTGTCTCTACATTTGGTCACTGACTCTCTTCTCACAGGGAAAGAGGTTTCAAACCAGATCCTCTTAGGTCTCTGCACTCAGACCCAGCCAAAGCTGGGTTCCATAGCCTTCAGCAAAGGCTTGAGGATGAAAAGTAATGGTTGATGTGGAATAAAACATTTGACATGCACTTCTGTGGCTTGGTTGGTTCTGTCCAAAGTTATTTAAAAATATGAGCCCAACTAGACACTTCTTTCCCCTGCCTCACTGCTCTGATGATAATTGCATCTCTACCATCACACCTTTGACCAAGCCATCCTCATTTGTCATGCCCAGTTTTTATCCCGTCATCCCTTCTAATCCACTCTCCAGCTGGGATGACTTCCTAACATAAATCTGATGATGTCACCCTACCCTTACAGCACTTAATCACTCTCCATTTACCTTGGGATGCAGCCTGACATACTAGCTGACTTCCATGACCCCAGAGACCTGGCCTTTCCCTCTCAGGCCTCATCTCTCTCCACTCCCACCTTGCCCACACGCTCAGCTTCTTATATTTCCATGAATGCACAGTGTTCTCTCTTTTGTTTTGTTTTTGAGACAGGGTCTCTCTGTCACCCAGGCTGGAGTGCAATGGTGCAGTCACAACTCACTGCAGCCTCAATGTCATGGGTTCAATTGATCATCTCACCTCACCCTCCTTAGTAGCTGCAGCTACAAGCGTGTGCCACCACATCAGCTAATTTTTGTATTGTTTGTAAAGACAGGGTTTTGCTATATTGCCCAGGCTGGTCTGGAACTCCTGAGCTCAAGCGATCCATCTGCCTTGGCCTTCCAAAGTGCTGGGATTACAGATTTGAGCCACTGAACTCAGCCTGATGCTCTCTCTAGTCTTTGAAACTTTGCATCATAAACTACTTCCCTTGTCCTGGAATTCTCACCACCCATTCTCATCCCTTCACTCATTTCATCTAGCTTTTTTTTTTTTCCCAATAGTCTAGCTGACCATCACTTCCTCAATCACTCACCTTCCTGACAAGCATGTCCTCAACTTTACTCCCTCCTCCCCTCTATGAGGTTAAGAGCCCCTTCTAATTATGCCTATTAAGCCAGTAACCCCGTTTCGTAACTGCTACCTTTCCCCTTAGTCATGAACATAGTGCCTACTATAGAGTAAGCATCTAATACAGTGAGTGAGTAGATGAATGAAAGAAACTTTCTTTATGAAACTTCATTTGGGTCTTCATTGCTCTAATTCATTCATTCATCCTCAGAATGTTTTTTGAACATCTACCATGAGCCAGCAATGGCACTAGATGCTGGGTATTTAAGGGAAGCAAAGTTTAGCCTAGTTCCTGCTCTCCTGGCACTCAGGCCAGCACCTCTCAGTGTCATGTGGGCAACCAGAAGAGAAAACACAAGCTAGCTAATTATTTGCAAGTGGCTTTGCCCTAGACTAGGGCAGAGCAAAGCAGAGAAATCTTCATGCAGCTAGTGAGTTCTGTAACATTGAGTTCATGCTATACCCATCTTCATTACAGTGCAAGACTGACACAGACCTTGGCATCACAGAACTTGAAGTATGGTACGGAGGAC
Organism: Homo sapiens; assembly: GCF_000001405.40. Taxonomy (NCBI): domain Eukaryota; kingdom Metazoa; phylum Chordata; class Mammalia; order Primates; family Hominidae; genus Homo; species Homo sapiens. The sequence continues at coordinate 95,085,133 of NC_000011.10, read as the reverse complement.
AGACAGACAAGCAATTACAATACAGCATGAGAAATGCTCTGATAAGGGAAGTACTGTGTGTTGTGTTGCAGAGAAGTATAATTTAGGCGGAGAAGCTCTGGAAAGACAATGGGAATGGTGGAAAATCATACTTAATTATGAGATATGTTGAAACATCATTCACAAACTAGAATAACAATTAATTTCTAGACCCCTAGAGCTACTTCTTTGGCTCTCCTCTCTTGTCTCTCTAGCACATATAAGGAATTGCCAAATGATTAGGAAGCTAATACAGTTTGGATTACCAGGAGAGGTGAGGAAGCTGAGGAGTAGTTCCTATTGGGGTTAGAATGCCTGATTTTTTTTTCTAACAATGACCAAATCAAAGAGAGCCTGCCTGGCTGAACCCATGTGTGGGTGGCAGACAGTGTTTTACTGAGTCAAGAGAGTTGCTGATGCATAAGCAGCAGGAGGTTGAGTCATGTTTACCTGAAATGTGGGCAGAGCTGTCTTCTTTCTAGTAAAGCTAAATGTGGATGATGTTTAAAAATAATAGCAGTTGTTGTTTAATGGGTATAGAAATTGAAATTTGCAAGATGAAAAAGTTCTTGAGATCTTTTTCACAACAATGTGAATATACTTAACATTTAAAAAATGGTTAGGATGATTAGTTTGATGTTTTGGGTCTTTTACCACATTAAATAGAAAAAACTAATATCAGACTTCACATCAATATGGATGTGGATAGAGGAGAAACTTATTCCTTCATTCAGCAAATACCGAGTGGACCCCACAGGCCAGGCTCAGTGCAGATTGCTGGGGCCACAGAGGGTATAAAACATGGTCTCAGCCATCCTGGAACCCACAATCTCAGCTTACCACCAGGTCATCTCTATTTTCAACACAGAACTTTATACATTTATTTCAGAAATACACCTGCCTAAGTAACAATTTCATTGTAATTACTTATGAGTTAAAACAATTGCTATTTATTTTAATTGGTAGAAAAAAATAGGGAAAACATTTAGTCCCATCTCTAAGTCTGTATGTGTCTGTCTTAGTTGACATGTAACAGCATCAGGGAATTATAAAAGACTCCCAAACAAAAAGACAGACAAATGGAAAAACCACAGGTCTTGGCATCAGGAGGTTTTGGTTTAAATTTGAGCTCGGCCACTTACAAGCTATTTGAGCTCTCTGAGCCTCAAATTCCTCATCTGTAAAATGGGAATAGTAATACCTATTTTGTATTATTGACATGAGAATTAAATGAGATAACCAATATGAAGCATCTAACCTATAGCAAAACTCAATAAATGCTAGTCCTTTCTTTCATCTCTATAAGTAGATGGGCAGAGTTTCACTTAGAGAAAACAGAATTATGAAAATCTGGAACTTACAAGACAAGTATTTTAGGGCTCTGGTTTATAATTTCAGAAAGAGTAAATTCAGTTTATAAACTGGTTAGCTTCAGGATGCAACCTGACAATTCAATTCCAAATCAAGATAGGACCTCTGAAGCACAGAACCTTTCCAGTACAACTCCCTAAGACCAAAATACCCTTGATCCATTGACTTTGATTAAGTCTCAGGCAGTTTTCCAATGCAATAGCAGTGGGATCATTGTGGGCAGAGGAACACTCCTTAAGAAAATGCCTATGTGTAGGAGGCGACAAAGAGAGATAGACACATTCTCTTTCGTGGTTTGCAATGTTAACTTCCATAAGGTTCAGGCAACTAAGTAAAATTAGAAAAAAAAAGCACATTGGTAGATATTAAGAAACACCTTCCCTTGTAGAGGTGAGATGACAGTATTCTGAAGATGAAGCAGGAGGGGAGCAGAAAATCCTAGTGGTTCATGCTTAGTTAGACCCAGGAGGTTCTTGGTTTGTAACCATGGAGGTTTACGATTTGTCTAAAAAGGCTTTATTAAGAAAAATGAAAAGGAGCAGAAGGAACCGTCTATGTCCATTGACATATCTATTGAATTCTTAGGCTTGCTACCTGGTTCCCCTGGGTCCAAATTTTGGCCACCAGCAGTGACTAGATGACTTGTCATTTTCACCATAGACCTGAATATTATTGCTTGTGACCCCTTGAAGATGCCTCTTCCTGGTGCTTCCTTCCACCTCCCACCAACAGCTCCGCCTACGTTTCCAATGGCATCTAGATGGTGGACTCAGTTTCTGGGCCTTTTGCAGGCCCGTCCCCCTCACCTTGCCCAGTGCAGAGTGAGCCCTTGTCCCTTGCAGCAAGTTTTGTTATTAAAGTCACTGGGCATTTGAGGCCTTTGTCTTTGGATTATTAATCTGCTCTGCATGTACCCAGGACCCAACAATGAGGGCATCTGTTGCAAATCTAATATTAGCAACAAACTCACGTCACATCATCTTGTATAAAGAGAATATTGAGGGAGAAACATTTGATCACTAGCAGAGACATGGAAGCATTGAACAAGGAGCTCTGTCAAATGCTTGGCTCTCTATTATTCAGGGGAGGGAGGAGAGGAGGGGAGGGAGAAGACTGAAGAGTGTAAGCCTTTCTTTCTTCCCATGTGTTCAGCTCTCCCAGGGCAATATGACATACTCTGCACAACTCCTACAATATTTGACCCCAGGTCAGACATAGAGGTCCACTGCGACCCCAGGACACACAGAGGACTTGGATGGTGCCATTAGAAACAGCCACTTATGGGCCTGGGCATAGGAGGGCATTCCTTTGGCAGAGGATCTGCCTGACTAACAAGCCCAGAACAAGTCACCTGAATTAAAAACTTTGGACACATGACTCAGAAGACCCCAGGTGTTTTACCTTTTCTACCAGTGCCAGAAGTAGAGTGAGATTATTTAAGTTAGTCTCCATGGCTTGGGGCAACTTCCCAACCCAAATGGGTCATTTAGAAAGCAGGGAATGTTTCAGAGGTCAGTGGGCCAGCAGGTCAATTTGGCCAGTAGCGCTTGTAAGTTTTTTGAATTAGCTGCCAACATTGAAAAACCTAAAGATTTTAAAATAAAATTCCAAGTTCAAAGCTTCTCTTGAATATTCAAAAAATGGCAGCCACATGGCCCTCATCCCCACATAACAACAGTCACCCCCACTGTCCAAGTCCTTGGCCTTATGATGAGGCAGGAGCCATTGTCCTGACAGCAACACTCACTTAGATAACTTGCAAGAGCCTGCTGGGATTTTGGATTTCCCACCAGGCATCAAGAGTCTCACATGAGAGGTTGAGAGGAGATCTCTGGTCGAGTTTTCTCCAACCAAGCAACATCTGGGTGCTGTGAGCAGTGGGCAAAAACAGAAAAGCAAGAGAAGGACCTCATTTCAAGGAAGAACAAGCTTCTACCACAGAAAAGCCAAGCCCAGCTGGCACAGTGACTTGAGTGAGAGAGACACAGCCAGCCAGTACAGCTTGGATGCTGTGAAGTGCAACACAGAGAAACAGAAACGTTGGCCGACAAGCCTGTCCCAGCCTTGTCATGTGTCCTTTTAGCTGGAATGAAGACGGGGGAAGGGTGGGTGTGGGGAGAGAAGAATGTGCCCTCTTCATGTCCCTTTGTACTTCCACTTCCTTTGGGGCCTGAAAAGAAGCAAAACAAACCAGAACTCTCACTGGCAGTTGCTGAACAAACTAGACTCCCATCTGCGCCTGCAGCCAAACTCCCCATGGACCAAATGCTAGATGGGTGGTTCTCAACCCTCAGTGCATGTTAGTGTCACTCAGGGAGCTTTTAAACCCTTGTACTCCTGCCTATTAAAACAGAATTTCCGGCGGGGGGGCAAGGGGATGGGGGCCCAGGCATCAGTATGTTTCAAATATGATTCTAATGGGAAGCCGAGGCTGAGAACCAATGTGCCAGAGCAGTGCTTCTCAACCATAAACTTGTCCTTGATTTACCTGGGAGGATTAGTTAAAAATGCAGATCTGAGTCATAGGTCAGGGCCGAAGTCTGAGCTTCTGCACTTCTAACAAGCTTGCAAATGATGCCCATGCTGCAGGATCCCAGCCCATACTTTGGTGACAAGGAGCTGGAGCACTTGTGCTTTGTCATTCTCTCTTCTAGTACTTCCATAGAGAAGATAGCGGGCCTATCACCTCTAAGCCTGAAAGTAACAATAGCAATAGCAATAAAAGTAATGATATTACTATTAAAATAATAAAATCATATCAATAACAGCAAGACTTTGATGTGTGTTTCTTCCTGCCAAACACTGTGCTCAAGTTACACTTTTTAAAAATATTCAACAAGAAGATGTAAAATAATTGCTCATTCTTACCTTGAGTTCTTTACTACTCAAAGTGTCTTACTTATATTAGCTTTTTAGACTTCACAACAACCCTTATTGTCCTGGGTGCTGCTGTTATCATTCCATTTTGGGGAAGAAGGAGCTGAAATACATAGAGATGAAGTTGCTTGCCAAGGCCACCAAGTTTACAAGCACAGAGCTGGGTTTAGACACAGGATGTATGCTAGTAATGACCCTGCTACTCTGTCTCTCCAGGCACTTGGGCCTTGGAGTTGTGAGTTACTTGCCCACAGTCATGCTAATCAATAGTGGAGCTAGGGTTCAAAACTCCATTGGCTTTACTTTACAGACTGAGCTATTGGGAGAGGAAATGAATGAGGTATAGAAAGTGCTAGACACAGTTCTTGGCACATCATGGATACTCATAATTTATTTCTTTATTCCTTTTTCCCACTCCCCTAGAGCATTCCTTGGGGGCTGTCTTAGTCAACTCAGGCCTCAGTAACAAATTTCCTTAGACTAGGGGGCTTAAATAACAAACACTCCTTTCTCACAGTGCCAAAGCTGGGAAGTCTGAGATGTAGGTGTCGGCTCTTGATGAAGGCCCTCTTCTTGGTTTAGAGACAGCCACCTTTCTGGTATGTCCTCACATGACAGAGAGTGAAATCTCTCTTGTATCTCTCCTTTTAAGGGCATTAATCTCACTCATAAAGGCTTCACCCTCATGACCTAAAAACCTTCCAAAGACCCCACCTGCAAATACCATCACTTGGGGATTAGGGTTTCAACATATGAATTTTGGTGGGACACGTTCAGTATATGGCAGGGGGCTGGATAGTGGGAAGAGAGAATGGAACATATCAAATGGCATTTAAATGACCCTGCTCCCTAAAGGAGCCAAGTAATGTCAGTGGCATGGACAGAGGAAGGGAGAGGGTTGACAGTAAGTCACACCCACTTCCTAGAGTGAGGCAGCCAATGGGGTGATCAAAGCCAGCCCCCATATCTCTGCAGGCTCATCCTATGCCTGGCAGAACTGGCAGGAAAGGAATATAGGTACCCTAAGGCAGCCGTTGCTACCAAGAAAGGTGATCTGTGTCCATTTGTCAAGCATGATTGGGAGAAAGTGATCAAAAGGGCTGCAGTGAAACCAGGAATGGACTGAAGCAGCTCTGAGAGTCCATGTAGCTTTGGCACTGAACTTGAGGCTGACTCTCCCAACAGAAGACACATTTCCCCAGGGGTTCTAAGACGAGCAGCATGGAGGAGAGCCTGGATATTGCTATGGTTTCTTAGAAGAAGCTGTAGCATGGTGAGAGTGCCTAACTCCTTGTCTGTGTCTCCATCCAAGCTGACTATAATCTCCGTCTTATGTTCTATCCTTAGCATCTAGTACAGTGCCTAGCATGGAGAGAGTGCTTGATTAACAATATTTGTTGAAAGAATTAATGAACGAATGGATGGATGAATGAATGAAAATCTTTTATTGAAATATGAGAAAGGATTTATTCTCTGGCTCTTCAAGTTATTTCAACCCCTGCTTAGTACTAGTTACATTATTTTTAAAAATAATGTGAAAGTAATAATGCTATAAGAGAGAACTATTTATTTTAGCTGTTTCTTATTATGCTAGCCCTTTTTTTCACTTTTATTGAGGTTTTAGGTCATTTATCATTTAATCAACAACATTCATTGACTTCTCACTGCACAGAAAAAAAAAGAAAGACAACAACCAATTGTATTAATCTGATCTAATCAACAATGTGAAACTATAGATAAAGTACTTACAATTTTAGATGGCCAAGTGTAAGTACAGTTAAGGTAATATCATCATGAGAGGCAAGGTTAGGCCACTTGGTTCCTAAGGAGTTTCTCAGGTGGGAAAAACTTATTGAGTAGACACTTGATATTCACAAGGAATGGATCCTGAGATCTTTGCAAATTCCTAATCCTAGCACTTTTCTAAATATTATCCTTATCTGGAGCCAGGGTTTTCCAGTGCATAGCCTTAATACTCCAAATCTATTGCCTGTTTGACTCTCATACCTGATCTCCCACCTAGTAGCTGTTTTTCCAGGAAATTCCTACGCAGGCTCTGATTTGAGATTGCTCATAAGCAGCTGAAATGACTGTTGTTAACTTAGTGAATGCCAGGGATCTGCTGTGACTGCTAGAGTCCAATCCAATTAGACAGTAGTATGAAGTGCCTGGTAGGAGTCAGATACATGTCATGTTAGCTGACACAGCAGGGAACCAAAAAGTATAATTCCTTCTCTCATAAGATTTGCATCTGGTAGGAAAGAGAGCCATTCACAGGGTTGGTTGTGAATTATGAGTGCTTTCAAGGGCTCTGTGGTCCCCAAGTTCCTCCACCCCCTGCTTACCTGAAACATCAACCACTCCAACTGCTCAGGGGTTTCTGGAGGAGTATGCATTAAGTGAGTTAAGACATTTATGCTTGCTTCATCCCCACATTCAGATCCCTGCCTTGGCTCCTACTCCCTCACTCTTACATGCCAGCCCCTTTGCTAATCTGTGAGCACATGTTGCTATCTCAGGGCATTTGCACTTGCCCCTCTGCCCACAATGAAGCCCCATTCCCGCGGTCACAGGTTCAAGGACCACATCCCCCGGAGGTTTCTGTAGCTATCCTATCAGATAAAGCAGCCTCTGTTACTCTCTAACCCCTCACTCTGCTTTATTTTTCCTCATAGCCCTTACAATTACTTGACATGTTATTATATATCACTCTTGATAATGAGAATAGATCATCCAAGAGAGTTGAAACTTGTCTTTTTCACTGTTGTGTCCCCAATTCCAAGAACAGAGCCTGGAACAGTAGGTTCTCAGTAAACATTTATTGAATGAGTAAATGAATAAATGGGTCCTGAAATACATAGACAGATGCAATGTGAATCTTTTAAGAAGAGGCTCTGAGGGATGGGCCAAAAAAATAAAAGATTTTGGCTGGGCACAGTGGCTCACACCTGTACTCCCAGCACTTTGGGATACCAAGGGGGGCAGATCACGAGGTCAGGAGCTCCAGACCAGCCTAACCAACATGGTGAAACCCCCCTCTACTAAAAATACAAAAATTAGCCAGGTGTGGTGGCACGTGCCTGTAATCCCAGCTACTCAGGAGGCTGAGGCAGGAGAATCTCTTGAACCCAGGAGGCAGAGGTTGCAGTGAGCAGAGATTGTGCCATTGCACTCCAGCCTGTGTGACAGAGCAAGACTCCATTTCAAAATTAAATAAATAAATAAAAGATTGTGATGAGAACAGGAAAAGATGCTCTCAGAGATCCACAGGCCTGAGTGTGGTACTTTTTTGGGTGGAGGGCCCTGAACTATTAGGACACAAGGAAACTGAATGCCAGGATACCAGTAGTACAAATATTACATTTTTGTAAGGTGGCACCTCTAACAATGACACCCTTTCCCTACAGCACTCAGGTTTTCCCCTCCTTTGTCTACCCGAAACTGCTTATCTCCATAACATCCAGCACTTGCTGCGGATTAGTGAGAAGGGTCCCCAGGTGTTACCCTGACAGTTGCTACAGATCAGTGGCAATGAGGAGCAACTAGAGAATGTTAGAAATTTCATCTTGAGAGGCTGGTGAGCAGAGTGGGATCTGCAAGGCAGCTGGAGTGAGGGGCTGTTCATTACCCTGGTTCTATTCAACTTATATGGGTTTCCTTCCCACTTATCTCTGCAGCCAATTCCTAGCAACTGTTTGTGGTTTTCTACTTAAAGCAATGATAGGTAACTAAAACACTGAACAAAACCCCAACTTCTAATTTCTATATGGTCACAGCTCAGTGAAATACATATCAGGGTGAAGTTATTTCTAAATATCTGGAAAGGACTTCTCACACATACACAAAATAGTTAGTGTAATGGTTAATCTTTATGAATAATTTAGTGTGGCCCGGTAGTCAGTCAAAACCTATAGTTAAAATTTTAAAATAAATCTTAGAGTCAAGACCCAAACACCAACCTCTACAAGTGTGCATTCAAGTGTAGTTTCTAATGCACATCTTACAAATGTGGGCTTATAAGTAATAATAGCCAACATTTATTGAGCACAAATTGTGTTTGCTTTGGTCTGAACTTGTTGTGTGCCAACTCTAGCACAGGTGCAAATAGCTAAGAGCTCCCTTTGCCCAAATAAGGAAGTGGAGAGCCAGAGGAAAGAGATGATTTACTGAAAGATTGCTCAATAAGCTAGTGAAGGAGTTCTGAAGAAAGGTTGGCTCTTCTGGCTCCTGATTGTTTTTGAAATCTTGACCTTGCCCTGGCAGCATTGCAACAAGGCCAAGTACAACAAGGAGAGGAATTTGCAAATAAGTATATGTGAACTTTTGTACAAATACGTGGGTAGATCATGAGAAAAAAAGAAGTTTCCTACTAGTGAAAGTAATAGAAGACAGTTTGGCAGTTTCTTATAAAACTAAACATACTCTTACCATGTAATCCCACAAGCAAGCTCTTTGGTATTTACCCAAATGAGCTGAATATTTTCCTCCACACAAAAGCCTGCACATAAATGTTTACATCATTTTTATTCATAATTGCAAAACTTGGAAGCAACCAAGATGTCCTTCAATACATGAATGAATAAATGAACTGCGATACATTCAGACAATGGAATATTATTTGGCAATAAAAAGAAAGGAGCTTTCAAGCCACAAGACATGGAGGAAATTTAAATGTATATTACTAAGTGAAAAAAGCCAATCTGAAAGGCTACATACTCTGTGATTCCAACTATATGACATTGTAGAAAAGGCAAAACTATAGAGGCAGTAAAAACAGTAGTGGTTGCCAGAGGTTAAGGAGGGATGAATGGGTGGAACACAGAGGATGTTTTAGGGCAGTGAAACTACTCTGAATAATACTATAAGAGTGGATACTTATCATTATAAGTCATTTGTCCAGACTCAAAGAACGTGCAACACCAAGGCTGAATCCTAATATAAACTATGAGCTTTGGGTGATAATGGTGTGTTCATCAATTGGTTCATCAGCTGTAACAAATGCACCACTCTGGTGGAGGATGTTGCTGAGGGAGGCTATGCATATGTGGGGACAGGGTCTATAGAAGAACTCTAACTTCTGCTCAGTTTTGCCATAAACTATTCTAAAAAAATAAAACTCATTAATTAAAAAAGTAATGGGTAGGGCTGTGGGAGTGGTGGTGAGGACAGTGGTATAACTGAGCATCACAGAAATAAAGGATATGAGAGTAGGTCCTTGCCCTCGGACTTATCCTAGAGGTAGGGAGAATGCATAAATGCACAGAATTCTTGCTCAAATCTATCAAGCACCTCCTACTTGCCTGTCACATTTACATCACACAATATCTTCACAAAAATCCTGCACTGTAATTTTGGCTCAGAGAAAATCAACGATTTTTTTCTGAAAGTCACATGACCACAAAGTGGCAAGGCCAGATTCAATTGCTGTTCAGCTGGCTCTACATCCGGTTTTCCTCTGTAACTAACTGCTGGAAAGGTAAAAGTGGTGAGTAAGGGAAAGGTTTGCTTTACTAAACACATCACGCTTCAGAATCAACTTTGTATACATGATACACAGCATGCCAATGGATGGGCTGAGTTTGTGACAAGAGGGAAAACACAAAACCACATCATCATTTATTTATTTCACCATTAAAAGAAAAATAAGAGGCTGTGAGGGAGGAGGTGATGGAAGGAATAATTAACAGAGAATCATTATTACTATCCAGAGTAATTGCCTTCCTGGAATTTCTCGTAACAAGGATGCAAGGTCATTTGTAATGGACAAACAGAGGCACACGTTCCTGGGAGTCACCCTCTCTTTGATAGCGAGGAAGGAAACCCTCGGCAGCTCTGGAGCCATGCCAGGGAAGCTTGCTGCACAGCTGGGTGCCAATATAAGGAGTGGCTTGGGCCCAGGGAAATCTATCTTGGTTCATCACAGTCACCACTTTGGCACAGGCCTCTTGACCCTTCATGTACTGGTGGGAGGACTCAAGTGGCAGGAAGATGCAGAAATGCAGGGGAACAGAGGGGAAAGTAGTGGGAGAACTCGGAGTAGAAAGCTGCATGCTTTCAGGACTGGCCTTTAGCTTCATCTCAACACTTCTGTTTTGTGGCAGCCACTCTGAGAATCTAGTTCAGCAGTATGAACTGCTTTCATAGGGCCCTTCACTACAGTTACTGAAACCTTTTTAACTTTTTATCTCAGATGTTGTTACAACAGAGTTTTCTCCACCCTTTGAATACCACCTAAGGGACTGATTGTCTTCTTTGGCCAATGGCAAGGCTCCAGTCCCCAGAGACATTACCTAACCCACTAACCTGTGGCCCATCTTACATCAGGAGGCCTAATACGAGGTGGGCGGAGCTTCTCCCACACAGTACCCTAACAGTGGACATTTTCCCCGACATCCAGAACCTTAATCCATAGTTCTAGTTATACGGTGAAAAGAGAAATCCCTCTCTGAATGTCCTTTCCAGCACCCAGTGAGGAATAGCACAGAGCCTTTGTTGTAACTAAGTTCCCCAGGCCCCTCTAAACCCAAGCAGGCTTCCTCAAGTCTCCTTTCTTCTCTGTAGTATGCGGCTGGGACTCGGCCCATCTTCTTCACCTCTTTCTATGTTCACCCACCGTATTCTTTAATTTCCATCCTGGTGGAAGAGGGAGTTAAAATCTCCCTACCTGCCTACTTCCTTGCTACTCCAAAGGGAGAACAAAGGCTTCACTCCTTACTGCTGCAGGGAAGAAGTCAATACACACATATACTCACACGCTTACACAGACACCAAACAATTTTAGTACCTTACAAAGCTCTTGTCTGAATGTCATTAGACTAATTTTCCACTCCCGTCTCAGATGGTAATTATAGGTCCTTGTTACGGTTTAGAATATTTTCCCACAAAACTCATAGCTCACTGCAGCCTTAAACTCCTGGACTCCAGGGATCCTCTCACCTCAGCCTCCTGAGTAGCTAGGAGTACAGGCATGCGCTACCACGCCCAGCTTGGGAACTTAAAAATAGTGTTGATACCTATGTCCCACTTCCAGAGATACTGATTTAATTGGTTGAGAACCAGCAACCTATGGAGAACAGTGGTTTTCAAACTTTAGTGCATATTAGAATCACCTGGGGAGCTTGTTAAACCAGATTGCTGAGTCCTATCTTAGAGTTTCTAATTTGGTAGGTCTGGGAAGTGAGGCCCTAGAATTGGCCTCACCAATTCTGGAATTTTCTAACACGTTTCCAGGTGATACTGATTCTGCTGTTGCAAGGAGGGGAAGGACACTTTGAGAAACACTGATGTTTCATATCAAGTTCCCACAGGAGAATCACAATGGAGTTTTCTACATCCTTGCTACTTAAAGAATGGTCCATGACCAGCAGCCCTGACAATACCTGGGATTTTATTAAACATGCAGAATCTCAGGCCCCAGACCAAACTCACTGAATTGAAATCTGCATTTTAACATGATCCCCACAGGATTCAAATGTACATTTCTGTTTGAGAACCACTGTTCTGGGTTTCTGAAGCAAATCCATGCTGTATTTAGTAGATAACTCTCCTCTTGAGTAAATGACAGTTCTCCATTGGAAGCTCTTCACTTGCTCTTGGGCCCTGGCAGAGATAAAAAAAACTTGACCATAGGTGAGCATATGACCTGAGCCTCCCATCATGAGCTGGGTGATGACTGACCTAACAAGACACAAAGTGAGTCACACCTGCCAGCTCTCTGCCCTCAAGCAGAAATAAGACTGAAATGACCAAGATGGGACATGTTCTGAAGACACAAGTAAATCACATAAGCAGGTGACTTATAGTCCCCAGTATGCCTGCTCTTGCCACTCTGCTATCCTCTTCCAGTCTTCACATATAGCCTTGTAGGGAATTCTCTGGTAAGCAATTGATTGAGGAAGTAAAATTATCAAGCTCAGTTACAAATGGCTGTGCATAAGTGGCTACAACCATTAGCATGGGTCATGGTGGCATTATAACCTACACAGTATGTCCCTGAGCAATTCTGGAGAAGGGAAAAACCGTTCAAGGGGTAGAACTTTCAGTATCTCATCTTGTTATCCACTTCTCCTGGAAGAGGAACACCAAGAATAGCTAAGCCACTCTTGATGAAGACAAGATGAGAGAACTTGCTTTATTAGATATCAAGGTTTATTATAAAGCTGAAGTAATTAAGACAGTATTAGGTGCAGGCATGGAAAAAACATACTAATAGGGGCCAAGGCGGACAGATCACTTGAGCTCAGGAGTTCAAGACCAGTCTAGGCAACATGGCAAAACCTCATCTCCATAAAAAATACAAAAGTTAGCTGGATGTGGTGGTGTGTGCCTGTAGTCCCAGCTACTTGGGAGGCTGAAGTGAGATGATGACTTGGGCCCAAAAAGTCGAGGCTGCAGTTAGCCAAGATCACACCACTGCACTCCAGCCTGGGCAACAGAGCAAGATTCTGTCTCTCTCTGTCTCTGTCTCTGCCTGTCTCTCTCTCTATATATATAATACATAATTACATTATATATTTATATATTATATATAAGTATACATAATATATATGAAATATAAATAAAATATATTTTAGACTTTATATATATTCTATTTACATAAAATTATATATATGTTATATATTACAGACTATATATCTTTTATATCTTCTATATATATCTACATCTTTATATATGTATATGTATGTGTATACATGTATATATACACATACACAGTATGTATATGTATATGTATATATCTCAATAGAAATAAATAGTGAATCCAGAAGTAAACTTACCCAGTATGGATACTAATATATGGTAGAGGTGGCAGATTGGATAGGAAAGGAGTTTTCAATAAATAGTGCTTTAAAAATTGATATCCAAGTAGGAAAAAAATTATGTTAGATTTTTACCTCACCACATGCACAAAAATCAATTTCAGTTGTGTTAAAGTACTAAATGCTGAAAGACAATACTATACTGAGTATAGGAAATAATATATGAAACTATCTTTACTGCTTCAAATTAGAAAACAAGACATATAAAACACTAACCACAAAATGTTTGAAGAATTTAGCTACATTAGTGTAAAAATAACTCATCAAAAGACATCATAAAGTGAATTAAAAAACAAGCCACAGAATGGGAAAATATATTTATAGGGCATAAAGACAAATAAGATCCAGATACATAGAAAATACCTTTAAATTGTTAAGAAAAGACAGGTGACCCAATAGGAAGGTGGACAAATTATTGAAAAGGCACTTCACAAAGGAGGATATCCAAGTGGCTAAAAAACAAACAAATAAAAAGCTACAACCTTTTGGTAATCAGGGTAAAGAAAATTAAAACCAAATGAAATACCACTATATACCCATCAGATTTGCAAATATTAAAAGGTCTGACGTTAACAAGTGTTAATGAGGATGTGGAGCAAGTAGAATTCTCATCAATTGATGATAATAGTATATATTGGTAGAACTACTTTGGAAAATAGTTGAAAATTATCTAACAAAATTGAATATGTACTTGATCTATAACCCAGAAAATGCACTTTTGGGATTGATACCTGAAATATATATACACGTGTACATCAGGTTTTATGTATAAAAATATTCATTGCTTCCTTATTCAGAATAACTAAAATAGGAAACAACCCAGATGTCCATCAATAGAACAGTAAAAACTGAATTATGATTTATTAATTAGTAAAACACTACACAGCATCAAAAATAAACTCAGCCACATGCAACAATACAGAGAATCTTAAAGACATAGTATTGAGCAAAATAATCAGTACACACAAAATTCCACTTATACAAAGCTCAAAAACAAAATTAAGCAATATTTTTAGAAATGCACTTATAAATGATGACTGACCCACTATCAAGGAAAGTATTTAACATTGCTCTGAAAGTTCTGGAAATTCTTGATTTTCCTTTCTCAATTTCTACACCCATCACCACGCCCAGTCTTCCCCAACTCACTAAACAGCACCGTCATCCATTTAGCATTTCAAGCCAGTGAGAAGTCATCCTTAATTCTGCTTTTTCATTAATTTCCCTACTTCTAATCTATTACGTGTCTTATTAGATCTAAGATCAATATATTTCCTGAATATGTCTATTTATGTCCATTTCCAACACTACCACTGAAGTCTAAGCCATTGTCACCTTTCTTTCTGGATTACTGCAATAGCCTCACAGCTTCCACTCTTGACCACATACACTCCATTCTGCACTCAGCCCTCATAGTGATCATTATAAAGGATAAAATGGTGTGGCCAGTTAGCTCAGTTGGTTAGATCATGGTACTAATAAAATGCAAAACATGTCACATCACTCTTCTTCATGGGTTCATGTCCTCTGTGGGTCAGGTCTTCCACATGTAGAGTAGAGGTAGGGTATGTTCACACCTTCAATGACAACTACACATTTCTGCTCCAACAGGTCCAAAATTGTTCCTAGGTTTCAAAGTTGTTGTTTGTTTGTTTTTTTCCTTTTTCTTTTTTTTTTTTTTTTGAGATGAAGTTTTGCTCTTGTTGCCCCGGCTGGAGTGCAATGGCGTGATCTCGGCTCACCACAACCTCTGTCTCCCGGTTTCAAGCGATTATCCTGCCTCAGCCTCCGAGTAGCTGGGATTATAGGCATGCGCCACCATGCCCAGCTAATTTTTGTATTTTTAGTAGAGACGGGGTTTCACCATGTTGGTCAGGCTGGTCTTGAGCTCCTGACCTCAGGTGATCCACCTGCCTTGGCCTCCCAAAGTGCTGGGATTACAGGCGCGAGCCACCATGCCCGGCCACAGGTTTCAAAGTTTTTAACGTATAAAGAGTTGCTGATTTTAACATCATATTTTGGTCACGTTTAAGATGTTCTACAGATATTTTTGCTTCAAAGCTTCAAACTCCAGCTATGCCTGGGTCTCATTCTATCCCCAGAAATTGACAATGCTTCCCTACCCTTAGGGCTGCCCCGTCCCCGTCCCACTCGGTCCCATTTAATAAATATACCTCACCTCCCTTCGCCACCTGCTGGACGCGAGGGGCTACTACGATGCCATGGGTGTCCTGATTTTTTATTTCTCAGACAGGACTGCTCTGTGTGTGTCTTTGGATTCTACGTAGATTTATATTTGTAAAATATTACATTTGTCATGACCAGAAGAAATGTCATTATCGTAAAATTTAGATTCTGGAGTCTATATATGAAAGCAATACTAACTACTAACTGTTATAACAACAAAATGTGGGATGTATATCTACAGACCACAGCCACCTTGCCAGTTCATTCAAGAATCGAACCCTGGATTTAGCAGTTTCTGCACAAAGGGAATGAAATATTTTTAATTGATAATTCAGTCAAAAATATTAATGAAGATCCATATGATTGAAAGAATAAATTTATTCAATTGGCTCCAATGTAATCCTATTGTCACCAGATCATTGACACCAAATTGTTATTTTTCCCTTTGCTAGTAAAGGTATAAGCAGAAACAATTGCAAAAGAACACATAACATCTAGTAGGGATAATGATGAAAGCCAAAAATGGATTATTTGAAAATAATTTTGGAAGTAAAAAAACCATAGGTGTGAGGAAAAAAGAGAGAAACTACAAATAAACTGCATTGTGATAAAACAATAAAGCACATAGCTAAAAGCCTATTAAGGATTTTTTAAAAATTATATTTTGAGAAACACTTGGTGCTAATAATTTTCTCAAAAGTACAAATATCCAAAAGTCATACAGAAAATAAAACAACCTACTTTCCATCAAAAGTTTCTAATTTTATTCTGAGAAAAGATAACACCAAGAAAACAATTTTAACTACAGAAACAATGGTTAGCGTAAAAAATTAATAATCAAAAAGATAAACCATGTTATAAGTACTTAACAAACTTATAAACTATTTCTTCCATAACATTCTCCATATTTTAAGTTCATACATGTTGATATGATCAGATTTACAATTTTTCAGAAAAGACGGGGGAAAAGGTGTGATTATCGTCAGCTAGATGTGCTCACTGCATGCTCCATTATTTATCTGCAAGGCCTGGGTGACTGGAAGTGCAGTTGACAGGCATTTTAATAAACTGGACAGCCATTTGTTCTTCAGGACAAGGCGTGTTTTCCCCAGGAGCAATCAGAAGAAAACAGGAAGCAGCTCAGCACTCTGCACTGCAACAGGCCACCTTAATAGCTAACCAGCATCACTCAACTGCTACGCAGCCGGGCCTGGTGCACAAAAACACAAAAGAGATTAGACCTGTGTTTGCTAAAACCCCAGTCCTTTCACATGAAAAATCTTTATACAAATTTGGGTCACACTACCTTTTAGACCTGGAGGTAAATAAAATTATCCATATTAATTTACACCACCTTTTGTAGGTTTTTAAGGAATGAAGGCAATGTTGAAGCATGTCTTGACAGCGTTAGGCTGTGTGTAATGGCTGCACACGTTTCCTTAAAAGTCAGGAGGCCACAAATTAGGTTACCAATCTGTTCATTTCAAACCAAAACAGTCATCACTATAGAAATAAAAATAAATTTTTGCCTCAAATATCCAAACCCAATAACGTAATCTTAGGTCGTTCACCTCCTAAGTTACAATAAAATGTGAATAACAACAAAACGGCACATAGAATGAATTTTGCCACCTGATGCAAAGCTTCAAACTGGCAAAAAGGTAGAAAAGTGTGACACAACCTTTTCAATAGGCAGCCTCTTCTTCCAGGGACGTTGCTTCCATAGACTGAGTATGTGATCCTTTTCCCCCAAGTCCTCCATCACGTTGCTTCCTGATGCATCATTTTCTTAAGAGGACATCTGTCCTTCCTCTTCAGGAGACTTGGGGGGCCTCTTGGATCGCGACCTTGACTTGGATTTCCTCTTGGATACCCGGGGAGGACTCCTGGTCATAGATGAAGACCTGGACCGCGAGCGAGACCTGGAGACCGAGGAGGACTTGGATCGTCGCGCAGAGCTCGATTTGGAGGTTGATGCAGAGCGAGAGCTAGTGGAGGACCCAGACTTCGAGTGAGACCGGCTGCTGTGATATCGGCTGTAGCGAGAGTTACTGTAACCAGATGAGCTGTAGTGAGATCCGCCGTAGCGAGATTCCCTGTAGCGAGATCTGCTGTAGGGAGAGCGGCTGTAGCGCGACCGGCTGTAAGGAGATCGGCTGTAGGGAGACCGGCTATAGCGAGAACCCCTATAGCGAGATCGGCTGCGGGACCTGGAGCAGCTGGGACCCCGGGATCGGCTGCGGTGTCGCCGCCTGGGGCTGCGGCTCCGCCGCCCGTAGCTGCGGCTCCGCCGTCCGTAGCCGCCGCCTCTGGACCTGCCGCGTGGCTCTCCCTGGCGGCTGCGGGGCAGGTCCCGGCGGCCATAGCGCGCCACCTGCACCCGCAGCTCGCGTCCGTCCAGCTCCGCCCCGTCCATGGCGGCCTCGGCGTCTTGGGCGTCGCGCCGGTCGTGAAAGCGGACGAAAGCGAAGCCCCGGGGCGCCTTGGTGTGGGGCTCCCGCGGGATGTACACGTCGCCCACGCGCCCGTACTTCTCGAACACGCGCCTCAAGCTGTCGGGAGAGGTGCGGTAGGTCAGGTTGTCCACCTTGAGGGTGATCATGCCGTCCACGTCGGGAGGGGGGCGGCCGCAGCTCATGGCTCCGAGAGCAGCCCGGGCCCGGAAACTGGCGCTGCTCTGGGCGCTGACGGTGCGACCTGCGTTTCTTTCTCGCGGTTGCGCCCCGCGTGGGGACGCCGGGAAAGGCCGGGCGGAGAGGCGGGCGGCGGAGCTCCGCAGGGAGCGCCCTGGAGCAGCAACTTCCGAGTTCCCAATTTCAGGCCAAATACTCCAGGACCCAGAGGAAGGTTTCCTTTTGGTAGCTGAACTCCAAATGAAGCCAGGCCCCGAAGATCCTGGCCTTGTACCTGGGCAACATCCTAACCTAATCAGCGCCCAGCTAATGTAATCACTGGGCTGGATTTACATTAGACGTCCCACCCTCCCATGCTCCTCCCTATTATTCTACGTTTTAAACCAATCTTAAGAACAAAGCTAACTGATTAAAGGTCAATTTATGGGAACAGGCAATCCAGACAAATATTAAACAAAAGAAACCTAGGGCAACAATATTAATATCCAGTGTATTGATAGGATCAAAGGAGCACATTTCATAGTTATTGAAAAGAAAATTCACTAGGAAAACATTACAGTGATGAACTTAACGCACCTAAACACATAACAGTGACACATAGCCAAGACTGAGAGTTATAAGGTAAAACTGAAAAATCTGCACTCATGATGGAAGTTTGTTTTTTCCCCGTAACACCGTTTTCTCAGAAATCAATAGTGCAGAGAACAAAACTAGTAATGCTATAATAATTTGCACAACAAACAACAATTTTGATCATATAACCTGCAACAACCAAAAATATATAGAAAACAGAAGAATTTCCCAATACAAGACTACAAAATAAATGTCAATTAAAATTTAATAGGTCAATAAATTCAGCACATCTGGACCTCAGTGAAATAATATTGAAGGTTAAAAATAAAAAACCTGAATCCAATCATATTTACTTGAAAATTAATAACCACATTTCTAAAACTTTTTTTATGTTGAAGTCAAGCAATTAGTAAAACAAAACCAAAACAAAAAATAAAACATTAAAATAAAAATAGAATTACAAATAAAAGGGACAATATGTTTTTTTAAAAAGATGATTAATAAAACTGAAATCTAACACTTTTAAAGAAAAAAACAATCTAGCAATACTGATGAAGAAATACAGTTTCTAAATCTGGAAAGGAAATATACAGAAAGGGCCTAGAGCATCTTGGAGTGCTGGAAAATAAGGATGTGATAAATAGAAAACAAACAAAAGCATTGATGGGGTAATTTTAGAGGGGTACAAAAACCAATAAAACAGCTCCCAATGGCCAAATCTTGAACAATTTAAGGAACAAACTAAAATACTACTATATCATATTCCAAAATATAAAATAAATATTAATCTGTGCTGTTGTAAATAAATGATTAAATAAATTAACACATTGGAGAAAAGAGAGAAAACTCCTCTGCAGGAGAATTCTAAATTAATTAAATTAATTAAAACGTTGCTGATTTTGAAAATGTTATGTAACCTTATATACATAGAATTGTGCTTTTTATATTTTAATGTATTTTGTGTTTTATTTCCCTCATCTATGTGTTCCATGTAGCTGTACTTGATCCTGTTACCTTGCCGTAAGGCATTCAATGGTATAAATGTTTGTGCTGTTGATGGGCACTTGGGTTGTTTCCACTTTTGGCCTCTTACAGTGTTGCTCAGAACATGCTTGGACATGTATACTGGAGCTCATGTGTCCTCTTAGGTATGAATGGATCCCTTGTCACAGAATACAGGCAGCCCACTGTAACCTCTGGCTTCAGCATCAGTGAATTCAGCCAACTGTGGGTAGAAATTATTCAGAAAAAAAAAACAATAAAAATAAATAGAACATAATACAGTAAACAATTATTTACATAGCATTTTCATCATAATGTAAGTAATCTAGAGATGACTTAAAGTATGTTGGAAAATACGTATAGGTTACATGCTCATACCAAGCCATTTTATATATGGACTTGAAAATCCTCAGAATCCTCAGGGGTTACTAAGGACCAAACCCCATCCACCTGCAGAATATCAAGGGACAACTGTATGTGAATTCAAACTTTACCATGCCTGATTGTTTTTCAACAGTTTTTATCAATTTACACACAGGATAGCTGTGTATGAGGGTGCTCAGTGCTCTTCACTTTTGCAAACCTTTGGTGAATATCAGACTTTTTAGTTTTAGCCAGTTAGGTGAGGGCATTAAGATTTGTTTTACCTGTGATTTCGTCCCCACACAACAGCCTGGGGTGACACAGTGAGATTTTGTCACTTAAAACTTAAAAAAAAAAAATTCATTTCCCTAACTGCAAATGAGAGTGAGTAATTTTTTCACGTTCATTGGCCATTTGGGTATTCTTACTCATAAGCTGCCTATTATGTATTTTGTCCATTTTTCTATTGGGTTGGCGTTCTCTGCACTAGCTCTTTATATATAATGGATATCAGCTCTTTGCTGGATATGAGTAATACAATATCAGTTCACACTCCTTGGTTTGTCATTTCTCTCTTTTTTTCATATCTTTTGATGAACAGAAGTCCCTCTTTATTTCTAATAGTAAAATATTATTTAAAATAGCTAACATACCTGGTGACTATAACATGGCAAACACTGTTCGGTTTACTCTTGGTACAATAAATCATTTAATTCTTATGACCTATAAGAAGATTCATACCTCTAATTTTCAGATGACAGAACTGAGTCATTGAGACATTAAGTCACTTGTTCAAGGCGGTAGAGCTAGCACTGTTAGAGTCAAATATTTAAATGACAACCCCCAAAATGATGCCTTAAAACAAAAAAAAGACTTCTCCCTTATCAAACTGTAATATTTGAGCTGATATCAACAGTACCTCTAAGCACAGATACTGAGACCAGACACAGATACATGTACAGTTGACCCTGGAACAATGAGGGGATTCAGGGTGCTGAATCCCTGTGCAGTTGAAACTCCTCAAATACTTTTGACTCCTCCCAAAACTGAACTACTAAGAGCCTGCTGTTGACTGGAAGTCTTACAGATATCAACGGTTGATTAACACAGATTTTGTATGTGACATGTACTAAATACTGGATTCTTACAGTAAAGAAAACTAGAGAAAAGAAAATGTTTTTAAGAAAATCATAAGGAGGAGAAAATGTATTTACTATACTGTACTATATTTATGGATACCTTAACCATTTACAAGATGAATAGCCTGTCTGAAATGGCTGGCAACCTCACTGCAGACCTCAATGTACCCTACACATCAAGCAATTCAACATTTTCTTATACTGTCGTGACTTTTCTCTGCTTCTTGGGAACATTTCCAGCATCACTAGTGGCACTTCGTCTGGGCCCCATAGTATTATTCAAGCTTTAGGATATTGCCCTAAACATGATACTCAAGAGATCACTTTTTACTGTGATAGACAATTTACCAGAGAGAAAAAAATTGCTCAGGCAGAGATGATTAGCATCCTGCAGCATTTTAAGAGGATACTCACCACACGAGCTCACTGCAATGGCAAAAGGAAGAGGCTACAAAATTCTTATAATAATACAGTATTACTATAGTTAATTTTATGCAGTTATGATTTAATACTATATCTTTACATTTGTTTACATTTATCTCAACTTCAAATGGCATTATGTATGGTCTGTGTGTGTGTGTAAATTCTGATAAATTTTAACTTTTTGTAACAGGATTGTACATATTTTATGGTAGCAAATGTTAAAATACACTAATATCTATACATATTTTATGCATTCATGACACACCTAATTTTTTCTTATATTTTTCAATATTTCTAGAGTACAAGATACATCTGGGAGTTTTTTCAAATTGTTCTAAATCTCCAAAAAATTTACCAATACGGTTGTGGAAAAAAAAAATCCCTGTATAAGTGGACCCATGCACTTCATTTGTTCAAGGCTCAACTGTATATGTGGGAGTCTGTATATAATAAAGGTGGCTTACCAATCCCATGAAAAGCAATCAACAATTCAATAAGAGATATTGATCTTGGGGGGAAAAATAAAATAGAGCTCTACCGTGCACTACTTAGAAGAGTAAATTAGTGATGGATTAAAGACTGTATAAAAGAGAACTTTAGGGCTATTTGAGAATATACTGAAAAATGTGTTTATGAATTCAAGGTGGGAAAATTATCTTAAAGAAGAGCCAAAAGCACAAACCACAATGAAAATTTCTGACATATTTAACTCATTCCAGTATATGATGACATAAAAAATTGAGACAAGATACAGGCTGGAAGAACAGTTTTGTCATATGTAAAATAGACAATGAATAAGTATCCTGAAAACTTCCACAGATCAATAAAAACAATGAGTCAACCCAAAAGAAGGGATCGAAGCCTTAGAAAAGGCAACTCAAAAAAAAAGGAAATCCAAATGGCCAATAAATATGAGGAGATGTATAAGATCACTAGTAATTGAGAAAATGCATTGAGACACTTTTTCTCAATTTAAATTAGAAAAAGTGAAACGATCTGACAGTGTAAAAATGGGCCAAGATATGGGGAAACCAGAACTGTCCCACTGCTAATGGAGATAGAAATTGTAGACTGACCTAGCTATTCTTAGAATAATTGAAAACAAATATCAGTATAACCAAGGAACTCCAGTTCTATGCACACAGCTGTTCAAGAAAGTGTTGTTTGACATAACAAAGATGTGGAAATAATCTACATGTCCATCAGCAGGGGAATGAATAAAATAAAAAATTACACAGGTCTATTGACTCTGTTGGAGTCACTAGGATCTATATACGTAGCAATCTGTTCAGGCCTTGTAATATTGAGTTTTTAAATAGGTAGCAGGAGGAAGAGAAGTTGTTAAAACCAAACCTGACATATCATCTTGGCTCTGTAGACTTCCGACTATAAACAGGAAGAATATGCATCAAACTCATAATTGTTATTTCTCAGAAATGAAGAGAAGCCTTCAGAAATGAAGGAACAGAGGTCATGGGAGAGGACAAAGATGGCTCTACACTTGCTCTTAGATAATTTTCATTATCAATGTTCCTTGATTTTCCAAAACAAAACAGTACAGAATAGCAAAAGCTTATGATTGGACATGGGCAAACAGCTAGATATGGGCAAATTTTACAAAGAAGAGTGACCCAAATTGAGATTGTCAGATGAAGTAACATAGAATTCTAATTACAATTGCTTGAAGAAGCCCTCCACAGCCACCCCTAACTCCCTGAACTTTCCAGAAGACTAATTTAGAAACAAGTTTAGCTGTACTATTGCTTGCTCTTATTTGGCAAGAGAATGTAAAATATTTATGAAAGTAGCTGAATAGAAACAGGAGGACAATAGGAGTAATATTTTCTACAAATTATTTGTGTGTTTATGTTTCTTTTCTTTTACTATCCAAGATTTTTTTTAATGATAGCCATTCCAGGGCATCTATCTGGCTAGGATAAGATTGTGATGCTGCTGAAGATAACAAGCAGAAATTCAGTTCTCACATTCCAAGTTGGAACGTGAGCCAAGCTACCATCTCCAGAAATTGTCAGAATCCCTTTCTTTCCTGCACTTTTATGTCCACAATCCGACTTCATCACCTAAGTTTAGCAACCTCCAATTCTCACCTGGAATATAGGAGCAAGAAAGTCTCATTTTCCACTGAAAGATGAGTGGAAGTCGTTGGTGGAAGTAGTCATCCAGATGCTAACTTGATGGAGCTGACCCAAGGAACTAAAGAAACTTCTCCAACAGATTTTTATCAAAATCTCTGTGTTTAGCCTCACTTTTACATCCAACTCTAGAGGTACCTGGTGTCACAAAATCTTGATTCCTTTTGGTTCTGCATTGGGGATTCCATTGCCCTCCAGGTTTTCTCCCTGCCAGCCTAGCATTCAGCTTTCCAGTGTTTCTTAAGATGGTTCCCACTTTTCCAGCTGCTCCTGTCTTGTCTCCTGTTCAGTTTTCTCCAGTTTAAAATACATGCAATAAAAATGCATACACCATAGGTCTCCACATCAGTGACTTTTAACATTCATATACACCCATGTAATCATCACCCAAAAGGAGATGTAGAACATTCCCATGGCCCCATCACATTCTCTCATGCCAGGAGCTTTCCAGTCAATCCCTGCTTCCCACCAGAGGCAATCACGTTCTAAACTCGATGACCACAGCTTACTTTGGTCTATATTTGCAATGAGTATGAATGAAAATATACAATAGGTTTTCACTTTGGATCTGGCTTCTTTTCCAAATCTGATGTTTGTAAGATCCAGCTATTCCTGTTGCATGTACCAGCAATACATTCCTTTTTGTTGCTGAATAATATTCAATAAGCTACAAATTTTAATAAGCTATGAGTTTTTCTATTTATATATTCAGAGATATATGAATTATCCACAGTTCATGATTCTTATAAAATGTGTAGGTATTTAGGAGGAGAACTGCTATGGATTGATGAGTGCTTAAGCTTATAGAACATTGACAAACGGTTTTTCAAAGGGGCTGTATGATGGTACATTCACAGTAGCAATGCATGTGAGAGTCAGTTGCTCTGGAAATGGAACTGTTTCTTTCAGAGCCAGAGCGCATGGTTCTAGTAAATCCAGGTGTAAAACTGGGACTGATCCATCAGGCCAAAGATCAGATGTTTGCTTCTTGTCCTTGTGACTTCTGGTGTTCAAAGTGGCATGTTTTCAATGGGGGTCACAACAATAGTTCCATACATTGGAAGCTGAGATTCTATCTCATGGCCATTTCTATCTCCTCACATCCCTAAATAACCATGCAAAGAAGGATTATAATTTCTCAGCAGGGGGACCAATCTTTATTCTCTCAAGGAAATTATGCCTTTGAAACACAAAGAAACCTAAAGTACAATTGCAGGTCAGGTCCACTACAGAGCAGACTCTAAGACTTCAGCACCAAGATCTTTAGAGTGCCTTTGGGATCAATATCTGACTAAGGGAGGTATAGGAAGCAGGTTTGAGCACAGAGAAAAGTTGATCTGTGGTTTATGCCCAAAGATAGTCAGCCGATCCTGCAGGGACTCTGGAGCTCAAATGGCCTCAGGATTGTCCTGAGTTCAGCAGAGATGGCCAAGCTTTATGCTCCAGCACTGAGCAGTCATTGGATGTGGGCTACACTCGGAAGAGACATGGCCTTGGGTAAGGCAGCTCTCTGCAGCTGAAGGCTGTCTGCCTCCTGCATTCCAGGGCCAATGAGGCTTTTTCCTATCACATAAAAATTGATTCCTTGGTCACACAAGGTGTACTGTAGGTCCAGCAGTTCTCTAGGGCTTCTCCCTTCCAGTGAGTCCAGTATGCTTTCATCTTGTGGTTCCACCATCTCAGTATTAGCTTTAGCCCCTTTTCAGCCAGGCAACTCACTCCATCTTCCTGTGTGCCTGGAGACTCTGCGTTCAGCCTCCCAGCTTGAATTTTATAAAGAATAAACTTCCATCTCTTATTACATTAGAAATGACAAAGTTGTCTGAATGAGTGAGATAGGCAAGAAAATTTGTGTTTTTCTGTTCTTTATTGAGAAGTTCAGGCAAGCACCAATTGTTTTTTACTTTAGCCCTCAAATTGCCTGGTGCTTCAACTTTGGAGCCTTAATAACATTCTGTAAGGGCAGTTAAGCAAGAGTAGTACTAAGGGGAGGGGTGGCTTGCTTCTCTGAATGTTTCCTTCTACATCCAAAACTATCACCTTCAATTTCGAAAATAAGTTTTGAATTTGTCCACTTCTGTGCATTTGCAATATGAACAACTGAGTCTAAGCAACTGTCACTCTCACTTTTAGATGGTCTGTTTCTCCTTCTGGCACATTCTCCACAGAGCAACTAAACTGATTGTTTAAATGTATAAATCACATCTTCACTGCCGTTTTACACTTCCAGTGCCTTCTCAATTCAAGTTGATAGACTACCCAATAATGCAATTAACATGAGTCACAGGGCCTAAGTGGTCTGATCTCCGCGTCTTCTTCTTCTGTGTGCCCCAGATATAAATAAGCCTCTATCGTATCGCTGGAAAAACAAACTCACCAAGTTCTATATTAGGCCTATTGCACTTACAGTTCCCTGCAGGTGGAAAATCCCAGTATGGACCTTCTTATTTTTCTCAGCTGGGGCCCCAGAAGATCTCCTGTTCTCTGAAGCCTTCCTGGACCAGCGGCTTGGCCAGCCTCTGCCCATTCTGCCCTGTCGTCCAATCCTGCTTTAGTTCCTACACAAAACACATTCCTGACTGAAACTGTCTTATTCACTTATTTGGGGGTTTATTTATTAGGCTGAGTCAATGAATTACCAGTGTGAAATATGCACACAGCTTGGAGCCTGGGAGAGAAGAGAGTCAGATGATGACACTTTTATCCTAGGGCTGCTCATCTTTCTCAGCAACTTGGGTCCTGCTATTTGGCTGAGTGCCAGGCTGGTCCTACCAAGCTATCCTCAAAGCATAACTGCAACCCAGTGCTCCCACACAACCAGACAGCCAGAACCTCATAACCATACGCTGAGCTCACTCACCACCACAAAATGTAACCAGCCCATAAAATATTCATAAGTGTTGCCTGAAATGTTCTCAAATAACTGTGAAGAAAAATGCATGGAGAATAACCTCTTCCTGCAATGTTTTTGAAATTACAATATTAGAAAGAAAGTCAGATTTTACATGTTGGTGACCTTTAATATATTTGTGAACAAATACTGGCGATATCACATTGTAAATATCTCAATGACTTAGAAATATGATGCTTTTTTTTCTGACTCTATTGACCTAATTGGCCATAAAAGGCTAGTTTTGCAAGAAGGGGAGAGTTGAGGGAGGGAGGGAGGGAGAGATAAGGGAAGAAGATTGAAGGGGAACCACACTCCAAATTCTTCAGAAGTTCAGCAGCCTCTATAGTTGGTCCAGAGTTTGGGACACTGGGGTAGATGAGCTCTCGGCAAACCCAGGAAGACCTCGTTCTCAGAGATACTCATGTCCAGTGGATGAAATCTCAGCTGGTGACGCAGAAGTAGAAGTCTCAAGATATTACAGTGTCTGAGAGGATGAAGAAAGTATAGTGAATTTGGTAACCACCTTGGACTCAGCAGTGCCTGGGACCTCACCACAGGAGCTAAGCACTGGGAGGCACTGCAATTTTAGTGGCCGGAAAATTTGCGAAAATTCGCGAAAATTCTGAGTTGTAAATGTGACCAATCTCAAGAAGCCCCCACAGAGCAGAGCAGTGGGATATAAAAGCTGACCATGGGCACAGGGGCGGGGCTCCAGCAGCACCCAGAATCCTTGGCAGGATGCTGGATCCTGGGCTCAGTGGTACAGGCCTATCCATCAAAGCTGCATCTGTGGGCAGAGGCTTAGGTTCAGGGCCTGGAGGTGTGCAGTCTGTGACCACCAAAAGGCACCTCCTGGCCAGATGGAGCCTGGAGGATTGGCTTCTGAACCCCCAGTTACAAAGGATAAGGACCACAACCACATCTACCAGTTGAAAGGTTCAGACCAAGGTTGACAAAGCCAGGGTGGGCAGTGGGTCCAAGCTAAGGTCCTGGGCTAGGAAGCATCACTGCAGGCTAAATTGGCCACAGGAACACTGGGCACAGAAATGTGAGGCAACAGGCACCACAGCTGGAGGTCATAGGCTGAGTGGGTCATGGCCCTGGTGACACAGGTGGTGCCTCAGTCCAGAGAGCCCTCTCAGGCACTTGGATCTTCTACGAGGTGGGCATCTCCAGGCTGGCTTGTGCCCTGGATTCCATGGGGTCTGCAACTAATCCCTCTTGCCTGGGTTTCCACAGCTCATTGCACTTGGGTTACAGGATGCCCATGACAGCATCCAGGGAAGAGATCACAATGGCTTCCTCACCACTGCACTGAGGCCACTTTGCTTATCACATGGTGGCAAAATTCATGGCCTCCTTGAAATTGAAGCCATGGCTGAAGTCAGCATGGTGGCCATAGGGAAGCCATTTAGATATTTAGCCCCCTCCTTGAGTTTTCCCTGCATTCAGCCTTATCAACTACAACTACAACAAAATAAATTTTGTCTCTTCCCTTCCATTAATTATAGCTCTAAAAATTTTTGCAGTGGTTAACAGCACTAATTCCATAAATTATTGACTGAAATGCCTCAAATACCTCACATTAAGGAAAATGCTGGCTTGGGTCTAAAATAGCTAACTAGTAGATAGAGAATTTTTGAATTTTATTTTAAGGAAGGATTCATTGCTTCCTTGTGGGTGTGTGTAAAACAAGACTGTTGAATTATATCAAATGCCTATCAACATCTATAAACATGATCATATGACTTTTCTTCTGGTTGTATTTACAGGATAAATTATATTCCTAGATTTCCTTCTTTAACCCATCACTGCCTTCCTGCAATAAACCCCATGTAGTCATTGTATGTCATTCTTTTAATTTATTTAGATTCTCTTAGCTAATATTTAAGTTAAAATTTTTACGATGTTCATCAATAAGTTTTGTCCATCATTTTCTCTCATTCTGCAATTCATCAGGATTTTCTGTCAATGATGTGCTTATTTTAAAGCTTGAATTTTTTCTCATTTTAAAGGCCTATTTATACTTGAAATAAAATTTTCACACAATTCCTCTGTGAAATTGTCTAATCCTTGGCATTTTTGAAGAGTCAGATCTTCCGCCCTCTTTCTGTATTTCATACACAGAAATTTATGTCTTAAACTTTCTATGTAGTAAGTTAATTTTTCTAAAAACATACATATCATTGGAGCTTTATGTTGATTTATTATTTTAGTTATTCTGACTCATTTTCTATGTATATGCATATCAATTCCTTCTTGCTACTTTCATATAATTGATCTTTTCCTAACTTGTAAATCAGAAGCTTAATCCAGTTAATTTTATTATTTGAATGTGATGAAGAAAATAATTAAGGCTGCAAGTTTTCCCCTCAGCACTGTTCTAAATGAATTTCATATATTCCTTTTTGTATGTTATTAAGTTTTAAATTTAAAAACACTCCAGTAAATGCTTATTGTATTCCAGGCATTGGCATTAACAAATTACTATATTCACTCATAGAACTGTCAACTAAACACATGAGGTAGGTGCTATCTCCATTTTACATTGAGGAAACTGAGTCATTAAGTAATTTTCAAGGTCACACTAGCTGGTAAGAGAAGCTGGAATTCAAAATCAGACTATCTTGCTCTACAGTTCATATTCTTAATAGATATTTATTGTTTTGTGGAAATTTGGCTTTTATGATTTGTGCTTCCCTCAAATCTGAGATCCATTCAATAAAAAAATTTAACCTACCAGGAAAAGGACCTGTACATTTTCTGACTTTCAAAAATATTTCAAATTTTATTGCATGATAATTCAGAATGTTTGAATTTTTTTCATTTTGTTTAAAGAAGATATTGATATTTTCTATTCACACTGATATATTGTCAAATTTTGTGATTGATTCTTTGGCAGGATAGGTTGTCAAGGACCTGACATATACTTGGGATGCAGTGACCGTGGTGACCATAGAGCCAATACAATAAGCCTTAGCAGTCATATTGTAACCGAGCTCACTCAAGCAAAGCTATCTTTAGTAGGGACTTTCCCTTCCAGAGAGCATGCACATTTTGATTTTACCTGTCCTCAAACTGATCTTTTGCTCATTACAATAGTAAAAAACACACCCATGGGTGGAGATTTAAGATGCTAATGAGACATGGGATGTATGAATAAGCATGTACAGCTACTGTACATGTACAGAAGACCATCAGGACCTGCTTACTAGTAACACCTGTTACCACCTCCTTATGAATAACCATGTAAAACTCCCATAATGGGGGTTTCTCCAGCAATAATCAATGCTGTCTCACCCTAACAAGCAGCCCTCCCTGAATTCCTTCACTCTCAGTGTGTACAGTCTATTCTGCACTTAACTTTCAAAATATTATTTTTCTTTCACAATAAATTACTCTATGCTGTTCTTCTTTTGCTGTATGTCTCTTGTTTAATTTATTTTAAACTAAGAAGAACCAGAGGTATCACAACAGCTGTCAACAGCACCTGAAGAGAGGAAGTATTTTCTATCATCTGGTTTGTCAATTCTACCTTATTGTTAATGTTATCTAAGTTTTTCATATCCTTAGGTTTCTCTATTTTTTCTGGCTTGGATGAATAAGGTGTCTATATTAGTTCATTCTCACTTTGCTATAAAGAATATACCCAGGTAATTTATAAAGAAAAGAGGTTTAATTGGCTCACAGGTCTGTGGACTGTACAGGAAGCATAGCAGTGTCTGGTTTGGGGGAGGACTCAGGAAACCTACAATCATGATGGAAGGCAAAGGGGAAGTAGGCACATCTTTCATGGTGGGAGCAGGAGGAAGGCCGGCGGGAGGTGTTACACACTTTTAAACAACAAGATCTTGTGAGAACTCTATCACAAGAACAGCACTAGGGGGATGGTGCTGAACCATTCATGAGAAACCACCGCTACAAGCAAATCACCTCCCACCAGAGCCCACCTCCAAAACTGAGGATTTCAATTCTATGTGAGATTTGAGTGGGGACACAGACCCAAACCATATCAATCCTCCCCTGGCCCCCTCCTAAATCTCATGCCCTTCTCACATTGCAACATATAATCATGCCTTCTCAAATGTTCCCCAAAGTCTTAACTCATTTCAGCATTAACGGAAATGTCCAAAGTCCAAAGTCTCATCTGAGACAAGGCAAATCCCTTCTGACTATAAGCCTGTAAAATCAAAAACAAGTTAATTACTTCCAAGATAGAGTGGGGGTACAGGCATTGGGTAAAGACTCCTGTTCCAAAAGGGAGAAATCGGCCAAAAGAAAGAAGCTAGAGACCCCAAGCAAGTCTGAAACCTAGCAGGGCAGACATTAAATCTTATACTTCCAAAATAGGCTCCTTGGACTCCACGTCTCATATCCAGAGCACAATAGTGCATGGTGTGTACTCCCAAGGACTTGCATAGCTGTGCTCCTGTGTCTTTGCAGGGTTCAGCCCCTGCAGCTGCCCTCATGGGCTTGTGTTAAGTGCCTGCAGCTTTTCCAGAAGTAGGGTGGAAACTGCTGGTTGGTCTACCATTCAGGGATCTGGAGGAAAGTGATCCTTTTCTCACAACTCTGCTAGGCAGTACCCAGTGGGGACTCCGTGTGGGGGTTCCAACCTCACATTTCTGCTCTGTACCGCTATAGTGGAGGTTCTCTGTGAGACCCTTGCCCCTGCAGCAGACTCCTGCCTGCACATGCAGGCTTTTCCATACATCCTCTGAAATCTAAGCAGAAGCTCTCAACCCTCAATTCTAGCATTCTGTGCACCCTTGAACTTAACACCACGTGGAAGCCTCCAAGGCTTATGGCTTTCACACTCTGAAGAAATGGTCTGAGCTCTACCTGGGCCCCTTGAGCCACAGCTAGAGCTGGAGCAACTGGGATGCAGGCAGCAGTGTCCACAGGCTGTACAGGACAGCAGGGCTCTAAGCATGGTCCACAAAACCATTCTGTCCTCCTAGACATCCAGGCTTGTGATGGGAAGCATTGCCACGAAGGTCTCTGATATGCCTTCAAGATGTTTTTCTTAATATTTTGGCTACTAATACTTGTCTTCCTTTTAGTGATGTACATTTCTGCAGCCAGCTTGAATTCTTCCCCTAAAAATGTGCTTTTCTCTTCTGCTACATGGCCAGGCTGCAAATTCCTTGAACTTTTACATTTTGCTGCCCTTTTGTACTCTGCTTCACTGGAACTGGATATAAGTTCCACTTTCAGGTCATTTCTTTGTTCATGAATGTGAGCCTAGGCTGTTAGAAGCAGACAGGCCAGATCTTAAACTCTTTGCTGCTTAAAAATTCCTTCTGCCAGATACCCTAAATCATCACTCTCAAGTTCAAAGTTCCACAGATCCTTAGAAAGGGGCACAGTGCAGCCAACCTCTTGGCTAACACATAACAGAAGTAAACTTTGCTCCAGTTCTCAATAAATTCTTCTTCTCAATCTGAGACCTACTCACACTGGAATTCATTTTCCATATCACTATCATGATTTTGGTCACAACAATGTAACAAGTGTCTAGGAAGTTCCAAACTTTCCCTCAACCTCCTATAGTCTTCTGGGCCCTCCACACTCTTCCAACGTCTGCTGATTACCCAATTCCAAAGCCACTTCTACATTTTCAGAAATCTTTGTAACAATTACCTATTCCTGGTACCAATTTGCTGTATCAGTTCGTTCTCTCATTGCTGTAGGAAAAATACTTGAGACTGGGTAATTTATGTAGAACAGTTTTATTTGGGTCATGGTTCTGAAGGCTATACAGAAAGCATAGAAGCTTCTGCTTCTGGATAGGCCTCAGGAAATTTACAATCATGGCAGAAGATGAAGGAGAAGCAGGCACATCTCATATGTCTGGAGCAGAAAGAAGAAAGATGGGGGGGAGGTGCTACACACTTTTATTTATTTATTTATTTATTTATTTATAGGTGGAGTCTCACTCTGTCACCCAGGCTGGAGTGCAGTGGCATGATCTTGGCTCACTGCAACCTCCACCTTCCAGGTCCAAGTGATTCTCCCACCTCAGCATCCCAAGTAGCTGGGATTACAGGTGCCCACCACCATGCCCAGCTAATTTTTGTATTTTTAGTAGAGATGGGTTTTCACCATGTTGGCCAAGCCAGTATAAAACTCCTGACCTCAGGTGATCCGCCCGCCTCAGCCTCCCAAAGTGCTGGGATTATAGGCATGAGCCACCACACCCAGCCATGCTACAGACTTTTAAACAATGAGATCTTGTGAGAATTCTAATGGGAGAACAACACCAGGGTGATGGTGCAAAACCGTTCACGAGAAACTGCCCCCATGATCCAATCACCTCCCACCAGGCCCTAAATCCAACACTGGGGATTACAGTTCCACATGAGATTTAAACCATGTCAGTGACTTCAATGTGCCTGTGTTTAATGAGTCTCTTTCTGTTTTATATGAGTCACACTTTATCAAATTTACTTCAATATTCATGACTGCTGCAATTTCATTGCGAAATTTAGCCTTTTACATTGAAGAGAAGTCTTCTATGTACCTTTGGTCTTCATTCAGCTTAGACTGACATTAAGATCTGTGACTCTACTTTTATGTTTGTTCTTTCCTAGGTATACTTTTGCCATTCCTTTATCTCAATCACTTTTCTTCATCACTTTTTTTGATACATCTTTTATATAATTCTAATATTAAAAACATGTATTAAGAATTTTTTTTCTTTGCAGATACACACTAGAGATAGCAAATTTAATACATATCAAAAACATTACAAAATATCTCTGGGGCCATGAATGGCTAGCAAACTCAGTTGGTCTACAGGTCTAGTTTTGTGCATGTACAGTGGATCGTGGCCTGGGGTGGAGTGCATGTTGCAGTTGAAGGATTGTGAGAAGCCCCAAAACTCCCTGAGGCTGTAGCAATGTCCAGTGGAATCCAGGGCCAGAGAAACAGAGGACCAAATGGAAGGTAAAAATTAGGGATTCAGTGAGATTCTCAGCATCATCCAATGTGAGTCCAAATTACTGTGGGATCTGGACCCATAGCACTGTAAGGGAGGTATCCTGAGGGCACAAAAGCAACAAGTGCTGTCTGTGGCATCTGGCCATGGTGAAGGCCACAGGCACAATGATTAGGAGGAGACAGAGAGTCCCTGAGAGATATTACAACATCCTACGGCAACCTTTGGGGTGGGGAATTCAATGACCTCTGGGAGCCCTGGTTGTCACAATTGGAGACAGCATCTGGGGGCCTTGGAAATTCGTCAGTTATTGGAGGTAAAGAATCTTCACTGTGGAGAGGCCCAGGCCAGAATTGTGCTTGGCAGGAATCTTCTCTGATTCCTGGGGTTGGGATAAGAAGTAGATATCACTTGACATTTGACACCATATTCAATGGCCATGGGTCCAGAGGATTGATCATGCATTGGAGGAAAATATCTCCAAATTCAGTGGCGTATCTCTGTCTGGCTTTAGCCCCAGCAGATGAGTCAGGGGCCCAGGAGATCCTGGAAAACTTAGTTGGGACCGGAACCCTAGAGGCATAAGAATGGTCCATTGCTACAACCTTGGCCAGATTCACCGGGGATTTCCAGTCTCCACCAGTGTCCCTGGACAATGTAATCAAAGGCACAGTGACACTGGGAGGAGTCATAGGGACAACAAGAGGAAGACTACTAGCAGTGCTGTCGAGGGATAGCAGGCAGGGGCCAGGGTGCATGGGTTCATCAGGATCCAGTGGGGGCCCCAGGGGTTGAAGATCAGGGGCACAACAGCAGCCAGAAGCCTTTGCAAAATGCGGAAGGCCACCGCTCAAAGGTGCGGGTTTGTCTGTCAAAGCTTCATCGGCGAACTGGAGCTGAGGTTTGCGGCCTGGAGCTCTGCTCCCTGTCCCCACTGAGAGGCGCCTCTTAGCTGCAGACTGAACAGTTGTCTCCTCAGTCCCCAGTTCTCGAGGACGACGACCACGGCCTCGACCACGACCTCGACCACGACCACAGCCACGACAAGGACCCCACCTTCCAGTGGAAGGGGGAAGAACCCAGGCTGACGTCTCCAGGGCTTGGATTGCAGATCCAGGCACAGCATCGGTACCACCGCCCTTTGGGTTGTAACAGAGCCTTGGGGCCACAGTCCGTGTGGGACAGCTGGTTATGTGGTTCCGGAGATGCCTCAGGCCCAGAGCAGCTCTCCTAAGTGCTATGTCCTCCCTCCAGTTGCTCGGCTCTTGGCTTTCTGCAACCCTGGGCTCCATGTAATCCACAACAGTCAAGTCTTGCCTGTGTTTCCAGAGCTCATAGCTCTCGGGTTGCAGGATGCGCACGAAGGCATCCATGGAAAAGGTCACTCTCGCCTCGCCACAGCTACACTGTGAAGCCACTTTACCATAATCAATCCATCGTGGAGTGGCAAAGTTGATGGCCTCTGCGCAGTTGAAGCCGTGATTGAAGCCAGCATGGTAGCCATAGGGAAAAGTCACCATGAACTCCCCAGCCTCCTGAGTCATGCGATTGAAGGGGATCCCATTCTTTTTGAGAACTGTAGGCGAGATGAGGGCCACCTTGTGCCGCAGGAAGCCCTCACAGCCCCGGGAATTGCCTGGGAAGAGCTCCCTGGCCAGGCATTCCAGGCGCTGACCATGTTCTGGGGGCACCACGTACCAAGTTTTGGGCTCCCCAAAGTGCAGGTAGTTGATGCTGTAAAGGTCCATGTCCTCCGTGTGCCAAGCAAACGTGGTCTTCCACATGCCAAAGTACAGGTAGGGTGTGTTGACACCCTCGATGACAACCCCACATTCCTGCTCCAACAGGTCCAGAATTGTTCCCAGGTGTCCTAGGTTCCATTGTTTAGTGCTTTCTTCAAATAAGGAGCCGCTGATATCAGCACCATAAATTGGTGGATTACCGGGGTGGCTCTTCCAGTATCGTTGCTCCAAATCTGCAAAATTCTGGTGTGGCGGAGTCTGATATTTTTTACTGTTTGCCAAGTGGCGATACTGCCCCACCCTCATGGCTTTCTTCTTTTTATGGTATTGAGTAAACACACCTCCCTGCCCAGAGGTCACCTGCTGGAGGGGAGTGGCTATTAAGATGTCTTCAATATCATCATACATCTGTCTGGCTTTCCATTCCTTGGGTGGAATTACCTTGGCGAGGCCAGCTCGGTGTGCGCCTTGGGACTCCATGTAAGCAACATATGTGTTGAAATCTGCAAATTCTTCCATGGTTGGGTAAAACGTCATGATGGTATGACTCGTGTTCTGGGGACTGGAGTGCACAGACTTCATGGCTGCACACAAGAAGCAGCTGACTCCCAAGTTCTTCGGTGTCCTCCAAATGCCTGAGAGTGCTGGGGAGGAATTTCTTTTCTCTGCTTTGTTTTTTCAAAATACTTTGGTTTATCTGTGAGGGAGTAATTCACACTTGAACTTTTGAACAAGTGAGATCTTTCAGAGGCTTCTGACTTCCCAGGGGGACTCTGCTGTAGTCAGTATTTTTTTGTCCAAAGAAAATAGAATATGTCCCAGTGGGGCAGGCACCCCAGCTGGAGTCCCAGCTCCACCTGCAGCTCTGTGAGTTTCCTCAGTTGGGGGTGTCACTGTGAGGCTTCTCTTGATTCTCAGGCTTGGGTGCCCCAGTTGCTGGTAACTGCACTGTACCCGGGCGTCTCTTCTAGGAAATCAAATCAGTAAACCTAAATAACAACACAAAATACAGAATATTTGAAAATACATGTATAACCAGACAAAAGAAATACTCAGCTAGTATTAAGCTAAACTAAAGGGTATGCTGTGTTAACATCAGGATATAAGGTCAAATAATAAAACAGAAAAAGAGCAGCATCTAATCAAACTAAGAGTGAAAATGATCAAGTTTGCAAAGGAATGAATTAAGCAATCCACTCAAGAAACTGGATGCATTAACATCAAAGGAAACAATGAAAATAAAGACACAAGCAGAAACCATTGCAAAAGGAAACAGAACCTCCAATAGGAATGATGACAAAAAGCTAAAACTTGACTTTTTAAAAAGATGGTGAGAAGTAAAAAGCCATAGGCATGAAGAGAAAAGAAAATACAAATGAAACAATTGAGATAACTTAGGGGGCATAGCTAAAAATCTTGCTGAGATGTTTTAAAAATTTTAACTGAAACTTATGAGCAACTTGAGTGAGAATAATTTTCTCAGTAGGACAAATATCAAAAAGTGCTCCAACAGAGAAATAAAATGACCTAACTTCCACCAAAAACTCACAATTCCTGATGAAAATACTCCAGGACCCAGAGAGAAGGTTTCCTCTTGGTAGCTGAACTCCAAATGCAGCCCCACGTTGCAAAGACCCTGGCTTTATACCTGGGCGGCATCCTAACCCAATCAGTGCCCAGCTAATGTAATCACTGGGCTGGGTCCAGATTAGGCATCCCACCCGTTTGTGCCTCTCCCTTTTGTTTTACATTTAAATCCTATAACAATGCTAAGTGATTAAAAGTCAAGTTATGGGAACAGGGAATCTAAATAAATACTAAAAGAAACCGAGGGTAACAATATTAATATCCAGTGTATATATAAGATCCAAGAGGGACATTTTATAGTTAACGAAAAAAAATTCATAGAAAAATATTATAGGGATGAACTTTATGCACCTAACCACACAACAGTGACACACTGAAGCCAAGACTGAGAGTTGTTGTAAGGTCAAACAGTAAAATCTGCAATCGTGCTGGGAGTTGTGTGTGTGTGTGTGTGTTTAACATTATCCTTTCAGAAACCAATAAGGTAGAGCAGAAAATTAATGTTTAGTAATATGTACAAGCTTAAGAACTTTGAGGATAGAGATTGTAACAATTAAAAAGCAAATGTGAAATGCTTTTCGGTACATAGGTAACGTTTATAATAGATAAATTTACCAATATAGGACTACAAAGTAAATATCAAATAAAAATTATATTAAATGAATATACTGGCCAAAATGAAATGAAATTGAAAGTCAACAATACAAAACCTGAATCCAAATTTATTTGAATCCATATTTATTTGAAAATTAATATGCACATTTCTAAAATCCTATTGATCTTCACTTTGAACTCAAGCAGTGAGTAAAAACAAAATGGAACAAAATTCTGCAGAAGAAAATGAAAGATAGAAGTAATGATAGAAAGATAAAAGGGAAAATGTATACTAAAAGGTGATTAATAAAACTAAAATCTGATAGTTTTTTAAAGAAAAAATACATAAGTGGAAGTATTGATAAAGAACACTTTCTAGACCTGGGCAAGTAATATACAGAAAGAGCCCAAAGCATTTGTAGCCATGGAAAATAAAAACTCCGTAAATACACACAATAAAAAATGCGGTTACTTCCAGTGGGACAGAAGGAAAACAATTCCCAATGGCCAAATCTCCAACAAATTGAGCAAGAAAATATGTAAATTGAATTATAATCCTAAATATGAAATAAATATCTATGAGTTCATACTGATATAAATTAAAGATTAAGTAAACAAACAGCTGAGAAGTGACAAAGCTCTCTTTCCTAAGAATTCTAAACAAATTAAATTAATTAAAATATTGTCTATTTTGAAAATGTTATGACCCTATATAAATATAAATAGAATTGTGTTTTATGTATTTTCATGTATTTTTTGTGTGGCATTTCCCTCATCTATGTTCTTCTGTACAGCTGTACTTTGTCTTGTTTCCTTGCTGTAATTTATTCAATGGTATAAATGTTTGCGTTTTTAATGGGTATTTAGTTCCTTTCTACTTTTGACCTCTTACAAAAAATGTTGCTCTGAAAATGCTTGGACATGGATAGCGCTTGGGGCTCACATGTACTCCTGTCTATGAATAGATATCTTGGTCACAGAAGGCAGTCAGGCCTCCATATCCTCTGGGTTCAGCAGCAGTGGATTCAACCAACCGAGGATCAAATGCATTCATAAAAAGAAAGAAACGGTGAAAAATAATGGTACAATAAAAACAACAAAAAATAGAGTAAACAACTACTTGCCTGGCATGCTAACCCAAGATTGAGCTTTCTAGAATTTAGTAAGATGGTTCTTACTTTTCTAGCTGCCCTTGTCTTGTCTCCTATTTGCTTTTCTCCAGTTTAAGATACAGGCAGTAAAACACATAGATCTTAGGTCTCCACTTTAGTGAGTTTTAAAAATTATATACACCCATGTAATCAACACATAAAAGATGTAGAACATTAGCACAGCCCCATAGGATTCTCGCAGGACAGAAGCTTTCCAGCCAATCCCAACTTGCCACCAGAGGCAACCACTTTCTAAGTTCTATGATTGCAGGGGACTATGGCCTGATTTGGGAATGAATAGGAATGGAATCATACAGTATGTATTCACTTGGATTTTGCTACTTTTCCCATATGGGATGTTTGTGAGATCATCTATCCTGTTGCATGCACCAGCAGTTCACTCCTTTCAATTGATGAATAATATTTTAATACACTATAGTTTTTCTACTCATCTTTTCAGAGATATATGGATTGTTCACAGTTCTTCATTCTTACCAATTGAGCAGATACCTAGAAGGAGATTTGCCAGAGACAGATGAGTGTGCAAGTTTATAGAAGACTGACACAGTTTTTCAAAGGGGCTGTATGATGTCATATTCCCACTAGCAATGCATGTGAGAAACCATTGCTCTGGACATGAGACTGTTCCTCTCAGAGCCAGAGTGCATGGTTCCAGTAAATCCAGGCATAAAACAGGGACTCATTCATCATGCCAATGTAAGATGTTTGCTTTTTGTCCTCATGACTTCTGGTGTTCAAAGGAACATGTTTTCAATGGAGTCACAACAATAATGCCATACATAGGAAGCTGAGATTCCCAAATGGCCATTTCAATCTCCTCACATCACTGAATAACCATGCAAAGAAGGAATATAATTTCAGCAGGGTGGTGATTGATCTTTATTCTCTCAAGGAAATATGCCATTTAAACACAAACCTAAAGTACACTTGCAGGTCAGGTTTACTATAGAGCATACTCTAAGACGTCAGCACCAAGATCTTTCTTAAAGAGTGTCCTTTGGATCCGTATCTGAGAAAGGGAGGAGGGGGAAGCAGGTGTGAGCACAGGGAAATGTCGATCTGTGGGTTAGAGCCAAAGATAGGCAGCCGATCCTGCAGGGAGCTCTGGAGCTCAAATGGCTTTGCAGGTTGTCCTGGGTTGAGCAGAGATGGTGAAGCTTTATCTTCCACTACCGGGAAGTCATGGGATGTTAGCCGAATTGGGAAGAGGCATGGCCTTGGGTGAGGCAGCTCTCTGCAGCTGAAGGCTGTCTGCCGACTGCAGTCCAGAGGCAATGAGGCTTTTACCTATCACATAAAAGTTTATTCCTTGGTCATGCAAGATGTGCTGTGGGTCCAGCAGCTCTCTAGGGCTACTCCCTTCCTGTGAATGCAGCATGCTTTCATCTTGTGATTCCACCATGTCAGTGTTAGCTTTAACCTCATTTCCGCCAGGCATCTCACTCCATCCTCCTCTGTGCCTGGAGTCTCTGAGTTCATCTCTCAGGTTGAATTTTCCAAAGAATAAACTTCCTTCTCTTGTTACATTAGGAAAGACAAAGTTGCCTGAATGAATGGAAGAGGCAGGAAGGTATGGGTTTTTCTGCTGTTTATTGAAAACTTTAGAGAAGCACCAATTTCTGATTACTCTAACTTTAAAATTTCCTACTGAAATGCTGATAGGGGAAGAAAAGAAGGGTCCTATTACGGATAGTACTTAACGAGCAAGGTGGCTTTCTTCTCAGAATGTTTCTTTCTGTATGAAAACTATCATTTTCAATTTCCAAAATATGTTCCGTCCACTTTTGTGCACTTCCTTTTTGTTGCTGGTTTTAAAGACAGAGTCTGGCTCTGTCACCCAGGCTAGATTGCAGTGCTGCAATCATGGCTGACTGCAACTTTGACCTCCCAGGCTCAAGTGATCCTCCTCTCTCAGCCTCCTGAGTAGCTGGGAATACAGGCGTGTGCCACCACACCCAGGTAATTTTTTTTTTAACTTTCTTCTGCAGAAACTGAGTTTCACTATGTTGATGAGGCTGGCTATGCAATTTCAAAACTAACAATTAAGCCTAAGCAACTGTCACTCTCACTTGTATTATAAATGGTCAAACTGCTTCTCCTACTTGCAAACTCTCCATAGAGCCACTAAGCTGATTATTTAAATGTGTCAATCACATCTTGTCAACTGCTGTTTTAAGCTTCTGATGCCTTCTCACTTCAAGTTGAAGGAACACCAAATAATGCATTTAACTTGAAACATGAAGCTCTACATGTTCTGTCCCCAGACTCTCTCCCTTCCCCTCTCTGCCCGAGACACAAGTAAGCTTCTTTTGTATTCCTGGAAAAAGAAAATCACTAATTTCCATGGTAGGTCTATTGTACTTGCTGTTCCCTGTAAGTGGAAAATTCTGCTCTGGACTTTCCGTTTGGTCAACTAGGTCTCAAAAAAGGTCTCC
Organism: Homo sapiens; assembly: GCF_000001405.40. Classification (NCBI taxonomy): domain Eukaryota; kingdom Metazoa; phylum Chordata; class Mammalia; order Primates; family Hominidae; genus Homo; species Homo sapiens. Next base: position 95,044,215 of record NC_000011.10, on the reverse strand, counting down.
TGCTCTGTGAATCCATCCGGAACCCACAGCTCAGGCAGCCCCTGCCCATTCTTCTCTGTCATCTAATCCTGTTTTAGTTTCTGCACAGCACACATTGCTGATAAAAACTGTCTTGCTTACTTAGTGAGGACTTGTTTATTGGACTGAGCCAATGAATTAACAATGTCAAATAACCCACAGCTTTGAAAAGCCAGTGGAATTTCGCTGTTTTGGCTTGTGTTTTCCTCTTATCTAAAGCTTGCCCAATAAAGAATATTCACCTTTCAGAAAAAAGCATCTCTACATTTTCTATTTTTAAAACTAATTTCTAGTTTTATTGCATGGTATTGATTTTTTCTTTTTCTTTTGATAAATTATTGATGTTTTGTTTTCATCCTAATATATTGTCTAATTTTGTGAATCATTCATTAGCACTTGAAAAAGGTGAGTATTCTCTATTACCAGGTGCATACATTGTACCTTGTTAAACTTGTTTGTTTTCTATATCTGTATATGTGTCCATTTCTTTTCTGTCCTCAACACAATAAGTGACTTAAATTCTCTGGTTTTTCAAACACTACTCCAACTTGTTTCTTACCAACTATAATTTTTCCTTAATCAAACTCACATGGGTTCTAGGCTAGATCTCAACCTTCTGGCCCTAAGCCTGCACCATGTCCTCGTGGAGCTTGTTCTGAGGAGGAAAAGAGGAGGGAAATGAGACTTTACCAGGACTTTCTTCTCCACCTCTGTGGTACAATCCTCTCTGGACCCTGCAGCCCATGCCCGCCCCTCCCGATTTCCTCCTAGAAACACAAGCCCAGCACGGAAAACTCCGTGGGTAACCTTCTCCCAAGTACTGCCTGAGCCCAGCACAGGGGCCTGGGACACCCACCCCTGGATTCTCTGGGCAAGTGCTCACCCTACGTGGATACAGTCAGGACTTTGGCAGCCTCTGAGACCAGAAAGCCAGGGAGAAGGAAGCCCACTAGAAGCAGTGCCCACTACCCACCCACGCTCACTCTGACAGAAGCACACAAACTTTGCACTGCCCGTCCTGTGCCAGGTAAAGGGATCTCGTGAGCTTCAGTGCATGTACAGTGCTGGCTGTGAGCTTGGCAAGAGCTTCCTGGCTCCACACAGCCACCTGGTCACCATGCCCAGCTTCCCACAGAGCCACATGGTACCCATAGTGAGTTACCACTAGCAGGAATAAAAAGATGTGGAGCACACCTTTCCCCAGGCTCTAACTGACTATTTGAAGAATGAAAATTCTGTTTCAAAGCCACAGAGACATCCATGATAAGGGGATATTGAAAGAAACTCTAGACTCCTAAACCTGGGACATAGGATAGAACTGAGAGATCCATGAATTCTCCCCCATAGTAATAAATGTTGGTGTGCATATAGTTGGTAGAGAAGTACAAGGTATGTTGCTGTCAGAAGTTTCCCCAAATTCATGAGAAGTGACACAATTAACTTTTAATCTAACATTTTAATTTCGTTTAAATTTAATTTAATTACAATTTTTGAAATTAAGATGATATTAAAAACTAATTTACTACAGATATATATCAGATCTCCAGTCAAGGCAGATGCAAAGGCATATTAATGATGTCCAAGGAAGAATATGGAACTTCTAAAAGATGATTAAAATGGTTTTACCAGGGACTCACACAGACACTTTTATACCAGTGTTCATAACAGCACCATGCACATAGCCAAAAGGAGGAAACAACCCAAGTGTCCATCCATGGATGATTGGAATAAGCAAAATGTGGTGTATACATATGATGCAATATTATTCAACCTTGAAAATGAAGGAAATTCTGACACATGCTGCAACATGGATGCACCTTGAGGACACCATGCTAAGTGAAACAACTAGAAATAAAAAGACAGATATTATATCATTGCGCTTATATGAAATACCTGAAATTTATTCATTTTATGTTAAGATCTACCACCCCTCTTTTCTTTTGCTTGCATTTTCCTTGATCTAGTTTTGCCCATTCTTTTGTTTTTCAATCATTCTGAATCACTTAGCTTTAGGTTTATCTCTTTTATAATAGTGATTTTAAAATATGTTTTCAGGATATTCCTTTCTTTACTTGGTAGATACACACTAGGAAAAATTAATTTAATAAACAGGAGACAGCCTCTGGTAGCCTTGGGTATATATTAGTTCTTCAAGGTAAAAGAGACTGAGACAATCCCAGGCTCAAATTGTGCTTGGGTGGAGCCTTCTTTGGCTAGTAGGGTTAGGTTATGGTCAGAGGGACAGCCACATTTGGCAATATATTCAGTAGCCATGGGTTCAAAGGATTAAGATAATGTATCAGAGGCACATAGCTCCAAATTCAGAGGTGCGGCACTGTCTTGCTTCAGCCCCAGGAGATGAGTCAGGGCCCAGCATATTCTGACAACATCAGTTGGGGCCAAGACCCCAGAGGTATAAGAATGGTCCATTGCTACAACCTCAGCCAGGTTCAAGGGGCTTTGCACTCTCCAGCAGCATCTCTGGAGAATCTTCTCAGCATCATAATGATGTTGGGAGGAATCAGTGGAACATAGTCAGGGTGGTTCAGTGTCATGCTGTCTGGGGATGTCGGATACGCACACATCAAAGCATCAGATCCAAAGTCTCTCCAAAGGTTGAAGATGGGGGCACTGCAGCTCCTGGAAGCCTTGATGGGATACTGAGATGCAGGCATGAGAGATACAGGCTTGTCTATCAAAGTTCCATCCCAAGTAGGGGCAAAGCCCCAGGATCAAGAGCTCTGTGTGCTGTGCCACTTGGTGGGAGACTAGAGGATCCCCTCCTGAGCTCCTAGTTCCTGAAGAAGACCACCATGACCACCTCTTCCAGTTGACAGGCAGAGAACCAGGGCAAACAGACCCAAGATAGATGGTGGGCCACGGTGTGTTCTTGGGAGCCTCTGGGGTCAATGACCTTTGGATGGGCATCAGTTTCCTGGGCTGCCACGGGGAACCAGGGAAACTGCAACTGTACATATGGGCTCAGTGGTAGGTCCCACCATCCAGGACCACAGGCCTAGAAGAAGTCAGGTCCAGGGGAGCTTCAGTCCGGGTACAATGTCCTCCTGCCAGGTAATGAGCTCCTGGCTGGCCAGCACCCTGGGCTCCCTTTGATCCACAATGGCCCCATCTTGCTAGCTTTTCCATAGGTCATAATGATCAGGTTTCATGATGTGCATGAAGGCGTCCATGGAAAAGGCCACCCTGTCCTCCCCACAGCTACACTGAGGGGCCATATTGCCATAATCTACCCATCCTGGGTGGTTAAATTGATGGCCTCTTTGCAGTTGAAGCCTGTGTTGTAGTCATAGGGAAATGTCACTGTGAACTCTCCAGCCTCCTGACTCATGCTATTGAAGGGAATCCCATTCTGCATGAGCACGGTGGGCACGATGAGGGCCATCTAGTGCCACAGGAAGGCCTCATAACCCTGAGAACTACCTGGAAAAGCTCCCTGACTGAGCATTCCAGGTGCCAACTATGGTTTTGGGGCACTGCGTACCAATATAGGGGCTCTCTGAAGTGATGGTAGTTGATGTAAAGGTCCATGTCCTCCATGAGCTATGGAAAGGTGGTCATCCACATTGCCAAAGTACAGGTAGGGTGTGTTGACACTCTCTTCGATGAAAACCTCATATTCCTGCTCCAGAAAGTCCTGAATTGTTCCTACGTGTCCAGGATTACATTATTTACTGTTTTCATCAAATAGGAGGCTGAGGTTCTTCCGGTATTTTCTTTCCAAATCTTCAAACGTCTGGTGTGGTCGAGTCCAGTATATTTCAGAATATTTGAAGACAAATGTGTGACAAACAAAATGCTGAGATTTAAGCTACCTTAGTAACTTAGTGACGCCACGCAGGCTTCAACCACAGCTTTAACTGTACAGAGGCCATCAGTTCCACCACCCAGGATGGATCGATTATGGCAGATTGGTATGGTGTGTTAATATCAGGATTCAAGGTCAAATCATAACATATATAAAGAGGAGTATCTAATTGAACTGAAAGAAAAAAATCAGCAAGTTCAAAAATGATTGAATTTAGCACTCAACTCAGTAAGCGGGATGAATTAAAATAAAGGAAAGAAAATAAAGGTATAAGCAGAAACAATTACAAAAGAAAATATTACACCCAGTATAGGTAATAACGAAAATCAAAATCTGATTCTTTGAAAAGACCTTTAGAAGTTAAAAATCACAGGGAGGAAGAGGAAAGAAAGAGTGTACAAAGAAACTACATTGTGATAAAATAATAAAGCACATAGCTAAACCTTGTAGAGTTTTTTTTAATTATAATTGAATCCTATGAGAAACTTGGTAACATAATTTTCCCAAAAGTACAAATAGCAGAAAGTATCCAACAGCAAAATAAAACCACCAACTTTCTACAAAATATTTCTAGTTTTATTTTGAGAAAAGGTAACACCAAGAAAACATTTTAATTCAATGATAGAAACACGGTTATAGTAAGAAATATTCATAATCAAAAACATACACCATGTTGTAAGTACCTACAGTTACAAACCATTTCTTCCATAACATTCCCCATATTTTAAGTTCATGTATGTTGACATGATCAGATTTGCCATTTAACAGAATAGGGAGGGGGAAGAGGTGTGATTATCATATCAGCTAGATGTGCTCACTGCATGCTCTATTATTTCTCTTCCAGGCCTGGGTGACTGGAAGGGCAGTTGACAGGCATTTTAATAAACTGAACAGCCATTTGTTCTTCAGGACAGGGCTTCTTTTTTCAGGAGCAATCAGAAGAAAACAGGAAACAGCTCAGCACTCTGCACTGCAACAGGCCACCTTAACAGCTAACCAGCATCACTCAACTGCTATGCAGCCGGGCCTGGTACACAAAAACACAGAAGAGATTAGAATTGTGTTTGCTCAAAACCCGGTCTTTTCACCTGAAAAATCTTTATACAAATTTGGGTCATATTACCAGTTAGATATAAAGGTAATAACATTACACATATACATTTATACCGCCTTTTGTAAGTTTTTAACTTTAAGGAATGAAGGCAGTTTTGAGGCAATGCCGTGACAGCGTTCGGCTGTGTGTAATGGCTGCACACATTTCTTAAGAGACAGGAGGCCACAAATTAGGTTACCAACCTGTTCATTTCAAACCAAAAATATCAGCACTATAGAATCAAATACACGCTGGGCGAAGAGGCTCACACCTGTAATCGCAGAACTTTAGGAGGCCAAGGTGAGCAGATCACTTGAGCCCAGGAGTTTGAGGGCAGGCTGGCCAACATGGCGAAACCCCGTCTCTACTAAAAATCCAAAAATCCAACAATTAGCCCTCCGTGGTGGCTGGCGTCTGTAATTCCAGCTACTCCAGAGGCTGAGGCCTGAGAATTGCTTGAACCCAGGAGGTGGAAGATGCAGATGGCGCCACTGCACTCCAGCGTGGGCAGCAGAGCTCGACTACATCTCAAAAATAAAAAACAAGCAAAAAAGACAAATATAAATTTTCCCCTCTAATACCCAAATCCAATCTAAAGTCATTCACCTCACTAAATTACAAGAAAATTTGAAAACAAAAAAATGGCACATAAAATGAATCTTGCCATCTGATGCAACGCTTCAAACTGGTAAAACAGGTAGACAAATATCACCCAACCGTTTCATTACGCAGTCGCTTCTTCCAGTGACTCTGCTTCCATGGACTGAGTATGGAGTCCTTTTCCCCAAGTCCTCCATCACGCGTTAGCTGATGATCATTTTCCTAGGAGGGCACTTGTCCTTTTTCCCCTTCAGGAGACTTGGGAGGACTCTTGGATCGCGACCTGGACTTGGATTCCCTCTTGGATGTCGGGGGAGGACTCCCGGACGTAGATCTAGACCTGGACCATGAGCAAGATCTGGAGATGGAGGAGGACTTGGATCTTCACGGAGAGCTGGATTTGGAGGTTGATGGAGATGCAGAGTGAGACCCAGACTTCGAGTGAGAGCGGCGGTAGGGAGACCTGCTGCGGGAAGACCGGATGTAGGGAGACCTCCTGTAGCGAGATTCCCTGTAGGGAGATCGGCTGTAGTGATGCCGGCTGTAAGATCGACTGTAGGGAGATCGGCCGTAGCGAGATCCCCTGTAATGAGATCGTCTGTAGGGAGATCGGCTGTAGCGAGATCTCCTGTAGATAGACAGGCTATAGCGAGACCCCCCATAGTGAGATCTGCTGCGGGACCTAGAGTAGCTGGGACCCCGGGATTGGCTGCGGTGTCGCCCCCTGGGGCTGCCGCTCCGCCGTCCGTAGCGGCCGCCCCAGGACCTGCCGCGTGGCTCTTCCTGGCTGCTGCGAGGCAGGTCCCGGCGGCCATAGCGCGCCATCCGCACACGCAGCTCGCGTTCGTCCAGCACCGCCCCGTCCATGGCGGCCTCGGCGTCTTGCGCGTCGCTCCGGTCGTGAAAGCGGACGAAGGCGAAGCCCCGGGGCGCCTTGGTGTGGGGCTCCAGCGGGATGTACACGTCGCCCACGCGCCCGTACTTCTCGAACACGCGCCTCAAGCTGTCGGGAGAGGTGCGGTAGGTCAGGTTGTCCACCTTGAGGGTGATCATGCCATCCACGTCGGGAGGGGGGCGGCCGCAGCTCATGGCTCCGAGAGCAGCCCGGGCCTGGAAACTGGCGCGGCACTGGGCGCTGGTGGGGCGACCTGCGTTCCTCTCTTGCGGTTGCGCCCCGCGTGGGGACGCCAGGAGAGACCTGGGGGAGAGGCGGGCGGCCGAGCTCCGCAGGGAGCGCTCTAGAGCAGCAATTCCCAAATTCCCAATTTCAGGCCGAATACTCCAGGACCCAGAGGAAGGTTTCCTCTTGGTAGCTGAACTCCAAATGAAGCCAGGTCCCGAAGATCCTGGCTTTATACCTGGGCAACATCCTAACCTAATCAGCGCCCAGCCAATGTAATCACTGGGCTGGGTTTACATTAGACGTCCCACCCTCCCATAACCTTCCCTTTTATTCTACATTTTAAATCAATCTTAAAACAACGCTAAGTGATTAAAAGTCAATTTATGGGAACAGGCAATCCAAACAAATATTAAACAAAAGAAACCTAGGGTAGCAATATTAATATCCAGTGTATTGATAGGATCAAAGAAGCACATTTTATAGTTAATGAAAAGAAATTTCATAGGAAAATATTACAATATTACAGTAATGAACTTTATGCACCTAACCACATGGCACTGACCATAGAGAGCCAAGACTCAGACTTAGATGGTAAAACTGAAAAGTCTGCCATCATCATAGGAGATGTTGGTTTTTTTTTAATGTAACAGCATTTTAATCGAAACCAATAGTGCAGAGAACAAAGTTAGGAATCCTATATAATTTGGCTGGGCGCGGTAGCTCACCCAGCACTTTGGGAGGCCAAGCACTTTGTAATCCCAGCACTTTGGGAGGCCAAGGTGGGTGGATCACCTGGGGTCGGGAGTTCGAGACCAGCCTGGCCAATATGGTGAAACCCCGTCTCTACTAAAAATACAGAAAATTAGCCGAGCGTGCTTGAGGGCACCTGTAATCCCAGCTACTGGGGAGGCTGAGACAGGAGAATCGCTTGAACCCTGGGGGTGGGGGTTGCAGTGAGCCAACATGGCGCCACTGCACTCCAGCCTGGTGGACAGCCAGACTTTGTCAAAAAAAAAAAGCTATAGAATTTGCCAAACAAACTTAACAACTGTGATCATTGTAACCTGCAACTACCAAAAACCAAATGGAAAATGCTTTTCAATATGTAGAACACATTTACAAAAATTTCCCAGTGCAGCTACAAATAAATATCAGTTACAATTCCATAAGTTAATAAATTGAGCATAATCTTGACCTTGTTGAAATAAAATTAAAGGTCAAAAATTTAAAAACTTAATCTGACTATATTTATTTGAAAATTAATATCCATATTTTCTAAAAACCTATAAATCTTTGTGTTGAAATCCAGCAATTAGTAAGTAAAAACAAATAACATAAAATATTAAAACAATGATAGAATTATAAACAAAAGGCAATCTAGACTAAAGATGATTAATAAAACTGCAATCTGATAATGTTAAAAAAAAAAGGTGTGGCAATACTTATGAAGAAATAAAGTTTCTAGACCTGTGCAGGAAATATAGAAAGAGCCTATAGCCATCTTGGAATGTTGGAAAATAAGAATGTGGTAAACACAAAACAAACAAAAGTATTGATGAGGTTATGTTAGAACATTTATGGGGTTATATTAGAAGAGCACAAGAACCAATGAAAACAGCTCCCAATGGCCAAATCTTAAACAAGTTAAGCAACAGAATAACTAAAATATTATTGAATTATAATCCAAAGAATAAAATAAATACCTGCGAGTTCATGCTGTTATGAATAAATGAGTAAATTTAACAAATTGGAGAGAAGAGACAAAACCCCTCTGCAGAAGAATTCTAAATAAATTTACTAAAATGTTGCTCATTTTGAAAATGTTATATAACCTTATATAAGTAGAATTTTGCTTTATGCAGTTTAATGGTTTTTTTGTTTGTTTTATTTCCCTCATCTATGTTGTTCTGTGTATCTGTACTTGGTCCTGTTGCCTGCTGTAAGGTGTCCAATAGTATAAATGTTTCTGCTGTTGATGGCATTTGGATTGTTTCCACTTTGGCCTCTTACAGTGTTGCTCAGAACACGCTTGGACATGTATACTGGAGCTCATGTGTCCTCTTATCTGTGAATGGATCCCTCGTCATAGAATACAGGCAGCCTTCTGTAACCTCTGGGCTCAGCATCAGTGAATTCAACCAACTATAGGTCAAAAATATTCAGAAAAAAAATAAAATGAGTTTGTAAGTAATTCCTCTTCCTCTGCTTTTCAGAATAGCTTGAGTAGGACTGGTATGAGTTCTTCTTTAAATGTTTGGTGGAATTTAGCAGTGAAGCCATCGGATCCTCAGCTTTAATTTACTGGGAGACTTTTTATTACAGCTTGGATCTCATTATTTGTTATTGGTCTATTCAGGTTTTGAATTTCTTCCTCGTTCTATCTTGGTAGGTTGTATGTGTCTAGCAACTTGTGCATTTCTTCTAGGTTTTTCAACTTATTGCCATATAGTTGCTCATAGTAGCCACTAATGATACTTTGAATTTCTGCAGCATCTATTGCAATGCCTGCCTTTTCATTTCTGATTTTATTGATTTAGATCTTCTGTCTCTTTTTCTTAGTCAGCTAAAGGTTTCTCAATTTGGTTTAACTTTTCAAAACAACTTTGTTTCAGTGATCTTTTGCATTGTTTTCCTCATTTTGATTTCATTAATTTCTGCTCTGATCTTTGTTATTTCTTTTCTTCTACTAATTTTGGATTATTTTTGTTCTTACCTTTCTACTTCTTTAAGAGTCATCATTAGGTGGTTTATTTTAAGTTTCTCCTCTTTTTTGATGTAGGGACTTATAGCTATAAACTTCCATGTTAGTACTGCTTTTACTGTATCCTATAGGTTTTAATATATTGTGTTTCCATTATGATTTGTTTCAGGAAATTCCTCAATTTCCTTCTTAATTTCATCATTGACCTACTGGAGATTCAGGTGCATATTGGTTAATTTGTATGTGTTTGTGTAATTTCCAAAATTCCTCTTATTTTTATTTCTAGTTTTATTCCACTGTGTCCAGAGAAGATGCTTGGTATTATTTGAATTTTTGAACTTTTTAAGTTGTATTTTGTTACCTAACATGTGGTCTATTCTTGAGAATGATCCATGTGCTGAGGAAAAGAATCTGTATTTTACAACTGGTGGATGAAGTGTCCTGTCAATATCTATTAGATCCATTTGATATAAGGCAGACTAAATCTGATTTAGAGCCTTCTATTATACTATCTTGCTCTGCCAATTCCTCCAGTTTAAACTTATATACACCCATGTAATCATCACTCTAAATGAGATGCAGAACATTCCCATAGCCCCACAACATTCTCACATGCCTAGAACTTTCCAGTTAATTCCCACTCTCACCAGAGGCAACCATGACCTAAGTTCTATGAGCACAGCTTATTTTGGCCTTTTTTTTTTTTTTGGAATGAATATAAAATGAATCATTGCTTTTTATAACTGAATACTATTTAATATGCTATAGTTTTTCCACTCATCTGTTCAGACACGTGGATTATTCACAGTTCCTGATTTCTAATGGTTGGGTAAATACTCAGGAAGAGAATGGCTATGGATAGATAAGTGGTCAAGTTTACAGAACATTAACAAACAGTTTTTCAGTGGGGCTGTATAATGTAACATTCCCACAAGCAATGTATGTGAGAGTCACTTGCTCTGAACATGATACTGTTTTGCTCAGAACAGAGTACATGGTTCCAGTTAATCCAGGAGTAAAACTGGTATTGATTCATCATGCCAATGGCAAGATATTTGCTTCTTGCCCTTGTGACTTATGACATTCAAAGGGACATGTTTTCACCAGGGGTCACAACAATAATTCCATAAATTAAAAGCTGAAATTCTCATGTGGCCATTCCTATCTCCTCACATCACTAAATAACCATGCAAAGAACTATGATTTCCGTAGGGGTGAGTACTCTTTATTCTCTCAAGAAAATTAGGCTTTTGAAACACAATGAAACCTGAAGTAAAGTTGTAGGTCAAGTCCGTTATGGAACAGACTTCAGCACCAAGATCTTTCTTAACAAGTGTGCTTGGGATCCATATCTGAGAAAAGGAGAGGAAGGAAGCATGTTTGAGCACAGGGAAAATTGGAGCTGAGGATTAGGGCCAAAGATACTCTCGGCAAATCTGTAGCACAAATGGCCCTTCAGCAATGTGCTAAGTTGAGCAAAGATGGCCAAGATTAATGCTCCAGCACTGAACAGTCATGAGATGTGGGCCAAACTGGGAAGAGGCATGGCTTTGGGTGAGGCAGCTCTCTGCAGCTGAAGGCTGTCTGCCTACTGCACTCCAGGGCCAATGAGGCTTTTATCTATCACATAAAATTTCATTCCTTGGTCATGCAGGATGTACTCAGGGATCAACAGTTCTCTTGGGCTACTCCCTTCCAGTGAATGCAGTGTACTTTCATCTTTGGTTCCACCATGTCACTATTAGCTTAAATCCCCTTTCAGCCAGGCATCTCAGTCCATCCTCCTGTATGCCTGGAGACCCTATGTTTTCCCTCAGCTTGAATTTTCCAAAGAATAAACTTCTTGTTATGTTAAGAAAGACAAAGTTGCCTGAATGAATGGGAGAGACAGGATGATAAGAGTTTTTCTGCTCTTTATTGAGAACTTTAGACAAGCACCAGGTTTTTATTACTCATGCTTCAAAATTTACAGCCTTCCTGAAATTCTGGATGGGAGTGGGGAAGTTAAGGAAGGGTGGTACTAAGGTGAGGAGTGGTTTGCTTCTCTGAATGTTTCCTTCTTCATCAAAACTATCATTTTCAATGTGAATAATATATTCTGAATTTTTCCATTTCTGTGCATTTGCAATACTAACAATTAAGTGTAAGCAACTGTCACTCTCACTTTTATTATAAATAGTCTAATTGCTTCTCCTACTCACACATTCTCCACAGAACAACTAAGCTGATTACTTAAATATGTCATTCACATCTTTTCCGCTGCTGTTTTAATGCCTCCTTATTTCAAGTTGAAGGAACACCACATAATGCACCTGACATGGGACACAAGGCCCTCCATATTCTGCCCCCTGCCTCTCTCCCTTCCTCTCTGTGTCCCAGACACAAATAAGCTTCTTTTGTTTTCCTGGAAACACAAACTCACCACATTCTATGCTAGGTCTGTTGTACTTGCTGGTCCCTGCAAGTGGAGAATTCTGCTCTGGACCTCCCCATTTTGTAATTGTGTCCCCAAAGTCTCCTGCTCAGTGAATCCTTCTGAGACTGGCCACTCAGCCAGCCCCAGCTCATTCTGCTCTGTTGTCCAATCCTTCTTTAGTTTCTATACAGCACACATTCCTGATTGAAACCTTGCTCACTTATTTGGGGACGATATTGGGTTGAGTGAATGAGTTATCAGTGTGAAAGCTACACACAGCTTTGAAAAGGCAGTGGAGCCCGGGGAGAGAAGATAGTCAGATAATGGCACCTTCACCCTAGGGCTGCTCATCTTTCCCAGCAATTTGGGTCCTGCTATTTAGCTGAGAACCAGGCTGGGCATAAGGCCAGCCTCAAAGTATGACTGCAACCCAGTGCTCCCACCTGGCCAGACAGCCAGAACCCCACAACCATGCCCTGAGCTCAGCATCACCACACAATGTAACCAGCCCATAAAATACATTTTGCTTTAAAAGTTTTCAACTAACTATGAAGAAAAATGCATGGAGAATAACCTCCTTTCCAAGTTGTTTGAAACTACAATATTAGAAAGAAAGTCAGATCTTACATTTTGGTGACTTTTAATTCATTTGTGAACAAATACTGGTGACATCACATTTTGAATACCTCAATGACTCAGAAAGATGATACCTTTTTTCTAACTCTACTGACCTAATTGTTCATAAAAGGCTAGTTTTGCTAGAAAGGGAGAGTTGGGGCAGGGGTAGGTAAGGGAAGGAGATTGAAGGGGAACCACATTGTGAATTCTTCAGAAGTGCAGCAGCCTCCATAGTTGTTCCAGCAATTGGGACGCTGGGATAGATGAGTTCCCAGCAAACCCAGGAAGACCTCGTTCTCAGAGATATTCATGTCCAGTGGATGAAATCTCAGCTGGTGACACAGAAGTAGAAGTGTCAAGACATTAAAAGGTCTTGCAGGATAAAGAAGATATGATTAATATACTCAGCAGCACGCAGGTGCCTCACCAGAGGGGCTATCTCAGCACTGAAGGCTCTATAATTGTAGTGGTCTGAAAATGTGCCCAAAATCCTGAGATGTAAATGTGAGCAATATCAAGAAGCCCTCACTTAGTAGAGCAGTGAGGTATAAAGACTGACCATGGCCTCAGAGGCAGGGGCCCAGCAGCACCTAGAATCCTTGGCAGGATGCTGGATCCTGGGCTTAGTGGTGCAGGCCTGTTCATCAATGCTCCATCTGTGGGCAAGGACTTAGACTCAGGGCCTGAGGCTGAGGGCCTAAAGCTGTGTGCCCTGTGACCATCAAGAGGCACCTCCTGGCTGGAGCCTGGAGTATTGGCTCCGGAGCCCCCAGTTACAGAGGGCAAGGACCATGGCCACGTCTGTCAGTTGAGGGGTTCAGACCAGGCTTGGCATAGCTGGGGTGGGCAGTGGGTCCAGGCTAAGTTCGTGGGCTGGGAAGCATCACTGCAGGATGGAAAGGCCATGGGAACACCAGGCACAAGGGTAAGGCAATGGGAACCACAGCCTGAGGCCATAGGTTGTGTGGGTCATGACCCTGTTGACATGGGTGGTGACTGGGGCCAGGCTAGTCCTCTCCAGCACTTGGATCTTTCACCAGGTGGGCATCTCCAGGCTGGCATGTGCCCTGGACTCCATGGGTTCTGCAACTGCCCCAAATGACTGTGTTTCCACAGGTCATAGCACTTGGGTTACAGGATGCCCACAATGGCTTTCCCACCACTGCACTGAGACTCCACTTTGCCTGAATTGATCTATTCCATGGTGGCAAAATTCATGGCCTCCTGGAAGTTGAAGCCATGGTTGAAGCCAGCATGGTAACCATAAAGAAACCATTTAGAAGTTTAACCTCCTCCTTGAGTTTTCCCCACATTCAGCCTTATCAACTGCAACCACAACAAAATAAGTTTTGTCTCTTCCCTTCCATCAATTATAGTTCTAAAAATATTTTCAGTGGTTAATAGTGCAAATTCCATAAATTATTGACTGAAGTGCCTCAAATACCTCACATGAAGGAAAATGGTGGCTTGGGTCTAAAATATCTCACTATTAGATAAACAATTTTGTATTTTATTTTATGGAAGGATTCATTGCTGCCTTGTGGGTGAGAGCAAACCAAGACTGACTGTTGAATTTTATCAAATGACTATCAGCATCTATAATCATATAACTTCTGGATATATTTACAAGATAAGTTATATTTCCAGATTTCCTTGCTTTAAACTATTGTTTCCTTCCTGCAATAAATCCCATGTAGTCATCATATGTTACTCTTTTAACGTATTTAGATTCTCTTAGCTAATATTTAAGTTAAAATTTTTACCTTGATGTTCCTCAATAAGTTTTGTCCATAACTTTCTCTCATTCTGCAATTCATCAGGATTTTCTGTCAATGATGTATTTATTTTAAAATGTGAATTTTTTTTCTCATTTTAAAGGCCTAGGTATACTAGAAATGAAGATGTCACACAATTCCTCTGCAAGTTTGTCTAATCCTTGTCATTTTTGAATAGGCAGATCTTCTGCTCTTTCTATATTTCAGACACAGAAATTTAGTCTTAAATTTTTTGTGTCTAGTAAGTTAATTTTTCTAACAAAAAATCCATATTATTGGTGCTTTGTGTTGATTTAGTATACATTTTACAGTTATTCTAACTCATTAATTTCTGTGTATACATGTATCAATTCCTTCCAACTACTTTCAGTTTATCTTTTCCTAACTTGTACATTAGAAGTTTAATCCAGTTAATTTCATTATTTGAATATGATGGAGAAAATACTTAAGGCTGCAGATTTTCCTCAGCACTATTGTAAATGAATCTCATATATTTCTTTATGTATTTTATTAAGTTTTACATCTAGAAACACTCCAATAATGCTATTGTATCCCAAGCATTGATGTTAACAAATTGCATATATTAATTCATAGAACTGTCAACTACACACATGAGGTAGGTGCTATCTTCATTTTATGTTGAGGAAACTGAGTCATAAGGTTAAGTAATTTTCAAGGTCATACAAGCTGATAAGAGAAACTTGGGAACAAAATCAGGCTTTCTTGCTGCAGAGTTTATGCATGTAATAGATATTTATTGTTTTGTGAAAATTCAGCATTTTTGGCACTTGAAGAGAGGAAGTATTTTCTATCATCTAGTATGCCAATACTACCTTATTGTTAATGTAGTTTAAATTTTCCATATCCTTATATTTCTCCATTTTTTCTGCCTTGGATGAGTGACTATTTCATTCACACATTGCTGTAAAGAAATGCCTGAAGGCTGGGTGTGGTGCCTCACGGCTGTAATCCCAGCACTTTGGGAGGCTGAGGCAGGTGGATCACCTGAGGTCAGAAGTTTGATACCAGCCTGGCCAACATGATTAAACCCCATCTGCACTAAAAATAGAAAAATTAGCTGGGTGTGGTGGCAGGCACCAGTAATCCCAGCTACTCAGTAGGCTGAGGCAGGAGAATCGATTGAACCCAGAAGGCAGAGGTTGCAGTGAGCTAAGATTGAGCCACTGCACTCCAGCCTGGGCAAGAGTGAAACTACATCGAAAAAAAAAAATCCCTGAAATTGGGTAATTTATAGAGTTTTATTTGGCTTATGGTTCTGCAGGCTGTGCAGGGAGCATAGGAGCTTCTGCTTCTGGGAAAGCCTCTGGAAATTTACAATCATGATGAAAGGGGAAACAGGCACATCATAAATAGCTGGAGCAGGAGGAAGAGAGAGGGGGACGGTCGTACACACTTTTAAACAACCAGATCCTCCTAGAACTGTATCACAAGAATAGCACTATGGAGATAGTGCTAAATCATTCATGACAAACCACCCCCATGATCCAGTCATCTCCCACCAGGCCCCACCTCCAACATTAGAGATTAAAATTTCACATGAGATTAAGTCACACATATCCAAACCATACTGGTGACTTAAATGTTCCTATTTTTAATCTGTTTCTTTAAACTTGTCTTTTATGTACTATAATTTATACTATGTCGAACTTGAATATTCATGACTGCTGTAATGTCATTGTGAAATTTAGTATTTTGCATTGTGAAGATCCATGCTATGTACCTTTGGTCTCAATTCAGGTTTGCCTGATATTAAGATCTGTAAATCTACTTTTATGTTTGTTCTTTGCTTGGTATAGTTTCCCCATTCTTTTATCTCAATCACTTTTCTAAATCACTTTCTTTTTGATATATCTATTTTATATTATTCTAATTTAAAAAACATGCACTAAGACTTTTATTTTCTTTGGAGATATACATTAGAGACAGCAAATTTAGTTAACATCAGTATAGTTACAAAATACCTCTGAAGCCATAACTGGCTAAGTAACTCAGTTGGTCAAAAGGTCTAGTTTGTACATGAGCAGTGGACGGTGGCCTAGGATAAAGGGCATGTTGCAATTGAAGGATTGTGGGAAGCCCTGAACCTCACTGGGGTTGTAGCAATGTCCAGTGGAATCCAGAGTCAGAGACATAGAGGACCAGATGAGAAGTAAAAATGAGAGGCTCAGTAAGATTCTCAGCATCATCCAGTGTGGGCCCAAATTACCATGGAATCTGGACCCATAGCACTATAAGGGAGGTATCCTAAGGGGGACATCAGAAACAAGTGCTGTCCATGGCATCTGGCCATGGTGAAGGCCACAGGCAAATATGTGGAGTAGACAGAGAATCCCTGAGAGGTACTACAACATCCTATGGCAACCTTTGGGGAGGGGACTTCAGTGGCCTCTGGGAGCCCTGGTTGTCACAGTTGGAGACAGCATCTGGGGGCCTTGGAAATGTGTCAGTTACTGCAGGTAAAGAATCTTCTCTGATCCTGGGGTTGGAATAAGAGAGACACTGACATTTGTCACCATATTCCATAGCCGTGGATCCAGAGGATTGATCATGTATTGGAGGAAAATATCCCTAAACTCAGTGTCTTTAGACCCAGCAGATGAGTCAGGAGCCCAGGAGATTCTGGAAAACTTAGTTGGAGTCAGAACCCTAGAGCCGTAAAAGTGGTCCATTGCTACAGCCTTGCCCATGTTCACCAGGCAAGTGTCCCTGGTGAACTTAATCAGTTCCAGTCCCCACCAGTGTCCCTGGAAAACTTAATCAAAGGCACAATGACATTGGGAGGAGTCATGCAGACAACATCAGGGAGATTACTAGTAGTGCTGTTGAGGGATAGCAGGCACAGGCCAGGGTGCATGGTTTCATCACGATCCAGTGGGGGCCCCAGGAGTTGAAGATCAGGGACACAGCAGCAGCCAGAAGCCTTGGCAAGATGCTGAAGGCCACCACTCAAAGGGACAGATTTGTCATCAAATCATTGGCAAGCGGGAGCTGAGGCCTGTGGCCTTGAGCTCTACTCCTTGTACCCATTAAAAGGCGCCTCTTGGATGCAGGCTGAACAGTTGGCTCCTCAGTCCCCAGTTCTCGAGTACAACAACCATGACCACGACCACGACTGCAACCTCGACCTTGACCTTGACCACGACCACGACCACGACCAGAACCCCAGCTTCCAGTGGAAGGGAGAAGAACCCTGGCTGACATCCCCAGGGTAAGTGACTGGGTCTGGGTATGATATGCAGAGCTTTGGAATGCGGATCCAGGCACAGCATCAGTGCCACAGCCTTTTGGGTTGTAACAGTGCCCTGAGGACACAGGCTGTGTGGGACACTGGGCTGTGAGGTTTGGGAGAAGCCTCAGGCCCAGAGCAGCTCTTCTAAGTACTATATCATCTCTCCAGTTGCTCAGCTCTTGGCTTTCTGCAACCCTGGGCTCTGTGTGTTCCACAATGGCCAAGTCTTGCCTGTGTTTCCAGAGCTCATAACTCTCGGGTTGCACAATGCGCACAAAGGGGTCCATGGAAAAGGTCACTGTCGACTCCCCACAGCTACACTGAGAGGCCATTTTGCCATAATCAATCCATCGTGGAGTGGCAAAATTAATGGCTTCTGCGCAGTTGAAGCCGTGATTGAAGCCAGCATGGTAGCCATAGGGAAAGGTCACCATGAACTCCCCAGCCTCCTGAGTCATGCAATTGAAGGGAATCCCATTTTCCTTGAGAACTGTAGGCGAGATGAGGGCCACTTTGTGCCGCAGGAAGGCCTCACAGCCCCGAGAAATGTCTGGGAAGAGCTCCCTGGCCAGGCGTTCCAGGTGCTGACCATGTTCTGGGGGCACCACGTACCAAGTTTTGGGCTCCCCAAAGTGCAGGTAGTTGATGCTGTAAAGGTCCATGTCCTCTGTGTGCCAGGCAAACGTGGTCTTCCACATGCCAAAGTACAGGTAGGGTGTGTTGACACCCTCGATGACAACCCCACATTCCTGCTCCAACAGGTCCAGAATTGTTCCCAGGTGTCCTAGGTTCCATTGTTTAGTGCTTTCTTCAAATAAGGAGCCGCTGATATCAGCACCATAAATTGGTGGATTACCGGGGTGGCTCTTCCAGTATCGTTGCTCCAAATCTGCAAAATTCTGGTGTGGCGGAGTCTGATATTTTTTACTGTTTGCCAAGCGGCGATACTGCCCCACCCTCATGGCTTTCTTCTTTTTATGGTATTGAGTAAACACACCTCCCTGCCCAGAGGTCACCTGCTGGAGGGGAGTGGCTATTAAGATGTCTTCGATATCATCATACATCTGTCTGGCTTTCCATTCCTTGGGTGGAATTACCTTGGCAAGGCCAGCTTGATGTGCGCCTTGGGACTCCATGTAAGCAACATATGTGTTGAAATCTGCAAATTCTTCCATGGTTGGGTAAAACGTCATGATGGTATGACTCGTGTTCTGGGGACTGGAGTGCACAGACTTCATGGCTGCACACAAGAAGCAGCTGACTCCCACGTTCTTGGGTGTCCTCTAGATGCCTGAGAGTTCTGGGGAGTAATTTCTTTTCTCCCCTTTGTTTTTCAAAATACTTTGGTTTATCTGTGAGACAGTAATTCACACTTGGACTTTTGAACAAGTGAGATCTTTCACAGGCTTTCTGACTCCCCAGGGGGACTCCACTCTAGTCAGTATACTTTTTTCTGAAGAAGTAGAGTATGTCCCAGCTCTGTGAGTTTCCTCAGTTGGGGGTGTCACTGTGAGGCTTCTCCTGATTCTCAGGCTTGGGTGCACTAGTAGCAGCTAGTGTCCCACTGTACCTGGGGGTCTCTTCTAGGAAGTCGAAACAATACACCTAAACAACAACAACAAAAGATACAGAATATTCATATTTTTTAAATAAGTATATAACCAGACAAAAGAAATATTCAGCTAGCATTAAGCTAAGCTAAAACATATGCTAACATCAGGATATGTAAACATTGTCAGGCCTCTGAGCCCAAGCTAAGCCATCATATCCCCAGTGACCTGCACATACACATCCAGATGGCCTGAAGCAACTGAAGATCCACAAAAGAAGTGAAAATAGCCTTAACTGATGACATTCCACCATTGTGATTTGTTTCTGCCCCACCCTAACTGATCAATGTACTTTGTAATCTCCCCCACCCTTACGAAGTTTCTTTATAATCTCCCCCACCCTTAAGAAGTTTCTTTGTAATTCCCCCCACCCTCGAGAATGTACTTTGTGAGATCCACCCCCTGCCCCCAAAACATTGCTCTTAACTCCACCACCTATCCCAAAACCTGTAAGAACTAATGATAATCCCACCACCCTTTGCTGACTCTCTTTTTGGACTTAGCCCGCCTGCACCCAGGAGAAATAAACAGCCTTGTTGCTCACACAAAGCCTCTTTGGGGGTCTCTTGACACGGACACGTGAGACATTTCGTGCCGAAGACCTGGGTCAGCGGGACTCCTTCGGGAGACCAGTCCCCTGTCCTCACCCTCACTCTGTGAAAAGATCCACATACGACCTCCAGTCCTCAGACCAACCAGCCCAAGGAACATCTCACTGATTTTAAATCAGGCAAGCAGCTCTTTTTACTGTCTTCTCCAACCTCTCTCACTATCCCTCAACCTCTTTCTTCTTTCAATCTTGGCGCCACCCTTCAATCTCTTTCTTCTCTTAATTTCAATTCCTTTTATTTTCTGGTAGAGACAAAGGAGACACATTTTATCCCTGGACCCAAAACTCCGGCGCTGGTCACGGACTCGGGAAGGCAGCCTTCCCTTGGTGTTTAATCATTGTGGGGATGTGTCTCTGATTATTCACCCATGTTCCATTGGTGTCTGATCTCCGCATTCACCCACATTATCATTCACCCACATTCCCTTGATGGGCAAATCAACTGTGGGGACAGCTGCTTTGGCTGCTCCCCTACGTTGCAGCTCAGGGCTGCTCCCCACCCCCCTTCTCTGTGTCTCTACCCTTATTTTTTAAACTTGCCTCCTTCACTATGGGCAACCTTCCACCCTCCATTCCTCCTTCTTCTCCCTTAGCCTGTGTTCTCAAGAACTTAAAACCTCTTCAACTCTCACCTGACCCAAAATCTAAGCATCTTATTTTCTTCTGCAACACCACCTGGCCCCAGTACAAACTCGACAATGGTTCTAAATGGCCAGAAAATGGCACTTTTGATTTCTCCATCCTACGAGACCTAGACAATTTTTGTCGAAAAATGGGCAAAAATGGTCTGAGGTGCCCGACATCCAGGCATTCTTTTATACATTGGTCCCTCCCTAGTCTCTGCTCCCAAAGAGACTTGTCCCAAATCTTTTTTCTTTCTCTCCTGTCTGTTCCTTCAGTCTCCACCCCAAGCTCTGAGTCCTTTGAATCCTTCTTTTCTACAGACTCATCTGACAATCCTGTTTCCCTTGCCTCCATAACTGTTGTGGGTATTGACAGCCAAGCTTCTAAACCTCTTAAAACTCCCCAACTCTGGTGCCAACTTGGACAACATTCTTTAATGCACTCATTTTTAGTTATCCCCACCTGCCCAGCTCCCTTATTAGGTCGAGACATTTTAACTAAATTATCTGCTTCCTTCACTATTCCTGGGCTACAGCCACACCTCATTGCTGCCTTTTCCCTCAGTTCAAAGCCTCCTTCGCATCCTCCCCTTGTATCTCCCCACCTTAACCCACAAGTATGGGATACCTCTACTGCCTCCTTGTCAACCGATCATGCACCCCTTACCATCTCATTAAAACCTAATCACCCTTACCCCGCTCAATGCCAATATCCCATCCCGCAGCAGGCTTTAAAAGGATTAAAGCCTGTTATCACTCGACTGTTACAGCATGGCCTTTTAAAGCCTATAAACTCTCCTTACAATTCCCCCATTTTACCTGTCCAAAAACCGGACAAGTCTTACAGGTTAGTTCAGGATCTGTGCCTTATCAACCAAATTGTTTTGCCTATCTACCCCGTGGTGCCAAACCCATATACTCTCCTGTCCTAAATAACTCTCTCCACAACCCATTATTCTGTTCTGGATCTCAAACATGCTTTCTTTACTATTCCTTTTCACCCTTCATCCCAGCCTCTCTTCGCTTTCACTTGGACTGACCCTGACACCCATCAGGCTCAGCAAATTACCTGGGCTGTACTGCCACAAGGCTTCACGGACAGCCCCCATTACTTCAATCAAGCCCGAATTTCTTCCTCATCTGTTATCTATCTCGGCATAATTCTCAGGAAGACACACGTGCTCTCCCTCCTCATTGTGTCTGGCTAATCTCCCAAACCCCAATCCCTTCTACAAAACAACAACTCCTTTCCTTCCTCGGCATGGTTAGGTACTTCCACCTTTGGATACCTAGCTTTACCATCCTGACTAAACCATGATATAAACTCACAAAAGCAAACCTAGTTGATCCCACAGATCCTAAATCCTTTCGCCACTCCTTTCTGTTCCTTAAAAACAGCCCTAGAAGCTGCCCCCACACTAGCTCTCCCTAACTCATCCCAACCCTTTTCATTACACACAGCCAAAGTGCAGGGCTGTGCAGTCGGAGTTCTTACACAAGAGCCAGGACCGCACCCTGTAGCCTTCTGTCCAAACAACTTGACCTTACTGTTTTAGCCTAGCCCTCATGTCTGCGTGTGGTGGCTGCTGCTGCCCTAATACTTTTAGAGGCCCTCAAAATCACAGACTATGCTCAATTCACTCCCTACAGTTCTCATAACTTCCAAAATCTATTTTCTTCCTCACACCTGACACATATACTTTCTGCTCCCCAGCTCCTTCGGCTGTACTCACTCTTTGTTGAGTCTCCCACAATTACCATTGTTCCTGGCCGGGTCTTCAATCCAGCCTCCCATGTTATTCTGGATACCACACCTGACCCCCATGACTGTATCTCTCTGATCCACCTGGCATTCACTCTATTTCCCCATATTTCCTTCTTTCCTGTTCCTCACCCTAATCACACTTGGTTTATTGATGGCAGTTCCACCAGGCCTAATCGCCACACACCAGCAAAGGCAGGCTATGCTTATAGTATCTTCCACATCTAGCATTGAGGCTACTGCTCTGCCCCCCTCCACTACCTCTCAGCAAGCTGAACTCATTGCCTTAACTCGAGCCCTCACTCTTGCAAAGGAATTACACGTCAATATTTATACTGACTCTAAATATGCCTTCCATATCCTGCACCACCATGCTATTATACGGGCTGAAAGAGGTTTCCTCACTATGCAAGGGTCCTCCATCATTAATGCCTCCTTAATAAAAACTCTTCTCAAGGCCTAGCATTCCAACATCTATCCCTCACGGCAGTTTTTCTCCTTCTTATCTGGCCACTCCCACCTACTCGCCCACTAAAACTTCCACCTATCAATCTCTTCCTACACAAAGCAAATGGTTCTTAGACCAAGGAAAATATCTCCTTCCAGCCTCACAGGCCCATTCTATTCTGTTGTCATTTCATAACCTCTTCCATGTAGGTCACAAGCCGCTAGCCCATCTCTTAGAACCTCTCATTTCCTTTCCATCGTGGAAATCTATCCTCAAGGAAATAACTTCTCAGTGTTCCATCTGCTATTCTACTACTCCTCAGGGAGTGTTCAGGCCCCCTCCCTTCCCTGCACATCAAGCTCGAGGATTTGCCCCCACCTAGGACTGGCAAATTAGCTTTACTCAATGTGCCCCGAGTCAGATAACTAAAATACCTCTTAGTCTAGGTAGACACTTTCACTGGATAGGTAGAGGCCTTTCCTACAGGGTCTGAGAAGGCCACCACAGTCATTTCTTCCCTTCTATAAGACATAATTCCTCAGTTTAGCCTTCCCACCTCTATACAGTCTGATAACAGACCAGCCTTTATTAGTTAAATCAGCCAAGCAGTTTTTCAGGCTCTTGGTATTCAGTGAAACCTTTATATCCCTTACGGTCCTCAGTCTTCAGGAAAGGTAGAACGGACTAATGGTCTTTTAAAAACACACCTCACCAAGCTCAGCCACCAACTTTAAAAGGACTGGACAATACTTTTACCTCTTGCCCTTCTCAGAATTAGAGCCTGTCCTCAAGATGCTACAGGGTACAGTCCATTTGAACTTTTATATGGATGCACTTTCTTGCTCAGCCCCAACCTCGTCCCAGACACCAGTCCTCTAGGCAACTATCTTCCAGTCCTCCAGCAGGCTAGACAGGAAATTCACCAGGCTGCTAATCTTCTCTTGCCTACTCCAGATCCCCAGCCATATGAAGACACCCTAGCTGAACGATCAGTTCTTGTTAAGAATCTGACCCCTCAAACTCTACAACCTTGATGGACTGGACCCTACTTAGTCATCTATAGTACCCCAACTGCCGTCCACCTGCAGGATCCTCCCCACTGGGTTCACCATTCCAGGATAAAGCTGTGTCTGTTGGACAGCCAGCCTAATCTCTCCTCTTCCTCCTGGAAGTCACAAGTACTCTCCCCTACTTCCCTTAAACTCACTCGTATTTCTGAAGAACAGTAATAACCCTTATGAGCCTAATACATCCCTTCATTCTATTAGGTCTGTTCATCCTTACCCTACTTTTTACAACAGGGCTTTATGCAGTCACCCCCACTACTTGGACTGAGCCCCAAAAACTAGTCATCCCTACTATCTTCTTTCTAGTCATACTCCTATTCACTGTTCTCAACTACTCATAAATGCCCTACTCTTGTTTACACTGCTGGTTTACACTGTTTCTCCAAGCCATCACAGCTGATATCTCCTGGTGCTATCCCCAAACCGCCACTCTTAACTCCCTCTTAAAGTAAATAAATCTTTGCTGGCAGGGCTATGCTGAACCTCCTTGGGCACTCTCTAATTGGATGTCCTGGGTCCTCCCAATTCTTAGTCCTTTAATACCTGTTTTTCTCCTTCTCTTATTCGGACCTTGTGTCTTCTGTTTAGTTTCTCAATTCATAAAAAACTGCATCCAGACCATCACCAATCATTCTATACAACAAATGCTCCTTCTAACAACCCCACAATATCACCCCTTACCCCAATATCTTTCTTCACTTTAATCTCTCCCACTCTAGGTTCCCACGCCACCCCTAATCCTGCTCGAAGCAGCCCTGAGAAACATCTCCCATTATTTCTCCATGCCACCCCCAAAAATTTTCACCGTCCCAACACTTTACCACTATTTTGTTTTATTTTTCTTATTATCAGAAGACAGGAATTTCAGGCCTCTGAGCCCAAGCTAAGCCATCATATCCCCAGTGACCTGCACATATACATCCAGATGGCCTGAAGCAACTGAAGATCCACAAAAGTGAAAATAGCCTTAACTAATGACATTCCACCATTGTGATTTGTTTCTGCCCCACCCTAATTGATCAATGTACTTTGTAATCTCCCCCACCCTTAAGAAAGTTTTTTATAATCTCCCCCACCCTTGAGAATGTACTTTGTGAGATCCACCCCCTGCCCCCAAAACATTGCTCTTAACTCCACCGCCTATCCCAAAACCTGTAAGAACTAATGATAATCCCACCACCCTTTGCTGATTCTCTTTTCGGACTCAGCCCGCCTGCACCCAGGTGAAATAAACAGCCTTGTTGCTCACACAAAGCCTGTTTGGGGGTCTCTTCACACGGTCACATGAGACAAACATCAGGTCAAATCATAAAACAGAAAAAGAGCAGCATCAAACTAAAATGAAAAATGATCAAGTTTGAAAATGAATAAATTGAGCACTCCATTCAAGAAACTGGATGCATTAACATCAATAGAAACAATGAAAATAAATTCATAAGAAGAAACCATTGCAAAAGGAAACAGAACACCCAACAGGAATGACAAAGAATGAAAACTGAGTTTTCAAAAAATATGATGAGAAGTAAAAAGCCATCGGCATGAAGATAAATGAAAGTACAAACAAAAACACATTGAGGTAAGAAACAAGCAGCATAGCTAAAAATCTGGTGGAGATGTTTTACAATATTTAACAAAATCTTAGAACAAATTGATGATAATAAGGTTCTCAGTAGGACAAATATCCAAAAGTGCTCCGACAGAGAAATAAAACGACCTACCTTCGGTCAAAAACTCACAATTCCATATGAAAATACTTCAGGACCCAAAGAGAAGGTTTCCTGTTGGTAGCTAAACTCCAAATAAAGCCCCACGTTCCAAAGACCCTGGCTTTATACCTGGGCAACACCCTAACCCAATCAGGGCCCAGCTAATGTAATCACTGGGCTTGGTCCAGATTAGGCATCCCACCCGTCCAAGCCCCTCCCTTTCATTTTGCATTTTAAACCAATCTGAAAACGAAGCTAAGTAGTTAAAAATCAAGGAATGGAAAAAGGCAACCCTGACAAATACCAAACAAAAGAAAACTAAAGCAGCTATGTTAATATCCAATGTAGTTATAGAATTAAAAAGGCACATTTTACAGTTATTGAATAGAAAAATTCACCAGAATAATACAGTGATGAACTTTATGACCCTACGCATAGCACTGACACATGGAAAGCCAGGACTGAGAGTTGTTGTAAAGTCAGACAGTAAAATATGCAATTGTGATGTAGTTTTTAATTTTTTTAGCATTATTCTTTCAGAAACCAATAGAGCAGAGTAGAAAATTAATAATATTATAATAATATGTACAAGCTTAAGAACTTTGAGGAACAAAATTGCAACAATTAAAAAGCAAATGGAAAATGCTTCTCAGTACACAAGAAACATTTATAATAGATAAATTTACCAATACAGGACTACAAAGTAAATATCAAATTAAAATCCCATAGAATGCATATACAGAAAACAATCTTGACCAAAATGAAATGAAATTGAAAGTCAACAATACAAAAGCTGAATCCAACCATATTTATTTGAAAATTTATATTCACATTTCTAAAATCTTATTGATCTTCAGGTTGCACTCAAGCAGCGAGTAAAAATGAAACAAAACAAAAATATGCAAAAGAGAATGAAATATAAAAATGATCATGGATAAATAAGCAAAAGGGAAAATGTATACTGAAATAGAAATGATTAATAAAACTAAAATATGATACTTTTAAATAAAAAATAAGTAGCAGTATTGATAACAAAGCACTTGCTAGGCCTAGGCAAGTGATATACAGACAAAGCCCAAAGCATTAGCAGTAGTGAAAAATAAAAACTTGGTAAATACACACAGTCAAAAATGGGGTTACTTTGAGGGGCACAAGGAAAACAACTTCCAACAGCCAAATCTCCAAGCCGAGCAAGAAAATATATAAATTGAATTATAATCCAAGCATGAAATAAATATGAGTTCGTACTGATGTAAATTAAAAATTAAATAAATTAACAAATAGCTGAGAAGTGACAAAATTCTTTTTCATAAGAATTCTAAATGAATTAGGCCAGGCACAATTAGGCTGGGCGAGGTGGCTCATGCCTGTAATCCTAGCACTTTGGGAGGACGAGATATCGGCCTCCAGAGATTGGAATGACTTGAGGTCAGGAGTTCGAGGCCAGCCTGGCCAATATGGTGAAACCACATCTCTAATAAATATACAAAAATTAGCCGGGCATGGTGGCACATGCCTGTAATCCCAGCTACTCAGGAGGCTGAGGCTGAGGCAAGAGAAACACTGGAAGAGGTTGCAGTGAGCTGAGATTGTGCCATTGCACCCCAGCCTGGGTGACAGAGCGAGACTGTCTAAAAAAAAAATTCTAAATGGATTAAATTAATTAAAATTGAGAGCCTTACTAAAATTCTGTGGGGGCAATTAAGGAAGGCTAGTATTAAGGGGAGGGGTGGCTTGCTATAATTTTAATTTACAAAATATATGTGAGTTTGTCCATTTCTGTGCATTATCTTCTTTTTTTTTTTTTTTTCCTAAGACAGAGTCGTGCTCTGTCGCCCAGGCTGGAGTGCAGTGGTGTGATCTCAGCTCACTGCAACCTCTGCCTTCTAGGTTCAAGCAATTCTTCTGCCTCAGCCTCCCAAGTAGCTGGGACTACAAGCGTGCACCACAATGCCCAGCTAATTTTTGTATTTTTAGTGGAGATAGGGTTTCACCATGTTGATCAGGCTGGTCTCAAACTCCTGACCTCAAGTTATCTGCCCACCTTAGCCTCCCAAAGTGCTGGGATTACAGGCATGAGCCACTGCGCCTGGCCACTGCTGTGCATTTTCAATGTTAACATAAATCTAAGCAACTGTCACTCTCACTTGTGTTATTTAGATGGTGTAACTGCTTCTTCTGCTTACACACTCTCCACAGAGCAACCAAGCTGATTATTTAAATGTATAAATCACATTTCGTCAACTGCTGTTTAAAACTTCCAGTGCCTTCTCATTTCAAGTTGAACACACACCAAATAATGTACTTCACATGAGACTCAGGGCCCTACATGCTTTGCCCCCTGTCTCTCTCCCTCTCTCCCTCTTTCTGTCTATGCCCCTGTCTATGCCCCAGGCACAAATGAGCTTCTTTGTATTCCTGGAAAAACAAAATCACTAAGTTCCATGGTAGGTCTGTTGCACTTGCTGTTCCCTGAAGGTGGGAAACTCTACCCTGGACCTCCCAATTTTGTCAGTTTGATCCCAAAAAGGTTTCTTGTTTGGTGAAGACTTCCAGGACCTGCAATTCCATCAGCCCCTCCCTATTCTGCTCTGTCATCCAGTCCTGCTTTAAGTTTCTGCACAGCACACATTCCTGATTGAAACTGTCTTGTTCACTTACTGGGGACTTGTTTATTGGGCTGAGTCAATGAATTAACAATGTCAAATAGACCTATAGCTTCGAAACGCCAGTGGAGTTTGGCTATTTTGGCTTATGTTTCCCTCTTATCTAAACTTGCTCAACAGAGAATTTTAAACTTTCAGGGAAAGTGCATCTTTATATTTTCAGAGTTTTTGAATCAATTTCTAGTTTTATTTCATGGTAATTATACTGCATGTTCTCACTTATAAGTGGGAGCTAAATTATGAGAACTCATAGACACAAAGAAGGGAACAACAGACCCTGGGGTCTACTTGAGGGTGGAGGGTGTAGGAAGAGGGAGAGGAGCAAATATATATATATATATATATATATATATATATATATACACACACACACACACACATATATATATATACACACATATATACACACACATACATACACACATATACACATATATATACACATATATATACACACATATATACACATATATATACACATATATATACACATACATATACACATATATATACACATATATATACACATATATATACACACATATATATACACACACATATATATAGTACTAAGCTTAGTACCTAGGTGTTTAAATAATCTGTACAACAAACCCCCATAACATGAGTTTACCTATATAAAAAAGCTGCACATGTACCCTTGAACCTAAAATGAAAGTTTTGTTTTTTTTTCTAAAAAGAATGTTTGGCCAGGTGCGGTGGCTCATGCCTGTAATCCCAGCACTCTGGGGGTTCAAGACAGGCAGATCACCTGAGGTCAGGAGTTCGAGACCAGCCTGGGCAAATGGCGAAATTCCATCTCTGCTAAAAATACAAAAATTAGCTGGGCATAGTGGCACGCACCTGTAGTCCCAGCATTTTGGGAGGCCGAGATGGGCAGTTCACCTGAAGTCAGGAGTTCGAGACCAGCCTGGCCAACATGGTGAAACCCTGTTTGTTCTAAAACTACAAAAAATTAGCTGGGCGTGGTGGCACATGCCTGTAATCCCAGCTACTCACTCGGGAGCCTGAGGCAGGAGAATTGCTTGAACTGGGAGGCAGAAGTTGCAGTGAGCTGAGATTGTACCACTGCACTCCAGCCTGGGTGACAGAACGAGATCCTGTCTCAAAAAATATATATATTTTCTTATTCTTTTGAAATTATAAGTTATTCATGTTTTCTTTTAACCCTAATATATTGTCAAATGTTGTGAATTATCCATTGGTACTTGAAAATAAGGGGATATTCTCTATTACTGGGTACATAATTCTACCTTATGGTTAATGTTGTTTGTTTTCTATATCCCTACATTTGTCCTTTTTTTCTGTCTTCAGTACAGTAAAGTTACTTAAATTCTTCTGTTTTAAAAGTACTACTCAAACTTGTCTTATAGAAACTGCAATTTATACTTAATGAAACTCACATGGGTTCTAGGCTGGATCTCAAATTTCTGGCCTAAATCTGTACCATAAAAAGGAGAGCCCTATACCATAAAAGAGAAAAGAAATAATACTTTACCAGAACTTTCTTTT
Organism: Homo sapiens; assembly: GCF_000001405.40. NCBI lineage: Eukaryota > Metazoa > Chordata > Mammalia > Primates > Hominidae > Homo > Homo sapiens. The sequence goes on along the minus strand of NC_000011.10, from coordinate 95,014,773 downwards.
CCAACTGTGGTAAATTCCACTTTGGACCCTGCAGCCCATGCCCGCCCCTCCTGTTTTCCCCCTAGAAAGACAAGCCCAGCACGGAAAGCTCCGTGGGTAACCGTCTCCCAAGCACTGCTCGAGCCCAGCACAGGGGCCTTGGACACCCGCCTCTGGATTCTCTGTGCAAGCGCTCACCCTATGTGGATTCAGTCAGGACTTTGGCAGCCTCTGAGACCAGAAGGCCATGAAGAAGGAAGCCCACTAGAAGCAGTGCCCACTACCCACCCACGCTCACTCTGACAGAAGCACACAAGCTTTGCACTGCCCGTCCTGTGCCAGGTAAAGGGATCCCGTGAGCTTCAGTGCATGTACAGTGCTGGCTGTGAGTTTGGCAAGAGCTTCCTGGCTTCACACAGCCACCTGGTCACCATGCCCAGCTTCCCACAGAGCCATGTTGTGCCCATAGTGAGTTACTGCCAGCAGGAATAAAAAGATATGGAGCACAACTCTCCCCAAACTCTGCAGATTATGTGAAGACTGAAAACGCTGTTTCAAAGCCAAGGAGACATCCGTGATAAGGGGATACTGAGAGAAACTTTAGACTCCTAAACCTGGGACTTAGGATAGAACTGAGAGATCCATGAATTCCCTGAAATAGTAATAGATGCTGGTGTGCATATATTTGGTATGCAGCTGTCAGTAGTCTCTTAAAATTCAGGAGAAGTGACACAAGTTTTAATCTAAAATTTTAATTAAATTTAATTACAATTTTTGAATTTCAGATGACATTAAAAACTGATTTACTGCAGGTATTTAATCAGATCTCCAATCAAGGCAGACGCACAGGGGTATTAATGATGTTCAATGAAGAATGTGTAACCTACTCTAAAAGGTGATTAAATGGTTTTACCAGGGACACATGAAGATATGTTTACACCAGTGTTCATAACAGCACCATGCACAGAGCCAAAAGGTGGAAACCACATAAGTGTTCATCAGTGGAAGAACTGATCAACAAAATGTGGTATATACCTACAGTGGAATATTATTCAGCCTTGAAAAGGAAGGAAATCTGACACATGCTGCAACGTAGTTGAACCTGGAGGACATCATGCTAAGTCAAATAAGCTAGACATGAAAGGACAAATATTGTATCATTGCACTTACATGAGGTACCTAAAATACTGAAATTATTAGAGAAATAAAACAAGGGATACCAGCAGCCAGGGCAGGCTATAATGAGGTGTTACTGTTTAATGGGTAGAGTACTAGTCTGTGATGATGAAAACGTTCTGGAGATAGAAGGTGTTGATGGTTGTACAACGATGGGAATGTCCTTAAAGCAGCTAAACTATACACTTAAAATGGTGAAAATTGTAATTTATACATGTATACTATACCAAAACAAAAATAATTAAAAGTTTAATGGAAGAAAAAGTTGCATGGCTATTTATAAAGGCTGTATTTTCATTGTGAAATTTAGCCTTTAGTATTATAAAGAGTCCTTCTATGTCCCTTTGGTCTACATTTGTTTGATATTAAGATCTACCACCTCTGTTTCCTTTTGCTTTTGCATTTTCCTTGGTACAGTTTCCCCCATTCTTTTAGTTTTCAATTTTTCTGAATCACTTAGTTTTAGATATATCTCTTTTATAATTGTGATTTTAAAATATGTTTTCAGGATTTTCCTTTTTTTACATGTCAGATACACACTAGGAGTGTCAAATTTAACAAACAGGAGGCAGCATTTGGTAACCTTGAAAATGTGTCAGTTCTTGAAGGTCGAAGAATCTAATACACAGGTCCAGACCCGAACTGTGCTTGGCTGGGAGCCTTCTGTGGCTTCTGTAGTTGAGGTCAGAGGGGCAGCCACATTTGGCAACATATTCAACAGTCATGGGTTCAGATGATTGAGATCTTGCATTGAAGGCAAATATCTCCAAATTCTGAGGTGCAGCTCTGTCTACCTTTAGCACCAGGAGATGAGTCAGGGGCTTAGGAGATTCTGGCAACCTCAGTAGGGGCCAGGATCCTAGAGGCATGAGTGGTCCATTGCTTCAGTCTCATCCAGATTCACAGGGGCTGTGCAATCTGGAGCAGCATCCCTGCAGAACTTATTCAAAGACACAATGACATTGGGAGGAGTCAGGGGAACAATGTCAGAGAGATTCTGAGTGGTGCTACCCTGGGTTAGCAGGCATAGGGGCCAGGGTGCATGGGTTCATCATGATTCAGTGGGGACCCCAAGGGTTGATGATCAGGGGCACAGCAGCACCCAGAAGCCTTGGCAAGATGCTGAAGCCCCAAGTTCAAAGGTGCAACTTTGTCCATCAAAGCTTCATCTGTATACAGCGGATGAGGCTCAGGGCCCAGAACTAAGTGCACTGTGCCCACCAAGAGGGGCCTCCTGGCCTAAGCCAGAATGGTCGGCTCCTGAGCCCCCAGTTCCAGAGCACAACGACTATGACCACGACCATGTCTGCCAGTTTGGGGATGAAGATCTGGGGTGGACAGAATGAGGGTCAGCAATGGGATCCAGCCAGGCTTCTGGGAGCTGCAGGTCATGGTGACCTCGCTATGGGAAGCAGCCCCTAGGGCCACTGAAGGACGGAGGCGTGGAGAGCACATAACGGCACCCACGGCCACAGGCAAACTGGGGCTTTGAGCTCAGTGAAGAGGGAGATGCCTCAGGCCTAACACGGCTCTCCTGGTCAACTGGGCCTCCCTCTAGGTGCTCAGCTGCTGGCTGTCTAGTGCCCTGGGCTCCATGTGGTCCACAATTGCCTGGTCTTGCCTGTGTTTCCGCAGCTCATAGGGCTCGGTTTACAGGATGTGCACAAAGACGTCCATGGGAAAAAGTCACCCTCGTCCCCTGGCAGCCACACTGGAGGCCACTTTGCTGTAATCGATCCATAGCAGGGTCACGAAACTGATGTCCTTCACCCAAGGGCTAGTTTCCTGATTTGACTTATAAAGGTCCTTTTTTAAAAAGCAATTTTAAAACAGAGTTAACTAAGAGGCTGAAAATTAAGAGGTTGAAAAAGGCACAACAGGACAAATATTAAAAAAAGAAACCTGGGATAGCAATGTATTTATAGGATCAAAGTGGCACATTTTATAACTATCAAAAAGAAAACTTCACTAGAAACATATTACAGTGATGAACATCATACACCTAACCATATGGCATTGAGTCATAGAAAGTGAATCCTGAGAATTACAAGGTAAAACTGATGATTCTGCAATTATGGCAGGAGTTTTGATTTTTCTTTAACACCATTCTCTCTGAAAGTGACAAAGGAGAGAAGAAAATTAATAATGCTATAAGAGTTTGAACAAACTTAACAACTTTGATCATATGACTCACCACCACCATAAAGCAAAGAGAAATGCTTTACAACAGATATAAAACATTTACAAAAATTTAGCAATTCGGGGTACAAAATAAATATCAATTAAAATTCCATACAATCAGTATATTGAGCACAATCTTGACCACAATTAAATATAATTTAAAGTCAGCAAAAAGGAGTTGAACCCAACCATATTTATTTCAAAATTAATATCCGTGTTTGTAAAAGTCTATTCATCTCGATGCTCAACTCAGCAGTTAGTAAAAACCAAAACCAAAAAAAACAGAATTAGGCAATAAAAATGAAAGATTAAAATAATGACAGAATGATAAACAAAAGAGAAAACAAAGATACACAAAAAAAGAGATGATTAAGGTACTGAAATCTGATGCCTTTAAAGAAAAATAAAATAAAGAATTGGCAATACTGATGGAGAAAAAGAAATTTCTAGACCGAGGAAAGGAAATGTACTGGACAAGTCTGGGATATCTTGAAGTGCTTGAAAACAAGGATGTTTTAAATACAAGCAAACAAAAACCTTGATGGGGGTACGGCAACGGGGCACAGGAATGAACAGAAACAGCTCCCAATGGCCAAAGCTTGAAGAAACTTAGCAAAAAAAAAAAAAAAAGTCATCTTGAATTATAATCAAAAGTACAAAATAAATATCTATGAGTTCATACTGATATAAATGATTGAATAAATTGACAAATTGAAGAAAAGAGACAAATCTATCTTGTAGCAGAATTCCAAATAAATTATATAAATGCTATACCCTAAATAATAGGGAGAATAATACCCTGCTCCTTTTTAAATTGTTTTCTTCAAATGACATATAAAAATTGTGTATATTGATGGTGTGCAACATGACAGTTTGATATGTGTATACACTGTGGAATAAGTCAATAAAGCTAATTAACATATGCATTATCTCACATATCTTTTATAGTGAGAGCACAAATCTACCCTCTTAGCAATTGTAAAGTGCACAATACATTATGATTAACTATAGTCACCATGCTGTATAATAAATCTCCAGAACCTGCTCCTCTCAAACTAAAATTTTGTACCCATTGACGAACATCTCCTCAATGTTCCCACCCTTCAGCTTCTGATAACTACTATTAAACTCTCTGCTTCTATGAGTTTGACTCTTTGCTCCCACATATAAATGAGTTCACGCAGTATTTGTTCTCCTGTGTGACTTATTTAACTTAGCATAATGTCTTTCAGGTTCATTGATGTTGTTGCAAATGACAGGATTTCAATCTTTTTAAGGCTGAATAGAATTCTATTTTATACATATGCCACAGTTTCTTTATCCATTCATTCATCCACTGAGAGACACAGGTTGACACCATATCTTGGCTATTGTGAAAAATGCTGCAATGAAAATGAACATAGGTGTGCCGTTATCTCTTCAACGTGCTGCTTTCATTTCCTTTGGATATATACCTGTCAAATAAAATTCTAAGAGGATTTGGACTGGGCTCCTGCACAAGACTCAACAGACCAAACCAATATAGAGTTTTATCATGATAGCTGAGCTTCAGTTAATCACAGAAGGTTCTGTAACCAATTAACCAACTAAGTTATAACTAATTAAGTTGTCTCTATACCTCACTTCTGTTTAAATGCTGCCAGATCACTTTTTTGGCCAGAGTCCTCTGAACCTGTTTTGGTTTTGGGGGCTGTCCAATTTGAGAATTGTTTTTTGTATTGTTTTATTTTGTTTTACTCAAATAAACTCCGGTAAATTTAAGTCTAAGGGTTTTTTTTCTTTTAACAGATTGGCGTGGTCAGCGGGATCTGAAGCAGAACTCCAGTGATTGCCAGGGGCACTGGGTAACCAGGTATAGTTACCTGCACTGTGCTTATTTTTTCCTTGCTGCATCTGGGGCTCATGAGTAAGTTCTCTCTTGGATTCCAAAGCTCCACAGATTTGTGCTTTGAGCTATCTTTGAGCAAAGTTTTGATCTGGACTAGATTTGGAAGTTGATTCTAGAATCATGAATAAAGGATCTTTCTTTTTGCCTTGAGCCCAAATCCGAGGTTAATTTGTGCTATGAGAGAGCACGTGAACTTGAGCTGGGTACCAAGGATTATCTTGTGCTGTAAGAAGGCATATAACCTTTGGGGTTTGCAGTGTCTAGATCAGACAGAAACTGGACTACAAGATAGGGAGTTCATTTGGATTAAGGAGTCTAGAACTCTCTGTCCTAGCAGACCAGGAATCATGAGTTCATATGAATCTAAAAAGTCAAGAATTCCTCCATCTGTAACTCCAGTTAATTTTATATACAGTACAAGAATGCTTTTATAGATAAATGGATGAACCTTACCAAAGGTAAGTTAGGGTTACTGTGGCCACAGTGGGGAAGTTTTAATTCAGATAAAGTTTTTCAATTTTGAGGCACATTAGAAAAGCAAAGGTTAATTTCAAAAGGTACAGAAAAAGCATTAAATAAAATTCAACATCCCAAGGCCATATATGACAAAGCCACAGATAGCATCATACTTAATGGGAAAAAGCTAAAAGCCTTTTCTCTAAGATCTGGAACAAGACAAGGATGCCCACTTCCACCACTTTTATTCTTTATAGTACTAGAAATCCTAGTTACAGCTATTAGACAAGAATAAGAAATAAAGGGCATTTGTATTGGAGAGGAAGAAGTCAAATAGTCCTTGTTTCCAGATTATATACTCTTTTATTTAGAAGAAACTAAAGACCACCAAAAAACTGTTTGAATTGACAAATGAATTCAATAAAGTTCCAGGATACAAAATCAACGTGCAAAAATCAGTAGCATTTCTATACGCTAACTGCAAACAATCTGAAAAAGAAATCAAGAAAACAGTTCCATTTACAATAGCTGCAAAAAATAAAATAAAATACCTAGGGATAAATTTAACCAAAGAAGTGACAGATCGCTACAATTAAAACTATAAAACACTGATAAAAAAATACAGGACACAAAAAATGGAAAGATATTTCATGTTCATGGATTAGAATAATTAATATTACTAAAATGTCCATGCTACCCAAAGGGATCTACAGCTTTACTGCAATCCCTTTCAAAATACCAGTGATATTCTTCAGAGAAATAGAAAAAAAATCCTAAAATTTATATGGAGCCACAAAAGACACCCAATAGTCAAAGCAATTCTGAGCAAAAAGAACAAAGCTGGAGGCATCACATTTCTTGACTTCAAAATATACTACAAAGGGATAGTAACCAAAACAGCATGGTACTGGTATAAAAACAGACATACAAACGAATAGAACACAATAGAGAATGCAGAAATAAATTTATGCACTTACAGCCAGCTCATTTTCAACAAAGGCAATAAGAATGTGCATTGGAGAAAGAACACACTCTTCAATAAATGGTGCTGGGAAAACTGGATATCCAAAAGTGGAAGATTGAAATTATGCCCCATCTCTCACCATACACAAAAATCAAATCAAAATGGATTAAAGACTTAAATGTGTGACCTGAAACTATAAAACTACTAGAAAAAAATTGGAGAAATACTTTGGAACATTGGTCTGGGCAAAAATTTCCTGAGTAAGATCTTAAAAGCACAAGCAACTAAAGCAAAAGTAGACAAATGAGGTTATATCAAATTAAAAAGCTCCTGCATAGGAAAGGAAACAATTAACAAACTGAAGAGACACCCTGTTGAATTTAATTGAGTGCTTTTCTGTATCTTTTGAAATTAATCCTACAGAATGGGAGAAAAGATTTGCAAACTATTGGGCATTTTTATTTATTTCATTGGCATCTAAAAGATTAAATGTATCAAAAGTTGCCTCCTTACAAAAGGCAAACAGGTGCATGTTTTTACAGCTTCAATAGCTACAGTGTCCAAGAGGGTTCTTGTACATATTTTGAACCAAAACCAAGGATTTCTAAACTAAAAAATCCCTGTGCCCTGGTATGTGTGACTTTATTGTAAACAGTCATGCCACTGGAAAAGAAAGTGTCTACTTTATCCACTCATTTTGGCCTGGATTTCCCCTCTAAATTTCCCCTCTAAAGGAAACTCCTAAAGATTTTGCTGCTGGGGCAATAATCAACTTATTTAATTAGTCCTCTCTGCTTTTACTTCTCTATTTGCTCCCGCTTCTCCCATAGGAACCTTTTCTCTAGTTGATCCTGCTTCTCCCATGGGAACCTCTTAGTCAACTAAAATCTCTCTTCTCAGTCCCCTGCTGACTATATGCACTGCCAACGATCTGTGTTGTAATGATCTTTGCTCTGCACCTCCAAACTCTTTCTTGGTTGTAAGAAAAATTTAAAAAGTATATCTCCATTTGTAAGGGAGTCTCCTTCTCTGCACCTGAAGGAGAAGGACGATTAAATCACTGGAAGCTTTTTAGAATGGAGAAGTCAAAGACTTAGGTCTGTGTAAGGAGTCTCACCTTTGACCATTTTGTCCTAACTAGGCTTCCTATATGCTTTTCTTTTTCTCAAGAGGTAATGGTGTTTAGGCCTGAAATCTGATGCAATGACAACCTAACCAACAATAATTAGGCTCATCAGTCAAGGAAATTACAAGGACCCTTTGACTAAAGTCTTTTGCTGAAATGAATAAAACGCTCAGGGGTTGAAGAAAATATCCTCAGATAAATAGATTTTGAGAAAGATGAATAGACCCTTAGAAGGATAGATGATGGTTTGTAACAAGGTCTGTCTGGGTGTGGTGAAGTCTCCTTTCCCGCAATGAGTTAATTTTCAGAGGATTAATGACAATTGAGTTTCTTTTGTAAAAGCTATCTTAAGGCAGATGGAGGGACCCTCAGAGAGCCTTGCATCTTGTGTTTTTCAAGTTCCTGCAGCTCAAAATAATCACTATAATAAAGCAATATATTTTTAGGGTAGCATTACCTAAATTTCTTCAATGCTGGCTTTGTTTAATGAGCAATTTAAGCATAATTGTTTAGAATGAGTAAATTAGGAGGAGTATAAATGGGATGGAAGTTTGTGGATGAACTTGACATGGTTTCTGAGCCCTTTTAAAGTAAATTAAAATGCTGAAATATGCTGCTCAACCATTCTGATTTTGTGTTTTGGAAGAAGGGTCTCCGATGAAGAGAGGATAAATGTGATACTGACTAGTGGGGAATTTCTCAATTAGCTTTAATGATTGGGGTAGGCTACTAGAAATTGTAATGAAGAGAAAATAACCGTTCACTGCTTTCATTCAGAAAATATGGAATGTGTCTTAACTAGTTGGAAAACACTGAGTAATGAAATGATGAGCTGGTTGAGGCTGATAATCAATGCATGGCCATATTCATTTATTTAACTGATATTTGACCATTTAGTATGTGTAACATCCTACCAGGGCCAGGGAAGTAATGGCAAACAAGGTAGATGTAGTTTCTTCCATCATGCAGTGTCACAGAAGAACTAGATGTACACATGTACGCAGTATAAGTCAGAAAATTAATCATTTTTTAAGTGCTATGAAGAAAAAGTATTATTCACTCCCTGTGTTCTGTGTTAGTATCTGCAAATAGATGAATGGTTGAATTGAACTCATGTCAGCCATTTTTGTTGTCATTTATCTGTCATAGTGTCATTTATTAGACATAGTGCTATGACACTATGTCATTTATTAGACATAGTGCTAGTATCACAGGTTAATGTTTGAAAATAGATAAATTCTGCTAGTGATACATCTTTTTATATGATGTAAAGAAGCTAGGTGTATCTGGGCATTAATAAACATAAAAGGGATTGTATTATGAGGAAACATTTTTCTAAAATTATGAAATGGGCTTCATCTACAAAATGCTGATATAAAACAGTTCAAAATTGCTCACTCTGGCTGGACATGATGGCTCATGCCTGTAATCCCTGAATTTGGGGAGGCAGACGCAGGAGGATTGCTACATAGCGAGACTCCATCTCTACAAATGTAAAAAATTAGCTGGGTGTGATGGGAGTAGTCCCAGCTACTCAGTAGGCTGAGGTGGGAGGATCACTTGAGCCCAGGAGGTTGAGGCTTCAGTGAACTATGATTGGGTCACTGCACTCTAGCCTGGGTGACAGAGCAAGACAAAAAAAAGAAAGAAGGAAAGGAAAGGAAAGGAAAAAGGAGAATGCTTACTCCCTAAGTTTTCACTAGAAACTAAAGTTACTAAGAGTTAAAATTCTAATTAACATTGGGAGGCCAAGGCAGGTGGAACACTTGATGTCAGGAGTTCAAGACCAGCCTGGCCAACATGGTGAAACCCTGTCTCTACTAAGAATAATAAAAAAAAAAATTAGCTGGGCATGGTGGTGCATGCCTGTAATCCCAGCTACTTGGGAGGCTGAGGCAGGAGAATTGCTTGAACTCAGGAGGCGGAGGTTGCAGTGAGCCAAAACCGTGCCACTGCACTCCAGCCCGGGTGACAGAGTGAGATTCTGTCTCAAAAAAACAAACAAACAAACAAACAAACAAACAAACAAAAACTAACATATGGTAATTAGAACTAGAAATAATCATGCCTTATCTGAAGAAAGTAAGACATGTAAGTGAAGCTGTAAGTCATAAAAGATGTGTTCTTGTCCAGGAAAAGAGTAATTATGTCTAGTTTGGAAGTTGTTTAAAGCTTGTTTCAGAATGAATAAAGGAAGGAAGGAAAGATAGAGATAAAGTCGAATGCATAAGAAGCCTGCAGAAGATGAATCTTGTGAAAGGAATTTTATAAGTAATCAAGCTGGCTACAATTAGAAGGGAATTATTTATAAGTTTTTCTAATAATTGAGCATTAATATCAAAAGTACATGAATGAAAAACTGGAATTTGGTTCCTGTGTTAAAGTTTTTGTCAGCATATTGATCTGCTCTGAATAAAAAATCGTGAGAAGTTTCATTTACATTTTAGGAAACTGGCCTAGGTAAACAAAGATTCTATGTTTACCAAGATAATTTCTTCTGATTCATGTTATTTGGTTTTCAGTCACTTAAGAAAACAGTTTTCTCTTAACAGAGCTGAGATTTTTCTGTGACTGTGTAGCTTTCTGTATTTGTCTTTGAAATATTTTGTAATTTTTGTTAAAAGAATGACTATTATTCACAGTGGCCTGTGTCTTCATTTTTATCAAGTGTTTTAAATTTTGAGATTTTTGAAAAACTTCCCAAAATTAAATTTTAAATTGTAAGTTTTTTGACTTTGAATTGACTTTGTTGCATTCCAGAAGGGCCCCTGAAATATCTGAAAGAGATATATTAAACTAATTAGGATTATTTGATATATTAAACTTTATGGAAAGCATTTTCAAATAGTAAGTGATGCTAGACCTTCTTTGAGTTATATTTGTATGGATGTTATTCATATGTATTTCAGAAATAGTATAAAATTTATATAAATCTGATCATCCTGGATGCTGTCAGTCATAATTGTAGTTATTATCTTAAGATGTTGTATACAACAGAAATAATGGAATTTCCTTGTCAATTGCATCATTATTGTAATGAACTCTCATCAGATCTTTATTTATGGACATTTCAAGTCTTGTCATGCAAAAACCTCATCCCACACTACTGTGGATGTTTGTTGCCTCAAGCCTTTGGTCTTCATTTCATAACTCAGGAGAATCCTTCCAGACTTCTTGAACTGTATACTTGTTGGAGACTTTAAGGTAAAGCTGACTAGGGACAAGCTTCCCCAGAAGTAGACAGCATCTTAGATGTGAACAGCCTTTCCCAAAATGCAAGAACAAGACTAATCATAACAAGACTCTTACTTTTCTTAATTTTTTCTTCATTATGGCTACCTCTTTTCCTTAGTAGGACAATACTGTAATCAGACTTCTAGACTCACTTGGTCTCACTCTGTTTTAATTTAACCAATTCATGGGATGCTAGAATACATACTAGCTGAACAAGGAGGAGTTTGTCTAGTTGCTAATACTTTTTGTTGCTTGTGAACAAATACTTTGAGCATTGTAGGGACTCAGTTACCAAAAATATTAATGAACAGGCTATTAGGCTAAAATGAATAGACTAATCTGGCTCATTCTTTGGGTAATCAATTTTGATTGGCTTGGTTGATGAGGACCCTGGCTAAGGAACATACTTCAAATTTTTGGTATTATTCTCCTAAAAGTCACAATAGTCTCCCTCACGAACTGCATTTTCTCAAAAAGTCTCAATTGTCTACACTCAGCCATCTGATGAATGCTAAATGGTTTCCCTTCAGCCTGAAATGACAAAAACTTAAATAAATGTATGATTATGCGGACACCATAACCTATGAATGACATGTTGAGACCAGAAACCCAAGACAATGGTGACTGAGAGTAGCACCAATTCCCCTAATTTTGGTCACACTTCAGTTGCTAAGAGCATGACCAAAAGAGGGAAATTGTTAAGCAAAATTGTAAAAGGCCATTGATTTAGACTCAGCTCCTGCATTCAGCTCAACAGTCCAAACCAATATAGAGTTTAATCATAGTAGCTGTATTTCAATTAATTGTAGGAGGTTCTGTAACCAATAAACCAATGAAGCTGTGACCAATTAAATTGTCCCTAGACCTCACTAACATTTTTTATAAATGCTGCCAGATCACCTTGTTGGCCGGAGTACCCTGAACCTGTTTTGGCTCTGGGGACTGCCTGACTCAAGGGTTGTTTTTTGCTTTGTTCAAATAAACTATGTTAAACGTAAAAGTCTAAGGCTTTTTCCTTTTAACACCTGGTAGTGGGATTGCTGGTAGTTCTATTTATTAAAATTTTTTATTTATATTTAAGATATAAAACATGCTTTTACAGAACATATATAGGCAATAAAAAGGTTACTACAGTGAAGGAAATCAACATATCCATCATCTCACATGCCCATTGTTTCATTGTTTTGTGTTTTTGTGGCTAGAGTAGTTGAAATCTACTCATTTAGCATGAATCTAGCACTATTTATTTATTTATTTTGCAGAGAGGGGATCTCATTATGTTACCCAAGCAGGTCTTGAACTCCTGTGCTCAAACAATCCTTCTGCCTTGACCTCCCAAAGCACTGGGATTACAGGCCTCTGCAACCACATCTGGCAGGACAATTTTATTATCTATAGTCTTCATGTGATACATGAAATCTCTCAACTTGTTCATCCTATATATGTTACCTTTTATCCTCTGATCATTTCCTCATTTTTCCTCCATCCCACACTCCTGCTATTGGTGACCACTATTTTATTCTCTATCCCCGTATATTTGAATTTTTCTTTTTTTTTTTTAACATTCCACAAATGAGATCATGCAATATTTTTCTTTCTGTGTCTGGCTTATGTCACTTAGCATAACATCCTCCAGGCTCATCCACATTGTGGCAAATGGCAAGATTTTATTCATTTTTAGCACTGAAAAATATTCCATAGTGTCTATGTATCAGGATTTATTGGCTGAGCATGGTGGCTCACACCTGTAACCCCAGCACTTTGGTAGGCCGAGGCGGGCCAATCACTTGAGGTCAGAAGTTCAAGACCAGCCTGGCCCACATGGTGAAACCCCATCTCTACTAAAAATAGAAAAATTAGCTGGGCGTGGTGGCGCAGGCCTATAATCCCAGCTACTCAGGAGGCTGAGGCTGGAGGATCCCTTGAGCATGGGAAGTAGAGCTTGCAGTGAGCTGAGATGGTGACACTGCACTCCAGCCAGGGTGACAGAGCGAGACTCCATCTTAAAAAGAAAAAACTTTATCCATTCATCAGTCAACAGCCAGGCTGTTTCCGTATCTTGGCTACTGTGAAGAGTGCCGCAATGAACATAGAAATGCAGATATCTTTACAAGGTGAGGATTTCATTTCCTTTGGGTATATGCCCAGGAGAGGGATTCATGAGTTGTATGATAGGTTTCTTTTTAATTTCTTTTGGAAACCTTCATACTGTTTTCTGTAATGGCTGTACTAATCTATATTCCCATCAACAGTGTATAAGAGTTCCCTCTTCTCCATACCATTGTCAACATTTGCTGTCTTTTTTGACTTTTTGATAATAGCCAACCTAACAGGTGTGAAGGGGTATCTCAAAGTGGTTTGATGTGCATTTCCCTGGTTAATGATGCTGAGCACCTTTTAATATACTTGTTGGCTATTTTAATGTTTCCTTTGGACAAACATCTATTCAGGTCTTACATGTGCACATTTATAGCAGCACAAATTGCAATTGCAAAAATGTGGAACCAATGCAAATGCCCATCAATCAATGAGTGGATAAACAAACTGTGGTATATATATATATATACATTGTGTGTGTGTATATATATATATATATATATATATATACACACACACAATGGAATACTACTCACCCATAAAAAGGAATGAGTTAACAGCATTCACAACAACCTGGATGGGATTAGAGACTATTATTCTAAGTGAAGTAACTCAGGAATGGGAAACCAAACATCAGATGTTCTCACTCATAAGTGAGAGCTAAGCTATGAGGATGCAAAGGCATAAGAATGACACAATGGATGTTGGGGACTCAAGGGCAAAGGGTGGGAAGGGGGTGAGGGATAAAAGACTAAAAATTGGGTGCAGTGTATACTGCTTGAGTGATGGGTGCACCAAAATCTCACAAATCACCACTAAAAAACTCATGTAACCAAACACCACCTATTTCCCAATTACCTATGGAAATAAAAAATTTAAAAATATAAATAAATCAAATTAAAAATCTGTACCACACCAAAAAAAGGAAGTTTTCCCCGTTTTCTTCTAGTAGTTTTACAGTTTCTGGTATTATGTTTTAACTCTTTCAACTATTTAGAGTTGATATCTGTATATGGTGTGAGATGAGGATTTAATTTCATTCTTCCCCATGTGGATTATCCAGTTTTCCCAGAACCATTCACTGAAGAGATTGTCCTTTCCCCACTGTGTGTTCTTGGCACCTTTAACAAGATCAAGTGACCATAAATGCATGGGTTTACTTCTTGGCTCATTACGCTGTTCCATTGGTCTATGTGTCTGTTTTTATGCCACTGCCATGCTGTTTTGATACTACAGATTTGTAGTAGATTTTGCAATAAAGTACTATGATGCCTCCAGCTTTGTGTTGGAGGTGGGGCCTGGTGGGAGGTACTTGGATCATGGGATTGGGTTTCTCATGAATGGTTTACCATCATCCCTCCTTGGTACTGTCCTTGCAATAGTAAGTGAGTTCTCATGAGACCTGGTCATTTAAAAATGTGTGGCACCACCCCCCTCTCTCTTTCTCCTGCTCCAACCACATGAGGTGCCTGCTTCCACTTCGCCTTCTGCCATGATTTTTTTTTTTTTAAGACAGAGTCTCACTCTGTCGCCCAGGCTGGAGTCCAGTGGCGCCATCTCAGCTCACTGCAAGCTCCGCCTCCCGGGTTCACGCCATTCTCCTGCCTCAGCCTCCTGAGTAGCTGGGACTACAGGCGCCTGCCACCACACCCGGCTAATTTTTTTGTATTTTTAGTAGAGACGGGGTTTCGCCATGTTAGCCAGTATGGTCTCGATCTTCTGACCTCGTGATCTGCCCACCTCGGCCTCCCAAAGTGCTGGGATTACAGGCCTGAGCCACCGCGCCTGGCCACCTTCTGCCATGATTCTAAGTTTCCTGAGGCTTCCCCAGAAGCTGAGCAGATGCCGGCATCATGCTTCTCATATAGCCTGTGAAACTGTAAGGCAATTAAACCTGTTTTATTTATAAATTACCCAGTTTCAGGTATTTCTTTACAGCAATGCAAGGACAGACAAATCCACCATCCTCGAAGCATGACTGCAACCCAGCCCCCCTACCCAGCCAGACAGCCATAATGCGACAACCATCCCCTGAGCTCATTCACCACCACACAATGCCATAAATGTTTTCAAATAATTATGAAGTACATAAAGAATAATCTACACACACACACATACACACACAGGTTGAAAACACAATATTTGAAATAAAATCAGATTTTAACATTTTGGTTACCTTTAATATATTTGGGAACAAATACTGTGACAACATATTTTAAGTACATAAATAACTCAGAAAAGTCATATCTTTTATTCTGGAACTCTACTGACCTTATCTGTATAAAGAACCTAGTTTTATAAGAAAAAGGGGGTGAGGGAGGGGAAGAGAGAAATGCGTAGACTGAAGAGGAATCAAAGCTCAGGATTCTTCACAAGTGCAGCAGCTTCCACAGTTGGCCCAGAGGATGGTAGTTGCATATACCAGGTTACGCTAACCTCAACAAGACCTAGTTCTCACACACAAATGTGTCCAGTGGATAAAACCTCAGCTGCAGAAATAGATTTTAGCAATATCCAAAGACATTCCAGGGTCCGGTAGGAAGAACAAAAGTATGGCAAAATTGAAAACTACCATGGACTTGGCAGCATCCAAGGGCATCACCAGGGGGGCTCTTTCATGCATGCCTAGAGTCCTGCAAACTCAACCAAAGTTTTGGGATGTAAATGTAACCAGTTTCATCAAACTGTCACACAGCAGGGCAGTGGGATATAAAGACAGCCCGTGGACTTAGGGCACAGGGGCCCAGCTGCACCCAGAAGCCTTGACAGGATGCTGGAGCCCTGGGCTCAGTGGTACAGGCTTGTCCATCAAAGCCCCATCCTCAGGTAGGGGCTCAGGTTCTGGGCCCGAAGCTGTGCATGTTGTGCCCGCCAAGAGGGGCCTCTTGGCTGGAGTCTGGAGGGTCAGCTCCTGAGCTCTCAGTTTCTGAGGAGGGCGACCACGACCACGTCTGCCATTTGACGGGTGGATAATCTGTGCAGATGGACCAGGGGTGGATGATGGAGTTGAGCTGGGCTTCTTAGAGCTGTGGACAGCAGCAGCCCGGGGCTGCGTAGCAGTGCCACTAACTGCAGATCGGCGTGGGAGTGAAGAGCACACAAGGGTGTGGCACCGTGTCCCACTGCGGGCAGCCATAGGCCAAGGGGAATGCCGGGCCCAGTGGGAAGGGAGTTGTCTCAGGCCCAGCGCTGCTCTCCTGGGTAACTGGACTTCCTTCTGGGTGCTCAGCTCTTGGCTGGCTGGTACCCTGGGCTCCATGTGGTCCACAACTGCCCGGTCTTGCCCACGTTTCCACAGGTCATAGCGTTCAGGTTGCAGGATGCGCACGAAGGCATCCATGGAAAAGGTCACCCTTGCCTCCCCACAGCTACACTGGGAGGCCATTTTGCCATAATCAATCCATCGCGGAGTGGCAAAATTGATGGCCTCTGCGCAGTTGAAACCATGGTTGAAGCCAGCATGGTAGCCATAGGGAAAGGTCACCATGAACTCTCCAGCCTCCTGAGTTATGCGATTGAAGGGAATCCCATTTTCCTTGAGAACTGTAGGCGAGATGAGGGCCACCTTGTGCCGCAGGAAGGCCCCACAACCCCGGGAACTGCCTGGGAAGAGCTCCCTGGCCAGGCGTTCCAGGCGCTGGCCATGTTCTGGGGGCACCACATACCAAGTTTTGGGCTCCCCAAGGTGCAGGTAGTTGATGCTGTAAAGGTCCATGTCCTCTGTATGCCAAGCAAACGTGGTTTTCCACATGCCAAAGTACAAGTAGGGTGTATTGACGCCTTCTATGACAACCCCACATTCCTTTTCCAGCAGGTCCTGAATTGTTCCCAGGTGCCCAAGATTCCATTGTTTAGTGTTTTCATCAAACAAGGAGCCACTGATGTCAGCACCATAAATCGGTGAATTATAGATGCGGTTCTTCCAGTATTTTCGCTCCAAATCTTCGAAATTCTGGTGTGGTGGAGTCTGATATTTTTTACTGTTTGCCAAATGGCGATACTCCCCCACAGTCATGGCTTTCTTTTTTTTATGGTATTGAGTAAACACCCCTGCCCGCCCAGAGGCCACCTGCTGGAGGGGAGTGGCTATTAAGATTTCACTGATATTATCATAGGTCTCTCTGGCTTTCCATTCTTTGGGTGGAATTATCTTAGCCAAGCCAGCTCTGTGTGCACCTTGGGATTCCATGTAAGCAATATATTTATCAAAATCATTAAACTCTTCTTTGGTTGGATGAAATATCATTATGTTACAATTTGGATTCTGGGCACAGTTGGCCTTAGACTTCATAGTTTCCATTTAATAAGCAGTAAACTCTTAGTTTTTAGGTATGTTCTAGATAGTTGACAATGTAGGAAAATGCTACTTTAAAAAAAAATTTGACTGGTGTTATCTATGAGGTAGCAGGATCTACCAGCGTACTTTTTTTTTTGCAAATGAGATGATAATCTTTCTTGGGCTTGTTTATTCACTAGTGAGATTCCACTCTGGGCAGCAGCTTTGCCCAGGCATTGACGTTAGCTGATCCTGCAACTCTGTTATGTTTCGGTTGCTGCTGGGCTCTGTCTTCTTAAGTCTATTGAATTACTCAGACCTGGGGGTACGACCCAAATGTAGCAGAGAATGTCCTCAGTGTTTAGAACAAAATCTAAAAGAAAGAATACACAGAGATTAAAAATTGATATTTGGAAAAAATATTAGGCATCCAGAAATTAAATACCAGAATAGAATAATAATATTACAAAGAGAGGCTAAAATTTTATAAGATTGATAATTCAAGTGGAGGTGTGGATGTGGAACAGTGGGAATTTTCATACCCTACTACAGAGAATATGAAGCACTATAATCACTTTGGAAAACTATTTGGACAGTTTCTTCTAAAACTGAACATACATATGTTCTGTGATCCAACTGTTCCACATGCCTAGGAAATGTGTATGGTTGTGAGCTGAAAGTCACATCCAGTAATGTTCATAACAACATTGTTTCTGGTAGCCAAACACTTAAACAACCCAAATGTCCATCAGCAATAGAATGAATAAGTACACTGCAGTATATTCACACAACAGAATACCATATAGCAATGAAGATAAACCAAAGCCACATGAAAATGCAGTTTTATAAAGATCAATATTGAGTAACATTATCAAGACTCAGAAGAATACCTATTACACAATTGCATTTATATAAAGATGAAAAGGAGGCAAAGTAATCTATGTTTGAATTGCTTCTTGGCCTTTTGGCTAAGATCAAGTGTAGTAATCTATGTTTGAAGTCAGAGTAGTGGCTACCTTGGGAAAAGAGGGGTTGTTGTGTAGGGGGGCTTGAGGGGATCTCTTGAGTAAAGTTAATCTGTTCAGAACCTGGGTGCTGGTTTCATACCCATCAGAATAACTCATTGTGTTAACTCATCAAGGTATGATGATTTTCACAAATTTCTGTATGTTCATTTAAAAATAGGGTTTAGGAGGAAAAGCGTTAAAGACAACTAAGAGGCATATTTCATTGTATTAAAAGGAAAAGAAAGAACGACTGAAAATAAACTATACATTCAAGTGATAAAGGCAAATTAGAGTTAAGGGAAAGAAAGAGGAAAGGTACGGAACTAACAAAGAATAAAGATGATGTGTTTCCTTAACTCATACCGTGTGACTTTGCAGTATGTGTCCCCTATCCCTCGCACAACTGGTATCAGCCCTACATGGACCAATCTAGCATGACAGGAATTTTCCCCATAGAGAAGGGCCATTCAAAAGAGATGAAGAAAGCAGATAGTAAGGTTCCATCAGGGTTAGGATTTTTCCAGGCAAGTATACCTCAGTGAGAAAGGGATAAGGTTGTTGATGGGTTGAATGGAGAATGAACCATTATATCTATCCTGGATAAAAAAGGAAATAAGAACTTGAGGGAGGTTCGTGGGCTAGATTTCTCTATTTAGTCAAATAGTCCTGTTAGGACACTAGGAAAGGGAAGCTCAAAAAAGATTGGGATGCTCGAAACAGATTTTTTAAACTAGGGGCAGTTTTTAACTGAGTGCCTATTTTACTGATGTCTTGACATCTTCCTGAGTTTTGACTTTATGCTATTATTCAACTTCAAACTGTTTCTCCCCTCCCACATTCTCTCTCCCAAACTTTCCCTTCTTCGTCAGTTCTTAAGTTCCACTCCTTCCCAAGTAGATGAACTTGACTGTTCATCTTCCTTTACTGTCCCAACAAAACAGCACATCTTCTTTCATATCCTGTAGTTCTCTTGCCACTTATCACTTCTACCTTATATAATGTGAACAGTGTCACTTTTATTTAGCACTTCATTTAGACAGACCCCTTATTAAGCACTTTATAGTATCCTATTCAAAACTCACAACTAATCTATGAAGTTGGTACTATCATTATCCCAATTTTATGAAGGAAGAAACCAAGGTATAGAGAAATTTATAACTAACTCAATAGCTTGTGTTTTCAGTCTCTACAATTATGTCTATCCTTGACTTATCTTCCATATAAAAGTATTGAGAACATAATCTGTGTCTTGTTCACTATTGTGTTTTCCAAGAATATTGGTTTTCTTATATATTGTAGGCACCCAAAACATTTTTATTAATTAAATGAGTTGGCACACACTTCCCTCTGTCACCTATTGATTACACCCCATGTTTCTCACTGTTCTCCGTCCTCTCAGGAGAAAACACTGCTTTCTAGGGCTAATTTCTCCATTTGAACTCCTTAAATCAACATTTCCCACTTGGTCCAGGACTATGTTGAATTAAATAATCAGTTATTTTTCTCTTTATTAAATCATCAGTCATCAATCTCTTTCCTAATTTAAGCTACTGTCCTTACTCCCTCTCTCCCTCCTCTCAGGCTCCTCTCTCTCTCTCTCCCACCCAACCCCAGGTCCTGCCCCCACCTTTCTACTGACATTGTTCTCCATAAATCATCAAACTGCCTCCCAAATTCTGCTCCAGGGGTTACACTTCACTGATTCACAGAACCAGTGGTTCTGTGAACATCTGGTTCACAGAACATCACTGGTTCACAGAACACCTCCCCCTTCCTCCTAAAACTCCTACAACCTCCAGGGCACTGATACTTCTTTTAACACTGGTTCTTTTCTTTCTTCTGGGTTCTACCTCCTCTTCTACCACACACATGCAGACATCTCAAAGTTCAATTTTTATCCCTCTTAACTTTCTTTCTCTCTTAAAATTTCCTATTTATATTCAGGGTTTCTGTTAGTACCATGCTGTTTCCCTTTAAACATGTTATTTATTGTCATAACTTTCTCCAATAACTGACTCTCTCCTAAGCTTCTGCTCTCCTTCTCCAACTTAGATGGCCCAGTGAGCCCCTGAAAGTCAACTGGTTTAATACAAATTGATGATCTTTCTCCTGAAACTAAGTTACTCCTTTATATGTCTTTTATTTCTATCAAGGGCAATAATGTGTTATCGTAGTCACCACTGACTATTACATCTCCCTTTTCCCAGACATATGGTCAGTGCCTGTCAGAGGATCCAATGATAGTCTTCCATGAGGCCCCAAGGACATCTAGACACCCCAGGGTGTGTTCTCTTTATCTTCCTTATAGAAGAACCCAAGAATCCAGCTTGTCTTCCTCTCCTACTTAAAGCTGTCACTACTCAAGCGAGACACTGAGGATGTACAAGTGACAAGATTACCTGTATCATATGATAGTCTCCCAATCTCATCCCAATTTTTTAATCTTAAAAATTATTCTACAATGATTTTATTATAAATTCTTTATATTTTTGGAATATAAAATAAAATATTTCATTCTTTCTATTAGAAAACTTGCTCTAAAGAAAAGAAAAGAGAAAAGTGAGACAATTTAGAAGGATAATTAAATATCAGAAACTTAAATATCATGCTGAGGGTCTTTCCCTCAAGAAGTAACAAAATGCTGACTATGAAAATCACACAAACCTATATATTTTTTTGAATATACAAGTAAAATAAGCTTTGGGTTGAGCACTTTGTATCTGTTTTATAAACTGCGTTACTTCTTTTCTACATTTCTAAGGATTCTAGGAAGAATGATGCAATGTCTCCTTATACATATAGTCTTCAGATGTTGCATATCAAAAGAAAATACTACAATTTGTAAGTGTGACTGCGCTCCAAAAAAAAAAAAAAAACTGCTTAGAATTTGCCAGGTACAATGATGGAGAGATCCTTCAGTGTTCTAGCCAAATGTGTCACTTCTCTATGAGTCTTCAATGGTTGCTTTTGTTGTGAGACTACTTGCTTCTTTCAACTGGAACCATAGCTACCAGTAGAGAATAATTACACTGTCACTTGATACTCTTCCATTTTACCCTTACCCACAGTAATCACAATAAGGCAGAATTCGTCATCTAAGAAAACTTGACAGTTCTGACAACCAAAGAAAAGTATTTTCTTATCAGAATAATTAAAAAATAATACTTGATCCCTTAAAATTAATGGATTTCTGGAAATTAGAAAGTCTTTCTTCGGGTCTTTTAGAAATAATGCCTCCTAAGCTTCTTGCTGTGTGTGTGTGTTGGGGGGTGTTAAACTGGGCAAGTTAAGAAGTGAAGCTGAGTAAGTTTAACAGTCCCTTTCACTGCAGCCCTTGCCCAAACTGTTTGTCTTTCTTGCTGCATATGTATTTCAAATCTATTACTTCAAGTGGGGGATTGTTAACAAAATGCCTCAGACATCAGCCCTTGTTTCTTCTGACAGTCAATATCTAAATGCTATGTTTAATCAAATTTTTTTCTCAGTTAGAAAATCTACTACTTATTTAAAATAATTTATAAGCATAATATATTTGATAACTGAAAAAATTCTACTCTGTGTAGACAAGTGATTAAACTTATCCTGTATTATTGGACAGCTATTTTGTTTTTACTTTTGCACGATTATTACTAATCACTTTTACTTAAATATGTAGTCCGTATTTCAGTATCTAAAACAGTACATCCCGTAAAATATTGGTTGAATGAATGAAATTTCTTAGATTAGATACTTATAAATGAAATTACATTATAGAATTTAAATATTTTAAGATCTTTAATACACGTTGCCAAAACTTTAAAGAAAAAATATATTTTACATCCTGAACACTGATCAAATTTACTTTGAAAAAATATATATTTTACTAATTTTGGTAAGTTAAAAAGTTAGATCAAG
Organism: Homo sapiens; assembly: GCF_000001405.40. Taxonomy (NCBI): domain Eukaryota; kingdom Metazoa; phylum Chordata; class Mammalia; order Primates; family Hominidae; genus Homo; species Homo sapiens. The sequence goes on along the minus strand of NC_000011.10, from coordinate 94,992,495 downwards.
TTTTAATTTACATTTCTTGGACAACGACTAAGGTTGATTTTGATTTTTTTCATAAATATTAGTCTTTTGGATTTCATCTTATGTATTGGTTCATATCCTTTGCCTGTTTTTTTCTAATAGGGTCCCAGGGTGTTTTCTTACCTACTTATATAAACATTTTACATATTAATTACATGAATATTTTACATATTAAACCCTTTTGTTAGATATGTTAATAGTTTTTTTTGCCAGTTTGTCATTTAACTTGTATTTCTTTAAATTTATTTAACAAAAATGTTTTTGACTTACAATATTTTATTTTCCTTTGTAATATTTTTCATGTTTTTCATGTTTAGAAAGTTATAATACTTCTTCATCTAGATGGAGATAAATATTATCCTATAGTTTTTTCCTTTGTATATGCTAATTGTACCTTTAATTCTGATTTTAATTATACCTTTAATTCTGTATTTCGGAGAGGGGGGGTTATTAACTTTTGAAATTATTGTGTGGGTATTGGTGTGAGCATGAGTATGAAGAGGATATGAATATGATTCTTGGTTCTTTACAGATGACCTGTTCATTATGTGTGTTGTTTATTTTAGGTTGTTTGTCTCTCTATCAACGTTTATAGAAGCTTTTTTTGAACCCATATTCTTACATTTTATCCATCTCAAAAATGAAGTTCTTTAATTTTAGGATTTTTTTTTTTTTAGTTCTTTCTTTGATTTCCTCTACTCCTTTTCGTCTGTGTATTAACTCCTCTTATTTAGATATTGGACCTTTCATGGATTAGACCTCTAATGTTCACCTGTTTTCCCCTCCCCCAAGTTTTCTATTCCTTTATCACTATATTTTATCTTCTAAAAAATTTCTTCATCTTTATCTCTAAACTTCCTTTCTCTTTGTCTTTTTCATTTCTCCAATCAAATTTTTAATTTCCAGTGATCATTTCTGTTACCTGAGAGTTCCTGCATGTATGTACATTGCTTTTCTTTCTTATTGTCTTATTCTTGCTTCATGGGAGCATTTCTTCTTTTACCTCTCTAGAAATACTAAAATCTCAATGGTTTTTGAAATTCTGTTTTGTTTTTCTCCCTGCATGGTCTGTTTCTTTGAAATTGACTTTTGTCCTTTTTATCTTTCTTTCTTTTTTTTGCTTTGGTCTCTTTCATATTTAAGGCTTTCCTCACATGTCTGGTAGCCTTTAGTAATTGCCTTATATAAAAAAGTACAGCACAAAAAAGGCAGATTAGAAGCTCAGGGTACATGAATTGTTTTAGTGATTATGCTTCCCTGAATGATATTCTAACTGGGCTGTTTCCTAGGTGAACTCCTAACACTGATATTTCTAGAGCTGGTCATATTCAATGCAAAAGATGCTTCAGTCTTTCTCCTGGAGAGTACAGGTCTGACTTCCCTCCCAAATGGCAAAAGAGGCTACACATTTCTAAAAGTACCCTACTTGTACAGTTCACTTTATCAACTTATTTTCCCTATGACAACCACACTCTCAAAAGTATCTGGAAATTCCCAGTCCAGAGGCCACCTTTTTCCTCACTCTAGAAAAAATGAAGCTCAATCTTCTGCCAGGGTGTAAGAGGGGCAGTTTATCCAGCTGCTTAGAGGAGGGTGGGAACCTAGGGCTCTGTTTTGTTAGACAGATTTCAACAAATTCTCCTTAGCCTCATTTTAACTGTCACTCCCAGAGGTACCTAATGCCATGACATCCTAAGCCTTTTGGGTTCTGTAGAGACAATTGTGTTGCTTCTTGGCTTTCCTCATTGCCAATTTAGGACTCAACTTTCCAGTGTTTGATAAATCAGTTTACACTTGTCCATCTGCTTTCCAATTTCCAAAACTGGCCACTACCTGTTTTCCTTTACCATTTTCTGTCTTTGTAAGTTCATTTCTTAAAACAAAAATCCTGTTACTGTCACTTTAGTGAGGTTTGGAAAGGGAACAAAGTAAATGATTGTGTTTAAACCACATCTTTATTGCTTCTTGTTTCCCAAATTTCTCTCTCAATTTTCTTATACAAACGTAGTTCCAGTCAAATGGTCCTAATCACTGTCCTTGACTCTATGCTTTTCTTCCCTTGCTTCACTTATCTCTTCCTTCTCTTTTCTAAGTTATAAACTCTGCCTTCCAGACCAATCTGAGGCTCTCCTACATCAGGGTTCCTTCTATACCAACCTCAGACCTTGGTGAGAATTCTATCTTCTATACTCCATGAGTGCTACATTTATTTGGTGCTTAATACAAGCTGTTGAGGTGGCAGCTCTCCAGAATGTGTCTTACTTGACAAGCAGCTTTCATCTCTAATGGGCACTTGCCTTAAGGGAATAAGTCTCTTCCATGAGATGTGCTTGCTTCTCTCTCCAAAATATCTGCATGTCTCTGACCCAAAAGCTTTGACAGACCTTTCCTCATAAGCTGCATGAGAAAAGGAAGGTAAGGCTGGGCATGGTGGCTCACGCCTGTAATCCCAGCACTTTGGGAGGCCGAGGTGGGTGGGACACCTGAGGTGAGGAGTTCAAGACCAGTCTGGCCAACATGGTGAAACCCTGTCTCTACTTAAAATACAAAAATTAGCTGGACGTGGTGGTGGCCTGTAATCCCAGCTACTTGGGAGGCTGAGGCAGAAGAATCACTTGAACCTGGGAGGTTCAACCTGGCGGAGGTTGCAGTGAGCTGAGATCACGCCACTGCACTCCAGCCTGGGCAAGAAGAGTGAAACTCTGTCAAAAAAAAAAAAAAAAAAGAAAGAGAGAGAGAGAGAGAAAGAAGGTTAAAGGGCAACTTTTCCTGTACCTTTTGTGCCTACAAATGCCAATATTTGGTGTGGACTTCTTTTTATGAACATCTAGAGGAGTGTGGATATAAAGGAGAAAGACACACGGCAGCAAGTATCAGGCATGGACAGCATAAACTGTGACATAAAACCCAAAGTTTGGGACTTGGCCTTTAAATCCAGCATCTTAAGTGCAGCATTATTATTTCATTCTGACATATAATAAATTGAACATGGGATTATTAACCTCATTCAAATCATCTTTATTTTCATCTGTTGCATGGATACTGCAGCAGTAACAGTGGTATCTGGCAGCAGAGAGAGGCAGGAGCCAGAAGTCTTCCTGCTGAATCCATCTACAAGGACACACCACTCCATTGAGTTTTAAGGAATTATCTAATATATGCTTCTTTGGACTGTCAATACATTTTAAATACATGTCTTGAGTAGCATGTAAGTTTGGACTTACATGGACTCTCCCAGAGATTCTGTAAACTACTCAATAACCTTTTTAGCTTTTTAAAAAAATCCCCTTTGGCTTAAAGTGAATTCTATATACATGTATAAATTTTTCTTTATTCTGCAGTTAATAACTGTCTCATTCTTTCATTTGCTTGGCTTTACACTTTATATTAATTCATTCCCAGATTCATTTCCAGAAAGGTAAATCTCTTCTAAATGCATAAAACACATCTGGTACTGAATCAGATTTCTTTTCTCAGAAATATTCTTACTGGAGCCCTCAGATGCTTACTTAAATCTAGACTGATGAGTCTTCAGGTTGTTGCATGACGTGCATCTTGAGGTTTCTAGTCATTGTAATCCTGGGGGTTCCCTTTCCCTCTCTATTATGTTAGATCCTGATTCCCCCCATCTCAAGTCTCCTTCCTGGTTTACTCCCTTGTGTTGGTAAAGCATATCTACCAGAAGCATCCTTAGAAGCTTCATTAGAGATTATTAAGTAGCTCACAGAATCTTCAGCAGGACCAGAGACTAGGGATTGGAGCCTGTGTATCCAGGAACAATATCCAGATTACCCAACAAACAATAGTTAGATATTCCTATATATCCTCTGGTCAAAGACACCAAAGACTCTGGGCAAGGGACATTTCCAATTAGAGTCTAAGCTACTGCTGCCTCTGAAAGGTCACTGTCTCTCACTGCCCTTCTCCAGGAACAGATCCTTCATGAAATCTACTTCCTCATATTTCTTTACATTATAGTCCTCCATGGGAATGTCTGATTGGAAGAGTCTAGGTCATATCTCTATGTCTTCACTGCAATAGGTGCTGGATAATTGAGTTCCGGCTTTGACCTTGATGAGGCAGGGGTCATAAAGTTGGAGGTTTACCGAAAAATAAAAAGGGAATTTAAAGTTATTTGATGGCCACAAATATCACAACTCTCTCCCAAAGTATGCATGTCTGAGTCTGAAAATGTCTTTGTTCTATCCTCATGCTTTTCTTTCAGGATTTTCAAGACATTGTTCTGCTGAATTCTACCTTCCAAAAATCCAAAACCTGTTTTCTGTTCCTTTTTGTAATCTGTCTTTACTCTCTAAACAGTATTAGCATATTCTTCTGTTCCTTGTTTTCTAAGATTTCATTAAGATATAATTGGTAAGTCTTCTTTGTCAATCATTGTGCTAGAATTTTCAATATAGAAACTCATGTTGTTCCTTGCTGTGAAATTGCCTCACATTATTCCTTTGGCATTCCTTTCTATATTTTCAGTTTTCTCCTTCTCTGGAAATACCAGTAGACAGCAAATACTGTTAAGACAGCAACCTCTTGATTGATCCTCTAATTTTCTTTACTCTCCATTTCCTAATGCTTTTTCTTTTGTTACTATTTTCCAAACCTTCTGGCAATTATTTTTAATTTCCAGGAATTTTTTTTGTTCTCTGAATATTCCTTTCATCATATATTTCTGAAATTTTCCATGGCTGCAGATTTTCTCTTCTCTAAGTATTATAAGAATTTTTAAGTTTTATTTGCTCTCTACATTGTGTCTGTTTCCTCTGAGTTTGCCCTTCCACAATGTCTTTGTTTCTGTCTTTCATGTTAAACGTTTTCCTCGTATGTCTAGTTATTCTTGGCTTGTATTTGAGTCAGGCACTGAAGAGTTGCGTTTGCTATGTATGACTGGTAGGCATCACTGAGAGTGCTCCTACAGGAACCTATTCATTTCCTTTGAAGATGGGGGCACCTGTCAGTAGTTGAAGATAAGACTATAATGAAAAGACTCTACATTTATATGTTTATCTCCTTTGATATTGGGGCCCAAATTTGTGGTGTCCGAGTTTTTGTTTTGAGAAACAAAAACCTGCATTCCAACCAGCCAGAACTGAAACCTTAATATTTTATCAAATTTGCTTCAAGTAGTTTTTAAACAACTTTATTGAGATATAATTTACACAACACAAAATTCATCAATTTTAAGTGTACACTTCAATGATTTTTTGTATATTTACAATGCTGTGTGACCATCACCAAAACCTAATTTTAGAATACTTCTATCACTTCAAAATCAAACCTTGTTCCATTTGCATTCACAGCTCATTTCCACCCCCAACTCCAGGCAACCACTAATCTACCTTCTATCTCTACAGATTTGCCCACTCTGGACATTTAATATAAATGGAATAATAAAATAGGTAATATTTTGTGTCCAGCTTCTTTTACTCCACGTTTTTGAGGTTCAACCATGTTGTAGTATATATCAGTATTTTATTTCTTATGACCAAATCATAATCTATGGTATGGATATACTGCATTTTACTTATCCATTCATCATTTGATGGACAATTGGGTTGTTTTCATTTTGGGACTATTACGAATAATACTGTTATGAACATTCATGTACAAGTTTATGTGTGAACGTGTTTTTATTTATCTTGGGTAGATACGTAGGAGTATAATTGCTGAGCCATGTGATAACTCCATGTTTAACGTTTTAAGAAATTGCTACACAGTTTTTCAAAGTAAATGTAACATTTATAACCAGCAATATATGAGGGTTCCAATTTCTCAACATCCACATCAATACTTGTTATTGTCTTTTTCATTACAGCAATTCTAGCAGGTAAAAAGTCGTAATTTTTGTGGTTTTTAATTTTTTGTTTTTTAAGACAGGGTCTCACTCTGTTGCCCAGGTTGGAGTGCAGTGGCATAATCACAGCTTACTGCAGCCTCGACCTTCCAGGCTCAGGTAATCCCCCTGCCTCAGCCTCCCAAGTAGCTGGCACTAACAGGTGCACATCACCATGCCTGGCTAATTTTTTTTTTAAATTTTTGGTAGAGACAGGGTCTCACTATGTTGCCCAGGCTGGTCTTGAACTTCTGGGCTCAAGCAATCCTCTCACCTTGGCCTCCCAAAGTGTTGGGATTACAGGTGCGAGCCACCAAGGCTGGCCTCATTGTGATTTTCATTTGCCTTTCCTTAATGACTCATGATATTGCACATCTTTTCATAAGCTTATTGGCCATTCATATATATATTTGGAGAAATTTCTATTCAAATCCTTTGCTTATTCTTTGTTTTCTTATTACTGTGTTGCAAGTCCTTTACTGGATATATGATTTGAAAATGTGGTCTCCAGGTCTGCAGGTGTTCTTTTCACTTTCTTGACTATGTCTTTCGAAGTGCACAAGAATTGAATTTTGATGAAGCCCGTCTTATCAATTTTTGTTGTTGCTTGTGCTTTTGGCTTTGTGTCTAAGAAGTTATTGCCCAGCTCAATGTCATAAAGATTTTTCCTGTTTTCTTCTAGGTGTTTTATAGTTTTAGCTCACATTCAGGCTCACAATCAATCTTAATTTTTGTGTATGCTGTGAGGTAGGAATCCAAGTTCATTCTTTTGTATGTGGATATCGAGTTGTTCCAGCACCATTTGTTTTCTTTCTCCATTGACTGTCTTGAAACTTTTGTTGAAAATCAGTTAACCATAAACCTAAGGGTTTATTTTGGACTTTCAATTCTATTCCATTGAACCGTTTATCCTTATAGCAATTAGCAATGTCTATTAGAGCTCTGTAGTAAGGTCTGAAATAGAAAAGTGTGAGCCCTCCAAATTCTTTTCTTTTTTTTCAAGATTGTTTTGGCTATACTGGTTCCTTTATATTTCTATATGAATTTTAGGACCGATTTTTAATTTCTGGGGGAAAAAAGCCAGTAGGAATGATGGTAGGATTGCATCAATCTGGAGATCAATTTGTAGAGCATTACCATCTTAATAATATTAAGTTTTCTGATCCATTGACATGGAATGTCTTTCCATTTAGCTTAACAATATTTTCTAGTTCCCAGTATATGTCTTGCACTTCTTTTGTTAAATTTATTCCTAAGCATTTTGATCTTTTTGACACTATTGTGAATGGAACTGTTTTCTAAATTTCGTTTTCACATTGTTCACTACTAATGCACAGAAATCAATTTATGTATATTGATCTTGTATCCTGCAACCTTGCTGGACTTCGTTTTTAGTTTTAGTGGTTTTTAGCAAGCTACCTAGGACTTTCTATATATAAGATCATGCAATCTGTCAATAAAGATAGTTTTAGTTCTTCCTTTTCAGTCTGAATGTCTTCTTTCTCGTGCCTAATTACCCTGGCAGTGTAATGCTGCATAAAGTAGTAAAAACAGATATCCATTAAAAATCTTGCTCCTGCTACAAGTATTTTTAAGTAGAAATAAATAAATATTTCAGATGAAATGGGATTCCTTCTCTGATCTGAATCTTAAATCCTGTTCTCTCTCCCCCTGCCTATAAGCAACTACAGTCATGAATAGGCTACACTGTCCATGTTTGGGTGTCCATCAATAATACTGTTTTGTGTATCTGCTATTTTTTTTTTGAGACGGAGTCTTGCTGTGTTGCCCAGGCTGGAGTGCAATGGCACGATCTCGGATCACTGCAACCTCCACCTCCCGGGTTCAAGTGATTCTCCTGCCTCAGCCTCCCAAGTAGCTGGGATTACAGGTGCCTGCCACCAAGCCTGGCTAATTTTTTTTTTTTTTTTTTTTTTTTAGTAGAGATGGGGTTTCACCATGTTGGTTAGGGTGGTCTCGAACTCCTGACCTCAGGTGATCTGCCCTCCTCGGCTTCCCAAAGTGCTGGGATGAGAGGTGTGAGCCACCATGCCTGGCCTGCTATTTTTATTTCATATAAATAATTTTAGGCTAAATATGCCCATTTTCTACAATTTTTATTTTTATTCATTTATTATGAGAAAGGGACTGGTTCTGTTGCCCAGGGTGGACTGCAGTGGTGCAGTCTTGGCTCACTGCAGCCTCCCTCTCCAAGGCTCAAGCCATCCTCCCACCTCAGCCTCTTAAGTAGTTTGGACCATAGGCGCAGGCTACCATGCCCAGTTAATTTTTCTATTTTTTGTAGAGACAGGGATTTGCCATGTTGCCCAGGCTGGTCTCAAACTCCTGAGCTCAAGCAATCTGCCAGCTTCAGACTCCCAAAGTGCTGGGGTTACAGGCATGAGCCACTGTGCCTGGCCTCATTTTCTGCAATTTTTAAATTCAACATTAACAGTTTCAAGATATATTCATATATACATACACGCACATATGCATAGGTACACATATGTATATATACATACATACACATACATACACTATATATGGTCTGTTATAAAAATATATTTTATTATTGCACTTTCCTATTGGTGGGTATTTACATTACTTCCAGTGTTTCCTATTACTTTCAGTGCTGTGTGTGTTCTCTTTCTTATATGTGACAATTTATCTAGGGTAGATACTTTGAATTATCATTTCTAAATGATAAAGAAACAACATTTTAATTTTACTAGGCAATGTCAAATTGCTCTACCTAGTGGCTATCCTAATAAACCTATGTACTAATAGGAGTTTCTGTTTCTCCACACCTCCAGGTGCATTTGATAATGTCAACTTTTCAGTTGTTGGCAATTTGGTAAAATGATTTATCTCCTTTTATTTTATTATTGTAGTTGTTGTTGTTGTTGTTATTATTGTGTGACTTGTTTACTGGTGAAGTCAAGTAATTTTTCACTGATTTATTTCTTTTGTGGGTTTCGGTTTTCTGAATTACCAGTTATACCTTTTGCCGATTTTTTCCAGTTAAATTGCTTTCTTTTTCTAGTGATTTTTAAAAGTTCTTTAAATGTTTGGGATAATTTTATGTCTATTGTATTGTTGCAAATAACTTATCTCAGCACACCACCTCCATTTACTGTTTATGTTTTTTTGATATTTGAAAAAATTAAATGTAGTCAAATTTATTGATCTTTTCCATTATGATTTGTGCCTTTGTGTACTATTTAAGTAATCCATGTATTCTTTGGGGGTCAAAAAGATCATATTTTCTTGTCATTGTTTTCTTTGCTTTTCACTTTTATTTGTTTTGCCTATTTAGAATACTGTGTGTTATTGTAAGAAACAGAACTTTTTTTTTTTTTTAAGAAATCCAGTTGTTTGCCACCATTTTCCCCATTCAGTTGGAATCCTTTTCTCACATATGCTAAGTTACAATGTAAGGATAGATGTCTTTCTAAACTCTTCATCTGGTCCATTTATTTATTTGTACATTTCTATGCCAATGTTAGATTGTTTTAATTACTAAAGCTTTATACTTAGGATAATTGGTAAGGCAAGTCTCCATGTACTTATTCAACTTTTTTCAAAATTATCTTGGGTATATTTATAGAGTAAAACTTCAGTATTCATTTTAGAATAAATCTGTCAGGTTCTGTCAAATACTGTTAATTTAAATTGGGAATGCATTGAAATTAAAGGAAAATTAGAGGTGTATTTTCATAGCTCCTGCATTGATCATTCCCACCAATTAACTGGTATATTTATACATTTATTCAGATCTTGTTGCATGTATATCAATGAAGCTTCAGATTTGCATCAAAAAGATAATGAATCTGTTTTCTTAGATAAAACCTTAGGAACTTTATAATTTTTTGAGTGTACTGTACATGGAAATTTTTTTCTATTAAGTTTTCTTATTATTTATTGATCTTACATCCCTTTTCAAACCTTGTACCTCTTATTTCCTATTAGTACTATTAGCTTGGCCATTAATTCTAGAATTTTCCACGTAGATAATATTTTCTAGGAAAAAATCATAAAAATTATATCTCTTCTTTTTTTAATAGTCATGTCTCTTTTTTTTTTTTTTTTAGAAATAGGGAAGTCTTAAGTAACTAGATATGATCTCTAGCAAAATGCTGAATGTTGACTGAGTTGGTAGAAATTCTATACTCATCTAAGATTTTAATAAGAGTGGCTCTAAACTTTGACATTAATTATATCCTATCATTTACCATCTAAGCTGAGACACTTTTGAGAATAACAGAGACCCAAGGATGACAGGCATAAACCTGGACCCTACTGATCAAGCAGTTAAAAAGCAATAGTCATATAAAATTCAGTTCTGCCGAGCTGCAGAATATATATTTTTCCAAGTTCTATAAAAAATTTACAAAATTAACCATAACTGTGGCCATAAAACAAGCTTTAACAAATGTCAAACGGTTGAGAACAGTCAGAATATGTTATTTGACCACAAACAATGAAGTTAGTAATATCAAAATGATAACTAAAAAATTCCCAAATTTATAAAATAAAAAGTATATTTCTAAATAAATTTTTAATGAGAAAATAAAAAATGGAAATTAGAAAATATTTTGAACTAAATGAAAATACTACATTTCAAATCTTGTAGGATGCAGGTAAATAGCATTAAAAGGGAAATTTATAAATTTAAATAAATATTTAAGAAAAGGAAAAAGGTTAAAAAAACTAAATGAGCTAAGCACCCATCTGAGGAAGTCAGAAAAAAGTAACAGCAAAGAAAGAAAAAGAAGAGAAATAATAAGAGACCAGAAACTGATGAAATAAAAAGCCAATATAAAATATGATGAACAAAACCAAAAGTTGGGCTTTTTTAAAAAAGTCTAATAAAATTTAAAAGACTGGTGAAAATGAGGAAGAACAAAAATAGAAGGCACAAATAACCAATATCAACAAAGATAAAGAAGTCATCACTACAGATGCTGCAGACATAAAAGAGACAACAAAGAAGTATAAACAACTTTATGCCAATACAGTTTAACATTTCAATGAAGTAAATACATTTTTAGAAAAATATAACAGTGATACTGACAAAAGAATAAACAGAACAATAAATATATCCATAACCCTCAAGGACACTGACGCAGTAGGTAAAACTCTTCCCAGAAAATATACTCGAGGCCCAGATGGCTACACCAAGAAATTTTAGTCAACATTCAAGAAAGATATTCCAATCTTAGATAAATTTTCTCAGAGAATAGAAAAAGAAAGAATACTTCCCAATTCATTTTATGGTACGAATCCCCAACAAGGATACTATGAGAAAAGAAAATAGGTCAATCTCGCTTATGAACATAGATGGAAAAATCCTAACTGAAATCTGAGCAAATTGATTCCAGCAATATATACATCATGACCTAGATGGGTTTATTCCAGTAATGAAAGGATGAAACTTTAAAAAATAATAGTGTAATAGCACATATTAACAAACTAAAGAGAATCTCATTAGATGCAGAGAAAGTATTTGATAAAATTCATCAATTCATCATTCTTTCAGCAAATTAAAAATAGTAGGCAAAAATCTTAATGAAGTGCATCTATCCAAAACCTTCAGCCAAATCATACTTAATAATGAAAGTTATACGTTTTCCCTTGCAGATCAGGAAAAAGACAAGGATGCTTGCTATCAGCATTTTTATTCAACATTATCTTGGAAGTCCTAACCAACATAAGAAGGCAAGGAAAAAAGAAGGAAAACAGAAAAGGAAGAAACAAAGCTGTCACTATTGGCAGATGACATGATTGTACATGTGACAAAATCTGAAAGATCTCTGAATAGACCCTTTGAATTAATAAGAGAGCTTAGCAAGTTCTCTGAATTTAAAATAGCTACATATAAAAATCAATGATATTTCTACACACCAGCAACAATGAGACAACCAAAATTTAAGGAAGACGCCATTTATAATAGCATTAAGCATTAAGTAACAAGACTAATGCTAACAAAAATTTGCAAAATTTCTATGAAGACAACAATATGAATGTACTTAGAGAAGCATATTAATATAAACTAAAGACATCCTAAACAAATGGAAAAATATAACCTGTTAATAGATTTGAAGACTTAGTATTGTAAAAATGTCATTACATTTTTAAGAATGTTTTCTTAATCTGTAAATTAAATATTATCACAATTAAAATTCCAAAAGTATTTTTGTGGAACTTGACAATTGGCTCCTGAATTTTATAGTAAAGTCCAAAGGGCCAAGAATAGCAAAGCCACTCTTATAAAAGTGGGACAAGGTAAGAATATCTGCTCCATCGGATTTCAAGGCCCCTTCTCCAGCATGCCACGCACAAAAATGAATTTCATGTGCAGCTATGAAACCTTTAGAAGATAATACCTGAGAATATCATTATGACTTCCCAAGTAGGGACATTCATAATCAAGAAATACCATGCATTAAGCAAAAAGGAAAAGAATGATAATTGAACCACTCTAAAAGTGGTTCCAAAAAGAGAAGCAGAGAAGTGGCAAATTGTATATGCAGCACAAATAAGTGACAGAGAACTATGCCTAAACTTAAGAAATCATAGAAATCCATAAAGAAAAGATGATTCAATAGAAAGATTTAAACAGATACCTCACAGAAGAAGAAATCCAAATGGACAATTAACATGTGAATTAATAATCAGGGAAATGCAAACTGAGACCTCAATGATATATCACTATATACCCACCAAATGAGCTAAAATTGAAAAGCCGGACAATCAAGTGTGGTGAGATTATAGAACAAGAACTCTCATCTCCTGTTGATGAAATATATATATGAAAAATGCACACACATGCACCTTTGCACATTTACAGAAATGTTCATTGTGGCATTATTTGCAATTATCACTACAACGAAAAGATAATTACTAGAATTAACAAGTTATGGTGTGTATTTTTATACAATGAAACTCTAAATAGTATATCAGAGCTACAGATAGCACACATTAAGTGGGAGGAATAAAGCAAAAACATAAAGGAATACATATTCATTTACATAAACATTTTGAACATTTATATAAAATTTAAAAATTGGCAAGACTATTATCATTTAGAAATGCACACATTGGGCCAGGTGCGCTGGCTCACACCTGTAATCCCAGCACTTTGGAAGGCCGAGGCAGGTGTATCACTTGAGGTCAGGAGTTCGAGGCCAGCCTGGCCAACATGGTGAAACTCCATCTCTACTAAAAATACAAAAATTAGCCAGGCATGGTGGCACGCACCTGTAATCCTAGCTACTCGGGAGGCTGAGGCAGGAGAATCCATTGAGCCTGAGAGAAGGAGGTTGCAGTGAGCTAAGATTGTGCCACTGCAGTCCAGCCTGGGTGACAGAGTGAGACTCTGTCTCAAAAAAATAAATAAATAAATAAAAAAGGAAATGCATACATTGGCATTTGTTGAAATTTGGGGAGGGCTTTATACTTGATTACTTTTTGTAAATATTCAATGTTTATTGAAAAGAATATATATTCTGCTCTGATTACAGTGAACTTTTTACATGCACATAGAAATACAATAAGCATACATATATAATGCACACATATATGTACACACATATAACTTATATAGTAGATCAATGTTGTTGTTTGCTTGATCTGCTCGTCTGAGAGAAATTTATCTTAAAAAAATTCCCACCATGATTTTAGATTTGTCACTTTTTCTTACTTTTGCTTCATATTTTCTCAAGTTATGTCATTAGCTGCATACATGTCCGATAGTAATTTTCCTAGTGGATTTTTCTTCGTAATATAATACATGCACTTCTTTGTCCCTATTAATGTTATTCAACCTAAGAATACTTTTGCTAACTAACATTGCTACATCAAGGTTTTTAAATTAGAATTTGCCTGGCATGTCTTTTTCTATCTCTATTTTCTACATTTTAGTTTTTTAGTTTTAACTATTTTTAATATGTTTGATTTTAATTGTCTTCGCAGTAGTACACTGGTCAGCTGGTGAGGTATTTATGTGATTAGATTAGATGAGAGGTGAGTAACTTATGACATTATCCAGTAACCCAGCCTGGACCATCAGCAAATGATATTTCATTTGGAGGCTGTCTCCAGGAAATAATCTCTCTAAGCCCTAGAATGTCTTCATTTAAAATCAAGATTTTGTTGGTAGAGGGCTAGACACTTTATTTTTATATTCTCACTTGTCAAAACATCAAAGAAAGCACTAGTTTTTTATATTAGAAAATGTGTCATTTTCAGGTTAAAAATTTGAAGTAGATTTCATTATTTATGTTACTTTATTTTAAAATGTAATTTCTGACATGTGGGCATTTTTTTTTTCGTATTCCTATTTAAAAGCCACAAAGAAACATTTTTAAGCAAAATGTTCACATTTTGTGGGCCAATAACTTGGTAAATGAGAGTTTAGTAGAATTGGAGACAGTGATTCAACTGGAAGAGATGGAGAGAGTTGGATTAGAGTTGTGATTGGATTAGGGCTGATTTAATTAGGATTTTGATGGTACATATAAAGCCTGATCTCATATGATTTTTTTCATTTAGAGATTCTCTCCCGAAAGAAAGTCATATTTCTGGGTCTTATCATATCTTCATTTGAAATCGGGATTTCAGACTAATACAATGTAAGTTACTTTTTTCCTTTAAAATATAAAATAGATTAAGGCAATAACTTTTTACAACAGAACACAATTTTTTCCTCTTAAAACTAATTCATTCTTTCATTCGTCCATTCATTCTTTCTTTTATTCACTCATATGGAAACTGTTTATTGGGTAGCTATTGGTGCCAGGCATTGTTTTAATGCTTGACCTATATTACTGAGCAAAACAAAGATCTCTGCCCTTTTAGAACTTATATTCTACATGGGAGAAGTAGAGAAAGAGACAATAAATGTAACATAACTAAATTATATAGGGTCATGGAAGATGATAAATGCCATGTAATTATATATAATATAATTTTAAAAGATAAAAAGAAGAAAGAGGGGAAGGGAGATACGGAGTACAGAATGTTAGGGGACAGAGAGGGAGAACAGTTGCAATTTTAAGTAGAGATGCCCAAGGTTCGTTGGACTCCATTTGAACAAAGACTTGAGTAAGACAGGAAAGAATAGCCTTGGCAGAGAAAATAGCTAGTGTGAGGGCCCTAAAGCAGGAGCAGCTGTGTGCGTGTCCAAGCAACAATATGAAGGAGGTAGCCATGAAAAGCATGAGCAAGTGATGAGGTCAAAGAGGTAGGGGAAAGGGTAGACCATAGAAAACTTTGGAAACCATTGTGAACACCTTGGCTTTTACTGTGAGGGTAATGGGGGACCAATGCCCCCCGCTGTCTGACTGGATCCCCTTTTCTCTCAATCCCATCCAACTATGTTATTAATTTTTTTAATTGTTGCCAATCGGATGCTGTAATGTGATAATCCATTTTTAGTTTACTTTCATTTTCCTCATTAGAAGGTTGAGTGTCTTTCATGTTTATTGACTTGTCTATTTGAAATTGCTTTTTCTGAATGGCCTGCTTATATCTTTTGTCCATTTTTTAATTGGGTAATTTGTGATTTTTATATTATGTGTATCACTAGCAGTAGCAGTAATCCTTTATATGTTATAGGCATTACAAAATTTATTTGCGAATCTAGAATTTATTGACTTGTTTTTGGCATCTACAGCTATAAAATTAATTGTTGGATAAATGAATTTTTAAAAGTATTTCTTTTAAAGCTCTTAAGGTGTTCTGCTTTGATTGAAAGGTCTTTCCAAATTCTAGGTTCTATAAATAGTTTCTTAAATTTTCTTCTTAGGTTTTTATGGTTTCTATTTTCCCTTTTAGGTGTTGATTTTGTTTAAGCTTTAAACTGGAATTCCTATGCTACTCCTGCCATAAAAATAGAAAGTTTTGCAATCAAGGGCCAAACTACATCCCTTTCACATTTAATTAAATGCTACCTTTGGCATACTAAAATGAAAGAGCCTTTTTTAAGGTTAAGATATACTATACCATGTCCAAAAGCTGATAAAAATGATCTGAAAGGGATGGCCTCATAGATCATAAGAAAGAGAAAATATATAGCAAAATGCCAGCCACTAAGAAACCTGGAGGAATTAGGACCCAGAGCACAAGGGAGAGTGTGGGTCACCTCATCTCCAGTAATAATGAGAATCTGAGGATACAGGAATAGCCAAAGGCAGCTCGATAGATCTGCGGAAAAAAGGAGATGAGAAGTCCTTGTTTAAGAGCTTCTGTTTTCTCAGAGAACTGAGAAGATCTACTGCCAGGAAAGAGAATGCAGAGGGAAAAGGAGGTGAAAGAGGCATGTAGACTTGAAGAAAGGGGAATGTGGGAAATTATATTATTGTAGAGGGGGAAAATAAACAATTAGGAGAGCATAAGAGGACTGGCAGGCAGAATTAAGGGCCAAACTAGATTTTGTGGTAACAGGTTTAACATAAGAATTCTTGGGAGGTTATATGATTTTTGCCAGCTAGGTTAACTGATCAGATGAATTTCAAGATTTTAGTAAACTTAAGTTTCTTTTTCTTAATACTTTCAAACCATTTAAGTCAAAAGCTTTAGTTTCATTTTCTTATTAGCACTTTCATTTAAGTCAAAAGCTTTTAATTTTGTGGATTGACTATATTGTATATTGGTGTTAATGAAATTATAGGGTGGCTATTTATCACCACTGGCAACCAAAAGATTAGGTTAGTGGGCTGGGAGTTAAATCAATGAAGTGATTCACTCCAGGCTAATGAGGACAGTTGGAACATAAAAACTGTGGGTATCTCCTATAATTGTGTTACCATCTTGCCATTGTTACGTCATTCCTCTACTTCATAGTGCATCATTCATTCATTCATTCATTCAACAAATACTTACTCAGCACCTATTATGTGCCAGGCACTGTTCTATATGCAGAGGATACACCCAGTGAACAAGAGAGACAAGGTTCCTGCTTTCCTGGAACTTATGTTCTAATATAGGAAGATAGACAATAATAATAAAAATAATATTAATAATAATAATAATAGCTAACATTTATTTAGCAAGTACTATTTGCTGAGACAGTTCTAAGCACTTTACAAGTATTAATTCACTTAATCCTTAGAGTAGTATTACAAGTTAGGGACTAGAATTACGCCCATTTTACACGTGAGGAAACTGAAAGCACAGAAAGGGAAAATGACTTGCCTAAGGTTATAGAGCTAGGAAAGGGCAGAACTGGAATTTAGAACAAAAATGGGCAGGCTGAAGATCCTTTTCTCTTAATGACCTTCGCATGCTGTCTCCTGAGAGACATGGAAATAAAAAATGAATAGAATAGACTCTGGTAATGTTTAGTGGTATGAAAAATGAAACAGGGTGATGTGATGGTGTACAAACACAAGTGTTGGAGGGGTGGGGGTAGGAAAACCTCACTGTGATACCTGAGACATGAAGGATGGTGATACAGTTACTTTGGGGCACAGGCAACAGAGAAAAGCTAGTGCAAAGGCCCTAAAATAGAAGGAATCTTGCCCTGTTTTATAAAACAGAAATGCCCACTTGGCTGTGTCTAGAGCTTAGTGCGTAAGCGAGTGACTGATTGGAAGTGAAGTCTGGAAGGTAGGCAGGAACCAGACTCCGTGGGGTCTCAGGTCACATTAAGAAATGTGATTTTTATTCTAAGTGCAGTGAAATTGTACACAGGATAGTAACACCATTTTATTAATTTTAAAAGATCACTCTCTTGGCTATATGCAACACTGACTGTAGGATAAAAGATGACGCAGGAAGATATAATAGGAAGCAATTACAATCCAGGTAGGAGATGGTGTTGGCAAAGGCAAGGGTAGTGGCAGTAGAATAAAATTGCGGGTGAGTTTTAAAAGTAGAATTGTTAAGACCTGTAAATGAACCGTATGTGAAGAGTGAATGAAAAGGAATTTAAGTAGGCACTCCGGGATTTTGGTTTGAGTAACTAGCATGATGATCGCGTCTTTTAGTGAGACTTGTTAAGACTGGAGGAGGGATACCTTCGGTAAGAAAAATCAGGATTTTCATCTTGAACTCTATGACTGAAAGGGCTTTTTCTGCTTTTCTTTCTTCATTAAAAAGTTGCAAAGAATTTAGGGGTAAGAAAGCATTTAAATATTCAATTTTGTGAGTTCCTTACATTTTAAACTAAGTTGGGGAAGTTGAATTTTCATTTGTTTAACAAATATTAATTGAGCAGCTACTATACGTCAAGGTCTATGTGATGAGATACCAAGATGAGCTAAACAACCAAGATCTCTATTCTCAGAATTTGTTTTTATGGAAGGGAGGAGAGACGACTGGTAGGTTTTTGGTTTTCGGGTTTTCTACTTTTCGTTGTCTTATTAAAACTTAACACTTAAGTAGCCATCTTAATAATTACATCTTGTGCTCCTGGTAGTTGGGCCCACCATTGTAAACGCTCTCGTAAATACTGACATCTCCCCTCCCACTAAAACTAACGTTTTTTAAATAAGAAATTTTAGCAAACATTACGAATACAACCTTTGCTTTGAAGTGTTAATATTTTTGCAGGAATGGTACCTTTGTAAAGATCGTGGTTGCCCCGTACATATTTGTTCTTTCTTCATATCCAATTAAATGAAAACACTAGTTTTTCCGAAGCCCAACTCTCTAGGTTTGTTGGTTCTAGCTCAGGAGAAAGGATGGAAGCAGGAGTCGTTGGATTTAAACAGTTTGGTGTAATCCTTTTCCACGCTCTCTCCCGCTAGCCGGGGACGTGGTGTCGGCTACCCGGGGCTTTCCGTCCACGCAGTACCGGAATGAAGGAGTCTGGGAGGGGGTCGGGGACGGAAAAGACGGAAGAGACATTAAGTAATTGGTTCTTGAAGGTATAAAATGAGGTTTAGGGTCTACTCTAAGGCACTGATTTCAAACGCCCGCCCCCTGGGCCGCTTCGGCCCCGCCCCTTAGTGCCGTTACGCCGACTTCCACTTCGGCCACTGCGGATTGGTCGTTGCTTCCGCCCCCGAAGCGCTTGGATTTTGCTTCCGGGTCGTAGGCGCTAGCTCTGGGCGCAGAGGTTTCTGGGAGCCAAGAGTGGTAATGGCGTCTGTATGATCTTCGGAGCCTGCTGCATCGGACCTCGGCCAGTGTGAGCGGCAAGAGGATAGGAGATTATCTTTCTTATCGCGATGGGACGGGAAAGGGCAGTTGGGGTCGGAGTCGGCGGCAGAGTGCAGAGCGCGGGCGGTGGAGGCCCTGGAGCAGCGGGCTAGGGGCGGAACCGAGTGCCTGTCAGGCGCGTCTGGAGCTCTTGGGCCCGCCGAGGAGATCGCAGCGTACAGGCAGCTCGCCTACTGCGTAAAGCGAACCCCAGGTCCTCCCTTCACTACCCTTCGCACCCCTGCAGTGCTGGGCACGGGTGAAGAGGCAGCGAGTTTCTGGTTATAGCCAAAGACTAGCTCACGGGAGGCCGGAGTGATAATTCCGTGGGTGTGTGGGAAGGGGCGGCGCCCCCAGCGCCAGATAACCCTGTTTTCTTCTTTGTATACATGTCTCTACCCTTTTTGAAAGTTGAGAGAATTAGCATCGCCCCCCCCCCAAAAAATCCTCCCAATTCGCCCACCCTCCCCACACACTTGCTTTTCCGACACTAACAGGGTTTTAGTGACTGCATCTGCTGCACAGTATTCTTGTGACTGCTCCAAGCAGAAAGTAACTTGAGGAATGAGTCCCTGATTTTTGGCATCAGAATCCTCTGGGGGTGAGGTTCCTGTTTTTTTTGAACAGGCCTTAAATTATAACCCACAAACGATCTAATTTATAGTATGATGCCTGTTGTAGGAGAAAATTGGCTCAACAAACGGTTGTTTAAGAATTTTTTTCTGTGTAACTGTCATTGAAGTTTAACACACTTTTCTCTGGGACATTTAGTAACTTTGTCAGTGATATTTTTTGTTTGTTTTTAGCTTTTGTTTCTACTAGCCTATTTGCTATTGTGTGAAGTTTAGATAAAATGCAAACCTTACAGAGTCTGGTAGAGTAAGGTTGAGTTGGAAATTTTTAAAACTCAGTCATGGCAGTACTGTATTTTACTAGGGTTTTGACATGTCAAGTGTCATAATTCTTATAATCTATGAGGAATATCTCCATTCCACAGATGACAAAGTTAAGCCAGGTGACTTGCTCAAGCCCATATAGTCAGAAGGAGAATAGGGATGCAAACTCAGATCTTCATGACAGAATTTTTTGTACTAAGGCAAGCCTGAGAAGCCATATTCCTTGTACAGCCTAAGCCTCATAATTTGTTTTCTTGAAAACTTTTGTTTAAGAAGATTAAGCAGGTTTTGGGGAATGAGTTTTAGAACTTATTTTACCAGTATGGATATTGATTAATACTCTATAAAATGAGTGTTTGTAATGTTGGAAATAACTTGATTATATTTTTCTTCAAAGCATAAAAGATGACAACAGCAGCCAGGCCAACCTTTGAACCTGCCAGAGGTGGAAGGGGAAAAGGAGAAGGTGATTTGAGCCAACTTTCAAAGCAGTATTCAAGCAGAGACCTACCCTCTCATACAAAGATAAAATACAGGTAGTAAGACTTTCTTTTTTTATTGTTCACAAAACAAGACCAGATCTGTTAAATGGCATGGTCATGATATAGTAGTATGTTTGAGTTATGTCACTTATCTATTTTCATAGGAATAGAATGCAATAGGATGTTTAACACTAAAATTCTGCTGTGATTTTAAAATGTGAAATTCCTACTAACCAGGAATTTTCATATGTAGATAGAACAATAAATAATAGAAATAATAATGCCTCAGAGTATGCACTATGAGCACCAGTCAGTATATTAAAAGTATTACTGTTAAGTTCTGAGTTGATATAATCCTAATAAAAATTAAAGACATTTTAATCACTGTAAAGCCTTATTATAGGAAAATATGTGATTGAATTTGGACTTCTTGAAATATTGGGAACATCACAAGAGTGGCTGTTAGTAACCTTCAGATTAAATTATGATCTTGTCTACTTCCCTTTTTTCTGCTTGAAGGACAAAGTCTCATTCCTGAATTGTCTTCCATTACTACAGTCTCTGTGTGTGTGTGTGTGTGTGTTTAAGTAACATTTTTGCCCTGGTTTGTTTCTACTTTAGACAGACTACTCAGGATGCCCCTGAAGAGGTTCGTAACCGTGACTTCAGGAGAGAGTTGGAAGAAAGAGAGAGAGCTGCTGCAAGAGAGAAAAATAGGGATCGTCCAACCCGAGGTACCAACACTATCCAAGACATTTGTCTCATAAAATTATGTTGTTGATAGTTTTTCTTTATGTAGCAATTGGAAAATGTTAACCATTTGTTTACTTTTACAGATTGATGTGAGCTGTACTACTTTCTTAGGTCATTAGAGATAATAACAACAAATATTTACCAAAGGCTTATTTGCCCAGGCACTGTGGATGTGAGTTCACTGTGGATAATGCTTTTAATGTGGGCTCCTTGTGCTCACAGGTCCCTAAAACATTTTAAGAAATGAAGTATTTGTTTTACTAAGTTAAATGATTTTTGTTTCCCCCCAGAACATACAACCTCCTCTTCAGTGTCAAAAAAGCCACGGTTAGACCAGATTCCTGCCGCCAACCTTGATGCAGATGACCCTCTAACAGATGTATGTTTTGTTTCCTCCTTTCATCTCTAATAATTGATTTACCATGCTATTCTAAAATACTTGTTATGTCTTTGCTTTAAGAAGTGACATATATTTATGTTTAGTTACTGTTATTCAAATATAGCCCTGACCTCAGTGCTAAACTTTATAGTTGATTTTAAAATCAAAAGTATTATTTTGTGGGACTTTAAGAACAAGTTTGATCTCTAGAGAACCAAATATGGAAGGAATCTATAAAAGGATATGCTTTCCCCCAAAATAATGTCCTGTACTAAACTACTGCACTACTGCTGTGTTACACACCTCTCCAGGGCACTCTTCATACTGGGCTTCCTATAAACAGTGCCCTCTAGAGTTGTACCTGGAGGCCTTTCCATATTAGATATGTCCCCTTCTATAAGTGCAATACACTTAATGGTTCCCTCTGTGCTTAGGGAGGGAAGTAATCTAAGCAGAAGGTTTTTAAGGATTAGCACATCAGTTAATGTTAAAATTCTGTGGGACCCTAGAGCCTATAATCAATTTGCAGTTTTCTACATACAGGACAGTGAAAAACCTGAGTGGCATCCAATGAGTAATATCTAACTATGTATACATATCAGCAGTTAATTCTAGAGTTAATTGATGGAGTTACTCATAATAGTTAAAACAGGAAACCTAATTTCAACTGAAATTTAATGATTATTCATTTGAAATTATTTTCTTCTGAGAATTTAGCACACTTTTTTGCACTTTTGAGTATCTTTGCTGCTAGCTTAAAGTTGTTTTGAGCTACATAAAATTGTTTTGACTTTCTTAGGGTGATACGTTGTACATATGTACTGTGTTTTGGTAGTGTGTATTTTCCCTCCAATCTTCTGGGCTCTCACTGTTCTTTTAGGAGGAAGATGAAGATTTTGAAGAAGAAAGTGATGATGATGATACTGCAGCTCTTCTTGCAGAACTGGAAAAAATTAAAAAAGAAAGAGCTGAAGAGCAGGCCAGGAAGGTAAAACCAAAGTATTAAATATTTACATCTATCTTCTCACATACACTAAGGTAGAAATTTTTTTGAATATAAGTAATATCTTCTTATATTAGAAATCTCCTTTACCGTGTCTAAATATTATAGCACTTGTAGATCTATAAATGATTATTTTTATGACATCCTAGGTATCCTGGTTATGTAAGAAATTCTTTCCAAATAGTTCAGATGCACTGAGTAATATTCACAGGCTTGCTAGTCATTTACTTGTTTATTCATTTGTTCAACATTTAGTCGATATCTGTTAATTGACAGGAGAATCAAAGATGATCAAGATATAGTTGTGGTCTACAAAGATTATCTCTCTGCTTGTCTACTGCCTAGGTACTATTAAGGCAATCAGTCAGTAGATATTATATAACCTAGGTCAAGCTACCTAACTTCTCTGAGCCCCCACAGTCTCTCTGTTTACACAATATGAGGAAAAAATATAAAACTCAAAGATAGTTAAAATTCTGAATAAATTACCCAGAGTGATAATAAGAGGTGAAACTGAGGAGGCAAGTGCAAGTCAGAGCATTAGAGGTTTGCAAAACAATACTGAAGGAGTCTAGATTTTTTCTAAAGGACATGAAGAGCTGGTTGATTTCAGCAGGAGATTGATAAAACTGGATACGCATTTTAGAAAGATTACTCTGGCAAAATATGGAGGATGGATTGGAAAAAAACTGAGTTAGGAGGCTGTTCCAGTAATCCTCCCAATTAAGAGACTCTTAGCTTGTATGATAGGAGTTGGAATTGAGGTAAGTAATTAGATGCTGATAAAGCTGATTATCAAGGAGGTCAAAGTGGGAAGGGGAGCAGGAAAAAATAAAAAAGGAGGTTGAGTTGACAGATAGTGACTGATTGATTGTAGCAGCAGAGAGGACCCTCACTTTCTAGGTAAATGTTGGTGCCATCAATACAGGGAATGCAAAAGAATTGCCATATTTAGGCAGAGAGAAGAGGTAGTTGATGAGTTCTGTTTTGAACATGTTAAATTTGACACATTGTGAGACATTCAGGTAGGGTTGTCTGCCCCTGTTTTCAACCAGAGCAGCACAGCTTTTTCATAGATTTCTGTGTAAAATTTTATTTGAGGCAAGAATTGTTCTGTTTTTAAAAAAGAAAGTAAGAAAATATACTGCATGGTCAATACCAGGAATCTAGGGAAGTAGACTTCATGTGAATCAGGAGGGCCAGGGAAGAATTCAGAAAACAGGTAGAATTTGGGATAGACTTTGAAGACTTAGAATTCAGATTGGAAGAAGAAAAGCATTTCAAAATACAATTCTCATCAAAGTTTTGTATAAGAGAGCATAATTCCTGTAATAGCTTATAGTTTTTACATCTAGTTTTTAAAAGTCAAAGAATTATAAAAACATTCCCAGTCCCACTTGCATACCACTAGAGGGCAATTGTTCCAAATTTTTTTAGCTTGCCTAATAGTTCTGGACACATAGAGATGAGCAATTTAAATGCTTTTGGTTGACCTTGAGGGAGGATAAACATTTTAGACAGAAGGCCTTGCAGTTTTGTGAGTTTCATCTAATATCTGTATTAAAATGTGTTGATATTTCTTGCGGTTGAATGATAGTTTCTTTTATCCCTGTTTCCCTTTCTATTGGCTGGTTTTTGCCATGTTCCAAATTTAAGATTTTCAAACCATTTAGCCCTTGTCAGGGGTCAGCACCCTTTCTGTAAAGGGCCAGGTAGTAAATATTTTAGGCTGGCTGGTCATGGAGCCTCTATCACACCTACTCACCTCCACTGTTATAACATAAAAACACCCACAGAGTACATAAGTGAACAAGTGTGGCAATGTTTCAATAAAATATTTACAAAAACAGTTAGTTAGGATTTGACCTACATGCCATCTGATGACTAGCCTATATTATGAAACATAGTATGCCTGCTGTTTGAATATAGAAAGAGTTTATGCCTTTTTTCCTAGTGCTCTGTGTGGCAATCATTCAGTAACCCCAAAGGAAATAATATTCCAAACATAAAATGTCCATAACCTTTATATGTCATACACATTATAAGTTTGGATATATGGTATACTTAAGCTCCTATTTTTCTAGTATTTCAGAGAAATATCTTTTCCCTTTAAGCATCGGTATAATTTGTTACAAATAAATATATAGCTTTTAGAAAGCCACCTGTTCTGTGATGTATAGTTCCTGATTTAAGTTCTGACCAGTGACATAAAGGAATTTTCCTATTTCCTTACAAGTTAGATCTTTTCACCTCCCATTTTGATTTTTATTTTTCTTCATAAAAATGAAATTCATTGTTTACATTTGAATATTGAAATGAAGTATCAGTAACCTGTATGAAAAATTAGATTATTAAAATAATAACTTTTTTTAAATGACTTCCACACCATCTGTTTTTCCTTGATCTATTAAGTCATCAATTTCTGTTATCCCCAAAACACAGCAAAATGGGATTTATATTTGGCTTAAGATAACATGTTAACAGGTAGATCTAGAAGTGATAGCTAAGGATTTTAGACATTTTATATTCCACATTCTGAGAAGGAAACTCAGGGTGATTTGACTTTGAAGAAGTTGATGCTAAAATAAAAGTGAAGAAAGACAGTGTTGTAACTGATAAAGGATGGGAGGTATAAAAATAGAAACTGAGGCCGGGCACGGTGGCTCACGCCTGTAATCTCAGCACTTTGGGAGGCCGAGGTGAACGGATCACGAGGTCAGGAGTTCGAGACCAGCCTGGCCAACATGGTGAAATGACGTCTCTACTAAAAATACAAAAATTAGCCGGGCATGATGGCACGTGCCAGAGGCTGAGGCAGGAGAATCACTTGAACCTGGGAGGTGGAGGTTGCAGTGAGCTGAGATCATGCCATTGCACTCCAGCCTGGGCAACAGTGAGACTCCGTCTCAAAAAAAAAAAAAAGAAAAACTCAGTAAGACAATAAAAACAAAATAGATCAACCTCAGGTAAATTAGTAGAAATTCATGTTAACTGGATATAATTTTGTATATGGTAGTTTGTCCTATTTTAGGAGTTACTTCTTCATTCATAACTTGTCACCAAACCTAGAGACACAAGTTTACATTATTAGTAATTCAAAATAAGATTAAAATTAATCACAGTTAGGTATGACCCTTTAAAATGAAGGTAATAGTTTTGCTAAATGTGTCTTTTTGATATTCAATATGTTCTTAAATTATTAGAATATGCTTATTGATATATGCTTAAAATTTAAAGCAATTAATTTGACATGTACTTCAAGAAAGAAAATAGATTTAAATATGGATCTGTAGCATTTCACAGTTGGAAGAGACTAATTACTGTATGATATCAACCATGAAATATTTATAATAAAAATGCTAAATTATTTTATTTTGATGAGGGAGACTTTTCTAGTATGCCTCAAAAACCAAAAAAAAAAAAAAAAAGCCTGCCTTGATGCTTTTGTTGCCATAAAATCCTAATGATCAGTTTTGTTTTTTTTTTCAGTGAGCTAATATAAAAAAAATTGAACCCAGAGTTAAAATAAGTAAGTGTTAATCTTCCTTTATCATTGACAGGAACAAGAACAAAAAGCTGAAGAAGAGAGGATTCGTATGGAAAACATTCTGAGCGGAAACCCTCTCCTTAATCTCACTGGCCCATCCCAGCCTCAGGCCAACTTCAAAGTTAAAAGAAGGTACTATACAGTAACGGAGTAATGGAGTGTGTGTGTGTGTGTGTGTGTGTGTGTGTGTGTGTGTGTGTATATGTGTATGTGTATACACACAGGCATGCAGATTATAAGTTGGATAGCAAGGTGCATTGTAAAAAGCTTCTAAAAGTCCACCGTCCATTCACTGATACTCTTCTCTGTTCAATTAGGAATAATGGAAGAAGCCAAATGAAAGAAAATAAACTTATTTTCAATAGATAGTTGCAATAACCAGCTGTGTACTAGATAATGATGTAAGCACTAGGGACAGAGTAATAAACTGAGGCCCTTACATTTTAGGTGTGCATATCAAGGGTCCTCAAGATGGCCTCTCACATTCAGACACTCACTAGAAGAACTCAGGGGACTTGGTGTATAGTTAATATGCTTGGCTAAGGTAATAAAGACACACAGCTAGATTATAAAGGGAAAAGACACACACAGAGAATAGAGGAATCCATGTGCAGGTGTCACTATGCTCTGTCCCTTCCATGAGTGGTCACACAGCACATTGTTTCCCCCAGCAAGGACAGTGCAGCAACGTGTGCAGTGCTTCTGCCCAGGGAAGCCCATTAAAGATCCCGCGCCCAAGGTTTTTACTGGGAGTGGCTAGTCATGTACGCAGCTTTTGCTTAGCACATACCAAAGTCCAGACTCCTAAAAGGATAGTAGGTGTTCAGTGTAAACCACATTATTTGTAAATTATAGGCACAGTGACAGAAGATTTCTTAGATCCAAATTTTCAAATGCCAGCCAGGGGCCAGCCTTGCAAGCAGGCATTTCTAAGGATTGTAGTACTAGGCCTGCTTTTTAAATTCTGTACAGTGTGTGTGTGTTTGGAGGGGTAAAAAAGGAGGGCTGAAAAGGGAGAAAATATAAGTTGTAAATACTGTAAATCCTTCAGATGGTGATATATAAAATAAAACAGAAAAGCTTACAGGAAATGCTGAGGGAGGAAGATTGGTTGTTATTTTATATGCATTCGTCAAGGAACCACAGTGCTTAATTTTTAAACCATATTCGTTATTTTTCACCACCTCTACTGCTGTTATCTGCCATCTGGAGTGATGCAGTACTGCTGACTGCTTTCCCTTCTGGAGTGATGCAGTACTGCTACCTGCCCTCCTCTCTGGAGTGATGCAGTACTGCTGAATGCTTTCCCCTCTGGAGTGATGCATTACTGCTACCTGCCCTCCCCTTTGGAGTGATGTAGTACTGCTGACCGCTTTCCCCTCTGGAGTGATGCAGTACTGCTGACTGCTCTCCCCTCTGGAGTGATGCAGTACTCCTGATACAGTTCGGGAATTAGTCCAAGCTGGAGATAGTAGATTTGGAAGTTATCAGCTCAGATAAACTTTTTAAAGCCATAAGACAGGATGAAGTCACCTAGGGAAGGGTATAGCTAGAGAGGAGAAGTCAGAACTGAGCTTGGTATGTTTAGAGGTTAGGTAGATTATTAGTTACCAGTACCTGTTCTAATCATCTAGCCAGCCTCTAAACATTATACAAGTGCCTGATAAATATTGATTGAGTTAATTTTGAATGAAAAAGTCTAGGCTAACAAGGAGCAGCCAGTTGGGAAGGGAGGAGAACTGAAAGAAGTGAAACAAAGTGTTTCAGGAGGAGAGGAGTGATCATCGAGGACAAATACTAATGTCAGGAAAGAGCATTTTGGTGTTGGGAAGGAGGGACAAAAAGCCTGTTTGGAGTTGAGGAAAGACTGGATACAGAAAAAACTGTACTGATTATATACAAAAATAAAGCTATATAGTTTGTTCTTTTGCCTTTTTTGAATGTAAATGGAATTGGAGATAGAAACATGTCTTATATCCCAGTCATATTGATCTGCTCAGCTTGTTATGCTTCTGTGTACTGCATCAGTGATGACTTTACTGCACTGTTTTCCAAAGGTGCCCACGTTTGTTGCTCATTGTGCACTTTCCCACATTTGTTCCCATGTGCAGTTTCTCCTGACGTGTAAGCGCATGCACACATAAACACACACATATGGGCTTGTGTTATATATATATTTGTGAGGGTATCAATATTATGTATATGGGCCTGTGTTTTATATGCTAGGTGATATTCTGAAATCATGCTCTTTATTTTCTATAACACATGTATTTTATAACTTATTTATGGGTGTTTTTTTTTCGTGCTTATACATTATGGAATCCAACCAGAGTTCTGCTCTGAGCTCTTCAGCTGGTACTTCTCCTTGGTTAATGTATATGTGGGCCATATCTGAGCCTTAATTATTATACCCCAATGATTCCTTCTCCTTTTGTTGGCCTATAATGTGGATATTACAGTAGATGATTACTAAACATTAACTGATAAAAGAGGAATATCTACAATCCCCAAAACCACATAAACTACATTAAATTGATTGGCTACTATCATGTACAGATGCCTACACTAATATTAGGGTAGTCCTCGGTGCTGCTTCTTTCTATTAGACCTAAAAACATTAAATATTTATGCAATTAAAATCTATATATTTCTATTTTTTAACTCAAAAGTTTCTTTTACTGGAGAAATAATAAGAATGTTTTAATGTTCTAAGTAGGAATTGCCATTCTTGCTATAAGAAAGCAAGATTATATATTAAGGATGACATTATTCTTTTGAGTGTAATTGCTGCATCAGATGATACACATGTTGAGCATCTTTCTGTGTAACTGACTAAGCCTTGCAGTGCATGTAGTATTCTTGTCTCCTGATACAAACATTTTCAGACGTTCTGTTTGCTTTTTTTTCCTCAGGTGGGATGATGACGTTGTCTTCAAGAACTGTGCAAAAGGTGTAGATGACCAGAAGAAAGACAAAAGATTTGTAAATGACACACTGCGATCTGAATTTCACAAAAAGTTCATGGAGAAATATATTAAATAGTACAGTTTTATGTGCTTAATTAAAGACTGTAAAACGTAAAGGATCATTCTGACTTTTTTTATGAGTTTTTTTTTTCTTTTCCCCTGTCTAAATTGTGTGTGGGCTTCCCCAGTTTTAAACTCCTATCTTTTTCTTTAGTGATACCTTACTTGATAATGGACTTGGGAATAGGTTTAACCCAGTTTGCATTCTCCAAATGTTTCCAGTGATATGTTTTCCTGGGAAAAGCAAATCTGCCTGTAATAAATATTTTTAATCTAAATAACCAAATCTGGGTGCCCAACTTTTTGTTGGAATTTATGCTGCTAGTAATACATTCCATAATATCTTTTGAAAAGAAAAATTACCATTGTGTATTGTGCTTGTGCATTAACTTGTCCTTTTCCCCCTGTTTCTCTCACATTTAAGATGAGTTAATTCATATTTTCTCTGCATTTTTTAAAAGAGTGTAATGGAAGATGAGAGGGATTCTATTTTGGACCACATGTTGGTGTGGAGGAGTGTCATTGACAGTAAGCACCCCAGGCGTGTGTCTGGGAGAGCATTGGGTATCGCTCACTTCTGCAGGTACTTGTTTTTTTTTCTCATGGCCGAAGAGGAGAGCTCTGTAAGCATTCTTTTAAAGTATACGGTACTCACTTGTGTTCTGGATACTCAACTGCCATGTTTCCTTTGAAAGAGATTGAATATGCACCTGACATGCATTTAGTGCAAAGCCTGAGAAAGCTTCAAACAATATATAAAATAAAACCTTTGGAAATAACAGTTTTGTTATCTTGGAGGATGTATCTATGCGAAGTGAGAGGAAGACTAGGCTATACTAAAAGCAGTAGTTCTGGAAAATGAAGTTTTTGTGAACCTAGGCTGTGATTTAAGAAGGCCACTTTTGATAGAAAATTTGAGACCAGAAATTGAGCCTTTTATAGATAGAGACTCATTCATAGGCTTCCTCAGCCATGAAAAATACTGAGGTTCCTAAGGTTAAAGATAGAAGTTTTAAAGCAAAATAATATGTTACTATTTAAGTCCTTTAATACCTCATTTCCTAATTAAATGGGAAGTTCCATTTTCCCAGTGGAAGCCTGGACATTGGTTATAACTATCCTGAGTCCGGTGGAGAGCTGGAAATGGAGCCCAGGTCTGGATTCCACATTTATATTCTACATTTTTTCAAACTGAGCTCCTAAACAAAATTTTGGATACTTCAGCTAGTGTTTTTAAGAAGCTTTTAATATTAAAACCTTTTTATCTCCAACTTTACAACTTAGAAAATGAATTTACACATGGTAAAACCCTGTCTCTACTAAAAATACAAGAATTAGCCAGGTGTGGTGGCAGGCGCCTATAATCCCAGCTCCTTGGGAGGCTAAGGCAGGAGAATTGCTTGAACCCAGGAGGCGGAGGTTGCAGTGAGCTAAGATTGTGCCATTGCACTCCAGCCTGGACGACAAGAGTGAAACTCCATCTCAAAAATAATAAAAATTTAAAAAAGAAAATGAATTTACATTCATTTTTGGTTATCTTCATAGCAACCTTAGGTAGGAAGTGCTGTGTTATTCAAAGTTGAGGAAAATGAAGCTCAAGCCAAGTAACTTGTTTAGGATTAATACATGATGGATCATGTATGAGCACCTTACAATTACATAAAAATATGCTTATAGATGTAATGGGCATTATCAGACTTCTAAAACTGTGGTTCTTGGAATTGTACTTTTTAGCATCTCAAGGGCCAGGGGTCTGACTTAGGTGCACTATTTCTCCAGGGTCCACTTGTTTCAGATTCCCTCTTTGAGCCTGAAAGGTTTAGGAAGAATCAGAGTAAAGCTGATTTCATTGATTTCTTTCTTCCTTTCCCTGTGGTTTCTCAATGTAAAACATCCTATAACCTGAGTCAGACCCAGGAGATACATAAATGTGTTGTTAGCTTTCAGATTTACAGCGCAAGTAACAACATACTTAGCTAAATTGCCTTGCACCCTCCTTGTAAAATACCTCTTGTTGGAGTGGTTGTGGAATCTGTCTTATCCCTTCAAAAGCTGATGCTGATTGGAAAGAGAGGTCTTTGAAACCAGGAGGACATGGTGTGAAGCCATCTGTGCCACTTCAAGCTTTATTCAAACTAACATTTATTGGCCAGGTGTGGTGGCTCACGTCTGTAATCCCAGCACTTTGGGAGATCAAGGCCGGCAGATCACTTGAGGTCAGGAGTTAAAGACCAGCCTGGCCAACATGGCAAAACCCCATCTTTACTAAAAATACAAAAAAAATTAGCCAGGCGTGGTGACTGGTGCCTGTAATCCCAGCTACTGAGGCTGAGGCAAGAGAATTGCTTGAACACAGGAGGCGGAGGTTGTAGTGAGCCGAGATGGTGCCACTGCACTCCAGCCTGCATGACAGAGTGAGACTCCGTCTCAAAAAAAAAAAAATTTTAAAAAAAAAAGAACTAAGATTTATTGAATGTTCACCAGCTGCATTTGTACTTTACTCATCTAATTGACACCACTCCCTATTAGGTAGCTGATATTATTTTCCCCATTTTATAGATAAGGAAACTGTCATTTGTAAGAAGTTTAAAAACAAGCAAAGTCATAAACGTAAGGGCGGTGGGCCAAGATTGAAACCTAGAACTCTATTCTAAGCCCATCCACTTTATTGCTTTGCTTGACTGCTTCTCTGTTAATGAGCCCTTTTGACTGTTTTCTCTCCTATGGAACAATAGTAATAGGACAATCATGAGGGAGTTTTGTGAGGATTAAATAACAAGGTTTAAATATCTGGCAGGCACATAGTAAACTTCATGCATGTCTATTCATCTATCTCTAGTAGCATTTAGCAGAGGCTGTGTAAAAGTTCAAAAGCCTATTGTTTTGTTCTGTCATAAAGTTTGATTCTGAATTAAGAGGCTCCCTGACCCCTCAGAACTTTGGTTGGGCCATAGGTATGGCCGAGACAGGAATTGCCTGGTCACTAGGATTAGAAACTCAGTCATAGCACTCAAGTAAAATGAAGACTTACCTTTAGAAGACTTAAAAGGCATTTCCTCTGTTCAGCTCTTTCTTGGTTTCCCTGTATTTGTCTGTTCCACTTTTTCTGCAAGACTTGGTTTCTGTACCACAAAAATGGAGGTCACTCATTCATGCTTCTGGCTTCCTTGATAGAAGGACTTCATGTCTTTATAGCTCCACTGGCCAATAGAGCCTCTGTGTCCTGAGACAAAGCTGGTCCTGTGAGCAGTGGGCAGGAACCCGGCTACCTGGAACAAATGTGGGCACGGACAGGAAGACATTGACAGTACAATCTCTTGACATATTCAGCTGTACATGTTACATAAAACCTGGAAACCAAAGATACTGCAGCTGTAAATCCGGACTCCTCAGGGGCAGTACCTGCATCTTCTCCACCAAGCTGGGCACACAGCAAGGCCTGTCTAAAAACTGGGTGGCTTCAAATATTTGCTATTTTGGAGGAAACATTATAATAGAGTAGAAACAGCACAAGAGCCTGAAGAAACTGGATTAAATTTTAGTTCTGCCACTTGACAGCCTTATGGCCTTAACAAATTATTTAAATCTCTAAGCCTGTTTCCTCCTTTGTACAGTGACAATAACAACACTTCCCCCAAAAAGCTGAAGATTAGAGGTGATACAAGTACCTAGTTTATAGAATTGTTGGGCGCTCTTGGAGGGTGGGGGTGATTATTCCTTTGTCTTCCTCACCCAAATTTCCAATCATCTAAAACAGAGGAAAAGTATTAACTGAGGATCCAAATCAGCATCCTGGCTCCAGTGCAGTTGCTCAGGCCCCACACTCAGGAGGAGCCCACCTTCAGGGTATAATGCTCAGCCGTTGCTGTCTTAAAATTGTTCATAATTTTATCTTTGAATGTGTGTTTTGTAATAAAATGTTATGGAACAGTGGAGCATGTGTCAGGGCTTGGAGGCTTGGGTCACATGAGGTCCCTGCCTCCTGGACTCCCCAGGACAGGTTCTCTACTGCCTACTTCTGGTGCAGGCATGGGCACAGGCTTGGGGAGGGGCAGGTACCCATACAGGCAGGGTGGAAAAGCTGCAACTTAAAGAGCAGAGGCCTGGGGAGTCCTGCCAGGATCAGGTCCTGCTGGGTCAGTTTCCTGCTGGATACCGGAAGCACAGGCACCAGTGGGCAGGGGAGGGCTTGTCCTGTCTTTAGGGCACCTTCTTAGAAATAGGGCAATCAGGCCGGACGCGGTGGCTCATGCCTGTAATCCCAGCACTTTGGGAGGCTGAGGTGGGCAGATCATGAGGTCAGGAGTTCGAGATCAGCCTGGTCAACATGGTGAAACCCCGTCTCTACTAAAAGTACAAAAAAAAAAAGAAAGAAAAGAAATAGGACTAATTAAATTAAGCCACTCATGTTGGGAGAGGAGACAGGTAGAGCTTTGGAAGGGTGGGATATTGGCCAAGGTCAAGCATGGAAAAAATGGGATCCACCTCGGAGTCATCTTTTAGTAAATGCTTGGTGTCATTTTATTTGTGGTGCTGTTGTTATTTGTGGTGATGTTGTAGATGTGTCACCAGCATCTTTCCTAAATTACACTCCCACAGAGCCTCCACATACATCTATGTTCCTGAAATCTTTATGCAGGGCCCTTTTAGGAGTTTTGTATTTTTTAAAATGTCCTGTTCTCTCTCACCTGACCTAGCTCTCAGAGGCACTTTAGGAGGTGAGAGGAGAAGGAAGAAACCTGTTGTGTTCACACTCCTGAGAGAGGCGTCTGCCAGGTTTCCTCTCTAGGGTGGTCTCAAACAGCCTCCCTTTTCAGAAAGAGGCAGAGAAATGGCTCCTAAAAGTCCTAGACTAATTGGAAGCAGCTTTCTGGGAGCTCAGCCATCTCTGTATGTGCTGGAGCCCAAGAAAGGGGGAAAGAGGGGTGGGGGCTTAAATAATATTTTGACTTTTTCAGAGAAGAGAATTCTAATGCATCTTGAGATTTCCTCTGCACTCACACCTTCAAAGTCTAACTCTTGGTCTCAGAGGCCTATTTCCAGAGAGTATTTTCAGTAAGAACTGGGAGGTGAGTCACTCTCTTGAAGAGTTTACTTCAAACAAGTCACAAGGGAGGAAGAAGCTGCTAACGAGAAGAAAACTGGGATAGCAGACATGGCAAAGCTTGCAGAGCATCCAAGCATGTTCCCTGTGGCAGCAGGCCCCACAGATGCCCCAGTTCCTGAGCTGGCTTTGTGCCTCCTGCTAGGCCACCCTGACCCCACCATCCCTGTAATAAACAATAACCATTTAGGAAATATAATGGACAGACAATCCCATTCATGATAGCTACAGAGAATGTAAAATGCATAGGCATAAACTGAAGACGAAATGTACAGGACCTCTTTGAAGAAAATGCCAGTACTCTCTTGTGGGGCATTAAATAAGACTTTAATAAATGTGGAGGAATACATATGTCTGGATGAGAAGACTCAGTGGTATAAAGATACCAGTTCTCTATCCAAAAGAAATTACGAAATGGGTTGGGATATTTTTTAACCCATGTAATTGGTGTTTTGACCAAATTCTTTTAGAATTTTTCATTAGAATAAATTTGTAAGAACATCCAGAAAAAAAAAATCTTGCAAGCAAGAATAATGAGAGGGGTTTTCTCTACCAATTTTTAAATGCATTATAAATGTACAAAAATTAGTGTGGTTCTGTCCCCAGAATAAAGAGATGAAGGAAAAATGGACCATAATAAAAGGTCAGATACTAGCACAGCTACAAAATAATTTAGTACATAGGAAAAAAAATTCTAAAAGGAGAAGAAATAAGAAAAACAATGGAAAAGAGAATGAACTATTTAGTAAATAGTGTCAGGAAAATTTACCAACAATTTGCTAGAAAATAGGTTGCTACTGTCAAGCACAAGGCCAAGCAAGGCTGATAGATTCAGTGAATAAGGAAACAACAAAATCCTTTTAGATTTAGATCGTTGGGTACTGTCAGACTCAGAAGAAAGTAGCCAAAGGTGCTAGTCCCTGTGACCCTGGTGTAGGGCAACACAGAAACAAAAGAGACCAAGTGACAGTGACTTAATGATTGGACACCCTAGTGTGACACTGCAGCTAACGTTTTATAGCTTCCAGGTGTACCCTAAGGGTGGTGAGGAAGAACACCTCCTACCTCGCCAGAACCAGGAGATGAGAAACAAGTAAGGAATGCCCCTTGCGGCAGCTCCTCCTAAGCATCCTATGTTCTTAGGGTCCAGGAGAGATACAAAGTGTTCTGCCAAGATTCAGACCAGCTGTAGGTCACATCTTGCCTATGCCGCCTGTAGAGATGGCTATGAAGTCATGGGTGCCAGCACAGGGCTGTTCTCCTACTGCTACCTCACAAGTTCTCTAGGATAAGTTGCATGTGGTCTAAAAAATTTGAAGGAAAAAAACTGTACTGGAGAAAAAATAGGTAAATATGTGTTAATATTGAGCTGGGATGGCCTTTCTAAGCATGGTATCAAAAGCAGAAATCATAAGAGAAAAACAAAACAGGTAAATTGATTACACAGAAAGATTTTGTAGATCAAAGAATTTAAAATGCCAGTATTATGATTAAATTTCCTTTTCAGATTTTTTTTCTTAGAATGATTGGCTTTCTTGTAATTTCTTCATATATTATCTTTATTTTAAAAGATTGTTTCATTATATCAGATACACAATCAAGTCCTCTCTTTTCCAGCCATCCAGTCTGAGCAGTGGCCTGGAGATGAGTGTCATTTATACAACTGCCTTTAATGCTCTCCTATGTAGAATCCCCTAAATTTCCAGTGTTCCATGTTTTCTTCTTTCCTGATTTGCTCCTTTCTTTTCATGGAGTACATCCTAAAATAACTTTCTAAGAAAGAATGAAGGAGA
Source organism: Homo sapiens (assembly GCF_000001405.40). Lineage (NCBI taxonomy): Eukaryota > Metazoa > Chordata > Mammalia > Primates > Hominidae > Homo > Homo sapiens. The sequence continues at coordinate 94,956,503 of NC_000011.10, read as the reverse complement.
CTTAACATATTGAGCCCTTGTATGTGTACATCTAACTTTATTCTGCCACCCCTCCTCCATCACACGCGCACACACACACACACACACACACGATAGTTTTCCTGAATATAGGTTAAAAATAAATTTATCCTGTTATTGAAAGCTTTTGCTATGTTTTCTTCTAAATTTCAGAATTGCTCTTGAAAGCTGATGTCAACCTCCTTTATATTTCTTTGTATATTCTATATATATTCGAGTCCTCTCTTTTCCAGAACCATCCAATCTAAGCTGTGGCCTAGGGATGAGTGTCATTTATGCGACTGCCTTTAATGCTCTCCTAGAATATATATATATTCTAGTTTTGTTTTGAATCTGTAATCTGTTGGGATCATCTCTTTTTTTTAGTCGTGAGTCTTTTACCACTTACTATGTTTGGTTCCCAGTGAACTCTTCAAGGATTCATAGGCTTCAGCTCTGGGAAAAATTCTCATTTTTTTGATAATATCTCCTCCATTTCCTCTGTTCTCTCTTTCAGAACTTCACTTGGTTTGTAGATTAACATCTGTCTTTCTTTTTTTTCCCATGTTTTGGTCTCTATCATTTTGTTCTACTTTCTAGTGTATTTTCTAATTATTCCAATTATTTCACCTAATTAATTATTTCAATTAAGTTTTGTACTCAGATTTAAAATTGCCAAGACTTCTTTCTTATTCTTTGAACCTCTCCTATTATTCCAGTGATTCTCAACGTTGACTGCATATTTAAACTACCTGGGAACTTTAAAAAATTCTGATGCTCAGGCCACATCCCAGGTCAACTGATTACAACACAGGTTTGAACTGCCCAGGTCCATATATACACAGGTTTTTCTCAATAAGTATATTGGAAAAAATTGTAGAGATATGTAACAATCTGAAAAAACTCCCAGATGAACTGTGTAGCCTAGAAATACCAAAAAATTAAGAAGATGTTACATGTGTCATAAATACATATAGATAAAAACTAGTCTATTTTATAAATTACTACAAAAAATTATACACGAATCTATTTTAAAAAGTTAAAATTGATCAAAACTTACGCACACAAACAGACCATACATTATGCCATTCACAGTTAAGAGAAATGTAAACAAACATAAAGATGTAGTATTAAATTACAGCTGCATAAAATTAGTTGTAGTATATACTGAACTACTGTAATAATTTTTTAGTCACTTCCTGCTGCTACTGCAGTGAGCCCAAGTGTTGCTAGTATCCACCTAAAGTGCTGTGTGATGCTGATCATCTCCTCTTGAACAATTCATCTCTCCAGTAAATTGCAGGTTGCAATAAAAAATAATCTCTCAGTTCTTGAATATTTTTCATCATGTTTAGTGCAGTACCATAAAGCTTGAATATATGACCCATACAAAGTGCCACTAACAGTGCTGGAAGTGTTCTCAAGAAGCAAAGTGATGACATTACAAGAAAAAGTTGAATGTCTTGATATGCACTGTAGATTGAGGTCTGCAGCTGCACTTACCAGCCATTTCAAGATGAATGAATACAGCGTAGGTACATAAAAAGAAAGAGCAATTTGTGAAGTTGTGGCTGTTGCTATGACACCAAGTGCAACAACCTTGAACTTTTTGTGAAGTACTCCTTCATTTCATATTGAAAATGCTGCTTTTATGTGGGTACAGGGTTGCTATAAGAAAGGCATACATATAGACTCTAATGATTTGAGAAAAAGCAAAGTCATTATATGATAACTTAAAAGCAAAAGGATGGTGAAAGATCTAAAGCTGGAGAATGTAATGCCAGGAAAGGATGGTTTGATAATTTTAGAAAGAGATTTGGCTTTAAAATGTCAGGATAATAGCAGAAGCAGTTTCTGCCTGCCAAGAGGCAGCAGACGAGTTCCCAGACCTGTTAAGAACATCACTGAGGGCTGGGTGTGGTGGCTTACACCTGTAATCCCAGCACTTTGGGAGGCTGAGGCAGGCAGATCACCTTAGGTCAGGATTTTGGGACCAGCCTGGCCAACATGGTGAAACCCTGTCTCTCTCTACTAAAAGTACAAAAATTAACTGGGTGTGGTGGCAGGCATCTGTAATCCCATCTACTCGAAGGCTGAGGCAGGAGAACTGCTTGACCCCAGGAGGCGGAGGTTGTAGTAAGCTGAGATGGTGCCACTGCACTCCAGCCTGAGTGATAAAGCAAGACTCCTTCAAAAAAAAAAAAAAAAAAAATTCACTGAGGAGAAAGGATATCTGCCTGAACAGGTTTTTAATGCAGACAAAAGTGCCCTATTCTGAGAAAAAAAAAAAAGTATCACAAAGGACGTTTATTAGTAAGGAAAACAAGCCAGCAACAGGATTTAAGGCAGGAAGGGGTAGGCTAACTCTACTGTTTTGCGCAAATGCAGTTGGGTTTATGATCAGGACTGCCCTTATCTATAAAGCTGCTAACCCCCAAGCCTTGAAGGGAAAAGATGAACACCAGTTTCCAGTCTTTTGGACTGGAAGGTCTGGACAAGCAGAACGCTTTTTCTGAATTGATTCCATTGATGCTTTGTCACTAAAGTCAGGAAGTACCTTGCCAGTAAGGGGCAACCTTTTAAAATTCTTTTGATATTAGACAATGCCCCTGGCCACCCAGAACTCCATGAGTTCAACACCGAAAGTGGTCTACTTGCCCCCAAATACAACATCTCTCATTCAGCCTTTAAATTGAGGGTCATCAGGACCTTTAAGGTTAATTTCACAGGGTACACTATGGAAAGGACGGTCAATGCTACAGAAGAAAATCCTGATCGAGAACATCATGAAAATCTGGAAGGATTATACCATTGGAGATGTTATTCTTACAGAAAAAAAGCATAAGCATGAAAGCTATTAAGCCCAAAACAATAAATTCCTGCTGGAAAAAGAAGTGTCCAGATGTTGTGCATGACAGGATTTATGACAAAGTCAATCAAGGAAATCATGAAAGAGATTGTGGATATAGCAAAAAAGGTTGGGGGCAGTGGGGGGTAGGGTTTCAAGATGTGGATCTTGGGGCAATTCAAGAGCTAATAGACACCAGAGGAATTAACAGGAGACAATTTGATGGAGGTGAGAGCTTCTGAACTAGTGCCAGATGATGAGAAAGATGTAGAAGAAGCAGAGCCAAAAAATAAATTGACATTAAGCAATCCGTCAGAAGAGTTCTCATTATTCAAGACTGCTTTTGACTTCTTTTACAACGTGGACCCTTCTATGATATGGGTACCAAAACTAAAGCAAACGGTGAAAGGATCAGTATGGTGTAGAAACATTTTTAAAGACACATACAAGCAAAAAAGTCAGACAGAAATTACACTGTATTTCCACAAAGTTACACCTAATGTGCCCACCTTTCCTGCCTCCCTTTCCACTTCCTCCACATCTTTTGCCTCTGCCATCCCTGAGACAGCAAGACCAACCTCTCCTCTTCCTCCTCCTCATCCTACTCTACATGAAGATGACAAGGATGAGGACCTTTATAGCAGTCCACTTCCACTTAACAGTAAACATATTTTCTCTTTCTTATGATTTTCTTTTCTCTAGCTTGCTTTATTGTAAGAATACACTATATAATACATATAACATACAAAATATGTGTTTATCGACTATTTACATTATTGGTAAGGCTTCCAGTCAACAGTAGGCTCATTAGTAGTTAAGTTTTAGAAGAGTTAAAATTATATGCAGATTTCTAACTGCACAGGGGAGGGAGGGGGTCAACTGTAAATCAGAATCTTTGGGGATAAGACCCAGGCATCAATATTTTATAAAGCTCTCCAGTTAATACCAATACTTATCCTAGTTTGAAAACCACTGCGTCATTTCCTAGTTTGAAAACTTGCATAATTTTGCCTATGTTTTAAACCACCAAAATCTTTTTCTTCAGTGTTGTGTGTGTATGTGTGTGTATATACTATACATATATAAAATTAATATCTATTTAAACACAATTCCTGCACTCTATATGGTAAATAATTCTCAGGCCACACACTCAGGCATGCAAAAATATATTTACTTTTGCTTTACCATAATTCAACGTAATTTGTGTTTCCTACCCCTATTCTCCAAAATAAGAAATGCAGTCTTAGTCAATTCAAACTTATTTCAGTTCTGGGTTTAGACATGTAATTTTAAAAAATCTTTCTCACATTACTTATTAGAAAGAGGAGATAAAATGCTTGGTCATTATTTTTAAACCAAGACATCTATTGAATAAATTATTCATTTTGAAGTGAGGTCATCAACATTTTGGTTTTCATTTTAACTTTCTTTATGCAGTCCAGAAATGGGATCTCATTGGTTCAGATACGATACACATATTAACACATAAATTCTGTCTTTTATAAAAGTTTATTTGTGCTTTCGTCATATAGTAGACTGTATTTTTCCCTCTTGAAAGAAGAAATCCCATGTTATCCTTCTAAAGTTCCCAGCACTATATCTTACCCATAAGTCATTTTTTAAAAAATTGAATTCTGCATGTTTCTGTCTATATATCAGGGCAAGTGTACACAGGCTAGTCTGGGTTCAAAGTAGACATCATAAAATACTCTCACAGGCACACACACCCATGTGCACATATACACTTGTTTTTTGTCTCTCTACACACACACACACACACACACACACCCCTGCACATACATGCACATACATACACAATCTGTTTTCCTCAACCTACCCCAAATTGCCACAGTGCATGAAGATCTTACCATCCCAGTTGTTTCTCCACGATCTGGGAGGTGGCATGATGTCACAGCTGCACTAACTACTCCCTAAGAAAGGACAGAGAGAAAGGACTCCCCAGACCCCAGGGAGGATGGTGAGGTTAGAGTTGGCAAGGCGGAAAATCAAACTCAACTCTGCCTTTCCCTCCAGCAATTCATGCACTTTTGGTATTTTAATATATTTTTTAGAACAGCAAGGATAAGATGCTCTATCATGTTAGAAAAACATACAGGTTCTGAATGTATTTTTAACTCACGTTGAGGCATTCTTCAAAGTTAATTCACTGGTTAAACCCCAAGTATAGCTCGTCCAGAGGTACACTGACTACATTTTGTGTGGGAATTCTGGATCCACAGGGAAGCCCAAAGGCCTTAGGAGATCTGTGTTTCTGACCCTGAGAGAATGTCCTAAGGTCAGGGGAAAAATTTTATTGCGGCTGCATTCTCTCACTCATGTTGTACCTAAGGCAACTAAGTGATTTGTTCTCAAAAATTCAGTTCTGGAATTTAGTGATGTTGTGACTATGCAGATTGATTTTTCATATTTACGGATTCTTTTTTTTTTTTTTTTTTGAGGTGGAGTTTCACTCTTTTTCCCAGGTTGGAGTGAAGTGGCATGACCTCGCCTCACTGCAACCTCCGCCCCACCGTTCAAGTGATTCTCCTGCATCAGCCTTCCAAGTAGCTGGGACTACAGGCATCTACCACCATGCCCAGCTAAGTTTTGTATTTTTAGTACAGATGGGTTTCGCCATGTTGGCCAGGCTGGTCTCCCAACTCCTGACCTCAGGTGATCCACCTGCCTCGGCTTCCCAAAGTACTGGAATTACAGGCATGAGCAATCATGCCCAGCCCCATATCTACAAATGTATTTTTAATAATGTTATAGTCCATTTAAAAGTGTGTGGGGGGGTTTTGTTTTTGTTTTTTTGAGATGGAGTCTTACTCTGTTGCCCAGACTGGAGTCCAGTGGCGTCATCTCAGCTCACTGCAACCTCCATCTCCCAGGATCAAGCAATTCTCCTGCCTCCGCCTTCCAAGTAGCTGGGATTACAGGCGCCTGCCACCATGCCCAGCTAATTTTTGTATTTTTAGTAGAGGCGGGGTTTTACAATGCTGGCCAGGCTGGTCTCGAACTCCTGACCTCAGGTAATCCTCCCGCCTTGGCCTCCCAAAGTGCTGGGATTACACGCATGAGCCACCGTGCCCGGCCCTCAGTGATGTTCTTAACAGGGTCTGGAAACTCGTCTGCTGCCTCTTGGCAGGCAGAAGCTGCTTCTCTTGTTTTCTTGGCATTTTAAAGCCAACTGTCTTTCTAAAATTATTAAACCATCCTTTCCTGGCATTATATTCTTCAGCTTTAGATCCTTCACCTTCTTTTTGCTTTTCAGTTTTTATATAATGAAAACACTATAAATCAGGGTCTTCAGTTTTTTCAGGGAGCCAGTATATCACTGGAGCAAGTTTACAATAATTTACGCAAGCAATCACCTGTTGATTAAGTGCTCATTTTATTTCTTTTTTCTATTTCTTTTCTGTTTCCCCCTCATATGAACAGTGTGGTAATAAACTCAAAGAGGATTTGAGCAGTGCTGTACTGAAGAGGTTTGGGCAGTCACCACAAAGTCATACTAAGTACTGGCTGGACAAGAGAACAGAAGAATGTCAGGCATCACCCCCAGCTGCGACAACCTTCTTGTTCCCTTTCATGCTACAAACAAGGGGACTTGCTGCCTCAAGTTTTGAGAATGCCCTGCATGGACACTTCCAATGAGGGTTTTCCATGATGTTGACCTTTCATTTCTTCCTTTCATTTCATTGCCTCTTCCACTTAAGCTCTTCCTGCCTGTTTCCCTAGGCTGCCTCCCCTACCCTTAACATTGTGAGCAAGATCCATATAGGATAGCCAGGTCACAGTCCCCGGGGTTTTGAAAATTCAGCAACTGGCCAGATGCGGTGGCTCATGCCTGTAAACCCAACACTTTGGGAGGCCGAGGCAGGCAGATCACCTGAGGTTGGGAGTTCAAGACCAGCCTGACCAACATGGAGAAACCCCGTCTCTATTAAAAATACAAAAAAATTAGCTGGGCATGGTGGCCCATGCTTGTAAAGCCAGCTAATCAGGAGGCTGAGGCAGGAGAATCGCTTGAACCCGGGAGGCGGAGGTTGTAGTGAGCGGAGATCGCGCCATTGCACTCCAGCCTGGGCAACAAGAGGGAAACTCCATCTCAGAAAAAAAAAAAAAAAGAAAGAAAGAAAGAAAGAAAGAAAGAAAGAAAATTCAGCAACTTAGGGAATTGTGGGTGATAGGGAGGTTGAGTGGAAATGGGAAGAAGTTTCCTCCGCTTGGTTTAAGCTGTTTCAGAAGACGATGACACAGGCTTTATGCTGCTGATCTCTATGTCTCCAGCCCAGATCTATATTCCAAACTCCTATTCTTTATTTCCAATTATCTAATGAGCATCTCCACTTATGGCCCAAAAGCCCTGAAAATTCAATAAACATCTCCAAAATATAACCCCTCATCTCTCCATCCGGTATCATGACTTTGTGCAGCACTGCCATTTCTTTCATTTGTATTTATCCTGGGAACGTGAATTTTTGTGGGGATTTAAATGATCTTACGCACGTAAGAAGCTTAGGTGTTCAGCAAATGTTAGTTCTCTTGCCCTTCTTCCCTCTCACTTCCTTCCTTTCCTTCCTTCTTCTCTCCTTTCTAAAGTAAGAAAACCCTCAATTTAGGGGAAAAGTTCATAGAATTGTCAAAGACAATGTGCTGGCACTTAAGGTAAAAAATGTTCTTTAGAGATAAACCAAGTCTGAGAGCCTTGAGAGGAAAGTGACACTCAGAATTGATATCTTTTACCACTTTGTCATTGACCAAGACTCAAGTGAGAGGCAAGATGAGGCAGGCGATGAGGTGGATGTGTAGTGAGAAGCAGACTGGGCTCTTCTTGACTCTCTTGCCACCAGCAACAAGGGGCTCCAGGTCAGAGCAGCCTGGAGGCAATTATGCAGCTTAGGACTCTAGCCTGGCTGAGGGAAATAGAGTTGTTTGAGGCCATGTAAATCGGAGAAAAAAAAAAGGGTTCCGTTGAGTTTCTGTTTTTCTTACAGTTGAAAATTACTGAAGACTAGCAGACCCAACCGTCAGTCCTGGATGAACATAACTATATCCACCCTCCCATTATCTCTTGAGCTGGGTCATTGGAAAAGAGCTCATAAAACATGTGAAGGCAGAACATAATAATTTAATAGGTTGTCAGAAGGCTGAGAGTATCGAGGCCCAGCAGCATACCAAGAAAAGTGAAAGATCATTCGTGTGGAAAAGTTTGTGGTTTTGAAGCAGAGGGAGGGAGGGAGACAGAGGGAGAAAGAGGAAGAGAGCAGGAGAAAGAGAGAGGAAATGCAGTTGGAATGGGGCTTTGCTTATAACAGTGAGTCACCACTCTCTTTAGAGGGCAGGCCTAAAAATGTGTTCTAAAACTGAGCATCTACTATATGCAAGACACCATGCTAAATGCGGGGAAAGATGTTTAAGACATAATGCTGTCTTCTGACATGACTGTCAGCCTGTCTTGGATCAAACAGAGATGGGTTCAAGTCGCAGCTCCACCACTTACTGGCCCAGCCATTTTATCTCCCTCACCCTCAGTTTACTGATCTGCAAAATGGGTATAATTATCCCATCCTTGTAAGAATAAGACATAACATATATACAGCTATTTGCATACTGTATATACTGTCTGGTATTTAGTAAATGATCAGCAAATCTTAGTTCGCTCCTGCCTCCACCCCACCTACTCCCACCCCTCATATTAACAATAGCCATATCTATTTTCTTCACTGCTGTATTCCCAGTGCTTAAAGGAGTGCAAAGTAGCATGCAGGAGGAAGGCAGAGTGTCAAACAGTAAAGCTTCACTTTAGGAGAAATAAATGAACATATTCAGAGGAGAACAAGAATGTACAAGAAGCTGGGTGCGATGACACTCGCCTATAGTCCCAGCTACATAGGAGGCTGAAGTGGGAGGATGGCTTGAGACCAGGAGTTCAAGACTGTAGTGAGCTATAATCGAGCCTGCGAATAGCATCTGCACTCTGGCCTGGGCAACATAGCAAAACCAGGTCTCTAATACACAAATAAGTAAAATATAGACAAAAAAAATTTTAAGAGACTGGGTCTTGCTGTCTCCCAGGATGGAGTACAGTGGTGTGATTGCAGCTCACTGCAGCCTGGAACTCCCGGGCTCGAGCAATCCTCCCGCCTCAGCCTCCTGAGTAGCTGGGAGGGACTTCAGGCCCATGCCACTATGCCTGGCTGATTTTTTAATTTTAATTTTTTTTGGAGTTGGGGTCTCACTATGTGTGGCCCAGGCTACTCTTGAACTCCTGGTCTCAACAGATCTTCCCACCTTTCCCTCCCAAAGTGATGAGATTACGGGCATGAGCCACTGCACCTGGCTTGAATAAAAGTTTAAAAATAAGTAAATTAGAAAGTACAAGAAGAATGGAGAATGGATTTAAAATTTTACCACTTAGGGGACTGTTGAAGAAATCTCATATTTAATCCAGAAAATAGAACATTCAGGGGTTGGCTAGAAGGGAACTGATGCCTGTACTCATCTGTCTGGAAGACTGTTGTGTGGATGGGCAATGAGCCTTGATGAGTCTGGACTTAAAGACAGATTTCAGCCTGGGGGAAGAAAGCACCATCCGAGGGCAGGGCTGTCAAGGTGCAGGGAGGCAGTGTTGTGTGCTGGCAAGGAGTGAGAATGTGGGCTAAATGGTTTCAGGTCAGGTTTCTGGGCGAGGGCGCTCAAGTGTAGCGTGCTGGGGAGGGGAGAGAGGATCTTTACCCCTTTCAACCCTAAAGGCTTTGATTTTGAGAATCCTGCTACATTAGGAACAGTTGTCTAGGGAGGCCAGTGTTTGCCACTTGTGGCTTATTCCAAGCCTCTCTATTCCCTGCTTCCTAAAGAATGTTCTTCAAGATAATAATACCACCATTTAACTCAGGCCCTATGTTGGTCTGCTTGTAGTTTCTCAGGTATTCTGTCACTCTCCCTGCTTCTTGACCTCACTCAAACTATTCCTTCTCCTTTGATTGCCAACTCACTCATCCCAAACTGTCTTTCCAAGTTATGCTCATTCCTCCATGGTCCAGCTTAAATCTATTATCTTCTCAGGAACTTTCCTAGATGCCATTTACACAATCAGCACCTTTCCTTTCATATTTCCACAGTATTTTCTTTTTTGGTGTATCAGGGATCTCATGGGTCTAACTCTTCCATACCACATTATGAGCTCCTGACCTTTCACAGAGTCCTAGTGTTATTTATTCTCACCTCCTCCCATCCCTAAGAAAAATAGAGGGTCCTCAATATTTGATTAATTGCTTGAATATGGCAAGTGATTCCATACTGTCTTCCCCTTTCAAAACAAACAAACAAACAAAAAACAAGCAAGCTGCTATGGTTTGAATGTTTTTGTCTCCCTTCAAAATTCATGTTGAAATTGAATCCTCAAAGCAATGTACTGGCAGATGTGACCTTTGGGAGGTGATTGAGTCTTAAGGGCTCTGCCCTCATGAATGGAATTAGATGCCCTTAAAAAAGGCCTTGACAGAGGGAGCCGATCCCTCTTCTTACCCTTCCATCTTCTGCCGTGTGAGGACACAGCATTCCCCACAGGAGAACATGGCATTCAAGTCGCCATTGTGAAAGCAAGGAGCAGCTCATCAGATGTTGGTACCTTGATTTTGGACTTCTCAGCCTCAAGAACTGTGAGAAATAAATTTATATTCTTTTATAAATTACCCAGTCTGTAATATTCTTTTATAGCAGCACAGAACAGACTAAGACACAAGCAAAATCAATTTGCATCAGTTTCTGTTTGGCTTCTTCATATTTTGGGTGCATGAGAAAAAGAGCAATGCAACCATTTTCTACATTATGAACGACAGTGGGACAGTGCTTAACTCATAGTCTTAAGTCCCCAGATACCATTTTTACCCTTAGGTTCACTGTAACCCCAAACAGATCTTCAGTAGTGAGGTTGGCTAAGGTTTGTTCCCGTCCCCCTTCTTTCACTTCACATCTCCTGTAAATGCAGATTTAGTGCTTATGTGTTCTCCCAGGCACATAAGGCCCTTCCAGACACATGTCTTAATTCAATCTCTTAATGTTCAAAGGATAAATTTAGCCCTGCCCTCTCCAGGCAGCACAAGAATTGGCAAAGCACAAGAATTTACCCCTTGTAGTCACTTGTAGTAGTTATACCTCAAGGTCCTGCCAAAGGCTACCACCATGAGCTTTTCCACATTTTAGTCAATATGAGAGCCTGATTTATGAAAAATCAAGTTAATGGAGCAATGAATAAAAATACCTTATTTCTTCATTCATCTACATATTATGAATTTTATCACTGGATGAAACTAGGACATGAAATAGCTGTGCTCTTAGACCAATAAGTTGGATGCCCACAGATTCACTTTTGCTGAACAGTTGCCCAAGGGTAGGCAATTGTTCTCCACTGTGGAATATCATGAAAAGCAGCCCTGGGCAAAATCCTATGGTAGCTTTTATGGGGTATTGTTTAGGACCATCTTCCACACTGCATACAACAAGGTCTTTCTGATGAGGAGTCATGGGAGTATTTCCCATGGCGCCAGGTCTTTCCAACAGGAAAATTAGTGCATCTTCTAGAGAAACCAGATTGGTTTTACTCCACAGACTCAATGAGTCCTATAAAGGCTAGATGCTCCTCTTTGCTCAGTCACTAAGAAGGTCTCAAATCTCTATGGATCTTTTTGTCATGAGGTAGAAAACTTTTTCTACCACTCTTTTATTTTTTTAATTTATTTTTTATTTTTTCATATGCAAAGATTTTTGCAAAATCTACGACTCTTTTAGATTCAGGAGCTGGGGCCTGCAAACTAAAATAATAAAATACAGATTAACAGGAGAAAAAAGGTTTATTCACATGCATATGAGCTAACGAAAGAAGTAACTAAAGTAACTAGCTCATTAAAGTTAAAGTTGGGGTGGGGAGGAAGTGGGAAGTTCTTCCTATGGGAAGAACAAATCGTTTTCTTAAGAAAGACAAATTGGGTTTTTAGGAGAACAAGAAAAAGAAAGTTTGTGACAATGTTTGTTTCTGTAGGTACTTACAAGTGGTCTTTTTCAGGGCCATAAAACTCCAGGGGATTTATGGTAGGTATATTTCAGTTCTTCCTTCTGAAAGTAGACCCTCCTGAAGAGGGAATTTATGGCAGCCTCATTTCCCAGAAGTTGCTGATTTTAATCAGATAAAGGAAGCTCCAAGAAAACTTATTTCTGCATCTGTTGAATTTCAAACATCTTCAGCTTAAAATAATCTTCATACCAGCTATGGGGTTCCAAGTGGATCCTCACGCCTCACCCACTCATCCCAGTCTTCCTTTGCTAGTCACTCTCCAGCCTTATTTTCCCTTTGCCTGGATTCCCTCCACTATTTTTGTCTTTTGAGTCATATGTATTTTTGTAAGTAGCATACAACCTTTATGGTAAAAAGAATAAATGCTACATTTCAGAAATTAGAGGATGCCTTGAATGGTTTCTAATCGTTTCTTTCTTTCTTTCTTTCTTTCTTTCTTTCTTTCTTTCTTTCTTTCTTTCTTTTCTTTTTCTTTTTCTTTTTGAGACAGAGTCTGGCTCTGTCGCCCACGTTGGAATGCAGTGGTGTGATCTCGGCTCACTGCATCCTCTGCCTTCTGGGTTCAAATGGTTCTCCCACCTCAGCCTCCCCAGTAGCCGGGACAATAGGTGTGCACCACCATGCCTGGCTAATTTTTGTATTTTTAGTAGAGACGGGGCTTTGCCATGTTGCCCAGGCTGGTTTCTAACTCATGGCCTCAAGCAATCTACCCACCTTGGCCTCCCAAAGTGCTGGGATTACAGGCATGAGCCACCATGCCCAGCCACTAATGGTTTCTTACATTAAATATGTACATTTAATCTTCTTAAATAGATTATCATTAAAACAAGAAAGCCATATATTTTTTTCACTTCTTTTATGTCTCTCATGTGTCAGTTCAGGTTCTCTGAGAAGCCAATGTCAAGAGAGAATGAGATGTACAGGAGGTTTATTTGGGAAACACTGTAAAGGATATAAGGAGAGGAGCAGGAGCAGGTGGGGAAGGCTTCAGTCCCTGGTACAGGTCTGACACCTATGAAAGGAGAGAGGGAAGGAAGGAGGCAGCACCAGGTGAAAGGAGACCCTTCTCACCAGAGAAATCTGCACTGAACAGGGATGGCCAGGCCACAGTCCCCCTGCCATGCCTACATCACTGGCTGGGAGCAGCCTGGGAGAGCATGGCTGCAGCATGAAGGCTTGGATGGACCTAAATATGTATGGATGAAAGCCGTTGACCAGCGACCTCCCCATGGCAGGTCCTCTTGAGGAGATCCGAGCTGCACACCACAGTGGCTGCCACCCCTACAGAGCCTCCTAACTCAACACACTCTGACTCAGAAGTCACTTCAAGCAATGCCCAAGCGTCCCACCTTTCCGTTTCCCCTTAGCATCAAGACTGAGTTGTTTTGTACACAGTTCTTTTAAGATATTGTGTACCACAGGGGTCCCCAATTCCTGGGCTACTGGTCTGTGGCCTGTTAGGAACCGGGCCGCACCCAGGAGGTGAGCAGAGGGTGAGTGAGCATTAATGCCTGAGCCCCGCCTCCTGTCAAATTGGTGGTGGCATTGGATTCTTATAGGAGTGTGAACCCTATTGTGAACTGTGCATGTGAGGGATCTAGGTTGCACGCTCCTGATGAGAATCTAATATCTGATAATCTGAGATGTAACAGTTTCATCCCAAAACCATCCCACCCACCATCTGTGGAAAAATCGTCTTCCATGAAACTGGTCCCTGGTACCAAAGAGGTTGGGTACCACTGGTGTACCATTTTCTGGGTACATTGATGCCTTCTCCAGGAAATGACTGCCCTAAGACAGTGAGTGGTTAGGAGTCTGGAGCCAGACTGCCTGGGTTCATAGCCTGGACTTTACCACCCACTAGCTGCGGGAACATGAGCAAAGTACTGAACTTTGTGTCTCAATTTCCTAATTTATAAAGTTGAGTGGGCACGGTGGCTCATGCCTGTAATCCTAACAGTTTGGGAGCCCAAGTCGGTGGATCATTTGAGGTCAGGAGTTCGAGACCAGCCTGGCCAACATGGCAAAACCCTGTCTCTACTAAAAATAAAAAAAATTATCCAGGTGTGGTGGTGCATCCTTGTAATCATAGCTACTGGGGAGGCTGAGGCAGGAGAATCACTTGAACCCAGGAGGTGGAGGTTGCAGTGAGCCGAGATTGTGCCACTGCACTCCAGCCTGGGGGACAGAGCGAGGCTATGCCTTAAAAAAAAAAAAAAAAAAAAAAAAAAAAAAGCACAGAAGCACTTAGTATAGAGCTTTGGTAATAATATGTTCTCAGTCAAAGCTAATATGACATATCTCCTGTTAACACTTTTGCCTTTGCAATTTTGCCTTTCAACTTGAGTATCACATTTGCAAACTTAGAGTATGCATTTCAGACAGACTGGCCAAGGGCTTTCAGGAACTCTTCAGACCATTTCATGCAGGCTAGTGATTATTCTGCCTGGCTTTGGAGTCCAACATGTTAGCATAACCCCTAACATGTAGAAAGAACTTGAAAATGGTAGCTATTTCTATTATGTTCACTGTTAAAACTTAGTCTCTGCCTTCACTTATTCTTTTTCGTTCTTTCATTTACACAGCAAACATTTATTAAGCATCTGTGGGTTTCAGGCACTGTGGTAAATACCAGAGAATCAAAGATAAATCAGACATGGTCCTTGCTTTCCACAAGTCCAAACTGTAAGAAGAGAGAAGGTACAGGAACAAGAGCAAAAAAAAAAAAAAGTAACTATAATAAAGAGTGCAAAGTCATGAGAATTTAGTAGAGGGCTAGATAACATGCTAAGAGGGTAGAGAGAGAAATTACTTCCACCTGGTTTTTAAATGCCAAGCTCTAAACCCACAGGGCCTGGACAACGGCAGGTAAGGAGCCCTTCTGAAAGGGGAAAACACTGGGCATCACATTTATCATTTGCTGTACCCTGGACTAGAGGAATATTATATGTGTTACAGGAAGGTGTTGCTTTATAGCAACCTCTCAAATCACATTATAAATGGCAGAATTACACAGAGAATCAGAAATAATAACAATGATTGCGTCAAGCCTGTCATCTGTTCCTTTAAGCATTCTATAAGTAATGTTCACCTCTGAAAGCTTGCTTTTCTGGGACACATGGAGAAGTGCATCAGGGCCCTTTCTTTTCTTTTGTTGCAGATCATTAGCAGAATAATTGTAGGAGGTGCCGGTGCCCAATTAAGGATGTTGACACCATCCCTCAGGGGAATGGTGCCTGCCTCCTGCGCAGCCTGAATTTGCCTCAAATTCTGTTACACTCTGGATTTGTTCGTATTCTGCCTTCACAGCCTCCACCTCACACTCCTCCCCCACTAGGCTTCTTCTGAAATAAATGCAATCCGAGGGCTCACATCACTTGTGTCTGTCCTTCAAAGTCTCCTCTTGG
The DNA here is from genome assembly GCF_000001405.40 of Homo sapiens. Taxonomy (NCBI): domain Eukaryota; kingdom Metazoa; phylum Chordata; class Mammalia; order Primates; family Hominidae; genus Homo; species Homo sapiens. Next base: position 94,941,172 of record NC_000011.10, on the reverse strand, counting down.
TGACTGCTGTGGTTGACATTTCCAGCACCATGGGCCAGCTACTGACCACATTTTAATTGCCCCTATTTGGGGTCCCTTTTGTGGAAGGGCAGGAAACTCAGGGTTTTTTCTGTCCACCATTAATAACTGTGGGAGACATTGAACTGGCCAGGGGATCTCATTTAGGCTCCCAGATTTGATTGTGACAGTCCTGACTCAATCAAAGGAAAATGCAGGGAAGCCTGCAGTGTTTTGTGAGGCAAGTGCGGGCACTGAACTCTTGGCAATGCTGTCTGGAGGTCCCTTTCACTGAGATGGGGAGCTCATGGTGGGATGAGCAGGGGGAAGAAGAATTCAGTCTGGAAAAGATTGGGATCCTTTTAAATCATCCCAAGTAGAGGTAAAGAGTAGGCAGTTAGGTATCTAAATATGAAGTTATGAAAAAGGTTAAAGTTATTGTAGCTAATATTTACAGAAAGAGAGAAATTTGGAAACCTTTAGGATGTAAGTCTTACTTAAATCCATGGGGCTAGATAAGGACATGAATGTTTATAGAGAAGAAAAGCCCCAGGACCTTCTATAGTCCGGGAATAGAAGAGTACCCAGTTAAAGAAGATTAACAAGGAGTGGCCAGTGAAACACAGAAAATCTAGGAGAACTTGGAGTCCTGGAAGCCAAAAGAAAGCATCATTTCCAGAAGGAAGAATGATCAACTGGCTGATAGGTCAAGTGAGGCGGGGGCTGAGAATTGACCATTGGATTTAGCAACACGGAAGTTATTGGTGACCTTGACAAGAGCAACTTCAGGTAAGTTTTCTCTGGCTTCTAGGCCTACATTTCTGGTGTGCTAACCTCCTGGATTCCAGCCCTTTGCCTACTAGGTCTCATTCAGCTTCTCCATGCAACAAATATCCTTGAGGCCTTTTGTCACTGCTTTGATTTCTGCCTCTAGATATTACAGACATTCTTAACCATTTGGGGTCAAGGACCCTTTGAGAAATCTGTATAAATATGTGCTCTCTATCCACATACATAAAATTATATATAAATGTATATACATACACTTATATATACATAATATTATGTATATAATTTCAGGGATTCATGGACTCCCTAATTCCCGGTCCCAGGTTAACAAAGCCTTGCTCTAAGTTCACCAAACTAATTTCCTTCACCTCTAGCAACTCAGGTCTTGAAGCCCCAGTTTGTCACACCCATGCCAAAAAGCCTCCTCAGATCATTGTTCAAATTAAAGACAATTAGAGCTAACAGCAAATAATGTTCTCACTACAAGCTCTCAGGGAGGCAAACTTAGAACAAACATCAGTAGACCCGTAACCCATTCTAAAATGTAGTAAATGTAACAGTTTCACTTATATTATACCTTCTTAGCCCAACTTGAGATCTGATTTTTTTTTCTCACCATCATAGGTGGTGGGACTAGGGACAGCCAAGTCCCCTAGGCAAGGATCTAAATTAAAAATCTGTGGGGACCAGGCATGTAATGAAAGGGGCTGAAATGCATGGAAAACCACCGAGTAAACAGGTCTACAGTAAAAAGGTAAAGGGGAGAGTACACACGCTTTTAAAAGAGCAGCTATTACTCTGCTTCAGCAAATTGCTGATATGCAAGAATTTCAGCTCAGCATTGCTAGAATTTCTGATTGTTCAAGATAATCCAAAATCTTGCCTTTCATACAGGCTAACCAAAATATATAAGCAGCAGCCTGCATGTGGTTAGAAGACCTAACCTATGTCAAGTCAGAGGGAAGACAAAGGTATGTTTATGGATTAATTTCAGTATAGTGTTCCCTTTAAAACTCTTTTTATCATTTCAACAAATTGTATTTTCCAAAGATGAGCAAAGCAATATTTCCAGTCCCACGTATTTTTTCAAAATCTTGACATTCACACCAAGTAAATCGGGAACCTGGGAAGCCTTTGTAACTACCTTGACAAATAGAACGTGGCCGATGTGGTGCTGCACAACTTCTAAGATCAGGTCCACATAGTGATACGGTTTCTACCTAATTCTTTCTCACTCAGGACGCTCACCCTTGGAACCCAGAACCCAGGCTGGAAGGAAGCCCAAACTAACCCATGCAGAGATCACAGGGAAATATTTAAGTGGAGAGGAACTGAAGCCCCCGAAACAGCATCATCCCCCAAACATGTATGAGGAAGAACCTTCAAATGATTCTAAGCCCTGAGCCTTTGAGCTTGCAACTAAGACCTCAGATAGCATGGAGCAGAGACAAGCTGTTCCTGCCATGCCTTGTCCAAATTCTTGACCTGCAGACTGAGAGCATAATAATGGCTGCTTTTTGCTATTAGGTTAAAGTGATTTGTTAGGCAGTCACAGTAACTGAATTTCCATTCACAAATATGGAAGTGCTTCAGCAAATTCATCTGTGGAACACATCTTTTAGAAAGATCTTTTCTCTCTGGGATCATTTTAGATTACTATTTTCTTTGGCTGGTGTCCTTACTGAGTCTCCTGTGGCTCTGAGTTCCGGGCCTCTCCAGGACTGCCACATTCACTTTGATGGATGCTCTGATTGTTCTTCATGTGAGCACGGCTGGCTCTGGGCCACCTTCAGCTCCTCTCTGCTTTCCCAGGGACCTCTCTCGTCACGCACCAAAGCCGACTCCCAACTGTCTCTATAAATAAGTCTGTCCTGACTAGCCAAGTCATATTTGCATTCTTTATTTAGCCAAGTCATATGTGCATTATTTATTTTTTAGTGAGCGAAAAGTTACTTTTATTTTTATTACGTAGACTTAAGTCTCAAACTAAATGCTGCATTTTTGTTGGAGTGCCTTCCTCCACTTTGTCTTTCAGAGCCACAGCAGAAGCAGTACATTCTTTGGGAGAGGTGACCTAACATAATCTTCTCCAGACACAGTTCAAGGTCTTCTGCCCATAGCAAACGGTGTAGCACAGACCAATGTGGCAGTCAAGAGGGTTAAGGGCTGGTACCTTGAAGTTGGACAGACCTGTCTGTGAATCTTGATATGCCACTTAATTATGAGCTAACTGACTACAGACAAGTTGGGTCCCCACATCTATCAAACATGGATAAGAATGCCTGTCTCTTGGTATGTTGTCGGGGGAGTGAGTACATAAGACACAGAAGGTGTTATCCCAATACCTGGCACATAGGTAGAGCCTGGTAGAGAAAATTATTACTACCATCAACACCACCTGCAATAAAAACAACACAACCTCCACCAACACTACCACCCATACTACCTCTACCACTATTTTCATCTTTATCACCACTTCCACCTGCACCACCACCTCCTGTGCCATCCCACATGGCATTCATCCATTCATGTACTTGGCTCACCTACTGCAGGAAGCACAACTCAAAGGCAGGGAAAGTGACTTTGTATCTTTGTATCCACAGTGCTGCTCACTAAGCTCTGAAAGTAGTAGTAGACACAAATATTTTGTGGAATAAGTGAATGAATAAACACGCCCAATAATATTTTAAAATCATCTTTAGCTGTACATAATTTTATGACAAGGATATGACCTAGTGCAAGTTGAGTGTCTACAATGTAAAGGGTGCTGTGCAAGCACTTTCTCTAGAATATTACGTTTAACCTTTCACCTTACCTCCTATCCCCTGCCCCAACCTCACCCCCCTGCAACCTGTCTCTATTAACCTTCTTCTCACAATCTCACCCTTGCAGGTCCACCCCAAGCTGAGCAAAATTACTATCTACTGCTCAGGGTCATCCTTTCCTTGTGTTCTTAAATTCATCTGTGTTCTTGGTGCCTTAAGAATGATTTGTGCTAACTTTAGATTGTATTCATGAAAACTCGTGTTTCTTAAAGTGTGGTCCCTGGACTAGCACCATCAGAGTCAACTGGAAACTTAGAATTGCAAACCCATGCCCCACCTCCGACCTGAGTGCAGCCCAGTGCTCAGGGTTCTAACAAGTTCTGCAGGTGATTCCGATGCTCACTCAAGTTTGAGAACATTGATATAAACTATATATAATTAAATAGTTACATAAAAATGGTGAATGAAAAGTATTCAACTTGAACCATTGTAGTGAGGATCTGAAGCTATTTGATACCCCTAAGATAAAGGGTTTATAAACAATAATGAATTTGCAGGGGCAGGGGCAGCATGAGCAGTAGAATGAGAAGGAAAGAGGCAGAAAAGCAGGGTCAGAAATCACCTTCCAAGCAGCCCTCAGCTCTGACAGGTTTTCTTCTAGCTAGTTGGGGAGGTTTATAAAAGATTCCAACACTGCAGCAGAATTATGCTTTTCTTTTTCTTTTTATAAATTGTATACTAACAAATGATCATTGTACAGAGCAGTGATTTTTGAATGAAATTTTACATGGAGTCATATACAACGAGGGAACAGAGAAAAGCTCTGACTGAGGGGCTGGGGTGCCCTGACCCTACTGCAGTGGCCCCTGAGTCATTTAGAGAAACCATATACTTAGCTTCATTGGAGCTGTGATTCTATAAAGTGGATTAACAGAGCTGCAGGTCATGTTTTAGCCCTATGCCAGGGCAAGACCACTTAAAGCTGCCAGTGAGGGATGGGAGAATGCTAATAAAATAGCAGGGCGGCCCTGGTGGGATCAGGGGCACCATTAACACAGACTATACAGCAACCTAGTCAGTGTAGCAAGCCACGCCCAGTGGGAGCAGGAGCAAGATCCAGGACTAGGCTAGCCTAAACTGGCTGAAATGCAAAGGTGAGAGGGGATGAATGGAGGACAGAGTCCTTGGGTAAATTTAGACCCCAGGAGGCAGGAGCTGACAAGGAGACAAGGCGCCAGAATGAATGTGGCACTTGGTCAGCTTGGATGACTTCCTCTGGATGGCTTTCCATTATGGAAGGCACCTTGGGAACACGTTACAGTTTATGATAGGTATGTGTGTAGGGTGTGTGTGCGTGTGTGTGTATGTTTATAACTAATTATGCTTTTTATTCCTTAGAGAGTTCAGTCATCCTCAAGAAGCCATTTTGTTATAAGATGTACCATGGTAACACACCATGAGGTTACCCCTCTACCTCTGCTTTTTCTGGAAGGCCTTTCTCTCCTTCTATTCATGTCAGGTGTCACCTCCTCCTGGGTTGGTTGGCTCTTCCCTTTGTTCCTATTGCATGCATTCCTGCACTGTATCAAATTGTTTACGGATTTGTCTCCTTCTCTAGACTATGAGCTCTTAATAGATGTTCACAGATACACAACAAGTGTTGAAGAAATGCTTGTTAAATGATGGGAGTCAGTCATTGGCATGGGGAGGGAGGTATCTTACCTGCATGAGCCCAGCAGGCAGTGGAGGTCAGTCTATGTCTTAGTTCATATGTGTTGCTATAAAAGAATACCTGAGGCTGGATAATTTATACAGAAAACAGGTTTATTTAGCCCACAATTCTGCTGGCTGGAAGGTTGGCCATCTGGTGAGGGCCTCAGGCTGCTTCCCCTCTTGGGGAAAGGTGAAAGGCAGAAGGGAGTCTGTGAGTGCAGAAATCACATGGCAAGGAAGAGAGTTAGGGGAGGAGGAAGGTGCCAGGCTCTTTTGAACAGCCGGCTCTCTTGAGAACTAGGAGATCAAGAACTCACTCACTCCTGCTCAGGGAAGGCACTAATCTATTGATGACAGATCTGCCCCCATGATCTAAACATCTCTCATTAGGCCTTTCCTCCAACATCGGGATCAAATTTCAACGTAAGGTTTGTGGGGACAAACATCCAAACCATAGTGGTCTGGTTACCGGGGCTCAGAGTGGCAGCTCAGCTCAATGTCACCCTTTACAACTGGGGCAGAACAGGGCCTGGTCCTGCTGGGGGAGGGGCACATGCATAGCAGGTTCCTGATTTTCTTCTCCTCCTACCAGGGAGCAGCTGGAGTCACAGATTCCCAGAGCCCAGGATGGGGCAGCATCCAGTTGGTAATACAACTTCCTGGGTAAGGAAAAATGTGACTAAACCAGCCCCAAGTTCACTGCCCCAGACTCAGAATATCAAATCTCAGTAGCTACAAGTTTGCTGTTGGCCTTGGAGTTTTCTGCCCAGTTGTTTTATCTCATGGGTACTTTAACCTGACTCTCACTGCCAGGACTCTTAGAAGGAAGGAAGGGGATTGAGGCGGAAATCAACTGCATTCAATTAATTTGATCAAGTGAGCTGTTTCCTTTTATCCTTTCACATCCTGTGAGAGAGTTTCCTTCTGCAGGAAGGATGCATGTCTGACCGCAGGACAGGAAGCATTTTCTCTTTCATCTGGATATACATTAAGAACTTTGCTATGTCTTTAAAAATGAATAAATGACTACAATTGGGTTTAATTTTTAAAGTTGGCGTTTTTAACATTTACTAAAATGTTCGTAACAAATTCTCAGTAATTGTCAAATTCGGATGATAGAGAACAAGTCTCCTGACTGACACGTTACCCCCTAGCCTGGAAGGATTAGGGCAATCAAGGACAAAGACGGGAGTGAAATTGAGAGGGTAAGACCCAGGACTCAGCTCCGAAACCACCTTCCTCCTGGCCTGTGTAGACCTAGGCCTGGGTTTTCTTAGCAGCTGGAAGTAGTAGTTGCTATGGCAACAGCACTGCAGGCTCAGGCTCAGGCCTGAACCGAGACTCACCCACCGCCTGCTAACCAGGATGGTCATGTGCCAGCCCCAACCCTGCAACTCATCCTCAGATATCTTGCTATAGAACAGCCTAGAGCCAGGCTCCCTCTGGCTTTTTGAGCCAAGGAGCTGATAGTGTATGTTTGAGAGAAGTGGGAGATTGAAGAGGTTGCACACAAAATCAGCAACTTTCAGTTCCTGCCTTTCCAGTGGGTTCTAGGGAGGCTGATAACCTGGCTTGGCATGTTCCTGGATGCCAATGTCTGTTCCAAGGAATAGACAGTGTCTCTCTGTCAGCACAGGCTGAGCTGTGCTCCTCAGCCCTTTCACCCCACCAGACCCCACATCACTGCAGGGATTCAGGTAAGTTCAGAAAGGTTGTTACAGAGAAGAGCATTATATGGATCCAGTAAAAAAAAAAAAAAAAAAAAAAAAAATCTCACCCATGAGATGTTGAATTCATGCAAAATAAGATCATAGGGCCCCCTTGTCCCAGGGGCTCCTTGCAAAGCAAACAGACCTCCAGAAGAAGTTTCTCACTTTTTACCTCATCTCCTGTGGCTGGCCTGACCCTTCCTAAGCTCTCCAGGGAGTCAAAGGTCATGGGGTGAGGGGAGCAGATGGTGACCCAGATCTGACGTGCTGGGAAGGAATTTCTTGTTTTCTTGTCCCAAAGGGCTTCCTCTTCCCCACTGAGACCCAAGCCAGAGGAAATTAGGTCAAATAGCAGCAAGAAGTGATTTCCATTAGAGAAAAGGGAATTTCAGACCAAAAAAATGAGGACTTTCTAGAGCTCAGTTCACCTGGTTTGGGGGAGCTTTCATTTCTGTTTTAGGAAGACACATGCAATACTTGAAGGAGAATTAGACCAGAAGTCAGGAAAAGTGGGTTCTAGATCTGGTTCTACCACCTACTAGCTGCGCGACTTTAGATTAGACAAGCCACTAAACCTCTCAAGGACTCAGTTTCCTCATCTATGAAATGGAGAAAATATGTCTTGTTTTGCCTGTTTAATGAAGTGGTCAAGATGATGATCAAACAAGAAAAAAATGTGCACTGAAGTTCTTTGTGGATGTCTGTTACAAACAAAACAGATTTTTCAAGCGCTTTGAATCACTCAAAGAAAATGTGTTATTAAAAACAGATGATAATAAATCTGGTAGCAGGAAGCAAAAGCCACTCTGAGCAGCAGCAGTTTGGTTGCCTAGTCACAGTCTGGCCTTGCTGTTTTGCTTGGTGCTGGCTACCGATTCTTGACTCACAACACTGGCTTGTAACTCTGTGTAGGACCCAGGAGAAGCAGCCCCTTCACAACTATGAGGTTGGTGCAAATGTAATTGTGGCTTTTGCCATTGAAAGTGATGGCAATTGCTTTTGCACCAACTTAATAATTTATCGAGATAGTTCAGGCCAACTGCTTTCCACCTATGGACAAAGTCAAGTTGAATTTTAGGCAGAATTGAATTGGCAGGTCGAGTATCAGCCAGGAAGCCTTGTCTGAAACAGCCCCAGAGGCATAGAAAAGCCTGGAACCTGGTAGCTGGAGCCACAGATGCTTAAAAGGTTTTTTTTTTTTTTATTTGTTACCATTCTTTTTTAATTTTTAAAATAATTTCAACTTTTATTTTAGATTCTGGGGGTACATGTGCAGGTTTGGTACCTGGGTATACTGCGCGATGCTGAGGTTTGGGATTGATTGATCCCATCACTCAGAAAGTAAGCATAGTACCCAACAGTTAGTTTTTCAGCCCTTGCCCCACCTCCCTCCCCACTCTAGTAGTCCCCAGTGTCTATTGTTGCCATCTTTATGTCTATGAGTACTCATCGTTTAGCTCCCACTTATAAGTAAAAACATGTGGTATTTGGGTTCCTGTTCCTGAGTTAATTTGCTTAGGATTATGGCCTCCAGCTGCATCCATGCTGCTGCAAGGGACATGATTCCATTCTTTTTTTAAAATTTAATTTAATTTTATTTTAAGTTCCAGGATATATGCGCAGGATGTGCAGGTTTGTTACATAGATAAATGTGTGCCGTGGTGGTTTGCTGCATCTATCAACCCATCACCCAGGTAATAAGCTATTTTTCCTAATGCTCTTCCTCCCCACTCTCCATCCCCTGACAGGCCCCAGTGTGTGTTCTTCTCCTCCCTTTGTCCATGTGTTCTCATTGTTCAGCTCCCACTTATAAGTGAAAACATTTGTTGTTTGATTTTCTGTCCCTCCCTCCATTAGTTTGCTGAGGATAATGGCTTTAAGCTCCACCCATGTCCCTGCAAAGGACATGATCTTGTTCCTTTTTATGGCTGCATAGTATTCCATGGTGTATATGTACCACATTTTTTTTATCCAGTTGATTTCATTCTTTTTATGGCTGCATAGTATTCCATGGTATATATGTACCACATTTGATTTATCCAATCCATTGTTGATGGACACTTAAGTTGATTCCATGTCTTCACTATTGTGAATAGTGGAGCCACAGATTTAAAGGCAGTCATTCTAAGGACACAGTGTAGAAGAAACTGATGACTACTAATGGCCTAATCATAATAGTCACTGTTGTTGCAATAATACTTTGTTGTTATTAGAATTGCTTGTTGACTGCTTATTACATGCCAGGCATTGTGGAAAGTTCTTTACAAATATTATTACCTCTTTTGATTCTCTGAAAAGCCTATAAAGTAGCTATTGCTATTTTACTTATAAAAATAAAATTAGAGCTTAGACTGATTCCAGGCGGTAACATGCCCGGAGTCACACAGGTGAGGGAACTGGAAATCAAATCCAGGTATGTGTGATCCTAAAACTGAGCTGTTAGCCAGTGTGCCACTGGTCCCCAGCCTGTCCCAGCCATTACAATCACCTGAAAACCTTGCTGCACCAACAATTTCTGGGCCTTGCACCCACAGTATTTGATTCAGTTGGTCTTGGGTGGCCCTGAGAATGTGCATTTCTAACAAGTCCCCAGGTAATGGTGCTGCTGCTGCTGCTGGCCCCAGAAGACACAGTGGAAAACCAGCGAGCTGTGGCATACCACCACGCATACAGCCAAGAAGCACTGGAGGTGGCCATGCTGGCCAGCCAAGAAACCCCACCTGGTGCTTTCAATGGCTGTTGAAAGGCCCACCTGTCCTCAACGTCCCTCCCAGAAGTGAGCTCCCTTATTCAGGAGTCTCACCTAAGCTAGACGGCAAACACAGGGGTTTTCATCTTTTTAGACAATTGTTTGCCAGCTTTCTCTCAGTTCCCTATCCCCCGAATTCATTATCTGTTCAAAACATTTATCAATCTCAGAAGTCTTACAGAATCTCAGAATTGGAAGGGACCTTGGGGGCTTGCCTGGTGAATCCTTTCTTGGGTGCCAACAGAGCCTGATGAATAGCAAGCATCAATTATTGCAGAGACTGATGAATAGCAAGCTATGGTGGAAGATGATAAGTTCTAGGAGCCTGGCTGAAGGTTTTCTCAGAGGCTCTCTTCTTCTTTGGTAGGCTTGCTGGCTGCTCTCTGGCTGCTCATATCAAGCTCATCCCACCCTGTGCTTGAATTTCTGCCTTAGCCTCCTGTATTGTGTTGAATGTTGGCCCCGCAAGAGATATGTCCTAACCCTTGGATAAAGGTCATAGTTATAGGACTATACTCAAAACTAATCATGTTTTAAAAGAACAGCAGAGTACTCCAAAAACAAGTATTTTCTACTTTGCAGTTTTCTGAAATAACAGCTCAATTTTAGGGATCACACATACCTGGATTTGACTTCCAGCTCTCCCACCTGTGTGACTAATACTTTTTCCATGGAAAGGTCAAGAAACATCTTCAACCTTTATATGGTCTACACACACACGCACACACACACACACACACACACACACACACACAACTTTGCATCTAATCCCAGGTCTTACTCATTGCTCCCTTCCCACCATCACCAGGGAAGCTTGATGTCACTGTAGACAAACATCCAATGCCCAGCTCACAACACTAACAATCTCATCACTGTTCACCTCCTTAGCCCACTTTAGCCCCTTTACTCCATGGCCACACCTAGAACTTGCCATACCTGGAACTCTTCTATGAAAGGAATATCACAGCTCCTACCTGTTAAATAATTACAATCTCTCATCCTAATCTTGCATCCTTCCTGAACTTTCACTTGATTGCACACCCTCACCTTTTCTTTGACCTCACCAAAATCTCACCTTCCACCACTCCTTCATTCTCCCACCTCCCCATCTATCAGCCTGTCTTCCCATTCCCCATTTTGCAGTGTTGATCCTGTGGCCCATCACTAACATTTCTTTTTAGAGACAGGATCTCACTATATTGCCCAGGCTAGTCTAAAACTCCTGGGCTCAAGCAATTCTCCTGCTTCAGCCTCCTGAGTAGCTGGGATAATAAGCACAGCCACCTCACTCAGCTCTATTGCTAATTTTCATCTTTTTTTTTTTTGGAGACAGAGTCTCGCTCTGTCACCCAGGCTGGAGTGCAGTGGCATGATCTCAGCTCACTGCAACCTCTGCCTCCCGAGTTCAAGTGATTTTCCTGCCTCAGCCTCCCGAGAAGCTGGGAGTACAGGCACCTGCCACCATGCCCAGCTAATTTTTGTATGTTTTTTTTCAGTAGAGACAGGGTTTCGCCATGTTGACCAGGATGTCTCGAACTCCTGACCTCAGGTGATCCGCCCGCCTCAGCCTCCCAAAATGCTGGGATTACAGGCGTGAGCCACTGGGCCCAGCCAGCTTTTGTCTTAACACTTCCAACTCCTTTATGCCATTGACAAGATTTGCACTGACCTGGCAAATCTTCAACTATGGATGATTTTAACCTATCTGCTTTCTTCCTTCTTATACTCAGACTTCTAAACATGGCAAGAGACTGTCACATGCATGTGCAGATTGAGGTCATCACAAGTGGGCACAAGGTTTTCACGTTTAGAAGGGCCTCAGTGCTCTCTGCCAAGCCTTTCAGAGGTCCCTGGTCAGCAGCCTGGTGCCAGGGTCACAGCTATCACACCAAAACACTGGTGCAAATGACAAAGGGCCCCTTCTCCTGGGCTATGCAGAACTCAGGGCTTAGTGCAGGGCTGCAAGTGCTTTGGAAGAACGTCTTTTGCCTTTCTGGTTCCCTTCAATAACTGTTCTAGAAATTTCCTCTGGCCATCATTTCTACTGGCAATCTTGCCTCTACTTGACAGATAAAACAAAGATAATCAAGGGTTAGCTCCACAAATTTCTGGTTCCCAACCTTTAAAAACTTACCTGTATCTACATCCCCATTTGAGAACAGATTGTCCCCCATTTGAGAACAGATTGTCCCCCATTCTCAAGAGTCTCTTCTCCTCATTAAGACAAATCCTCCCCCCACGTCTTTGTGACTCCATCCCCTCCTACCTCAATCATCCTCATTCCTTTCCCTTTCTAGCCACATCTTTTTACCAGGATTTAAACATGTTTGAGTCTCTTTCATTAAAACAAACAACCCTCTGCCCAAACTTATATTCAACTTAGCCACTGCTCTACTGCCATCCTTTCCTTCAGCCAATACAATAAAATTCATATTATAAAAATTTTCAAACCAAAATAGAAGAGTATAATATATACCCATGTACCTGATTCACCCAGATTCAATATTTTGCCACATTTCCAGCCAGAGTTCTTGAAAGAGCTGCTGATATGTAAATTCTACTCCATCTTTAACCCTGAGATGTGGGTTTCCCCTCACTGCCTTAGTGAAAGTGCGCTCAGGTAGCTCCATTGATCTGATGGCCACATCTAGGAGGCACTTCTCAGTTTGTAGTTTCCTATGAGCCATTTTGCCCTTTGATTTTCACTCCTTCCTTGCTTATACATCTTATTGCCCCCTGGTTTTCCTGCTACTCTTCAGTTTCCTTTGTGGCTTTCTGAGCTCTTCTTGTCTCTTGACTATGCCATTGGATTCTATTTTTAGTTCCTTTTATACTCACTCTTCACCCAGGCCTTTCCTGACACACACCCCAAAGTTGAGTAAAACACCACTTTGCTGTTTCTAGAGCACCTATCCTACTGTATTATACTTGCTTGCCTAGTTATTGGCATTCCACAGGAAACTGAATAGGGCCAGGGACTCTATTTTTACTAATGTATTACCAGAACACAGCTCAACATAGGGCCCATTAAATACCCATAGAATGATGGATGCACTCTAGTCCTTTCATGCCAATGTCAACAGAACAAGTCCATTCCTACCCACCCAAATCACCCTCCACCAGGATGTGCCTATGAATGCCTCCAGCATGGCTATGAGGAAGAGCAAAGAGAAACAGCTCTTGATTGTTCCTGCTAATTGGGGCACAAATAGGGAAAATTCCAGAGACATCCAGAGCCTCATGTAAGCCCAGAATTTCAAAGCCTCCCAAAATAGTAAAGCCATTCATGTCAGAGAGAGAGATTTATCTTTCAGATAGATACTTCCCCTGTCTCTGTAAACCAAATCACAGAGGCCAAGGAGCCACCATAAGACCTGCAAGCTGGGAGGAGGATGAAGCACCGCCAAGGGCAGATTTTCCACAAATCCAGAGTAACTAGAGGACATTATTTCACTCTATGGATTCTGAAGCTAAGAAAACTCCGCTTAGCCCAGCAGACGTGGTCTCAGGTCAGCTGGTCTCTCTGAAGGATCAGGGGTGTGGATCACTGCTCAACTGGCTGCTAAATTGTCAATATTTCCGTCAATGTAGGCTGTGAGGGCCACACCAGGCTGTCTCCAGCTGATAATCAGGATCTCCAATCGGCCCTGGGGGACATAAAACTAGAAGCCAAATGGGCAGTTACCACGTTGCAGCATATAATGAAAATAACTGCCATTTACTGGGTACCTGCTGTGTGCCAGGTTCTGTACCAGGCTCTCTGCATATATTCAATCCTCCAACTAGCCAGCAAAGCAGCTGTTACTCATAAGGGCTTCAACAACAACCCAAACCATCCTCATCCCATGATAGAGCTGGCATGCCACATTCTGAAAGCACTCACATTGGCATCTTCTTGTTTGATTTTTAGAGATAGGCATGGGGCATCCATCGTTCCCATTTTATAAAGAGAACACTGAGCCCTACACAGCATCTTGTTTAGGGTCGCACAGATCATACTGAGACTTGAATATCCCTGCACTGTCTGCCTCCAAGGTTTGGGCTCCCTTTGCAGTGCAGCTACCCAGAAAGGTGTTTGGCTCTCACTGCCACATGGCTGTGTGGGCCTGGGTCCTGTCCTGTGCAGAGGGAATGAGCCCTGGAATGATTTCATTTCTGCCACTGAGCACCTCTGCAAGATACAAACTTTCTGAGCTTTGGTTTTTTCATCTGTAAATGGTGGCTGGTGACACAGGCCCCAGCTACTTTGTGGAGCTATGTGAGAATCACATGAGATTAGGTCAGTGAAGCCATTTTTAAAAGCACGGCATCAAGACAATTGTCCAGGAGCGTTATTATTAGTAGTGACGCAGTGTTCAGAGGAAAGTCAAATTTCTTTGCTTTTAAAGGTTTTAAGATGACCTTTAAACAAGGAGCCAGCTGGGTTCTTAGTTCACAGTAGTTTAGCACACTTTAATTCAGAGGCTTTGAAAGCAGGGAGAAATATTTGGTGGCATGGTTCCCAGAAATAGCCGGGGTGGAGAAACTGGAGCTCCCATGGGGAGTGGGGTTAGGGGGTCAGGAAGCTGGTCCAAATCTCCTCTGTCACCAGCTTCTCATCTCCAGACTCAGGAAATCCTTTCCACCCTGGGGCCGTTCCCACACTGACGTCCCACTTCCTCCTGCAAGGGCAGTGCCCTCCTCTGGCCTCTGGATCTTGAGTTGGGGGTGGGGAAGAAGATGAAGGAGAGTCTGTGTGTAGCAGTGGCCCTGCCTATGGGGAAAGCAGGAGGAGGGGTGTGTATGTGTGTTGGGGAGAACACTCTCATTTTCTGATCTTCTGTTGTTTTAGGCCCTGGGCTGAGTACTTCATATATTTTATATTATATAGTATATGCATGAGCCCTACAAGGAAGATAACTTTATTTCCATTTCAGAAATGAGAAAACTGAGGCTCAGGGCTGGGACAGATGCAATGTGAGAACTCACACACAGCCATGAAGTGCTGGGGCTGGATTTAGAACACAGTTCTAGGTGACTACACAGTCATGGCATCCTGCTTCCCCTGAGGGTCTCTCTGTGTGTTCATTTGAGGGATCTGCAAGCCCAGCTCTGCATGTGGTGCCTGACACCCCCTTTGCTGCTAAACACTGAACAAGAAAGCAGGCTCTCCACCAACCTCAGCAGGGCTTTAGCTATTTGTAAGGACTCAAACCCACCCCTGCACACACCCACCTTCTTCAGCCTTGTGTAGGGCTCACCTCCTCCAGGAATCATTTTAGTATTGACTCTACCTCATCTGGTCTCCTCCTCAAATTGTATTAGCCGCCTGTCATGCTGACATCCTGTATACTTGTGTCATTCAACTGTCCTATATAATCATTCACTAAGTGCTGGGGCACAGCAGTCTTCAATTTAACTTAACCAGAGCCCTGAAAACAGCAATGGTTAAGAAATTCCCTCCTACCTTCCCCACACTTAGCTAAGACTTGCTGTCCACTCTTTCTCATGACTCCCTTAAGACTCTCAGTGAGATGAAATCTACTGAAAGGCCAGACACAGACCCTCCAACTCCCTGTTTTTTGTCTCATGAATGATTAACTGAGACTAGGAGTTTGTCTCCCTGAAACTAATTAGGCACAGAGATAAGCATTTCCTGTTCAGCTCACAGAGCCTCCCTCGATGGCAAAATCATCTCATCTGTAAACCACCCCACCTGTAACCCACCTACTCCTCCCTATAAAAACCTAAGGCAAAGCCACCTTCTGCAATTGATATGGTTTGGCTCTGTGTCCCCACCCAAATCTCATCTCGAATTGTAATCCCCACGTATTGAGGGAGGGAGGTGATTAGATCATGGTTGTGGTTTCCCCATGCTGTTCTCAGGATAGTGACTGAGTTCTCACGAGATCTGACGGTTTTATAAGTGTTTGAAAGTTCCTCCTTCGCTCTTCTCTCTCCTGCTGCCTTGTGAAGAAGGTGCCTGCCTCCTCTCACCTTCCTCCATAATCATAAGTTTCCTGAGGCCACCCCAGCCATATGGAACTGTGAGTCAATTAAACCTCTTTCCTTTATAAATTACCCAGTCCCTGGTAATTCTTTATAGCAGTGTGAAAACGGACTGCTACAGCAGTGCTCTGGCCTCGGTTCTGGGGTATTCTCCCTGTTGCAATATCTTAAATGAAGTTGATTTCTTTAGTTGTTTGTTTTTTGTCTTTGATAGAGGAGAGAGACAATAACCAAGTAAACAAAGCAGGTAATTTCTGGT
Organism: Homo sapiens; assembly: GCF_000001405.40. Classification (NCBI taxonomy): domain Eukaryota; kingdom Metazoa; phylum Chordata; class Mammalia; order Primates; family Hominidae; genus Homo; species Homo sapiens. The sequence continues at coordinate 94,925,203 of NC_000011.10, read as the reverse complement.
AATAGGTACCATGGAGATGATAAAACAGGGTAATATGGCAGGGAGCTGAGAAGTTCAAGACCTGCAGTTGGCAAGCTGGAGAGCCAGGAGGGCCAATGGTATAGTTCTGGTCTGAGAGTGAAGGCTTGAGAATCAGGAGAGTTGATGATGTGGGTTGCAGTCCAAGTCCAAAGGCAGAAGAAGACTGATGTCTCAGCTTGAAGGCACCTAGGCACCATGGTGGGATAAAGCAAGGTAAGAAAATCCATATGAGTAGTGAAAAGTGCAAGGAAAAGAAAGGAGGGGGATGAAGAAAGAGAATAATAACACCTCAAGGAACAAAGCTGCGTAGCTGCAGAGTCGCCCTCTGTTCTGCCTGCACAGGGCTGCCTAGGATGTTTATAGGCCCCAAACGGTCTTATTTAACCCATTTCCTGTTTAGAAAAAAAAAATGCAGCTCGCTGCCAGTGCTAATTTAATTTTACATAAACAGGCTCTTTGAGGCTGAAGCAAATCTGACTAATTTTTCGAAGTGAAAATGAAATATAAAAACTGTTCTTGGAGTTATTTCTAAACAGAACTTGTCTCTAATCCTAATGTAACAGAAATGTATACAATGTTACATTAAGATTAGAGACAAGAGTATTCTCAGGGCAAATGGGAAATGGGTTAAACGCAGGTGCTAAAGCTCACATGCATGTGAGAGCGTGTGTGGCCTTTACAGGGGGTGTGTGACAGGTGACTGAATGTGTTTAAGATGCAACAGGCTGTGCATGATTTGAGGATGTTAAGAAACTTTAGATTGGTATAGCCTGTCAGGCATAATTACATCAACTCTCTTCACCATCTCTGTCATGCATGCTGTCATGTCTGTCCCAGATCCCATTCACCCACCCTCCTGCAGCGAGTGCTGGCTGCTAACAGCTTGCAGCTGCCTCATTCTACAAAACGTTGCCCTGTCCAGCAGAAGCCCAGGCTCAGGAAGTCCCCCAACTTGGGGCTGACAGCCAACAATCGACTAAAGTGGGAAACCGAAGGCAGCCCTCTTGCCTTAGGGTTGGGGAAGGACAATTCTGCGGTGCAGCTGATGCTCCAGAGCCGACCTTTGCATCAGGCTGAGGACAGACTTCACCTGACATCACATCTTTGCCCAGCCCTTTCTCATTCCCCACCCTAGTCCTTCTCCCTAGCCTCTCTCCCTTATGGGTTTCACCCGAGAAGACTCCCTCATTAAATGACGTGGGCCCAAATCCCTGCACTGGGCTCTGCTTCCGGGCAACCTGGCCCAAGGCACACATGTCAATTCTTCTAACAGTGGTTCAGGCTAGTCTCTGGGAGTGTTAGTCCTCAGCCCATTCCAGAGGTCCAGAAGAAAATACAGATACACGCAAAGTTTGCAGCATGCCTCTACCTCCACCAACTCTTTCAGCCAGAGGGCAGCTGGCAGTGGAATGCGCACCATTGCCAGGGCTAAGCGGGATCCAGACCTTGCATCCTTGCCCTAGGCTTGAGCACCTGTCCTCCACCATGGCCCAGCCCTCAGTCCAGCAACACCCTCTGATACGTGGTGAGGGTGCCCTTTTTCCTGCTAGGCTGCCCTCCAACTCTAGTCAATAGGATGAGTCCAGAGCCCTGAATTCCTGCATTGCATGGCCCTTTGCTGTATTAACCCCCATGTCTGCCTGGAACTAGAGGGTATCCCTCCCCTCAGTTCAGTCTTACCAGAGTCATTATTTTCAGCTTCTATTTTGGTCTATGTGGAAATATTCTTTGGGCAATGCCTTAGGTTTGTTTGCCCTCCACATTTCAGGGGTCTCTGCAGACCAAATTTGGAGCATGGCTTCTGGCTCTGCCATTTACTAACCCCATGATCTTGGCCATGGTTGCTTCAGCTAATAAAAGAGGGGGGCTCCAATTGTACCTGCTTCAGATAGGTTAAATGAGACAATGCATGTAAAGCACCAGTGCCTGGCGCATGGAGAGAACTCCACATATGCAGGTGACTCTTAGTATTGCCACTGTCTCCAGTAGCAGCAGCCACAGCTTGTTTACCACCCCACAGAATTCAGAAAGCACCTTCACACTGAGGATCTGATTGGACCCTCACCACAGTCTCACTAAGCGGGTGGGGTGAGGTCTTGCTCCCAGCTGGCAGATGGGGAAGCTGTGATTGGAAGATTGCTCTGCTTGAGGTTACACAGCTGGTACACAAAATCAGATCATTCCTTCCTAGATCTTGTATTCCACCTCACTGCCTTGCGTCCAGCCTCCTGGGCCTTCAGTGGGCCTGGGCCATGTGTGGTCAGGGGAAGGGAGTATGTGATCATGGGAACTTGGTGTGTCTTCTTGAAAGGAGAAGTGCAGAAGAGACAGTCTGACAAGCGGATTCGGTGGTTCCTGTTTCTGTCTGGGCTCTGCATCAGTTGTCCTCCCTTGCTCTCTCCCTCTGTCCCTCCTCTATGCAGGCATTAACACCCACAGCATGCAGACACAGGGCTGCAAGATGCTTATTTATTCATTGAGAGCACATCAGCTGATTCCTTCTCTATCTGCCTGGAGGAGGCAGGTCAAGATGTGCCGACCTGTGCCCTGTCACTCCTGGGAGCTGGATTTGCTGGCCATACAGATATCCACAAAAAGAAAGCAGAAAGAAGATTTTCCTTAGGTAGGAGAGTACCCCGGAGATATGCATAAATGAATGCAATGTAATTTGCAAAGAAAATGCACAGAGGGGTGGGAAATGGAAAAGAGGTGAGATCTCTTTCAAGCCTCTGGTCACCATGGCAACAATGGCACCTTTTTAAAAAAAGGATAACTGATCATTTCAAGTCAGAGGCTTTTTTTTTTTTTAAACACATGAAGACATACTAGATCCCAGCCTCTTCCATAATCTGGAATAGATGCGTGGAAGGGGGAGTGTACGGCCCAACTCAACACACAGGTATAGAATCTTGGGGGCAAATGTGGATCTGAGCCAAGAAGTCCCTCATTTAGTCACCCTGACTCAGAGCATCCTTCTGAAAACACTTGGTCAGGCTAGTGGGAACCAAAAGATCCAATCCTGAGAGCCCATGCAGGGAGCGACTGTGGAGAGGTGGGATTGGCCTTTCCAGAAGAACCAATAGGGCTCACTCACCTGCAAGGGTTGGGGGTGGTGCTCACCACAATGGACAACAATATAGCAAGCTGTGTGGGACCTGTGATAGGCTAAATAATGATGTCTATGTCCTAATCCCTGGAATCTATGAATATGTTACTTTATATGGCAAAGGGAACTTTGCAGATGTAATTGAGAACCTTGAGATGGGGAGCTAATGCTAGGTTACACCCATGGCTCAACATAATCACAAGGATCATTATAAGGAGAAGGCAGGAGGATCAGAGCCAGAGAAGGTGATGTGTCAATGGAAGCTGAGGAAAACAGAGATGTGACGGTGGAGGCAGAGGCCATAGCCTCGAGAAGTTGAAAAAGTCAATGCAATGGGTTCTCCCCTAGAGCCTCCAGAAGGAAGGCAGCCCTGCTGACACCTTGATTTTATACTTCTGACCTCCAGAACTGCCAGGGAATAAGTGCATGGTATTTTAAGCTACTAAGTTTATGGTCATTTGATGTGGCAGCAATAGGAAACTCACATCAGGACTGATTTCTATAATGACATCAGTCATCATTGTTGAAATAAAGGGACCAGAAAACAATAATCTGCCAGTGAGTGATCATAGTCTCCAAACCTCTATGTGCCTGGCCCCTGACAGCAGGACAGGCCCCTTGAAATGAGTACGCCTGTGCTGGATCATGGAAGAAGAGATGCCTGGAGGAGAGGAAGAGCCCAGACTTCGGGGGAGGCATACAGTGTTCAGGAACACAGAGCCTTCTCCTCTTTTCCATGGAATATCTAGGGCAGGGGTGAGGGGGATGGGAAAAGGGAACATGAACTTCAGGTCTTTTAGAACCTCAGCCATGGTCAGAGGTCTCAAGTAGCTTTCTCAGCCCATGCAAACAGTTGGGGCCGGAAAATAGAACAAAGAAGGGATGTCAATATTGTCAGTGCTCATTAACAAATCTTGTCAATGATCACTTTCTAAATGTGGGGTGGCCATAAAGTCTGGAAATGAATAGTTACATTCTTGAATTTTAATGTAATAACAACTACTTATGCACATGCACATGTGTATACTGCATGTCTCTGGAAGCTGTCTTTCCTTCACATCCATGTGTCTCTCCTAATTCAGCCATCTTCATCTGTTACCTGGATTGCGGTAACAACTCCAACTGGTCCTCCTGCCTTTGCTCTTGCTACCCTCAAACGCATCCTCTACATGCTTTCCAAAATGTTGATGTTACTCTGTCATCTCCTAGATAAAAGCCTTTCCCTGGCTTCCCATTTCCCTTAAAGCCAAGATCCTTCACTTGTCTAGGCTAGCCCGTCCTCAAGGACAGTGATATTTGTTGGTTCAGAAGACTCACCAGCATGAGAACAGGGCATGTGCCTGGTAGACATCTTTGCATACTAACTAAACATCTTACAAAAATTTCTATGTCTTATCTTTTGCAACCACCACTTCTGCTCCAGACATACTAAAAATTTCTTGATTCCTTGCAAGAGTTCTGCTTGTCCTTCAAGCATTTGTACATTCCTGTTGTCTTGATATTTAGCCCTGATTTCCTTGCATTACTAACACCCACTCATCATTGAGGATTCAGTTCAAACATCCTCTACTCTGAGACTTGCCCTAATTCCTAGACTGAGTTCCCTTATTATAGAATCAGACAGTGTCTTGAACTTCCTCCACCATAACACTGTTCATACTTCATTTTAACTATGTGTTTAATTGTCATAGACCTTATGCTCAATAATAAGATCTCAACCTCAACACTGTTGACATTTGGGGCCTTGTATTCCACCTCACTGCCTCATGTCCAGCCTCCTGGGCCTTCAGTGGGCCCAGGCCATGTGTGGTCGGGGGAAGGGAGTATGTGATCATGGGAACTTGGTGTGTCTTCTTGAAAGGGGGAGTGCAGAAGAGACAGTCTGACAAGCGGATTCTGTGGCTTCTTTGTTGTGTAGTTCTTTATTGTGGGGGCTGTTCTATGTGTTATAGGATGTTCAGCAACATCCCTGTAGCAACCTCATCCCAAGTCAAGACCATCAAAAATGTATCCAGACATTGGCAAATGGCCCTTGGGAGCCAAAACCGCTCCATGTTGAGAACCACCTCTCTGCAACAGAGCTATGACTACCTCATTTACTTTGGTATTCCCAATGCCTAGCCAAGTACTTGGGCCACAGTGGGTACTAATAACTAATTGAGCAATTAAAACTCATGGGTGCCTAGTTGTGACATTGTGATGTAGTAAGAAATATATGTTTGGGATCTAACCCCAGTTCCTGACACAGAGCTCCCAAAGCATTTAAAATTTCCTGAGAGATAGGGGTGCCAGGTATACCTTTTTTTCCTGGTATTTGGCCTTTGACCCTGGCTCCTGACACAGAGCTTCTATCCCTTGGAATTTCCTGGGTGATAGGGGCATCTTTAGTTATTTTCTTTTTGTAGAGATGGGGTCTTGCTGTGTTGCCCAGGCTGGTCTCGAATTCCTGGGCTCAAATGATCCTCCCTTGGCCTCCCAAAGCACTGAAATTACAAGCGTGAGCCACTATGCCTGGCTGGGAGCATCTTTAGTTCTAATGAGGCAACTCTTGGTGGGTTTCTGGATGGGGGGCTGGTCACTTGAAAGACCAAGTCACGATCAGAAGCCTGGAAATTTCAGCTCCCATTCCCCATCCTCTGGGGAGGTGAGAGGAGCTGGAGATTAAGTTAATAATATATCTTGCCTATGTGATGAAGCCTCCATAAAAATTCCTCACCTATGGAGTTTGGAGAGCATCTGGGATGCTGAACACACGGAGGACGCTGTGCCCCAAGAGGACTTGAAAACTCCATGCCCCTTCCCCTATACCTTGCCCTATGCATCTCTTCCATCTGGCTCTTCATCTGGTCCTTTGCAATGTCCTTTATAATGAACCAGTAGATGTAGGTCAAACAGTTTCCTGAGTTCTGTGAGCCATTTTAGCAAATGATTGAACCTGGGGAAGGGGTTGTGGGAACCTCCAATTTACAACTGCTTGGTCACAAGTACTGGAGGTCTGGACTTGTGATCGGCATGTAAAGTGGGGGCAATTCAGTCTTGGGGGACTGAGCCCTTAAGCTGTGGGATCTGATGCTAACTCCAGGTAGTGTCAGAATTAAATTAAATTGTAGGACACACAGCTGGTATTGGGCAGAAAATTGATGTATGGGGGGAAAAAACTCATACTTCTATTAGGTCAGAAATGAAGTATTGAGTGCTGTGAGTGAGAATATAGTAGGAGAAAAAAGTTTGTTCTTTACACCAGGCCTTTGTAACCACTAGGTTGTTCTACCTGCCTTCTAGGCTGGGGTTCCTATATACAATGGCTTCTTCCCTTCCAGGGTCCATTATGTCCTTAGAGGTCTTGAAAATGGCTTCCCCTAGGGTGCTGGATAAACCTCTGAATCAAAATGAGGACTGTGGATGTTCCACAGATTTTAAGTGTCTGTCTCCCTTTAACATCATATCCCAGCTGAAGATGGCTATGAAGGTGAACTCTGAGGCTCTACACATTAGAAATTCTGCACGTTAAAAAGCTGTTTAGAATAGCGGAAAGGAGCAGTAGTCTGAGAGTCAGTTCTACCATCAGAAGCTCTATGACCTTCGACAATTCACTCTACCTCTCTGGGCCTCAGCTACCTTAGCTGTAAATTAAGGGACTTGGACTAGGAGATCACTGGCTTTTTCTAAACATCTACAATGCTGTGCTTCAGAAAATGGCATCATGGAAACTGCAAGAGAATAGCAGAACAGTTATGAAAAATAAATTATAGAGAAAGAAACAGCTGGCCTGGTACAGTGGCTCATGCCTGTAATCCCAGCACTTTGGGAGGCCGAGGTGGGAGGATCACTTGAGCCCAGGAGTTTGAGACCAGCCTGGGCAACAAAGTAAGATCTCGTCTCTAGAAAAAACAAAAGAAGCCGGGCATGGTGGCACATGCCTGTATTCCTGCTTACTCGGGAGGCTGAGGTGGGAGGATTTCTTGAGCCCAGGAGTTTGAAATTGCAGCGAGCTATGATTGAGCCACTGCACTTCAGCCTGGGTGGACAGAGCAAGATCTTGTCTCTCTCACACACATATACAAAAAGAACCCATCGAATTCAGTATCCCCCCTACAATACTCTGTTGTTCCTGTCTTAGGATATGCATTGATTTGACACTTGTATGATAGTATTTACATTGTGTTAGCTCCGCAGCTCAGCTCCCTGGAGGCAGGTACACTGTGTTGTACTTCCCTGTGTTACACAGAGCCTGTCACGCAGCAGTAGAGATAGCAAGCACTCAAACAGTGCCCACAACACAAATAGTGCTCTGAATAATGTCTAAAAGCACTCTTTTAATTCTGAACACTTCCCCGATAACTCATTTAGTCTTCAAACCAGTTCACAAGGTAGAATATATTATTATCGCCATTTTACAAATGTGGAGACTGAGGCACAGAGAGTTTAAGAAACTTACCCAATTTGCACAGGAAGTAGCCAAGCCAGGACTCCAGCTTAGGCAGATGGGGTCTGGTGTCTACTTATACTGCCTCAAGTAGGTGTTCAGCCAATATGTGGTGACAAATTGGTTGACTGAATAAGTAAATCTGTCAAGTGAGGCCTCAGGACAAGCTCCAGACTCTGCACAGAGCCATGGACAAACACACTGCAGGAAAAGCCCCCAGGTGAAGAGTTAGCCGCCCCAAGATGTATATTTTTGAATTGTGAAAAATAAGACACCTATAATTCATAGGCTCCAATACCCATACCCAGTACGGTACAGCATTTACCAAGATTATATAACCGGCCCAAGCACAAATATCCAAGTCTTAGTGAGCACTAACCCAGCTGTGCCTCAATTTAGCCCCAAACTTATCTCTTCCAAAGCTTCATTCATGCTCAGATTCAGGAGACACTCCCCAATATTCATCTCTAAGTTTTAAAGGAAACAAAAAGAAAGCCCACCTGGCTTGCTACACATTTATGTGTTTGGGGACTTTCTCTCCACATGTAACACATGTAAATGACAGGCATCTGTTATTCACTATGTGCAAAGGGAGCCACTCTAGAGGTAAAGACTTGAGTTATCAACCCAGTGCTACCATTTACCAGCAGTGGAATTTATTTTCTGAGCCTCAGCCTACTTGGCTGTCACATTGGTGATAGTAGGATCAACCTCATAAAGTCTTGGGAGGACTAAATACACGTGAAAGTGATGAAACACGTTTGTTCAGAATTGTTCTGAAAGGGGCACTGTTTACATTGTCTGCTGTCCATCTTGGCCCTGGGATGGCAACTCTAGCTGTTTGTTGATTTTTATAGTTGTTGGTCCATCCTGTCTGTAAATTTTCCTGAATAATGTCTAAAAGGGCTCTTTTAATTCAGGACATTATGAGAAATGCAAAAGGATTAATTGGGCAGAGAAAAAACACATATTAAGAAATCAATTTCAGTTGGTTTTTTAAGTCTGAGATGGCAATCTGCATGGTGGTGTAGAGCATAAGCCTGGGAGGCACTGAGGTCTGGGCTGAGTGTCAGCTCTGCAATTGTACCTCCTTGGGCCAGTTATTTACCTACTTAAGTCACAGTTTCCTGTTCTCTAAAATGGAAATAATAATAATAAATACTTTCGTAGGGTTTTTGTGAATATTAAATATGATGGTATTTCCATAGTGCTTAGCTGATTCAACATTAGCTATCGTTATTGAAACATACAACCATCTACATACAGTGAACAAGCATACCTAGTACGAAGCCTTAGAAATAAGGCTCCCCTGTAATTGGTTATGCAAGTGGCTAGGGTTGTGCATGTCCAGGTTGGAACTCTTGCCTCTCAATATCCCATTTCTGGGTCACCCTCTCCAGGCCAGATCCCATTTTGGTACATATCAGTCTACAGCACAGAGGACTTCTTTGAGTCATGGTAGATCTGCTACTACAGATAGTTTCAGTCTCTGGATTGCTCAAAGACTTCTTGTCTTAGCCATGATGATGCTTTCAACTGCAAAAAATTCAATTGCTCTGGCTAGTTCAGTTTCTGTTTGCAATTGCACAGAGAACATCATGCATTAAAAGAGAATGTTGGAGATGTCTTTAGTGTTTTGCCCAGAGAACGCCCGGATTAAAAGAGGTGCTTCATGAGTATTTACTGAATGAATGAATAATGTTATTGAAAAATGCCTCCTACAAAATGCTTACAAATAACCCCACCACAAGTGTTGGCTACAGCCACAGTGGAAGAAGTCCAGACTTCTGGGCGCTGCCCCATTTCTCAGGAGCCTTTTTCTTTGCTGGACATTGAATGTTCTCCTTAAATGCAGCAACTGCAGCTAAAAAATTGTGTCCTTTCAATAAAATGTGAATAATTTTTTAGTTTAATCGTTTGAATTTTTTTAGTTTAATCATTTCATTTTCATGCCATGGGGATTTCAAATGTAGTTTGAAAACTGGGAAGATCTATAATATAAAAGCATAGTACTATTGTTATATGTGAGTTAAGCTAGGAAAAGTTTAAAGCAAAAAGAGCCTGGAATTACTCTCTAGTGCTAATTTTCAGTAGCTATAACTATTTTTTTAACTTATCATTTTCTTTATCATTGGAGGGGAGAGAAAGAAAGCAAGCAGAGGTGGGGGTATGGTTACACTATTTAAGGAAGAGCTGAATACAAAGACAATGAGTCTTCCACAGTCTCAACAGTGGAACTCCACAATGAATAACTGTGGATTATCTCATTTATAATTTACATTGGATAAAAAAAAATTGGTTCCCCTCTGTGTATATCAATTGAATTCAAACCTTATTACCTTCAAAATACAAAGATGAATACCATAAGATAAACTCTAATTGCAATAGGTATTTTCTAAGTAGAAGACCAAACACCAAAGGGAATCCCTCTTTCCAATGTCTTTTGATATGACAAGATTTTGCCAGAGTGGAAGTTTAACACTTAAGTAAGCATTCTCATGGCCAAGTAAGAAACTACAGTTGTTGTGGGTACTACCCTACAATTACCATACGTATTACATACTAAAATCAGCATTAAATATACTTGTATAATTATGATAGCAGTGATGATGCTGGTGGAAAAAGCCTGTCTTTAGCCCAAGAAAAGTAAGGGAGGAAAAATGTAACAAGCAGAAAGTAAACACAGAGTTGGGCATTTTTTGACTAGGAAAGAGAATTTTAAGCATAGAAGTATAAAAAGAAAAGTACTCCCTTATTTCCCCTATGTGGAGATAATATGAAACATTTATTAGATATACTGGACAAGAACAGAACTAAGTACTCCAACTCTACTGCAGCATTACAGAAAAATCATCCCTTCACCACAATGTAAGATTTAAGGGCAACCTGCCCAAGGATGCATATTATATAAAACACAGCAAGATTGCTGCTGCCCTGCCAAGTATTTCCTGTCCCTACCCAGGTCCTACTGAAATACTGGTGGTCCCATTTAGTTTTATTGAAATAAATCTTTAAAGAAAAAGATAAAGCATTTAAAAAGACAAGTCAAAATGCTTCAGGAACCACATATCCAACACAAACTTTATCCTCAAATGAGTTATATTTGCCTCGCAGTAATAAACTTTTTTCACTCAAATTAGAGCAATAATCTTCCATACATAAATATCTTCCCTGCCCAATAATTCAAATACAAAAATCCAAAATGATTAGTAAAGAAAAATGTAAGAATTAACAGACCCTTTAAATTTGTTTAAAATATTTTTAAGGTTTAGAAAGTGTTTAAAGTTTGTAATTCCTAGTAGGGAAACATTATCTGAATGAATACCCTAATGGCAAACCACTGTAAAATGCTTCAGCTGCATTTGGGGGAGAGGGGTAGGGATTATCTTCAAAGCACCCCAGCTCTCTTGATGAGAAGGTTAGAGGTACACTGGTTTGTATTATTGCGACATCCATAAGGTGATCTAGGTTGCTTTTCCTTCAGCAAGGGCTTTATTTATCAGAAGGGCATTAGGCTTGACCTCCAAATTTGGCTGACAATTTACTGGTAAGATTCATAACCTTTGGGTTGCTCTGGTATTTTGACATATTTGCTGGGTTCTGAGCCACATCCTAGAAGGCCTTCATAACTTCTGGACCCTACATGGCTGCAAGAACCTCTGGATCACTAAGAATTTTATTGAGTCCAGGCATTTCAGCCATTCCAGGTATGCCCCCTCCCATTCCAGGCATTCTTCCAGGAAAATTACCAGGCATTCCCCCAGGAAAGTCACCTGGAAAAGACCCATACTGAGCTCCTGACTGTCTCTGGCTTATTCCTTGCTCTGGGCTCTCTCATGCTCTTCTCCAGCCTTCTTAACTCGTTCTATTCTTTCTTTGATCTCTCAGTCTTCATGTTTTTGCTCATACTTTCTCTGATGTTCTGCAATTTTCTGTGCCCTAGGTTGAACTTCTTTCAGCATTGCACTAGCATCTTCATCCTAATCCAATCTACAGGCAAGGGCAAGATCATGGGCTGCTTCTTCCCAGTGGCCTAGAAGTCTGTGTGCTTTCCCTCGCCATTTGCAAGGCTGAGCTGAATCAGGATTTATTTCAATGGCTCTGTCACAGTCTCAGATGGCAGCATTTGGCTTCTGTAATTTGACAAAGACACTGGCCCTCTTGGCATACAAAATGGCCAAGTGAAGATTCAGCTTGATGGCATCTGTGAATAAATCAATGGCTTTCTGCAGTTCACCATCATTTAGGGCTTCAACAGCAGCCAGTTTCTTATCATTTGCCTGATCCATCATCTCCTCTGTTATCTCTGCATTTTCATCTGCCATTTCTTGAGGGGCATCAGTGTCTAGTTCAATCACACCTTAATTATTAATTTCTAGATCACTTTCCTCACTTGATGTTTCGTATGCCTTTAAGTCTTCCTCCACCTTCTTGCTTTCAGGTTTTTCTTCCTTGGTATTTTCTTCTGATTTAGCTTTCTGAGTAGCAGGTGGTACTTTACCCCCCATGCTTTCCACCCACTCCCTCAGGAAGTGCTTTTCCTCAGTGTGCAGAACTCTCGGATCCTACTTACACATTTTTACAAAGGCCTGAAGCTCGTTCATGGTGGGGAGGCGGTGGGTGAAGCTGAGGGGCTGCGGCCCAGTTCCAGGCCCAGGCGCTGGCTCGGCGTGACTGCGCAGAAGTGGGCGGCTAGCTGTAACTATTTTTAAAGGGGTTTATTGTAGCAAAACTGTGTTTGAGAGATACAAAGAAAGAGAAGCACAAGATCAAGTCTTCTTTTGACTGATTCACTAAACAGTAGTTTGATTGCTGGGGATCTCTTACTACTGCAGGCAACAGACATCAGTTAAGTAAGTGGCTGAAGCACATCAGTACAGTCATGCCCTGCATGATGACATTTTGTTCAAGGACTAATTACACATACAAAGGTGGTCCCATAAGATTATGACAGAGTGGTAAAATTCCCTGTTGCCAAAATGCCGGCTGACATTGTAACTTTCTTAAGGGCACAGAACAAGCTATTACTCACATGTTTGTGATGACGCTGTTGTAAAGACATCTACTTGATGGCCAGTCATATTAAAAACTATAGCACATGCAATTAGGCACAGCACATAATACTTGATAATGATAATAAATGACTTACTGGTTTATATATTTACTATACTATACTTTTCATTGTTATTTTAGAGTGTACTCCTTCTACTTATCAAAAAAAAAGTTAACTGTAAAACAGCCTCAGGCAGATCCTTCATGGGGTATTTCAGAAGACAGCATTGTTATGGGAGATGACAGCTCCATGCATGGTACTGCCCCTGAAGACCTTCCAATGGGACATGATGTGGAGGTGGAAGACAGTGATATTGACCTGTGTAGGCTTAGGATACTGTGGGTGTTTGTGTCTTAGGTTTTAACAAAACAGTTGAAAAAGTAAAAAATAACAATAAAGCATTTTAAAGTAGAAAAAATTATAGAATAAGTATATAAAGAAAGAAAATACATTTGTACAACTATATAAAGTGTTTGTGTTCTAAGTGTTACTACAAAAAAGTCAAAGTTTTAAAAAATTGATGTTTATAAAGTAAAATTATAGCAAGCTAAGGTTAATTTATTATTGAAGAAAAAAGCCTTTTTCTATAAATTTAGTGTACATTGTTTATAAAGTCTACAGTAGTATACAGTAATGTCCTGGGCCTTCATATTTACTCACTACGCACTGACTCACCCAGAACAACTTCTAGTCCTGCAAGCTCCATTCATGATAAGAATAGGATTCATTCATTTTATTTTATTTTATTTTCATTTTTATTATTTTTGAGACAGAGTCTCGCTCTGTCACCCAGGCTAGAGTGCAGTGGCACGATCTCGGCTCACTGCAACCTCCGCCTCCCAGGTTCAAGCAATTCTCCTGCCTCAGCCTCCCGAGTAGCTGGGACTACAGGCACCCGCCACCATGCCTGGCTGATTTTTTGTATTTTAGTAGAGACAGAGTTTCACCGTGTTGCCCAGGCTGGTCTCGAACTCCTGAGCTCAAGCAATCTGCCCGCTTCGGCCCCGCAAAGTGCTAGGATTACAGGCGTGAGCTACCGCGTCCGGCCTTCATTCATTTTAAGTTCACATTTGGTCTAGACAATTACCCTTCCTGATCAAAAGCAAGCAGAACAAAGTCATCACAAAACTAGAGTGCGGGCTTAGGGAGAGCCACGATCTTGCCATGAGCACAATAGGAGCTTTATGCAAAGGGTATCAGGGAGAAACAAACCTCCTGAGCAACAAGATAATAATATTTGCTACATAAAATGAATTTTGATTAATAATGGATGCAAAACTTCATTTAGTAACACGGGCTCTGCTACAGGGAAATAGCTGCCCAGGGCATGCCAGTGGGGGCAATAGGGCAGAACTCAGAGGAAAGAATCCATAGAGCCTGTCCAAGAAATCAATTAGAATTGACTTGGAAATCAATACCACAATGTTATGGTATTCATAGTTATTTTTATGAGCTGCTTGAACAGTTGTACAGAATACAAACATGTTTTAGCTTTAATTATCCCCATCTCTGCCTTCACTGGTGTACCATGAAATCCAACTTTCCCATCTGTTAACAGCATGCTAGGCAGATTCTGTGGTGTAGCTGTGAATTTGAGGCATTCAAAGTCCAGTCCAGCCTAGTCCTGTGGAAAACTCCATCTCATATGATTTAAAACTTTCCTCATCCAACTGATGATTCAGAGAAAATACAGAGAACATGTTAAACACATACCTTGGGCATGCAATCAGCAAAATCCAGACTTTAAGGAAATGACATAAAACAAATGACCCAGTCTCTTCAAAACATAAATTGCAGGGGTTGCGGGAAGGGAAGAGAATGGTAGAAGATGGAAGAGGAATCTATAGATTAAAAGACATTTAAAAGATATACCAACTAATTACAGTGAGCGAACCCTGCTTGGATCCAGATTCAAACCAAATGTAAAAAATAAACATTTATTACACTTCTGACACAATTGGAATCTTGAACACTGACCATTTATTTACATCAAGAAACAGTGCAGTTCCCTTAAGTGATAGTACAATTGTGGTTATATTTTTTAAGGTATGTCCTTATCTTTTAGGGATATATCTTGAAATATTTATGGGTTAAATGACATCATGTCTGGGATTTGCTTCAGAACAATGCAGGATGGGGAAACTGATGAGGATACCGATGAAGTGAGATTGGCTGTGAGTTGTTAATTGTGGAGTAGCCGGACTTCTTCCTAGAGTGCAAGAGCGAAAGCTTGCCAGGCCTTCCAAAGGCTTAGGGGGCCTCTGCCTCTTCCTCTTTCTCATAGTCAAAGGGAGTCACAGGCCAGTCCTCCCTCAGTGGGGAGGGAGGCACTGTTCTCAGGAGGCACCTGCCACTGAGGCAGTCCTCAGAGACCCACACTATTCCAACAGGGCCTCCTGCCTTCCCTCCAAGCCCCATCCTTCTCACCTCTCTACCTATCCTCCCTCATAGAACCCACAGAGGATGTTCTAAAACTCATCCCTAAGTGCATCTTACAAGCTACTATTGGATCAAGTCCAAACTCATTAATGTGGCCCACAAGACCCTGCAAGGTTCTTCCTCTTCCTACCTTTCCAGTATCATCTCTGCACACTGCACCCCACCACTTGCCTAAGCTCTGTTTCAGTCCCTTCCATGCAACCTGTCTGGCTCCTCCAAGCTGTCACACAGGCTATCGCCTCTGCCACTTCCCACTCCCCACCCATCCCACCTTATTACCTGGTGGTTTGTCCCTCAAATCTTGGTTTAGATGCTCCCTACTCTAGGACGCCTCTCTCTGAGGAAGACATGACACTGGACGACCCAGATCCCACATCAAGGAAGGACTTGCTGCCGAGTCATGAGGAAAGCGTCAGGAGGCAGCATGTGGCTGTGGCTGTCAGCTCCACATCCAGCGACTGGCAGTTGGGACAGGGAAGCCCACAGTTTTAGCCTGACTCATAACCCTCTTGCAGGCAATCTTCTCTCCAGAACCCCTGCCTGGTTGGCCACAGCTTCTTCAGGATTGTACTGCAGTTCAGTTTCTTCCTCTGTCTGATTGGGCTTCATCCTGTTCCTTTCACAGAGGTTGATCCCTACTAAACATCTTGTACCCTAGACTCTGTCTCAGCAACTTTTTCCTGAGACTTCCATCTGCAGTACATTCCCATCTCACACCTCCTTCTGCCCCATTCTGGGTAAATGCCTCTTCTGGCTAATCTGATAACATGCCTTCTTTTCCCACCCTACCATGTCATCACTCTGCATTGCAACTGTTTATGTGAGAGTCTGTATCCCCCACCTAGACTCCACAGGGTAGGATGTGAGCATATCTTGCTCATCTTTGTATGCTCAGGGTATAGCACAATTCTTGGGATGTAATTGACATTTAATCAATGAATAGAAATCTTAGGTGGGCAGGGAATTGGAAATCAATATCAGAATCCCACCACTGACAGTATTCATAAATGAATGCCCCTTTCTAGAGATTTCCCAAGGTTTGGCTTGAAAAGCCATTGTTTATTAATGAAAGCAGCAACATTTCAGAGCTGCAAATATTTTAAAGAAGCAGCACCATTTTTAAATGGGTGGATCATTAAGAGAAACATGTTACAATGAGGTATTCAATGGGTGAAGCCATTCTTTGGAATACTCAAGACATTTAGGGATATTTTCCTACAGATATGTTCAAAAGGAGGTTTTAAAAATACTCAAACTGAACACTGAATGGAAACTGGTATTCCCTGGGATATGGAGGGACTGAGAATAATATGTGTGTGTGTGTGTGTGTGTGTGTGTGTATATAAAACTAATATATATATTATACATATATACTATATATATATTGTGTGTGTGCATATATATATATATATATATATATATATATATATATATATATATACACACATATGGTAGACTTTTGGGCACTTACTTCTTGTAATAGCCAAGGGCCTACCTGAGATCATTTTAGGCCCATTTTGTATAAGTAATCTGCAGCCAGGAAAAGACTGTCTGGATTCCCTTCATTAGTAGCTGCAGCATAATCAGAGCACAGAGAGAAAAAAGCAACTTATCCATCTCATTATGCTTTCTTCTCTCTTTCCGATGCCATCCCTCTGCCATCAAGCAGATTTGCCAAATCTCTGTAGAGCAAAAGTAATAAGAATATCTGGGCCAGGTATGGTGGCTCACGTCTGTAATCCCAGCACTTTGGGAGGCTGAGGCAGGTGGATCACCTGAAGCCAGGATTTCGAGACCATCCTGGCCACCACGGTGAAACCCCGTCTCTACTAAAAATACAAAAATTAGCCGGCTGTGGTGGTGTGTGCCTGTAGTCCCAGCTACTAAGGAGGCTGAGGCAGGAGAATCGCTTGAACCCAGGAGGCGGAAGTTGCAGTGAGCCAAGATGGCACCACTGCACTCCAGCCTGGGCAACAGAGTGAGACTCCATCTCAAAACAAACAAACTGACATTTACTGCATCTTCAATTCATGCCAGGGCTGTTCTGGGAACTTGAAGTTGGCTATCTGTGTAAATCTCACAGCAGCCCTGGGAAACAAATGTCTCCAAACAAATGAGGAAGCTGAAATGCAGATTAAGTTGCTGAAAGCTTATAGGAACATCAGAACCAAGGTTTGAATCCAGTTCTCTCTGACCCCATAGCCCATCCTCTAGGCCAAAACAATGTCACCTTGCAAACATGGCGCCTATATCCACTGACTGAGGCTGCTCTCAAGGGCAGGAGAAAGAGATGTGGGGCAACAATGCAGCCACTTCACAGGTGTGTGTTCTGTGGTGTCAGGAGAGGCCCTGTCGACAAGGTCCCAGGGAGCGGGCTTCTGTGCTTTCTGAAGCATGCCAACTGCATCTTTAGATGCAGATGGAGTAAGAGCAATTGGCTAAGAGCAGCCAAGACAACTGGCACAATACAATGGAAAAGAACACAGATTCTAGCATTAGACCTAGTTCAAATCCCAGTCCAGCCAATTCCTGGCTGTGTGTCCTTGGACAAGTGACTTAAGCACTCTGGCCTTGCCTCGTCTTCTCTGTAAATGGAAGATGGTTTTGTACATAACACAAGGGATGGAGAGGTTTAAATCACTGAAGTAATGCATGTTAAATGAATCATAAATGTAGATTCCCTTTTCCTCCACATAATATACCCTCCGAAGCCCCAGGGAAATCTTAGCAGTGACAAAGCAATGAAGACTTGGATGAGGATGGGCCTCTTGGGGACTGTGGGAAAGAGACAGGAAGATACTATTACCACCCCTCATTTTTTCCCTTTACTAGTTTTGAAGTTTTATGCATATGTCTGTCCTTTAAGTAGTTAGCCTGGCCCTTTTTTCATGCATATTTAATAGACCCTAATGATAGTATCATTCATTACCTTCCTCCCAAACTATTACAGAATTGTAGAGTTAATTAACTGTAGTCACCCTCTCCCAACTTACTGCTATTTTTGTCTAATATTTAAGTTGTATCCCTTTTTTTCCACAATACAAATTAGATGTCATTATTCATTATTATCACTGTCTTTTAGTACAAGCAATGTTTGGATGTATACAATATTTAGCATATTTATTGTTCACTGTCATTTTTTAATAGTGGTATGTAGTTTTTAAAAATAACAGCTTTAATGAAATATAATGCACATACCATAAAACTGTACATTCAAAGTATACATTTCAGTAGTTTTTAGTATATTCACATGGTTATGCAGCCATCAGGAGTATCAAATTTAAGAACATTTTCATCACCCTAAAAAGAAACTCTGTATTCATGACCAGTCATTTCCTATTCCCCTCTGCCCTCAGTCCCTGGCAATCACTAAGCTTCCTTCAGTCTGAACAGATTTGCCTATTCTGGATATTTCCTATAAATGGAATCATACAAAATACATAGTCTTTTGTCACTGGCTTCTTTCACTTAGCATAATATTTTCAAGGATTATTGAGGTAGCAGGTATTAGTACTTCATTCCTTTTTATTGCCATATAATATTCCATTGTATGAATATACCACATGTTGTTTATCCATTTATCAGTTGTTAGACCTTTGTATTGTTTCCACTTGTTAGCTATTATAAATCATGCCACAATTACCATTTTTGTACAAGTTTTCTGCAGATACATGCTCTTATTTCTCTTGGATGGATATTTAAGAGTGGAATTGCTGGGTCATATGCTAACTCTATGTTCATCCATTTGAGTAACTGCCATACTGATTTCCAAAGTGACTGCACCATTTTACAGTCCCACTAGCAATGTACGAGGGTTCCAGTTTTTCTATATCCTTACCATATTCGTTATTGTCGGTCTTTTTATATTAGTCAACCTAGTGGGTGTGAAGGGGCATTTCATTGTGGTTTTGATTCCTTAATGACTGCTGATGCTGAGCATCTTTTCCTATGTTTACTGGCCATTGTATATCTTCTTGGGAAAAATGTCTATTCAAATCATTTGCCTATTTTTAATTGGGTTATTAATCAGATATATCAGATATATTTTTTGCAGATATCTTCTCCCATTTTATTGGTTGTCTTTTCACTTTCTTGATAGTGTCTGAAGCACAAAAGTTTTACATTTTGATGAAGTCCAATTTATTTTTTTATTTTACTGCTTTTGCTTTTTGTGTCATATCTAAAACACTATGGCCTAAACCAAGGTCACAAAAATTTGCTTCTATCATTTCTTCTAAGAGTTTATGAGTTTTGGCTCTTACATTGGGTTTTTGATCCATTTTTAGTTAATTTTTGTATATGCTGTGAGATATGGATTTAACTTCATTCTTTTGCATATGATATCCAGTTGTCCCAGTATCATTTGTTGAGAAGACTCGTCTTCCCCTACTGAATTGTCTTTAACTCTTGTCAAAAATTAATTGACCATAAATACAAGGGTTTATTTTTAGATTTGCAATTCTATTCCATTGACCTACATGTCTGTATTTAGGCCTGTAACACACTGTTTTGATTACTATAGCTTTGTAGTAACTTTTGAAATGAGAAGTATGAGTCCTCCTACTTTTTTTCTTTTTCAAGGTTGTTTGAACTGCTCTAGGTCTCTGGCATTTTTATATGAATTTTATGGTCAGCCTGTCAATTTCTGCAAAAGAAAACCGTAACTGGAGTTTTGATAAGAATAATATTGAATCTGTAAATAAATTTGGGGGTACAGACATACCTCATTTTTTTGTGTTTCATTTTATTGCACTTTGCAAAGACTACATTTTTGAATGCAGTTTTTTGCCACAAATTGAAGGTTTGCAGCAACCCTGTTTTGAGCAAGTCTATTGGTGCCATTTTTCCAACATGTGCTGACTTCCTATCTTTGTCACATTTTGGTAATTTTCACAATATTTTAATTTTTTCATCATTATTATATGTGTTATGGTGATCTATAATCAGTGATCTTTGATGTTACTATTGTGATTGTTTTGGGATGCCATGAACTGTGTCCATTAAAGGTTACAAACTTTAATAAATGTTATGTGTAAATAACATCTATTAAATGTTAAAACTGGTTCCAATAAATGTTATGTGTGTTCTGATTGTTCCACTGACCAGCCATTCTCCTGTTTCTCTCAATCTCCTTTCAATATTCTCCAGGAATATTGAAATTAGGCCAACTAATAAGCCTACAATGGCCTCTAAGTGTTCAAGTGAAAGGGAAAGTTACACATCTCTTACTTTAAATCAAAAGCTAGAAATGATTAAGCTTAGTGAGGAAGGCATATCAAAAGCCCAGACAGGCTGAAAGCTAGGCCTCTTGTGCCAAATAGTTAACCAAGTTGTGAATGCAAAGGAAAAGTTCTTGAAGAAAATGAAAAGTGTTATTCCAGTGAACACAAATGATAAGAAAGCAAAACAGCCTTATTGCTGATATGGAGAAAGTTAGTGGTCTGGAAAGAAGATCAAATCATCCACAGCATTCCCTTAAGCCAAAGCCTAATCCAGAGCAATGCTCTAACTTTCTTCAATTCTGTGGAGGCTGAAAGAGGTGAAGAAGCTGAAGGAGAAAAATTTGAAGCAAGCAGATGTTGGTTCATGAAGTTTAAGGAAAGAAGCCACCTTCCTAACATGAAAGTGCAAGGCAAAGCAGCAAGTGCTGATGTAGAAGCTGCAGAAGTTATCCGGGATATCTAAGATAACTGATGAAGTCATCTACACTAAACAACATATTTTCAATGTAAACAAAACAGCCTTCTATAAGAGGAAGATGCCATCTAGGACTTTCATAGCTAGAGAGGAGAAGTCAATGCCTGGCTTCACAGATTCAAAGGATAGACTGACTCTCTTATTAGGGGCTAATGCAGCTGGTGACTTTAAGTTGAAGCCAGTTCTCATTTGCCATTCTAAAACTCCTAAGACCCTTAAGAATTATCTTAAATTGACTATCTGTGCTCTCTCAATGGAACAACAAAGTCTCAATGACAGCACATCTGTTTACAGCATAGCTTACTGAATATTTCAAGCCTACTGTCGAGACTTACTGCTCAGAAAAGGAAATTTCTTTGAAAATATTACTGCTCATTGACAATGCACCTGACCACCCAAGAGCTCTGTTGGAAACATACAAGGAGAGGAATGTTGTTCTCATGCCTGCTGACACAACATCCATTCTGCTGCCCATGGATCAAGTTCTAATTCCAACTTTCAAATCTTATTATTTAAGAAATTCATTTTGTAAGCCTATCACTGCCATAGGTAGTGATTATTTTGATTGTTCTGAGCAAAGTAAATTGAAAATCTTTTGGAAAGAATTCACCATTCTAGGTGCCATTAAGAACATTCATGATTCATGGAAGGAGTTCAAAATATCAAAATTAACAGGAGCTGGAATAAGTTGATTCCATTCAATCCTCATAAATAACTATGAGGAGCTCAAGACTTCAGTAGATGTAAGTGTGCAGCTTTATTTCTGAGTTTTCTATTCTGTTTCGTTGGTGTATGTGTCTGTTTTTGTACCAGTACCATGCTATTTTGGTTACTATAGTCTTACAGTATAGTTTGAAGTCAGGTAGTATGATTCCAGCTTTGTTCTTTTTGCTTAGGATTGCTTTGGCTGTTTGGGCTGTTTTTGGTTCCATATGAATTTTAGAATAGTTTTTTCCTAATTCTGTGAAAAATATCATTAGTAGTTTGATAGAAATAGCATTGAATCTGTAAATTGCTTTGGGCAGTATGGCCATTTTAATATGATTTTTTCCAATCCATGAGCATAAAATGATTTTCCATTTACTTGTGTCATCTCTGATTTCTTTCAGCAGTGTTTTGTACCTCTCCTTATAGAGATCTTTCACCTCCTTGGTTAGCTGTATTCCTAGGTATTTCATATTCTTTGTGGCTATTATAAATGGGGTTGTTATCTTGATTTGAATCTCTGCCTGGACATTATTGGTATGTAGAAATGCTACTGATTTTTGTACATCGATTTTGTATCTCAAAACCTTACTAAAAGTATCAGTTCTAGTAGCCTTTTGGCAGTCTTTAGGGTTTCTAGATATAGAATCATATCATCAGTGAAGAGAGATAGTTGGACTTCTTCTTTTCTTATTTGGATGCCTTTTATTTATTTCTCTTGCCTGATTGCTCCGACCAAGACTTCCAGCACTATGTTGAATAGGAGTGGTGACAGTGGGCATCCTTGTCTTGTTTTGTTTCTCAAGGGGAATGGTTCCAGCTTTTGCCCATTCAGTATGATGTTGGCTGTGGGTTTGTCATAAATGGCTCCTATTATTTTGTGGTATGTTCCTTCAGTGCCTAGTCTGTTGAGGGTTTTTATCATGAAAACATTTTCAATTTTATCAAAACCTTTTTCTATATCAATTGAGATGATCATATGGTTATTGCTTTTAATTCTGTTTATGTGGGGAACCACATTTATTGATTTGCATATGTTGAATCAGTCTTGCATCTCTGGAATAAAGTGTACTTTATCATGGTGTATTAACTTTTTAGTGCTGGATGGTGCTGCTGAATTCTGTTTGCTGGTATTTTGTTGAGGATTTTTGCATCTATGTTAATCAGAGATATTGGTCTGAAGTTTTCTATTTTCATTTTGTCTCTGCCAGATTTTGGTATCAGGCTGATTAGGGAGGAGTTGGAGAAGAGCCCCTCCTCCTCAAGTTTTATGAAATAGTTTCAGTAGGATCTGATCTTCTACAAGGCTGACAGAAACAAGCAATGGGGAAAGGACTACCCTATTCAGTAAATGGTGCTGGGATAACTAGCTAGCAGAAGAATGAAACTGGATCCTTGCCTTTCACCATATACAAAAATTAACTCAAGATGGATTAGCAATTTAAATGTAAGATCTCAAACATAAAAATCCTAGAAGATAACCTGGGAAATACCCTTCTCAACACTGGCCTTGGCAAACAATTTTTGGTTTTCCTCAAAAGCGATTGCAACAAAAACATATATTGACAAGTGGGAAATAATTTAACTAAAGAGCTTCTACACAGCAAAATAAACTATCAATAGAGTAATAACTAACAGTAAACTATTGTTCTATCAACCTACAGAATGGGAAAAAATATTTGCAAACTATGCATATAACAAAGGCCTAATATCCAGAACCTTTAAGGAACTTAAACAATTGAACAAGCAAAAACCAAATCATCCCATTAGAAAATGGGCAAAGGACATGAATAGACAGTTCTCAAAAGACCACGTTCAAGCCGCTAGCAAAACATGGAAAAGTGTTCATCATTGCTAATCATCAGAGAAATGCAAATCAACACCCCAATGAGATACCATCTCACACCAGTCAGAATGGCTGTCATTAAAAAGTCAAAACACATACTGGTGAAGATGCAGAGAAAAAGTAATGCTTACACACTGTTGGTGGGAATGTAAATTAGCTCAGTCACTGTGAAAAGCCACTTGGAGATTTCTCAAATAACTTAAAATAGAGCTACCATTCAACCCAGCAATCCCATTACTGGATATATACCCAAAGGGAAATAGATCATTCTACCAAAAAGATATATGCACTCATATGCTCTTCACCACACTATTCACAGTAGCAAAGGCCTGGACTCAACCTAAGTGCCCATCAATGGTGGATTGGATTAAAAAATGTAGTACATATACACCATGGAATACTATACAGCCATAAAAAGAATGAAATCATGTCCTTCACAGCAACATGGGTAGAGCTGAAGGCCATAAACCTAAGTGAATTAATGTAAGAGGAAAAAACCAAATACTGCATGTGATTACTTATAAGTGAGAGGTAAACATTGAGCACACATGGACATAAACATGGGAACAATAGACAATGCAGACCACTAGAATAGAGAGGCAGAGATGGGGGTGTGGGTTGAAAAGCTACCTATTGGGTACTACACTCACTGTACATGTAGCCTCATATCTAAAATAAAAGTGGAAACTAAAAAAAGTAAAAGACTTCGGTGGAGGAAGTCACTGAAAATATAGTGGAAGTAGCAGGAGAACTAGAATTGGAATTAGAAGTGGAGCCTGAAGATCTGATTGAATTGCTGCAATCTCATAATACAACTTGGATAAATGAGTTGCTTCTTATGCATAAGCAAAGAAAGTGGTTCCTTGAGATGGAATCTGTTGGTGAAAATGCTGTGAAATTGTTGAAATGCCAACCAAATATTTAGAATATTATATAAACTTAGTTGATAAAGCAGTGGCAGGATATGAGAGGGTTGACTTTGATTTTGAAAGAAGTTCTACTGTGGGTAAAATGCTGTCAAACAGCGTGACATGCTACAGAGAAATCTTTCATGAAATGAAGTCAATCAATGCAGCAAACCTCATTGTTGTCTTATTTTAAGAAAATGCCACAGACACTCCAATCTTGAGCAACTACCACCCTGATCAGTCACCAGCCATCAACATCAAGGCAAGACCCTCAACCAACAAAAAAAATACAGCTTGCTGCATGCTCAGTTAATTAACATTTTCTAGCAAAGTATTTCTAATTAAGGCATGTACGTTGTGTTTTTAGACATGTTATTACACACTTAGTAGGTTAGAGTGCAAACATAACTTTTATATGCATTGAGAAAACAAAAAATTTGTGTGACTTGATTTATGGCAGTATTTGCTTTATTGTGGTGGTCTGGAACCAAACCCACAATATCTCCTTGTATTGCCATCTTAACAATTTTAAGTCTTTGGATCCATAAACACAGTACATTTTCCTATTTATTTAGGCCTTATTTAATTTCTTTCAACAATGTTTTGTAGTTTTCAGTATAAAAATCTTACAATTATTTTGTTATATTTATTCCTAAGTAGTTTATTCTTCTTGATGCTATTGTATATAGAATCATATTCTTAATTTCATTTTCAGCTTATTTATTGCTGGTATATAGAAATACTATCAATCTTTGTATATTTATCTTCTATCCTGCACCTAGCTAAACTCATTTGTTAATTTTAATATTTGTTTTTGTGATGGTGGATTACTTAGAATATTCTATATACATGATCGTGTCATTTGTGAACAAAAATAATTTTACTTCCTTTCCAATCTGGATGTCTTTTATTTCTCATTCTTGCCTGATTGCCCTGGCTAGAATACAATATTGAAGAGATGTGGCAAGATCTATCATTCTTGTCTTGTCCATAATCTTAGGGAAAAAGCATTTATTCTTTCATCATAAGTACAATGTTAGCTGTGGACTTTTTTTTTTTTCGTAGTTCTTACAGGTTGAGGAAGTTTCCCTTCTATTCTGATTTTGTTTAGTGTATTTTTCATGAAAGGGTGCTAGATTTTGTCAAATGCTTTTTCTACATGTATTTAGATGATCATGCTGTTTTTGTCTTTTGTTCTACTGATATGGTTTATTACATTGATTGCTTTTGAATTTTGAACAACCTCGCATTCCTAGAATAAACCTCAGTTAGTCATGGTATATAATCCTTCTTAAAGGTTGCTGAATTTAGTTTCCTAGTATTTTGTTGAGGATTTTTGCCTCCATATTCAAAAGCGATATTGTTCTGCAGTTTTTTTTTTTTCTTGTGATGTCTTGGTCTGGTTTTGGCATCAGGGTAATACTAGCCTCATGGGATGAGTTGGGAAATGTTCCCACCTTATTCATTTTTTGGAAGAGTTTGTGAAGGATTGGTATTAACTCTTTTTTAAATGTTGGGTAGAATTCATCAGAGAAGGCATCAAGTTTTTAGTATATTCACAGAGTTGTGCAAAACTCACTAGAATTTAATTTTAGAGCATTTCTGTCACTCCCCAAAGAAACCCTGTAGTCACTAGCAGTAACACCTCACTTCCCTCAGCCTCAGGCAACCACTACTTTATTTTCTCTCCTTGTAGATTTGCCTATCCTAGACATTTTATATAAGTTAAATCATATAATATGCAGCACTTTATGACCAGTTTCTTTCACTTAGAAGACTGTTTTCAAGGTTCATCAATCCGTGTGTCACTACTTCATTCATTTTAGCTGCTGAATCGTATTCCACTGCATGAATATACCACATTTTGTTTATCGTCTGTTGAGAGACATTTGGGTTGTTCTCACATTTGCCTATGATAAATAATCCTGCTATGAACATTTGTGTAAAAGTTTTTGTATGGATTAGCAATGTTTTGTTTTTAAAATGATATTTGCAGCAGATTTTTATCTAGCACTTTAGTTGTTTTCATCAGCTGAATTGCCAGAAACATAAATCAAATTTTGCTTTTCTCACTGAGCTTGTACTACCTAATTGGAGCAAGGAATGTGGTCAAAGGATGTGGTGGCCTAGCATAAAGAGAATCTCTAGCAGTTTCATACCTGAGGGCTTTATGCAGGGGAATACAGGACCCTAAATAAAGGAACAAAGAAATCCATCCATCCATCCATCCATCCATCCATCCATCCATCCATCCATCCATATACTTCATTCATTCATTAACTAATAGTTTTTGAGCATCTACTGCATATGGGCCAGGCCCTGTGTGAGGGAGGCTGAAAATTCAAATGAATGTAAGACAGACCTGGTCTCTACCTTCTGAGAGCTTACATTTTAACAGAAAACAACCAAACAGGCAAATTTCCACACAGTATGATAGCTACAATGCAAATGGAAGAACAGGGGCCTATGGGAGCAAAGAGGAGGGCTCACCACCCAGTGGGGAGAGGGCCGGAAGTCTTCCCAGAGGCAATGGGAGCTACAGAAGAACTTCAATTGTGTATTGGTGAGGTAGGGGGTTGATGTGGGGGTGAAACTACCCTGCAACATTGAGTTCTTTATCTAGGAACCCTGATGGAGCAATGAATTTCAAAACCCGGGTCCATCTTTTGATAGAACTGCCCAAAATGAGTTTAACACGGTGCTTGGCAGACACAGAACAGGTGCTCTGTGTGTGTGTGTGTTTGTGTGTGTGTGTATACACACATATATACATAATGAATCCACGGTAAACCTAACTGTACACCCACCCCAGTTCATTGTAATCTAGGTGTCTTCCTAGATTTGCAAACCGCTGATAAGAGATTTTTCTTTTTCAAGAGCAGAGATGAATTAGAGAATATAAAGCTTGTTCTTCAAATCAGTTATCTAAACTGCAGGGCTGTCCAGTAGAAATTTCTGTGATGACAGAAACGTTCTAGACTTGTGATCTCTTACATGATAGTCACTAGCCACAAGTAGCTACTGAGTGCTTGAAATGTGGCTAGTGTGACCGAGTCACTCAGTTTTAAATTTTATTTAATTTTAATTAATTTCAATTCAAGCAGTCAGATGTGACTAGTGGCTACCGTGTTGAATAGAACAGCAGAAACACTGTTGCTACTAAAAGTGCATTATGAATGCACTTTTCAAAGAGCTTTACCTCTCTTATCCCTTATTGTCACTTGATCCTCACAACAGTCCTGTGAAAGATGTATACCAGGCACCATTCATCTCATTTTACAGATAAGGAATCTGAGGCCCAGAGAGGTTCCCAGCTAAAGACTGATCTGGGCCTGGAGTCCTGGGATCCTGAACAATTAAGGAGACTGGTGTTCTTGCCCTCCAGCCATCAGAGGATGACTGTAAGGCCCAAATAATGTCTTGTCTCATTGCTATGAGTGTATAAAGGATTGAGCAGATGCCTGGAGCTAGCATTGGAGTAGCAGAATTTCCAAGTCCAGATCCTAGGGAGAATGGTGGTCATTCCCATGATGGGCCACTAGAGGGGGCTTGCTGCTCTAACACGAGGTTATTTCTTTTTAGTTATTACCTTTATAGTTCAGGGTGCCAAGACTTTGCAGCACATCTTTTCAAGGTGGAACAGATGGTTAACTTCTTGGCAATATTTCTATGTCATTTGCAGATGTTGGCTCAAAAATACCTTTCCTTGAGGTCCAAATGTACTGATTAAGTTCAGTTTTTTGGCCTAAAGTTATTTAGAGGCAAATTTCCAAAATATCATTAAGCCTTACCAGCCATTTTCTGAAAGCAGGCTTGAATAGGAGGAAAAAAGAACAAGTGAGTAATGGGAAGAGGAACAGAGTTGTGAAGAGGTAAAATTTATGGAAAAATTAGGTCACTGAAAAAGGAGAAGAGGAAAATGAAGATAAGCCTTATTATTAGTTTAATTCCTCTTTCACTGTAACAAGAAAAACACACAAGAATTTAAAGGCACTCCAATTATCTTACCTGTGGCTGGATAGGGAGGACTGCATGTCCCCCTGGGACAAGGCCACAGTCTCTGATTTTTAATACTTCCATCTTATCCCAAGAGGAGACACTCTCCCCCAGGACTTAAGCAACACTTCTTGCCTATTTTCCTGTTCAAAATTATAAACAAGGTAGACAGGGAGGCAACACTGCTTGCATTCTATCAGAAACTGAGCCTTGGATTGCCCGATGACCTGCCCAAGACCACTGAGCTAGTAAATAGGAGAACCAGATTTACAGCCGGGTCTATGTGACTTAGCCTGACAATGTACAGTTGTGCAGGTTATTCTCTATCTAGTAGCAGGAAGTGACATGTACATAGGTATCTCCATATATATATATATATATATATTCGCTATTTTCCAGCAAATGGCAATCAACTGACTTGAGGGAGGAATACCCATTGTCTAATTTGCAAAAGATACCATTTGAGCTCTCAGTAGCCCTGGTATGGCTGCTGTCACTCCTCTATCCACAAGGAAGCGAAGCTATGACAGGCTGTTCCAAAAGCCCAGGAACTCAGCCTTGAGGGCTGCTCCTGCTCAGTCAGCGTCCTCATGCACATTTGTGCAGACTAATTTCAAGGTCTACTGAGAACCTTCTGACTCCAAGCCAGGCCTTTGGGTACGGAAAGAGGCTAGAGGTCAGAGAAAGATGCCATTGGTGAAGAAGAATTTGAAAAAAAAAAATCTACCAAACAAGAACAAAAAATCCACTCCCTCTTGACCAGGAAGGAGCAGAAGCACAGTAGGGTGACAAAAATACATGGACTCTAGAGCCAGCCAGACAGTGGGTCAAATCCAGGCTCCGTTACTCACTAGCTGGTTGACAGGCAGTGAGTCACCTTATTTCTCTGAGCCTGTTTCCTCATCTGTAAATGATGGGTGGTTGGCTGCATGCTCTTTCAAAGGTTGTTGTGATGATTAAATGAAATAATACATGTAGAGGATCTGACATGGTACCAGGCATGGTCAGGGTTTTTTAAAATTCAGCCACTGTATTGCTATTTGATGTCAGGTCAGCAGTCAGAGATGTCAGCCTGGAGGGCTGGGCTGGGGATAGAGAAGTCGCAGACGTAGAGCCAAGAAACCCTCTGCATTCCTGGTTGTAGCCCAAAGAGACTAGGCAGCTGGGGGAAAACTGGCCATCCACGCATCCCACCCTCAATTATTAACAGGAGGGTTTGGGAAGAAATGATCTGATATGGGTGCTAAGCATCCCTGCAAGTTTCCACTAGATATGCCAAGAACACAAGTCCCTGAGTGCTCTTTACCCAGATCATTTCTCAGAGTTGTGTTTGCAGCCAGCAGTCTTGAGGGATGAGGTAATGTCTTCCTTTGGACAACGAGCAGGCTTGCTTACCACTCATTATAAAAGCAGTAGATTTCTTAAACTCAGTGTCCCTCAGCAATAATGCAAACTCACTGCATGTATAGCATCTACCAGGGGCCCCCTGCATTGCCCTGTATGACTTGGGGGAATGGAAAACTGATGCCAACATGGTACTCATGCTGCTGGCTATGTTATGAATAACAAAGAGACCTAGGAGTATCATGTCTTCCAAAAACATTCATAACACATTAACAAACTTGCTTATTACTTTGGAAGTAGGGTAAAATTCCAGACCCTGATGGGAGACTTTCAGAATCTTCTGGTTCAGAGGAGGGACTACAGGAACTTGTCATTTAAAAACTTTTAATTTTGAAGTTGCATTTGACTATCAAACACATGAGGGGTTGGGTAAAAGAAAAAGAATTTATTGAAATCTATTAAAATACCTGCCCCTCTCCCTAAAAGTCCCCTTTGACATTAACATAGCCTTGGATGGGACTTTATGAGTGCAGGCAGGCAGGGGAGTTGGATCAGGAGTTGTACCCCTGGTCAGGCTACCAGCTCTATCCTACAGGGTGGCTTTGGCTTGAGGGGTGGGGTGCAACAGTATATTAATGATGGAGTATACAGTTTCTCCTACCTCCTGGGAATAGAGGGCTGAGGCTGAGTGGCTCAAATTTTAAGAGATTTCAAAATTAAGTTACTGATCTTTAGTATTATTAAAGAAGAGCTGAAATTGGGGATTTTAAGTCACAAACAACAAGGATCTTCTGTTTCTATTTTATTAACCATGTTGTATGTATACTTTGCTGGTAGCCCCCTCAATTCCTTGTGGAAAAGATAAAAGATAAAAAACAAGCAAGCAAGATCAAGATGGCTGATGGACCACCCAACACTTGCCTTCTCTACAAAGAAGGATCAAACAACAAATAGATAACCACACATTAAATACAGCATCTAAGAATTCAGCAAAGAAGAGATAAAGACACTCTGAGGCATGGAAACTTGAGATGTATAGGATGGGAAGTAAAGCAGCCAGCCAGAACTGGCTTGGAGCTGAGAGCCCCCTGCCCCCTTATTGCAGGAAAAAGGTAGGCAGGAGATCCCCAGCAGTCCACATTCCCACCACAGACACCTGAAATCCTGACTACAGGAGAGCGCCACAGCCCTCACAGGCCCTGAGCCTGATATAGGGAGCTTCCCGGACTCCACATGACTGCATTGCCCCAGAGTGGGAATCTACATCAGGTGCCCCTCACCCTTTGGGACCCAGGCTGCTACAGTATGGTACAATTTTAAGAGCTGAGCCACCACCAAACTTCATCTTGACCTGAGCCCCAATAGCCCCCTGCCTCTCCACACCACTGGGACACCAATGATATCCACCCTATCACTCATCCAAAGAGCTGCAGCATTATGACACTAGCTGGACCCAGTGGTGAATTTGTGTTGCTGGCGTCTAAGCCCATTCAGTGCCCTACCTCCTGGGTAACAGGTGGTCCAGCACATCAGGGAAGCTGCCCACAGGATATAGGAAGGCAAAGCATGGGCTCCTCAGAACCCGAGAGCCACTTGCCTGGAGCTACCACTGCTAGCAGTGATCCTGCCCCCTGCAGTGTCAGGGCTACTATATGCCCACGTGTGCCCCACCCGGGACGAAAGGATAAGCCTGCCCAGGGGCCCCAACCCCAGAAAAATTACCTGATGGCTTCCACAAACACAGACTAAGCCACTGAGGAGCTCGCAGACACCACTGATGTTGGATACAGCCAAAGAAATCATACAAAGACTATACTACTGTGTTCACCCAGAACCAAAACCAAAGTGCCCCAACCAACCAACACTATAGATACATCTATGGGAAAACATCTTTTCCTACAAAAGCTACTCCATCAAATTGGAAGAAGTGACTGTTACACTATATGTGCAGATGTCAACATAAGGACACACAAAAAAATGAAAATTCAAGGAATATGACACCTCCAAAGGAACATAATTCTCCAGTAACAGACCCCAAAGAAAAGAAAATCTATGAAATGCCTGGAAAGGAATTCAAAATAATAATCCTAAGGAAACTTAGTGAGATATGAGAACACAGGTAGATAATACAAAAAAAAAAACATGAAAACAACTCATGATCTGAATGAGAAATCCAATCGAGATGTATATAATTTTTAAAAAACCAAGCAGAATTTTGGAGCTGAAGAATTCAATGAATAAAATGAAAAATACAATGGATAGCTTCAACAATATACCACATCAAGCAGAAAAAAATTTCTGAACTCACAGTTCTTTTGAAATAACCCAATTTGACAAAGAAAAAAGAATAAAGAAGGCCTACATGACATATAGAACACCCTTATGCAACAAATATTCACATTTTGGGAGTTCCAGAGGGAGAAGAGATAGGAAAGTGCATAGAAAACCTATATAATAAAATAATAGCTGAACAGTTCCCAAGTCTTCAGAGAGATACATCTAAATACAAGAAGCTTAAAAGATTCCTAAATAGATTCAACCCAAAAAGGTCCTCCCAGAGGCATATTACACTTAAACTATGAAAAGTCAAAGACAAAGAGGATTCTAATAATAGCAAAAGAAAATAATCAAGTCACATGTAAGAGAATTTCCACCAAACTAACAGCATATTTCTAAGAAGAAACCTTATAGGCCAGGAGATAATAAAGTCAAAGTGGTTTTTGTTTTGTTTTGTTTTGTTTTTAAAAAAACCCTGCCAGCCAAGAATGCTACACAGAGAAAGCTATCCTTCAGAAATGAAAAAGAAATAAACTCTTTTCTCAGACAAAAACTGAGGGAATTTAACACCACTAGACCAGTCCTACAAGAAATGCTTAAGTGAGCATCTGGAAACAAAAGAACAATATCTATCCTCATGAAAACACACAGAAGTATAAAACTCACTGGTAGAACAGATATACAAGTGAGAAAAAAAGAATCAAATGTTATTATTATAAAAAACTACCAAGCACAAAAGATAAACAATAAGAGGAAGAAAAAGAAAATGATATGCAAAACTATCAGAAAATAATTAACTAAATACAGCAGTAAGTCCTCATCTGCCAATAGCAACCTTACATGTAAATTGTTTAAAGCTCTCAGCTAAAAGATATAGACTGGCTGAATGAATTTTTAAAAAGCAAGACTCAACTATATGCTGACTGCAAGAAATTCACTTCACCTGTAAAGACACACAGACCGAATGTGAAGGGATGAAAAAAGATATTCCATGCAAGCAGAAAAAAGTGTGCAGGAGTAGTTACGCTTATATCAGACAAAGTAGACTTTAAATCAAAAGCATAAAAAGAGGCAGAAAAGGCCATCATATAATGATAAAGAGATAAACTCAGCAAGAGAAGATAGCAATTGTAAATTATGTGCACCCAACATCAGAGCACCCAGATATATAAAGCAAATGTTATTAGAGTTAGAGATACCTCAATACAATAATAGTTGGGGACTTCAGCACCCCACTTTCAGAACTGGTTAGCTCATCTAGACAAAATCAACAGAAACATGAAACTTAAACTGTACTATCAACAAAATGAACCTAACAGACATTTATAGAACATTTCATCCAACAGCTGCAGAATACGCTCTTTTCATCAGCACATGAACATTCTCTAGGATAGACTGTACGTTAGGCTACAAAACAAGTCTCAACAAATTTTTAAAAACTGAAATTATATCAAGTGTCTTTTCAGACTACAATGTACCAAAACTGAAAATCAATAATAAGAACTTTGGAAGTTGTACAAATAATTAAAAGTTAAACAACGTGCTCCTGAACAACCAATGGGTCTATGATGAAATTGAGAAAGATATCAAAACATTTCTTAAAACAAGTGAAACTAGAAACACAACATACCCAAACCTATGAGATACATCAAAATCAGTACTAAGAGGGAAGTTCACAGCAAATGCCTACATCAGAAAAGTGGAAAGATTTCAAATAAACAAGCTAACAATGCACCTCAGGGAAGTAGAAAAAAAAGAACAAACCAAACCCCAAATTAGAAAGAAAGGAATTATAAAGATCAGAGAAGAACTAATCAAAAAAGAGAAATAGGAAAAAATGCAAAAAGATACATAAAATGAAAAGTTGGTTTGCTGAAAAAATAAACAAAATTGAAAAATCACTAACTAGATGAAGAAATAAGAGAGAAGGCCTAAATAAAAAACATCAGAGAAAAAGGAGACCTCATAACTGATACCACAGAAATACAAAGTTTCATCTGAGACTATTATGAACAACTGTATGTCAACAAATTGGAAAACCTAGAAATGGATAAATTCTTGGGCAAATATAACCTACCAAGATTGAACCATGAATAAATAGAATATGTGAACAGACCAATAATAAGTAACAAGATTCATTCAGTAATAAACAGTCTCCCAATAAATGCCCAGGAGTGGACGGCTTTACTGCTGAATTCTATCAAACATTTAAATAAGAAGTAACGCCACTTCCTCTCAAACTATTCCCAAAAAATGAAGAGATAGGAATTTTTTTTTAATTCTACAAGGCCAGTATTACCCTAATACCAAAACCAGACAAAGACACAATAAAAAAGAAAATTACAGGCTAATACCCCTGATAAACATAAACACAAAAATCTCCAATAAAATACTAGCAAACTAAATCCAGCAGCACATCAAAAAGATAATACAACATGATCAAGTGGGATTTATCCCAAGGAAACAAGGGTGGTTCAACATACACAAATCAATAAATGTGATACATCAGCAGAATGAAGGACCAAAATCATATGATAATCTCAATAGATGCAGAAAAAGCATTTGATAAAATCCAACATTCTTTCATCTTAAAAAAATTCTCAGAAAATTAGGCACATTAGGAACATACATCAGCACAACAAAAGCCATATATGACAAGCCCACAGCTGACATCATACTGAACAAAGAAAAGGTAAAAACCTGAACAAGACATAAATGCCTATTTCCACCACTTTTATTCAACATAGTAATGAAAGTCCTAGCCAGAGCAATTAGGCAAGATAATAAAATAAAGTGCATCCAAATTGGAAAAGAATAAGTCAAATGGTTCCTCTTTGCAGACAACATAATCTTACATATAGAAATACCTAAAGACTCTACCAAAAAAAAAAACAACAACAACACCTTTCAGAACTGATAAATGAACTGAGAAAAATTGTGGGATACGAAATCAACATACAAAAATAGTATTTCTATATACTAATAACAAATTGGCTAAAAAAGATTTCAAAAAGGCAATCTCATTTATAATAATTATCAAAAAAAGACTTAGGAATAAATTTAACCAAGGAGGTGAAAGATCTCTATAATGAAAATTACAAATCACTGATGAATGAAATTAAAAAGGATGCAACAAACTAATACATGAACAGAAAACCAAATACCACGTTCTCATTCATAACTGGGAGTTGAACAATGAGAACACATGGACACAGCGAGGGGAATAACACACACCAGGGCCTGTTGGGGGGTCGGAGGGTGAGGGGGTGGAACCTAGATGATGGGTTAATAGGTGTAGCAGACCACCATGACACATATACACCTATGTAATAAACCTGCACGATCTGCACATGTATCCTGGAGTTTAAAGTAAAATAAAAATAAATAATTTTAAAAAATTAAAGAGGATATCAAGAAATAAAAAGCCACTCCATGCTCATGGATTAGAAGAATTAATATTGCTAAAATGACCATGCCGCCGAAATCTACAGGTTCAATGCAATCCCTATCAAAATACCAATGACATTCCTTTTTTTTTTTTTTTGATGGAGTCTTGCTCTGTCACCCAGTCTGGAGTGCAGTGGCGCTATCTTGGCTCACTGCAAGCTCCACCTCCCAGGTTTATGCCATTCTCCTGCCTCAGCCTCCCGAGTAGCTGGGACTACAGGCGCCCACCACCACACCTGGCTAATTTTTTTTGTATTTTTTTTAGTAGAGACAGGGTTTCGCCATGTTAGCCAGGATGGTCTCAATCTCCTGACCTCATGATCTGCCCGCCTCAGCTTCCCAAACTGCTGGGATTAGAGGGTGAGTCACCGCACCTGGCCACCAATGACATTCTTTACAGAAATAGAAAAGCAATCTTAATATTTGTATGGAACCACATAAAAACCGAAATTGCCAAAGCAATACTGAGCAAAAATAGCAAAGCTAGAAGCCTAACACTACCTAACTTCAAAATATACTACAAAGCTAGTATAGTAACCAAAACAACATGGTATTGGTATAAAAACAGACACATAGACCAATGGAACAGAATAGAGAACCTAGAAATCCATGTGTTTACAGCCAACTGATTTTTGACCAAGATGCCAAGAACATACACTGGGGAAAAGACACCCTCTTCAGTTGCTGGTGCTAGGAAAACTGGATATTCTTATGCAGAAGAATATGTACCACCACATACAAAAATCAACCCCAAATGGATTAAAGACATAAATGTAAGGCTTAACACTGTAAAACTACTGGAAGAAAACATAGGGAAAATGTGTCACGGCATTTATCTAGGCAAATATTTTATGTGTAAGACTTCAAAAGCACAGACAACAAAAACTAAAATAGACAAATGGGACCATATCAAACTAGCAAGCTTCTGCACAGCAAAGGAATCAACAGAGTAAAGACACAATCTGTAGAATGGAAAAAAGTATTTGCAAAGTAGACATCTGACAAGGGACTAATATTCAAAATATATAAGAAAATCAAACAACTCAATTGCAAATAAAATTCAAATTGAAAAATGGGCGAAGGATCTGAATAAACATTTCTCTAAAAAAGACATACAAATGGCCAAGTATACAAAAAACACTTCTAAACATATCATCAGGGAAATACAAATCAAAACCACAATGAGATATTATCTTACCCCAGTTAGAATGGCTTTTATCAAAAAGACAAAAAAAAATGCTGGTGAAGATATGGAGAAAAGGGACATCTTCTACATTGTTGGTGGAAGTGTAAATTCATTACAGACATTGTGGAAAACAGTATGAAGTTTTCTCAAAAAAATATATAGAACTACCATATGATCTAGCAATCTCACCACTGGTATTTATCCAAAGGAAAAGAAATAGATATACTAAAGGAATACCTGCACCCCATGTTTATCATGGCAGTATTCATGATAGCCAAGACATGGAATTAACCTAAATGTTCATGAGCAGATGAATGGGTAAAGAAAATGTGGCACATATATGCAATGGAATACTATTCAGCCATAAAAAATGAAATCCTGTCATTTGCAGCAAGATGGATAAGCCTAGAGTTCATAGTTAAGTGAATTATAATTAAGTGAAATAAGTCAGGCACAGAAAGATAAATATAGTATGTTCTCACTCATGTGGCGGCTAAAAAAGGTCAAGCTCATTGAAGTAGAGAACAGAATTGCAGTTATTAGAGGCTAGGAAGGGGAAGGGGAAAAGAAAGGCTAGAAAGAGGTTGGTAAACGAATACAAAATCACAGGAATAAATTCTAGTGTTCTATAGCACTGTATGGTGAATGTAGTTATCAATAATTTATTGTATATTTTCAAAAAGCTAGAAAAGAGGATTTTGATTGTTCCCAACACAAATGAGAAGTGTCTGAAGTGATGGATGTACTAATTACTGTTTTGATCATTACATGTTGTATACAAGAATCAAAATATATCTCTTCTGTAAATATTTGCAATTAGTACATGTCAACTAAAAAGGAAAGAAAACACAAGCAAGCAATCAAATGTGAGAGAGGCAAAAATGCCCATATTTGGATATACTGAGCAAAATGCTAGTGAAGTTCAAAGGAGATAAGAAAAAGGAGTGACAGATTTTCAGAACACAAAATTGATGAGCTCTTTGAAAGTTTTGGGTAAACAGAGTCTTTTAAAACTCCTACTTGAAATGCACTGTAGGAAGTAAAGGATCATTCCTTGTCACCAGATCTCAGGAAGCATGTGGCCACCTGTTAGGAAGGCTGAGTTTTTAAGCCAGGCATGTCTATATTCTTTATTGTTGTTGTTTTGTTTTTGTTTTTTTTTCTTTTCAGAAAGGAAAGGAAGGGATGGGAATAGGAGAAGAAAGGGAAGGAACAAAAAGTAGATGTAGTTGAACAGAAAGCCTGAGGAGTTGCTGATACATAAGGAGGGGATGGGTATCCCACCTTTGGAGCCTTTGGAGTGCTACTTCAGCAGGTCTTCCAACAGGAAGTCCACTGTGATTACACATGATGGACTGGTGTTGAAGTGTTTGGAAGGGAGGTTTTATGGAAGCCTGAGGGGCAAGGACATATAATGTATCTTCTAATTACCCTTTATCGTGAGCCCTTGATATGGTTTGACTGTGTCCCCACCCAAATCTCATCTTGAATTGTAGCTCTCACAATTCCCTCATGTCATGGGAGGGACCTGGTCGGACGTAATTGAATCATGGAGGCGGGTCTTTCCCGTGCTATTCTCATGATAGTAAGTCTCACGAGAGCTGATGGTTTTATAAAGGGGAGTTTCCCTGAACAAGCTCTCTTGCCTTGCCTGCCGCCATGTAAGACATGACTTTGCTCCTCATTCACCTTCCGGCATGATTGTGAGGCCTCCCTAGCCATGTGGAAATGAGAGTCCATTAAACCTCTTTTTATTTATAAATTATCCAGTCTTGGATATGTCTTTATTAGCAGTGTGAGAACAGACTAATACAGCCCTCCATATGTTTGCCTTACTTGGGCCTTTTCTGGCACCAAAGGAGAGTAAGCCAACATGCTAGCTAAGGCTAAAGGAGTGATGTATTGGTTCACATAACCAAATCAACTAGGACACCTGGTTGCACCTGGGCTTAGGATGATGGGAACTATGGGCAGGAACACAGCCAGGATACTCCTAGCTTCTCCTCTCCACTTCTGTCTGCTGTATTCTCTCTCAGACCTGCTTCCATAATGCTGGGTACCTGTCCAATGGCTGATTCCAGCTCTTCTGCCAGAGAGGACTGGAACCTGGTTCAAGCTGAACAATTCTGTATGGAGGGGATGCAGAATGCCAGCAGAGGACTTTCTGCCTAACAGGTCCAGCATAGATACCTGCGTCACCTGCGGTAAAGAGGAGGTGAGTGGTGAAGGAAGTAGCCTGAGCCTGCCAGTAACAGACAGGAAGTGTGGTCTGTAAGAGGACAGCAGCCCCTAGTCCAGCCATCAGGTTAGAGGGCCAGACAAAGGGGGAAAGTTGCTGGGCACCCCCGCAATGCAACAATGGATGTCCCCCAGGGTAGGTAAGCCAAAAAATAGGGACATTCTGGAGCTCTGGGTCTTGGTTCTCTATTCACTCTTCTGAAAGTACCTGTAAAAGCTTTTATGAAGACTGTAAAGCTCTTCTGAGGAGCTCCCTGCCCAGCTCCCTTCAGTCTGGCTGTGGGCTGATTCCTTGGAGGCACTTGCCTGCTGATCTTAATAGAAGCCTCTCCATTGTAGCTCTATTTATTTATATATATATTTATTTATTTAAGACCACATCTCTCTTTGTTGCTTAGGTTGAAGTGCAGTGGCACAATCATGGCTCACTATAGCCTCAAACTCCTGGGCTCAAGTGATCCTCCTGCCTTGACCTCCCAAAGTGCTGGGATTACAGGCATGAGTGCCCCCACACAGCTAATTTTTAAATTTTTTGTAGAGATGGGGTTTCACTATGTTGCCTGGGCTGGTCTCAAACTCCTGGCCTCAGTGATCCTCCCACCTTGGTCTCCCAAAGTGCTGGAATTACAGGCAGTAGCCACTGTACTGGGACTCTCTGTGCAGCTTTATTAACAGTAGGATGATACCCCAGCCAGGATGATTTTCCCATGTGACAGAAGACTCTGGATAGAGTCCCAGCTGGTAAAAAAATTGGACCTAATTCAAAGTTTGAAGCAGGTCCTTGCTCCATTGTGCCTCCCTGTGTATAATCAAGATACCTCCCTTCTTTTCTCCTCAAAGCAGAAGTGAGTTTGGCTAAAAATGAAGGTCCTTGCTTTGCTAAGAAAGACCACATAAGCCTAAATCCAGGGCCTCCTGCCCTCACCAGGCACAAGGGTGCAGGCCCTGACTCAGTGCATCAGTTGCACCCCTGGGGTTGGGGCCAGCTCTCTGCAGGTTCCAGCATCCAAGAAGCTGCAGTGCATCTGCAAATTCCTCCCTTCACACCCTGACCTCATTGCCCATTTCACTGGTTGGTTGATCCTTTGTGTGTGCCTAGGAAGATTTACCCCCACCTCCACCCCAACAAGGCGAGTGTAAACAAGTTGCTTCCTGGCCCTCTGTAGAAAACAGTGCCGATCACTGAACCATGAAATCTCGTGGTCTGTGAGTCAAGCCCAAGCAGCCACGGGCATCAGCTCCATGTTAATAATGATAGCTGAACAGATGGAGAGCTCTTTCTGTGCCAAGGTTGCACTGAATACTGTTCAGGCTTGTCTCATGCTCCTCATGGGAACCTCTGTCAGAAGGGGACCGTTATTCCCATTTGATAGGTGAGGACACTGATGCACTGAAAGGTTAAGTGACTGGCCCAAGGTTACACAGCTAGTGGAGCTGGTTTCCAACTCTCCCAGTCTGACTCCAGAGAGAGAGACTTTCCTAACCACTCCATGGCCGAGAGTGCATCCATTCAGGCTATCACACTGCTGGATGTGGAAAGATTTCATGTGGGTGGATGGATCCCTTGGGGTGATGTCCTCTCATGTCACATCTATTAATGTCTTTAAGCCTAAGAGTAATAACAATAATAATATCCATCTCAACGGTTACTGTGAATATTAAATTAGATGATGCCTGCAAAGGGCTTAGCACAAAGCCCAGCCCCTTGGTAAGTGATCTGTAATTGTCAGCTCTAAGTCCCTGGTGTGAATGTGGGGAGTGGATTTGCAGTGCTTTACAATGGCTCACACAATAAAAAGTCTGCCCTATAGCGTATCTGATGCAGATACGGTATGAATTCAATTGGTCAGCAAGATCGGTTGATTCAACTGCCTGTACAGCTCATAAATCTTCTTCCCTATGTAGTAGTAGCAACATTCTGGGACTGTCTCCGTGCTTTCCTTCCTAAGGCTGAAGCAGCAGCAGTGAGAGGGTAAGAGGCTTTGGGGCCCTCAGTCTTGCA
This sequence comes from Homo sapiens, assembly GCF_000001405.40. Taxonomy (NCBI): domain Eukaryota; kingdom Metazoa; phylum Chordata; class Mammalia; order Primates; family Hominidae; genus Homo; species Homo sapiens. Next base: position 94,884,512 of record NC_000011.10, on the reverse strand, counting down.
CTTGGGGCTGGCTTCTCCGCTTCTTGGCTGTGTGACTTCAGGCAGGCCACTTCCCATCTGCAAGCCTCAACTTCCTGATAGATGAGATGAGGAGAATGACGCCTGCCTCACAGGCAGAAGGGAGAGGAAAATGAGAAAATGTATGTAAAACTTCTGATGCTGCATCTGGCCCACAGCTGATACCACTGTAGCAGACTTTGTTTTCCAAAGTGGGCACAGCAGTGTTTCTGGTCCTGTGTACTTTTCTGGAACCTTGCCATTTTCATGTAAAGAGATGAAGTTTATCCCCTTACCCTCACCTCTCAAACCCAGGCAGGCCTTTGTAACTATCTTGGCAGTAGATGTGGCAGAAGTGAGGCTGAGTGACCTCTGAGGCTAGGTCATGAAAGGAGAAATCTCCTGCCTTGTGTTCTCAACATGTCCCTTTGACATCCTGAGCTATCATGCAGCAAGTCCAGCTTCCCTGGACTATGCCAGAGGGACCCTGAGAAGAGACCACAATGAAATGAAGATGCCCCAGGACCCCCCACTGTTCTAGCCCCTGGTCTTTGAGCCACCCCAGTGGGGCCCAGCAGAGATGAACTACCCCCATCAAGCCCTGCTCAAATTGCAGTTATAAGCAAAATAAATGCATCTGGGCATGCTGTTCCCTCGCTCTCTAGCTTCAGCCCCATTTCCCTTCTCATTCTTCCAAGTTCAACTCAAATGTCACCTGCTTTTCTATTTCCCCACTCTTTTAGACCAATAGAACAGTCTACATTTCATGAGTTTGACAGTAAACACCATATTGTGGACCTTTCTTGTCTTTTTGCCAAGACTGTGAGCTTCTGGGGGGTCAGACATAGCATCTTATTCATCTTTGCACCCTTCATCTAACATAATGAAAATGTTAAACTAATGTGTGTGTCTGTGTGTCTGTTACTTTTAAGTGTGTTTCTCAGTATGAATTATTTACATCATGAATTATTTGTGATGCCTTGTACATTTTTCAAATGCTGAGATTCCTAAGGAACCAGCTGCTACTTGTGGTCCCAAGTGACCTGGATTGATCAGACTGTGACAGGTAGCATCTCTCCAACTCTATATCTCAAAAGCAAAAGGGCACTGTATTTGCCATGAGCCCTTTTATCCCTGGGAAAGATCCCCTTTAGTTTTAATCGGCCACCTTGCTGCCATGACCATTCAGATCTCAGCCCTGATGTAAGGTAAAGGGTTTCAAGGTTGTCAAAGAAAGAGTCCCAACGCATTTTCTGCTGTGATCTCACAATACTGGGCCCACCCCTCCTGGCTCTGCCACTGGGGGAAATCCCAACTCCTCAGCCCTGAACAATGGCTTTGTGGAAGCAGTTGGCTCATTAGACATACAAGTAAGAACATGAAGCTCTTCTGAGGTGACTCCCTGGCCAATCCAGGCCAAGCCCATCACTTGTCAGTTTACTGATCCACAGGCAGGGTAAGGTGCAGGGCTCAGAAAAGACCCAATGCCCACAAAACTTTAGCATAGATGGCCTACTTTGGCCAGAAAGCACCAACAGGGCTGCAAGAGGGCCCGCCTCTAATTGGCTCTGCTGGCCTTTCACCATGACCTTCGGAAAGCACCCAAGCTCTCTGTTTGCCTTTCTCCCAGTTATGTTAAAAGGAATCATGGCAGCCATCCCTAGCTGTTTCTCCCAGCAGTGTGAATAGCATAAAACACATACCTGTGCTGTTTAGAAGAAGGGCATTATGCACAGGCTGGGGATGTTACTAAGCAGAGATTTCACATTCATTGGACACTCATTGAATGCCCAGTGTTACTCTACAGAAAACAGGAAACAGGAGTCTGTTTTTTGTTTGCTTGTTACCAGAAGCCCTAATTTAGTGGGCTTTCATCTTCCCCTCCAGAACACTGTGATGGTCTTGACTGAGAGGCACTTAAGACTTAAAGAAGTGGCTGGCTTTGCAGTTTCTGCTCATTACTTGTTTATGACTGATGTCCAACATAAGTTGTACATGCCTGGAAAGTTATATCACGTACCCAAGCCTGAGCCTGTGAATTTCATGGCGATGAGGAGCAGTGATGCAACAAAACATATTTGTTATTAATCAATATATGAAGTATTGACATCTAATTTTTTTAAAGGTAAAAAGTATGGTTACCACCTCTAACTAACTCTCTTCCAGGTAAAATTAGATTGAGAAATTACATAGACTAGCAAGAGAGGAGCACAGGGGACACCACTGGCTCTTCTGAGGAGCCCCTCTCAGTGTCTTTTCTGGAGAGGCTTGGGACAAGGCAGTAGATGGCCCCTGCTGGCGGCAACGGAGCGCTCAGAGATAGAAGTGGGGGAAGATTCAGATTGGGTTCTCTAAATGTATCCAAATGTGAGACTTCCACATGCAAACTTTGGTGGGGCCTCTGTCTGCTCTACCCAGGCGGGTCGTCTACCGTGCTGTCTCAGAGCTGGGGCCTGCAGTACATGGCAGGGTACCATCAGCCAATTTCCCTCCAAATGCCGAGGGTGGCGGGGGCTTGATAGATATGTCCAGAGATCCTGGTGTACATCCTCCAACAAGGACAAAGATCAAATTGTTTATCATACTTGTGACCTCAATTAGACTTGAACATGGAGGTTGCATGATGCTGTGGAAACGTCCTGACTTTTAAAGTCATCCAGGCCTGGGCTCAAATGCCACCCTGCTGCTTACTTGGGTAAGTGTAGACCTTGGTAATCTTCTTAGCCTCTCTGAATCTCACTGTCCTTGCTGTTATGAGGACCAAATGCCACGGATGACATAAAATGCTTGGCGCACAGTAGGAAATCAGTCCACTTCCCTGCCCCTCGTCTACCTTCAGGGCAGGATCACCATGGCATTCTGTATTATCTGGCTTCCCCCCAAGATCTGAAGCATGCTGGGCACATAATTAATTTTTAGTAGTAACCTGATGAGTGAATCATAAACTGGGCTTCTTTTTACAGGCTATTCCTAAAGCTAAATATTTGTAAAACTCTGATAGATGCTCTGCAAAATGGAAGTGCCAGGGACAAGGGAAGGATCAATGTCATCAACTCACTGAACAAAGTCAGACTGGACTAGGGCTGAGTCGAATTATGCCAGGAAAATGTGTTCTCTAGGCCAAAGGGTAGGGCACTGGATGGAAAAATCAGCCCCTCAGAGAGCTGAAAGAGGGTTTCTGGATGGAAACAGGGCATTCCAGGCCAGACTGGGCTGAGCCATCAAGCTGGGGCCATGGTGCTGTTGAGTCCTTGGGATCCCAATGTCATCATGAAAATCATCAATTTTTTTAGTGCCTGGACAGGCGAATGGAAACATTTTGATGCACTGGAGGAACACAGGGCCAGCATTTGGCCAGGCCTGACTTATATATTGCAAGTTTTGGCCTCTTTCTTAGGAGAGAAAACATCTCCCCAGATTCCCCATGCTCTTAGCTCTCCCTTATTGCTGGGGAAATGCTCTGCGGAGCTGGGTGGTGGTGCAGGAGCACCCTCAGGTTTCAGTAAACTCCCCTTCCTCCACACAAAGGAACACATACCACCATAAACCACAATAAGAGAGATCTACACGTGCTGCCTAGGAAACCTGTCTATGACCTACTGTTGAATGAAAAAAACCTAGTTGTATGAGTAGCATGGTCTTATATTCATTCACTCATATCTATTTATTTGGTTGTACATATCTGTAGAGGAGCCTAGAAGGAAATCCTCCAGACTTAACAGAATGGCTACATGCAGCAATTTAGAGGAGGTAGTGGCTTCTTCGTATTCTCCTCTGTATTCTCATTTGATTGTTTTTAAAAACAAATAGCATTACTTGCACAGTAATTTTTAAATAAAATTTTACTTAAGGATCTCTGCTTCCAGTTCCCCTGACAACAGTCACTGAACATATGCAATAAGAAGCTTGGGAGAATTCACAGTCGGTTTAACTTTTAATGAGCATCTACTCTAGGTACAAGTCGGGGTTCCTACCCCAAACAGATGAGCTGACAGACACTTGTGTACGTAGTTCACTATAACAGGAGACGGCTTGGGGCAAGAGCTGGATGGATGCTATGATGCACAGCACTGTCATTTTAGATACATTACAACTCTTCTCTCATTAAATCCTTGACTCATTCAGTCAACACTCAAGGGTTGACTCATTCAGTCAACACTCAAGCACCTGTGGTATGCCAGCAACTGCATTAGGTGCCTGATTCACATTAATGAAAAAACAGACATGGTACTTGCTCCATGACATCTTGCAAAGAAGAAGTTTTCAGAAGTTCAACAACTTTCTCCAGGTGACTCAGCTAATAATGGAAGAGGAGCAATTAATTTTGACCCTGGTGACGGGAAATACCTTCCTGAGAAAAGTGACATTTGAGCCTCACCTTGAAGAATGAGTTAGATTGGACAGATGGACATCGCAATCCCAGAGGCATCCCAATCCCAGGGACCCCACGGATAGGTGCAGAAATGGAAACACACAAAGTAGATTATGGACACAGTGTGGTTCCTAGAGCAACTTGAAGGTAGGGGTGGAAAGGGAAGTGGAGAGAAACTAGTCAGGGAAGAGGGCAGGGGTCAGACTGTGCAGGGCATGAATGCCACAGCTTTATCCTGAAGGCCACAGGGGGCTAATAGTGCTGTGGCAATTTCCCTCAAAAGAGTGACATTATCAGACATCCCTCTAGAAACTCGGGTTGGGGAAGAACAGTGTGGTCTGGAGGCTCTGGAGCCAGTCTATCTGGGCTTGGATCCCAGCCCTGCACTCACAAGCTCTAGGACTTTGGGCAAGAGGCTTAAATTCCCTACTTCTTAGTTTCTCCATCAGTACAATGGAACTATAATAACAGTGATTGTAAGAATTCAATGTGCTAATATGGGAAAGGCTCACGGGAGGTTGGGTGCATAATGACAATGAATCAATGTCATTATTACTCTTGTTTCTCTGGTGTCCTTGTCAAGAATAGAGTAGGATGAGACAGTAGGCAGAAGGCTACTGTAATTGTCCATGAGAGAGATGAAGTCTTGAACTAAGGCCATGGGGATGGAGAAAATAAAAGTACAGAAGCAACATGGGAGGGTGAAGTAGGCAGGAACAGGTGACCAACTAGCTAAAGGAGAGAGTGGGGGAGGAGCCCAAGGTGACTGGGGACCCTAGCAGAGATGACTGAGTAGATGGGGCAGAAGCAGAGCCATGTATATGGAAGGGAAGGCACCAAGGTTCAGGTGATCGGGAAACCAGGCATAGATGCCTGTCAGGTACAATCAAGAATTTCATTAGACTCACAGACACTTCCATTTTACACTCAGCACTCCTGGGCCACAAGTTCTGTGGCTTCACAAGGTACCTGGGGAAAACCAAGAGCAGGTCCCCAGCCCCTGTGCAGACCTGACACAGCTTCTGCCTGTTGGTCCCTTCTCCACCATGCTACCTACCAGGTGAATGTTAGTAAACAAAATCTAGCAGGTAAAGATTAAGTATACATCTCACGGACCAGAGCTACTGATCCAGACTTTCTGTCCGGTATATGACTTTGGCCGAAAAAAAAGTCACATTTCCAACAAGGGCCTCAATAATGTTTTTTCAGTTAGCCATCTGCTTACCAATTCTCTTTAGAGCGATTAAAAACAAACACAAGCAAACCATAAAAAAAAACAAAAACACACAACTAAAGTCAAAGGCAACAATTCAGTGCAGAGAGAGAACAAAAGCTTTAGAAATGAGCAGGCCTGGCTTCTACTGCAGAGCCCAAGTGCACACCTCACTTCTCTTGAGTCTGTTTCCTCATTTGACGTGCAGGGGTAATAATGTCCCATAATACCTACCTCTGGGGTTCTTAAGATGAAATATTATTCCAAAGCCAATTCAATAAAACTTAGATCCTGCCTCCCTTGCACATTCAGAGAGGCAAAACCCATCAGGACACAAAGTTAGGCACTGTTAGTTTCTAACAATAGGACTATAATTCATATTACTATACTCCAAAGCACTCAACGATGTAGTCTATGATCCTTATATTATCTGTATACACATTATGAGTCTCCAAAAACTTGGGGAGAGTTACCCTTTGATAGAACTCCACATCAGATATGGAGGGCTTCCCAGGTTCCCATAAACTCCAGATTCAATTTAAAAAATTACCTATATATCTCTCAATATTCTAAAAAGAGAGGAACTTTGAGGATGATAGACTCACCAAGAGAGGGAGTCCTGGCTCACTTGGAATGGTCTCGGGATGTCTACCTGCCAGGAACAGAGGCAGATAAAGGAAGCACATCAAAGATACCCTGTCATGCTTGATAAAAAGGCAACAGAAACAGTAAACCATAATGACATTTTTTTATGACAGAAAGCTTCTTTTATTTTGACAACACAGAACTTTAAGAAAGGAATTTCATTGCTTCTGATTTATTTCCCATTTGTGACCTAATTCCTTATCACGATGGGCCTGCGCAACTTAAAACACATTGCTATCTCTTGTGGTTCCTGAGGCCCCAGCCCAGATGTCAGAATGGAGGCCAGTGTTCCTTCAGGGCACAGACGTGTACCACTTGGAATGACTACAAAGAACTGCTGGGATTGAGAACTTCTCTCCTGGGGTGTACAAGGGGCCAAGAGAAAGGTCAGAGCTCAGGGGGTGGCTCGCATGATGTACACATGTGGGATCAGCGTGGGAAGGTGACAACTCGGAAGGGTCATACAAACCCTAAACACAAATGCAGTACTCCAGCTGTCTTCCTGGAGTCATCCTGACAGGTAGAGACTGGGGAGCTGCAAGAGTGCATCTTTACGTGAATTGAGTCATATTTGCACACGCACACAGATGGCGCTCCCTGCAGAGGAGTCCTCGGGGTAGAAGCAGGACAGACAAGAAGCCAGGCAGACAGGAGCATGAGCCTCCTGCCTCCCAGCATCCACCCAACTTGCACATGCAAGTCCCTTGACTCTGCAACAGGTAGACCTGGGTTCAAATCCCCACCCTGCCATCTTTTGCACATTACTTGCCCAGGGTTGTTTGAGTTTCAGTCTCCTGGGGTTTAAAGTGGGGATGATGACGAGGTTGTTGTGACTGAAGAAGATAATGCATATAAATCACACTGATGATTACTCGGGGGCTAGAGATGCATCCTTCACACTCCCCCAGAGCTCACATCAAGGAAGCTTTTCCTATGCTAGGGCTGGGGGTGGGTGAGGAGACAGGCTTTCGCTGAAAAGGCATGACCAGAGAATAAACAGCAGGAACCACTCTCTCTTAAACACAGTGATCCCAGGGGAGGGGCCTTCATGTGGAGATTCTCATGAGTCTTACTCTGTTCTGCTTCAGTCTCTGAGGCTCCTGGCCTGGATTTCGCCCATTTACCGTGTGACTCCTTCCCACCAAAGTCCCGCTTTCTTCTCCTGTGACCCCAAGACACTGACAAAACAGCTCCCATCTCCCATTTCCATCCTCAGGCTCAGAGAGCCATGGCTGACTCCAGGCTGCCTGGGTGAATTCCTGAGACAGAGCCAGTTTACAGTGATCATTTGCAGGCTCTGAACTAAGGAACCTCAAAAGTGGACACTCACATGTGATCAAAGTGGACACCCAGGCACACAGTCTCCCTGCGTTTCCTTTCTCCTTATTTGTCTGGAGGAGCCAGGAGTGGGCGGGCTGCAAGCTGCGATGGTCTGGATGATTCATTTCCTCCTCAGAGTCAAGAGCTGCGTGTTGGTGTCAGCGTGAGGCCCACAAGGGGGGAGCCGAGGGCCTCTGAAGCAAAACATTAAGTGGGGTACAATGAAATGAAACATTTATTGAGCATCAGTTTATAAGTTCTTTAAGGAAGAAAGGAGCAAGCGAGAGAAAAGAGTCATTTTGCCATTTTATCCATTTATTATGTACAATATTAAGGCACAAGTTTAAGCAGCAAAGGAGAGGAAAATCTTTGGCTGACCAACAGCATCAATATTTGCTGTGGGGGACAGGCAGTGTTCTTGGAATCCCCACACTGGTACACAGACCCATTTGGCTGTATGGCCATGTACATCACCCCTCAATACAGACTGGCAATATGAAGACGTCAAACGTTACAGCCAGATACCAGTCTGCTGGGAAGAGCCGGCACGAGCACGGCACACTGCCACCAAGCACAGCGACACACACACACAGAGCAGGTTGGAGGGCAGCGGCAGCAGGACAGCTGAAATCGGGTGCCCATGCTTACCACTGTTTCACAGAATTTTACACAATTCTGTAAGTGCTCATGGAGGAGGAGGCTCCCTGTTCCTCCTCAAAAGGAAAAAAAACAAAAAACAAAAAAACACCTTGATTCAAATAAAACCAATGTGGATATATTTGCTTACATTCCGTTTTGTAATAAATACTTACAGGTGTCTCTATGTGAACAGACTCCTAGGCACAATCACATGTAAACACAACACCGGGCATCCAGACTTTGGGGGCTGATACAAGAAAACGCTGTATATGTAGTTCAATATAGAGAGAGCAGTATTCTAATTCTGTGAAGAAGCAAAGTTTCATGACAAAGAAACACCCCAGTCACATCATAACATGACAATAACATGCACTAAAGTAAACACAGTTTTACAGAATACCTACCAGATGTTTATATGAATGATTATGCACTTATATCTGTAGTGTATGCAGAGATGTGAACACATAGGAGGCATGGCAAGAGAATTGATTTTTAAAAATCTGTGTGCTAATGAGGATGATCCCCCCTTGAAGTGGACACTTTGAGAGGCTCTGAGGCCAAAGACTCATTCCAAGAAATTTCTTAGGGATTTTTTTAGAAACAAAAATGGTGTAACTTACCTTAATTGCCATCTTTTTTCATCCAACTGTGCTATCAAGCACTTGAGATTATTTCCAGAACTTAAATCCATCCTCAAAGGAGGAGGATTTCTCATCTCTAAGGGTAAACCAAAGGAACATGCCAAGCCCTGAAGGCCATTCTAGTAGAAGAGTTCCCAAGATATTTTTACTTGGCAGCACTATAGTCAATGAGCACATAGTCTCCCAAAAGACACCTTTTAAGGAGGGCGGGGTGAGATGAACACTTTGATCTTCTGTATGTTAGGAAAAGAAATTCCCACAAACAACCCTATAGTCATACCTCATATGTATGCACTCACTTATACACATGTCTTTATATACCATTAAATTACTAAGTGAGAAAAGGGTATACTACTTAAGAGAAAGAGGAAAAATTGCTCATTTGTTCCAGGAGAAATTCACTACTGAAATGCTAACTTTTGCATTTCCCCAGCCGACCAATTTCTGGTAACTTCTTAATTACTTTGCCTATCTCCCATGGAGCCACACGTCAGAGGCAAACTCATTAAACAATCGTCACATCTAATGAAGACATTTTAAACACTTTAATTACTTAAACAACAAGAAAAGAAACATTTATAAAGCATATACCAAGGCTGTCTCAGGTTTTAGGATGTGGAGAAGCCAATGGTAGGCTGGATACTCTCTGGCTACTTAAAGCCTTACCCATTTAAGAACATTTGTGGGATCCCACTGACTATGGTCATGGTACTCCTTTGCTTAAGAGGAGTGCAAGATCATTCAGAGAACACAGAGAAGCATGCTCCACTTACTCCAGCGTGGACACTGGTTTTGAACCCTGGTTTTGAAAAACACATCTCTTTGCTCAGCATAACTCCCTGCAGTCAAAACATGAGCCCCCTGCCTCAAAAGCTTTTAATGCCCCAATCTATTATCCACTGCTTCTGAGGTCCGCAGCCTCACCTGAAGTCTGTGTCCCTAAGTCTCTGGGACTCAGGTCAATGGGGAGGAAGAATTTCCCATTCTCTCAGCACCTGGCATGAAGGTGCTACAGCCACTGCATCATGAGGGTGCGCACCCAGGTGAGAACAAACAAGAGTAATGACTGGCTGCTCTGCACGGGGCATTCTGAACACCTCCTTCCTGAGTAACAGAAGCACTGAATTCTCTGTTCCAGGTTCAGAACTAATTTGTTGCAACTGTTTTGGTATCCATGCCAAGCCTTGTGGAGTCAAACTCATACATGAGTTCCAAAGAGCAACCCCAGAGGACTGCACCCAGAAGGGCTCCACCACTGCCTGCTCTCCCAACGAAAGCCTGAGGAGGGCCAAGGCAGCCCCTGCCCTGCGTGCATGGTTAGAACATGCTGAACTCTGCAGTGTCACTGGCTGCCAGCCTCTGGGAGGCAGAGAAAATGCTGAGAAGAAAACGCTAAGAAAGGGTTCTGCACATGCTCTGAAAGTTTTGGAAGATAATGTGTTTTTCCTGGCAGCTTAGCTATATGGACCTGCAGACAGTAATAGTTCTCATGTACAGAGGCATCTAATTAGTGAAACTCTAGCTTCAGAGACCTGACTCCAACTTCTCCAGTTCCATATAATATCCTGGCAGCACACAGAAACTGCCAGACAACGCAGTCAAGGGTGAAGCAGAACAATGCTGGAATACCTTCCCGTGAAGCCAGGGCCTCTCCCCTTCATCCTGAGATAGGACCCTCAAGTTCTATAATCAGGCTCCACTGGGAAAGTTTGAAGTCCAGGTCTCTGGGAAGTGCAGAAATATTTTTTAGGTATAGTTTGGAGCTGTGCTTCTGGTGGAACACAATAATTTCCATCTATGCCTAGCATTTATAGGTGATTCTAGGAGTTCTGGGCTTAGTCCTATTTCTTAGGCTCTGAGATGTGTGATAGCTGTGTGTGTGTGTGTGTGTGTGTGTGTGTGTGTGTGTAGTTACACGTGCACACACACATCACAGACAGGCATAGAGACTGCCAAGATGCAGTGCCGCATGTTAGAGGCTGTACAGCCAGGGTCTATGCCCAGTGCCTCTCCAAACTTTGTTTTAAATCATCCTAGCTTCTCCTGGCTGTGAGATTTCAGGAAGGGACTTAACCTTTCTGAGCCCATTTCCTCATCAGTGAAATCAGAATAATAAACGCACCCCCTGTACTCCAGGTGGGTGGAGGACTAATTAAAAGGTATTTACCACACTGTTTGCATACAGTTGACACTAGAAAATATAGTTGCATTATTTTTCTGAAAATCTGTTTAAGATATTGTAAGCTGCCCAGAACTCAGAGCAGGTACTCAGTATATGGCCGGACTTCAGGAAAGCTCTAATGATGAAAGAATTTAGTGCCCTGGCTTGGCAGGAAATTTCCCATAGAAGAAGACATTTTAAAGCTATAGATCCTGTTCTTAAGGAAGAGTCTCAGTAGGTTAAGAGAAAAAAAATACGGTCAAAGTCCAAAATACAATGCCGTTGAAGCCCTGAAACATGGCGATGTGTCTGTTTACAATGAAAACACTTGGCAGCTCAGGGGGACCTCGAAGAGCAAGCAAGTCTGACACCTGATTGGGGCAATCAGGTGTCTGGGGCATGAAGACGAGGCTTCGGGAGAAACAGCTGGGTCTCTCACTCTAACCTATGTCTAAGGGAGGCAGCCCAAGTTTGGGGTGGCCCAGACCTGATGGTAGGGGCTGGCAGAGTTGATTTACCTTCCTATCTCTAGACATTTTCCTTTCTGGTCCATCCCCAACATAAACTGGGGTCAAAATGTCCTTAAGAGAGTTAGCTGTCATCTCCTAACTCATCTCCTATGAAATGTGGTGGGAACAGAGATTAGGAAGGGATGTCTATGCCCTCTCCCCACCCATGTCCATCCTCAACCCTTTCCCCCATGGATGAGGCCTCCTGTGCCCTCTTCCCACACCCTATGGCATGGGGTGAGCTCCATGCTCAGCCTCTCAGAGCTCCTCAGTTTTCCTGTCTGCACAACAGGTACTCCGATGCTCAGTGTGAGACTAGAGGAGGTGATGAGCAGGTGGCACAATGTGCAGTGCCTATGGCCAAGCAGAGCCCCAGAGGGCCAGTTCCCACTCCTCTGTCGTACTGGGTGGCACAGAGGCTGGCCAAAGCCACTGATTTCTTCCCTTCCCTCTCCAGCTTACACCTCTTGTCTTCCTTCTGTCACCTCAATTTGGGGAGGCTATAACTTCACCGGGGTTACACACCCAAGACCAGTCCATTTTAGGATCCAAGCAAAGTTTCCTGAGTAGCACTCTCTTGAGTGTTTCATTTAGAAGGTACTTGGAAGAGGTACCCCCCTTTCTTTCTTCCTCTAAGTAAGCATGAGCAAAGGGAACTGGGAAAACAGCGATCCAGCTGACCTGGAGGTACAAAAACATCAGGACCCTGTAGGAGCATCTCTCTGATGGCCCGATGAGCTTCTCCTCTTTTCTAATCCAGCATCTCTTAGATTTGTAAAGGAAGCCAGTGTCTGCAGAGCTGAATATGCAATGTCACAGCAGAGGTCTAATGGACCCACCACCTAACACACTCCTGCCTCTTTTCCGTGGCACTTCTGTCTCACTTTGAATAAACTGCCTCAAAACTGAAACCCGGAAAAACCTGACAACACTGTATATACAACTGGCCTGGTAGGTTACAAAAGAAGTTCACAACAGAGGCAACCTGGTGCCACGGAGGTCTGGATGCTGATCGAGAGCAAGCAGAGGCGTGCGCGGGGGAGGAAAGAGTGTGAATACGCTCATGAGCCTCAATACAAGAAGCTATACGGGAGGCTGGTGAGATTCTGGAAACCACTGAGACAACTGTCTGTAAATTGTCATCTGTTTCCTGGAGTGCTGTCCTAAGTCTTCCCCAAACAGAGCAATGGAATTTGGAAATGTCAAGCTCCTTGCAAGACAGCCGATGTGAAAGACAAAAAAGCAAGTGCCACGATCTTAATGCAATATGTCACAGGGACCCACGGAATCTCCTGCCTCCTCAAAGCTTGCTTAGTTCACAGTCAGAATGAGGTTCGCAGCTGCAACCCAGCTATGCAAAGGTGAAGCAGCCAGGAAGTCGGCACGTGGCTTTGTCCTACTGGTCACTATCAAACACAGTAGGAATGATGACAGTTCAGGTACTGGTCTCATAAATCCCATACCTAAGGAATTCTGCTATGTCTTATTAAAAAGAAAAAAATGAAGGAACAACAAAAAATTAAAGACTGTAAAGCAGAGACAGAGATGAACTCAGAAGTTAGGATGGATGGGGACCGAGATCATAATCTATCCTGTTTAGAAAATACTGCAGAATTCAGAAAAGCTAAGAAGCCCAATCATCTCTTGAAAATCCAAACCAAACAGGTAATTAGGTGAAGACCAACTTTCATATTCCCCTCGCCCTCGATGCTTCTTCTCACTGCCACACTCACACTCACGGGACACCCCATGGTTGGCACAGGTGACACTGCATTATGCCAAGACAGGCTCTCAAGATTTCCTGGAGGCTTTTCTTAAATCAAACATGCTAAGAGGCAAGGAGAATGGGGGTATTCCAAGGATGATCCACATTTGGGTTTATCTGTTTATAATCAGAGAATGGGGGTACACAGGCCCTCCCCAAGAGATACATTTTCTGTACAATGAAAAATTCAGTTTCCTATTTCTTAACTTTGTTTGCAAACCTACACGCCTCTTCTCTCTTCCACCATGTGTAATAAAATCCATCGCATTCTCTTCTATCTTCAGTCATGTAGTTTTTGTGTTTAACATTTATAAAATGTGTTCTTATGAGTCTGAAATCTTTATCAGTTCAAATCATTCCTGATTTCCCATCTACAACCTTCTAGGTCTTTCTTCTTTCTCTGCCGCTTTCCTTGTTTGTCAGTGTTCTGTACTGAAATTCCACAGGGATGGCAGTTAGATGAGGACTTCCATCATCTCTCCATCAGGGAACTCGGGCTTGTGCAGCAAGCTGCTGACCCGGCCTCTGTGGTCAGGCGACTTCCCATGGCCAGGAGAGTTCTCTGCCAAATAGAGGGGAAACATCAGCTGCCCATTCCTCAGGAGGGGCATAGGCTTTCCAGGTTCTCTAAAATGGACCCACGTCCGATACCACTGCACACCCAGGATTCTCACCACAGGGCATGTGAGATGATCCAGCCCACAGTGGGAACATGCAGAATGACTGGGCCAGGATTCAGACACAAATACAAACCAGGATGGTGAAGGGAGAGGATTCAGAAGGTGAGGATGACAGTGGGACTCTGTACAGGAGCCCCTCACACCCTCTACTCAAAACTATCAGGTGCATATTCTGAGCTAGGCACTTTTGACAGGTTCTCTGGCTTACTTGGAAAAGAATCACATCTTTAAAAAGTGACAACATTGTATTTACTTGTCTACTTTGAAAAATGAAATAAACAACCCCCTTGGAGGAAACAGTTAACTTAGGGCCCACAGAGCCTGCACCTCCTCAAAAGAATTCCTGAAAAGGGAGGTCCCCATGACCATGATTAGTCTCAGGTTTTAGGATGTGGAGAAGCCAATGGTAGGCTGGGTACTCTCTGGCTACTTAAAGCCTTACCCATTTAAGAACATTTGTGGGATCCCACTGACCATGGCCATGGTACTCCTTTGCTTAAGAGGAGTGCCTTAAGAGGCCAGGTCTATTCTTACCCAGGACACTTAGGGACTCACTGCAAAGATCACCTCTCCCAAGTTGTCTTCCCGTAAATATTTTAAACAGCTCGTTAGTCCTGGCCCAAGTGCTGTGCCACACGTTAACCGACTCTGCAGGTCAATCTACCTTCTCCTTCCATCACAATGTCCTCCACTGAGGCCAGAATCCCTGGTAAGTTAGAGCCCTGAAGGCAACAGTGAACTTGTGCCTTTGATGTACCTGGTGCCTAATTCTGGCTCCCAAACATACCAGAGGGCATTCAGCCCCTTAGAGGGTCTGTTGTCACTCCATCCGGGGAAAGGTTAGTTAAAAAGTATGCATTGCCAGGGTAGTCTCAAGCCGTGCACTCATTTCAAATAGTAATAAACTAGATGTGTCTATATGCATATTTATTCCCGTAATAAGAAAGGGCACACATATCCTAAGTGCATTAGAATAGCATCCCCATAGAGTAAGAGCTGATGGGTGCCCCTGCTTCCTCTCTAGCTCAACAAAAGATTCTCTTAGGCCAGACAGTTCCACAGTTTTCAGGGGCATCAAGGTGGGGTAGCCCACATACCCAGTTTCTCTGCGGTCCCTTTGGCCGCTGGGTGTTTCAGGACGGGGCTGTGAGCAGGGGTCGTGCTCAGCCGGCCGCGGCTGGGAAGGGAGGCCATGCTGGGCCAGAAGAGCTCGGCACTCTTGTCAGTCTGTGTGCTGCTGTCCTTGCTGCCTGTCTTGGCGTGGGCACTGCTGGCTGCCGTAGTGGAGGCTATGGAGGACAGTGCTGAGGTGGGTGGGGGTGGCAGCAGTGGGGCAGAGGCATGCTCATGGTGCTCCTTCCCCAGCAGCAATCCTGAGGGCAGAGAACAGATTTTTCAACATTCTTTTTTTCCTTTTTTTTTTTTTAAATCTAGTCTTGCAGATCTGTTCCTTGTTGATTGATGATTGCTTCATTCATTCATTGATTCATTCCCCAAGCATTTAATAAACACTTATTACAAGGCTGATAAAATAACAAACACTGAGAGAATAAAAAATGGAAGACCTAGTCCCCTTCCTAAAAAATTGTAGGTTTTTTTTGTGTGTTTTTTTTGTTTTTTTTTTTTGGAGTGGAGAAGTAGTTGTCAAGTAAACTGATTATAACTTAATATATAAACTGTAGGATACAAATAAATTATTCACAGGGTGGTATGGACGAACAGAGAAGTGCCTAATTGCCAGCAGGAGGGGTAGGGAGGTTCCCACAAGGCTTTCCAGAGACCATGCTTGCTGTTACCAACGTGGCCCAGAAGGGCTGGCCTGAAGCGTGGCAGTGTGCTTAAGAAAAACTACAAGGCTTCCCCGGTCCTAGACATGTTCCCATTGGCTTGCTGCTCTTCTGAATAGTTCACAATTCCACCCCACTCCTTGTAATGGATGATGGTCCCCCACAGGCTTGGATTCAAAGATAAACATGCTACCTGCACATTTCTGCGGTGGAACTGTAGCCTCCCAGAAGCAGAAAGCCAGCCAGCCTCCTAGGAAAGGCCACTTAGCCCTCTCCTTACCCCCTTCCTCAAGAGTAGTGAGGCTGGGGTGGGGAAGAGGGGATGCTGGCTATGGAAATGGGAGGCGTGGTGTGCAGAGGTGTCCATTTTCCTCAGAGCCTTCCTGGAAAGCTGGGTGGGAGGATAACTTTTTATTTTTAAATACAGCACACACGCGGGAAAGTGCCAGCACCCTAGAATGCTAGCCTATAGAAAAGGCGGTAAGCGCAATCAAGTATTTGTTCTCTTATCTGGTTAGATAGCCAGCAATTCATAAAGTATCCTCGCCAGAGCTGTTTTAAGGTGCCCATTTAGAACTCAGGGCAGTTCAGTTTGTCGAGAGCAGTGCTTTTCAAAATGCAATGTGCATAACAATGACTTGGCTATACCGTTAAAAGGAAGACCTGATCCAGCAGGCAGGGCCTGGGATTCTGTATTTCTAAGAAGCTCCCAGATGGTGCTGGTGCCACTGGTCCACAGACCACGCTGAGCAGCAAAGGCCTTCACCTGCGCTTCCCACATCATCTCACTTCATACTGCATGTCATTCCTGCGAGACAGGCCTTATCCTGTCTTACGGAGAAGGAAATGGAAGCTCACAAAAACTAACATCTCACAGCTAAGAAGCAGCAGAAATGGGACTCAAACCCAACTGTGCCTGACTTGGAGTCCAACCTATGTTCTTTCCACTTCATCGCCCAGCCTGTGGAAACTCCAGAGTCTGCAGGATGTCCTCGTAGGGAGTGACAGGCTGAATAAGTCACTAGCCAGCCATAGCTCCTGGGATACCCTGGGCAATTGGGAAGGTATATGCTGTCACCTCCACCTCCTTCCAGAGCCTATCAGGCAAGCAATGGTGACAACATGTGGGGAACTGTGCAGTCACCCATGAACCTGCCTCAGCCCCTTGGAGAGTCCCTGTGTTTGTGACACGTGGACACCAATGACAACAATGAGGAGGAATATCAGTGCAGGGAACACAGCAGCTCTTCCTTCAAACAAGTCCTCCGGCTCCCAGGCCTGGTTTAGACATGCCAGGTCCTGGGGCATACGGGCACAGACACCAGAGATGCCTGCCTGGCTGCACGTCACAAACAGGGGACTCCCAGGGAGGTTGCTACCAGAGCTGAGCAAATTTTCAAACTCCTTGACCAGGCCTGGCTCAGCACTGCCTCCCAGCTCTCTAGCTGGGGTGGGAGCTAAATGTCCTTGGGACAGTCTTTGATGATCTCAGCTGCTGTCCACACACGTCTTCTTTGAAGTGCATTTCCTTTGGGGGCAGGGGCTGCTGAAGCCACCAGTGGAGGGACTTCAAACACAGATTCTGGTTGGGAGCCTTTGATCCCCCCAACTCTGTCGGGTTCATATGGAAGCTCTTATCCCCTCTGGCCCAGAGCAGCCAGTCTCCTTTGGGGTCTTATGCTGAGGACCACTGGCTCTCAGCTGCACAGAGAAACAAAAACACGATCTGATGTGGGGAAATGCATCAAAGAAGGGCCAGACCCCTGGAGAGGCCAGAGTGCAGGGGAAGGATGTGGAGGACCTGTGTCTGAGCACGCTGCCTGCTTCCCCTCCAGCTTGGCTAGCCCAGCCAGCCAACAAGCCTGCCTGCCCCCAAGAAACCTACTCCTGGCTAAGACCACACTTAGGGAATTCTGCCCATGCAACAACAATACAGCAAAAACTTACCACCCCTACCTTATGCGAGAGAGCACTTCTTCCAATGTGCTCTCCCCATTATCCCATTCTTCCCTCCCACGCCCCATGGGGTAAAGCAGGCAGACACTGTCCTCCCCCCATTATCCCATTCTTCCCTCCCACGCCCCATGGGGTAAAGCAGGCAGACACTCTCCTCCCACCATTATCCCATTCTTCCCTCCCACGCCCCATGGGGTAAAGCAGGCAGACACTCTCCTCCCCCCATTATCCCATTATTCCCTCCCACTCCCCATGGGGTAAAGCAGGCAGACACTGTCCTCCCTTTCCAGACGTGGAAGCAGAGGTGGAGCCGTCATACAACTGGTCTAGAGCAGAGCCAAGTTCAGAGGCGTGATGTCTCTAGGCTTTTCTATGAGAGCCTTTTGTGTTATAAGGGTCACCTCAACTTACAACAATAATAGATAATTCTGATCTGAGTCAACCCATGGCTAAGAGCTACTCCAGTGGTGCAGTCTTTAGAATTTACACAATGCTTCCACATATCTATAACTGAAGTATGACTGATTTCCCTCCCCACTTCACAGATGAGTAAACTGAGACCAGGAACTATTCAGGGACATTTCCGTGTCCCATGAGTGGCAGAGAAGCTGTCTGGTCTTGCTTTTCCAATCATGGTCTGACAGAGGTGTGGGGCTCACCTATGCTCCCCTTCCAGGTCTTCTCTTCCTTCTTTTCCTCAGCCAGCTGGCTGCTGGTAAGAGAGGTCTGGCGAGAGTGTGTCCCAGTAGCTGCTGCTATGGATGGAACGGAGCGGGCAGGACGTAGGCTGGAGGAGTCTGTCTTCCCGGCATCTTTACGAGATCGCTGCTGCAGGACCTTAATCATAGCATCTTTCTCTATGATTTTGGCATGGAGATTTTTAATACTGTAAAACAAAACAAAACAGTCTCCATAAAAAGCCACTTGGCTAGAAAAACTTGAAACATTTATCTCAGGCTGTCCCAAAGACTTTAATTGTAATTTAGGGATACAGGATGAAGCACAGTACGAGTCTTCAAATGTTGATAATCTCCAAATTGTTAAGACAGGTCTTTTGTCATATGTCAAAAGAGTACACCTTCTCTGGCACCTTGGGAGACTGGGACTTCAGCGAGGTACAGTTAGAATGACCGTGGCCACATTCCTGGACCGAAGTCGGCTGGGGACCATATTTAGAGGGTCTAGCATTGGCGGTGGGGGCCGGGGGTAGGTAGGGGATAGGGAAGCATAAAAACTCTAAAGCCTCAAACAGGGTGAGCTTTCAGCTAAAGTCAATTTCTCTATTTTCTAAGAAAAAAGAACCAAGATGAACAGGTTCTCTGGTAGAAGATGATTTTTCTGGAAGAATGCTGAGTTATTTTCACAACTTTGATAGTAACTCACTGAGCCTATCTATCAATGGCTCAACTACTCAGCCCTATTTTCACATCTGCAAAATAAGAGGCCTAGGGCTCCCAGGGTTCCACAAGCCCTTAGGTAGTGAAGGGGGACAGGCTAGTTTTATTATGTCAAAAAGTCTGCTGGAAATTTTGTGTAGCCCATCAGAAGAGTGCATTAGCTAAATATGTTCTTTATTTTGGACTGGAATATATAAATTCTGGCTCAAAAACTCTGAATCTTTGGGATATAATGTTTCCCCCTTTCAGCTCATAATGTCATAGAGATAGACACCAAGAAATAACACAGACATCTAAATTCTTCTGTCACTAGACTCAGCCTGCATCTTAAAACCGGCAGGTGACACGCAATTTCCCCCAGAGAACTCCGGCACCAGATCCATTGCTGAGTGGAACCACGTGCTTAGGTTGGAACCTTTTCCTTCTCTCCATGGCACAGCATGGGGGAGGAGAGTTTTTGGAGACCTCATGCTCACAGCCTTTCAGAACAGGACAGAGAAGCAATCTGTTCTGGAAGGCCTGGAGTGTGAATGCAGCGGGCCCCACACGTCACACATAGTCGTCCCTTACGTGTATTCCATGTCCTGACACCTTCTGTTGGCCTGCACCACCTCCTCCTCCTCTTGCCAGATGTGGGCCTCCAGCGAGCTCTCTCCGTAGCTGCCATTCCGTGAGTGGTTGATGATCGTGGTGTCCCTGGCAACACAAGGATATGCGTTTGATCATAGGAAACCTTCTTGCTTTGTCTCAATGCAAACAGACACAGAATGGAGAGGCTGGTGTTCATGCTGGAACAGAGATCAGCTCTGCATCTCGCATTGGCTCATGAAGCCTTTCCCTCCCAATTTCCCCAGCTCAGTTATCAATCTCATCTGATGCCCATACAGAGAAAGGTGTAAATGCTTGTGGAGAGGTGATCACAGGGTGCCGTGCTAAAACTCCACAAACTCCTTCACCCACTTTTCCTCTCCTGAATTCTGTCCAATTCTCTTCCTTAACTAGATAGAATTAAGCAGCATCTAAGGAAAACAAAATAAAATTCAAAAATCAAGTCCCCTCCCCCTTCTGACTACATTATGTATGTAGCTACATGGCATGTTATGAATATGTAAAATGGGCACCTAGAGATTTAATCTACTGACTTATGGACACTATTATTATTATTATTATTATTATTATTGTATTTGTTGGTGTTTCCATGCTTGTACTTTTTCATGCTTGTCCTATACCTCACTTTTCCAATCAGAGTTTAGGTTTTATTTCTGTTTATCATCCATACAGCATAGAATGCCTACTTCAGTATTTTACAGTAAAATGGGGGCTCAGTAAATACTTAAAACTGAGACTGGTCCTCTCAGAGAGTGAGGCTCCAAGCTGAAGTCTTCCTTCATGTTGTATTCTGTCTCACTTCTTGTTTTATGGGCCCTGCCTGGGATGCAGGTCAGGACAATGTAATAGGCATGCCAGGGTCCAGGACAGAAAGAAGAAGGCAGACACTGTCCTTGACAAGTTCAGGTGAGGTGGGTGCAGTGAGGGCAAGGGCAGACACGAGAAGATCAAGAAGCAGTTTCACTGCAAGCATCTGTCTGACTATAAACAACCAGTCACAGATAACTATTCCTGCCACTGGTTTTGACAATTTAATTACTACTAACTAACAATGATTAGTAAAAATAAGATCACTGCATCATCTAAGTGATATAGCTCAAGATGAAAGGCACAATAATGGCTCTGACTACATGAGTATTTAATTAGTAAGACATGATGTAGCCAAGTATTTCACATCTTTTAACTTCATATTCCAATGTACAATCATACTGAAAAACTTTTTTTTTTTTGAGATGGAGTTTCATTCTTGTTGCCCAGACTGGAGTGCAGTGGCGTGATCTCAGCTCACTGCAACCTCCACCTCCTGAGTTCAAGCGATTCTCTTGTCTCAGCCTTCCAAGTAGCTGGGATTACAGACATGCGTCACCACATCTGGCTAATTTTGTATTTTTAGTAGAAATGGTGTTTCACCACGTTGGTCAGGCTGGTCTCAAACTCCTGACCTCAGGTGATTCACCCGCCTCAGCCTCCCAGAGTGCTGGGATTACAGACGTGAGCCACCGCGCCCCGCCTGAAAACTTTAAAGCTTTTTTTTTTTTTTTTACAGAATAGCCCAAAACAGAAAAATAGAGGCCCCTTTAATGACAGCTATCAACATTAATGAGCATTTACTTCATACAGGGACTGGGTAGGGCACGGTACACATGGTCTCTCATTTAGTTCTCACAACTTGTGCACAAGGTATTATTATCCTCAATTTCTAGATGAAGAAACCAGGGTTAGGTGACATTTCCAAGAATACTCAGTTAGTGAATAGTGAAAATGGATTCTAACTCAGGTATTTATGACTCCAAAGTCCATGCCCCTAACCATCGCTCTATACTCCTGCAAGTTTCATATGTCTTTAAGAAGAAGGTCTCAGCAAAGATGAGTAAAGATAAAAACAAACCAGAGGGCATATGTGAGAATGTGGCTCAGAAAAGTGCAAAGTGTCATTGAAAATACACTAAAGGCCAAATGATGTAGAAAGCAAACAAAATGCTTTAAACATATTTGCAAAATTATAAATTCACACTATGGTGCACAAAATCATCAATATAGAAATTAGTGGCTAGAAACATTTTCAACAAATTTACTTTTGGAGACTTTACATGGAGCTGGAAACAAATCTGAAAATTCATGTTTACATTGCCAAGTAAGGAGAGCAAACACAATTAGAGGAAAGCAACTTAGATAGTAAATATATAAAACTCTGAAAGAAATATTACATTGCTTTGAAATTTTTAAAAATTTTCAAAACCTTCTGCACACATAAAAGATAAGCTGACTCTCTAAAAATTCTGACCAACACCATCAAGATGCATAAAGATGGGAAAACCAGTTGGTTTACAGAAGTTATTTTCTTTGTTTAAAAATCATTGATTATAAATATAAAGCATGCATCTGTGGTTGAAAAGTCACAAAACTAATGGCTGGAAATAGTCATTTTTACCAATTTGACTGTGGCCATTTAGCACCTAGTCAATAAGAGCTCAAAATGTGTACCTTTCTCAAAAATGTTTCATTTTCCTTTTTTCTCTTACTGAAAAGAAAAAAGCAATTCTGAAATGACAGAGGTTTTCTTTGAAAAGAACATTAAGATTGGAGCTATCTGAGGTTCTCTGAACCTATTCCCCCACCCAGAAGGGGTAGTCTGTAATGGGGAGGGTAGTTGCTCACAGAATTATTAGATGCTCAATAAATATGTGTAAAAGCAAAGAAGGAGGGGTGACGGGGATGGAAAGGGGCTCCCTCTGCCCATCCAAGACTCCAAATAAGGCAGAGAAGGGGAACAGTGGGACTGGGTAAATCCCACAGAACTCCTGTTCTCTGGGGTAAGAGTCATTTCCCCTTGCACGGAGGATAAGAACAAGGCTGGGCCTAGAATCCTGTGAGTGGGTGATTGTGACTGGGTCTGGTTCTCCTCGCTCCCTACCCTCCCTCCTCTGCCCACTACAGGGTGTATGCTTTGGACTCATTCATTTCCCGACTTCTGAATTTTACTTTCTAGTCCCATTCATACCCTCAGGGCCCAGGATCCCAAACAGACATCTAACGTGATAAACCCACAGACGCTGAAACAACAATGACACGTGGAAGCCCCTGTGTCATTCCTCCAAGGTCACACATTTACACTGCTACTGGGGCTTTAGTGTCCTCAGCCAAAGCAATGTGGTCAGGTTCCCTGCTCTCATCATTTATATTTCACATGTGATGTAAGCGACACTCAGAAGGGCTTGTCCCAGATCACACACGCACAGTCAGGAAGGGAGGGAGAAGCCCTGAGCGCAGGTGTCCTGCCTCCCTGTGCAACGTTCTTTCCATTAAAGCATTCTTTCCATTAAAATTGCAGGGAGGAAGGAAACTCCCAGGGCAACCGTGGACAGCAGTGCACTAGACCACATATGTCCAAGAAGACCAGGTCCCTCTGTGACTTTATGATGACCTGTTCTCTTCCTCGGAATAGAGAGGAAATTTAGTTATTAGCTTAGAAAACAAAAAGCTGAAAAAAAAACCATTTCAATTATGTAAAAATCAACCAATGTTTCAAAAGGCTTCCCTGTGCCCATCCATATACTGCAGGGACTGAACTGGAGGCTGCAACTTCCCTCCAACTCTCAACCCAGGACCCCGGAACTTCACCGCACCATCTCAAGTGTCTATCCCCACTCCCAAAGCCTCACTCTCATGGATACTGCGGGCTGCTTCCCATCAAAGTGTAGACCCACATAAACAACGTGGAAGCACAGAAAAATGATTCCCAAACGGTCATTTTCCACATGGGTCTGTAGGTCTTTCTCGGTGCAAGTGTGCTGTGGCACCCACTGCAGACACCAACGCCCGAATGGTGGCAATGCTTTCTCCAATTCCTGGTGCTAACATCTGAGCATACCACTGGGGATTCTCCCCTACGTCGATAATGAGCCTGAGAGTCCGTGAATAACTTCAAGAGTATCCCCTCTGCACCCCAACAGGCCTTCTCGTAGTCATTAAAAATATAGTAACCCATCCCAAGGCAATGTGGCTTTTACTCCTCTCTCGGTTCATGTCCTGTCATCCAAATAGTACCATAGCCCTTATTTATTAAGAAGTCCCATTTTCTGGGTGCTCCTTTGAAATTTGAGGATCCTTTCCACATAAATTTATCCTGAATTGTGAATTCCAAACAACTTTAAGTTAAATGTCCAATATAACTTATGGGCAGAAAGCAAACTGGGTGGGAGGCAGTGAGGGGCTGGATGGGTCCCCTGCACAGCCACCCCACGTGTGTGCAGCGACTTTGCATGCAGCTGAGATCCAGTGGCCAAAGGTCAAGAGTGCCTTGCTCACTCTGACAACAGTATGTTTTAACAGAACATTTGGGAGCTTTTTTTGTGAATTACTGCACACTTTGAGCTAGTTTATAAAGACAGAATAAGCCATACACCTACAAAAAGAAGGTAAGGCAACAGAGGTAAAAACTGACAGCAGCAGAAAAGAATTTCAAACTAAATGAAATGTTTTCAAGCCAGGCAGATCTCCATTTGACACACAGCCCCATCACTCACTACCATTGTGATTAGGAATCAACCACTGTACCTCTCTAAGCCTCATTTTCTTTGCTTGTAAAATGAAGATGATAATAATATACCTGCCCTCAGGGCTGCTATGGGGATTATCTATTCTTCTAGTTTGGCCCATGATATAAACGCAGCATTAAAAAGTGCCTTAAATATACTTTCACAACATCATTCTTGGTGATTGCACAGTATTCCACTGTGTTATGTACTTTAAATTATTAAATGAACCTCCTCTTGTTGAAATCTAGGCTATGTTAAATGTATTGATATTTTCAACAACACTGAGATTAACTCTTTAGATATTCACCTTCTGGCATGTCTATGATTTTTTTAAGATAAATATCTAGAACTTGAATTGTGGACTCAAAGGAAAGATATATGTTGCCAAATCATCCTCTAGAAATGTTATACCACTTTGCTCTCCAACTAGCACTGTAACTACTTAAAAATAATTTTTAGCTGACTTCACTCCCTAGGATGGGCCTTGGACCTCTCTGGATAGCCTGTTTGTTTTGTTTTGATTTTTTTAACTGTGCTTTTATGACCACCAGAGTTCCACTGGTCTCACCTCTCAGCTGCTGCAGTGGCTGCGGCATTCATGGCAAAGTGTCGGATGGTGCTCTCCTCCAGGTACTTCTGCTCCCACTTTGTCATGTCGGCCTCCAGGGCCAGGATCCGCTCCTCCTTCTCCCGCACAAGTTCCAGGAGGGCTGGGGCATTGTATTCCGGCATGTTGGCTGGCTGGCCATTTCCATGTTTCTGAAGGAGTAGAAAAAAAATCTTGATGCTCAAAACCACATCAATGCTGTCTACACAACTGCCCATACAGAACACATGAGGTTCCCCAGATCCTGCAGCAATTCACACACCATGCTACTTCACCTCCAAATTCCTCTGTTGTAGTTAATTCTCATGGCGCTCTGCAAAACGACAATATTATCCCAGTTTTACAGATGAGAAATGAAGTTTCTGATGGATTAAATTAATGATGCAATGTCTCTCAGCTTATCAGTAGTAGGGTCAGGATTCAAACCTGGGTCTATCTCCACAGGTCAAGGTCTTTGCATGACAAGAAGTGGCTTGTCTAATGGCATGCAGTTAATTACACCAAAAGCAAGAATAGGAATTAAGTCTTGGCCTCCTGGTCTAGGGTACTTTCTCCAGAATTCCACAAAGTGATTCCAGTTGTTTGTTTCCGCTAAGGCTGGTGGGGGAAATGGAAGGCAAAGGAAGTGGGAGATGCCCCAAATTGCATCCTCCCTAGCTGCAATGCTGGGAAAGGAGGTATTCACACCTGCCCCACTCAGAGGCCTGAGAATGAGAATCAAACTAGATAATGCATATGAAAGCAGAAGACCTCTAGCATAAGGCAAGCTCATTTTTCGGCCTTTTCATCTGTGTCAATAAGAGAAAATAAAGCCATTTTCTGGATTGCTCACAAACTGAGGATGTTCATACTTCAGAATCTTTTTCCTTTAATTAGGTACACTATTTCCTCTAAAGAGCATGACACAGAAGAAGATGGCGCTCTGAGAAAGTTCTGCCTTCAGAGCAGCAGCAGAGATAAGTTATCTTGGAGTCTCAGGGTTAGGGGCCCAGTCAGAGTGTGGACCAGGCTCCTTAGTACTCCAGGGAGAATGATTTCATCCCAGTTAGTCTATGTCCTGGGGTACCCATTCCCCTCCTGTTTTCCAGTGGTTGCAAATTTTAAATGCAGAGCTGGGTGCAAGGTGAGAGGCACATGAATGCTTTACCCAGAACCACATAATCCCCTAGATTAAGAAAAGGACTGGGGAATTACCCAGAGCAACAGCTGGGCATTCAAGCTGTACTGACGGAAACTAATCCTATCAGAGAGGAAAAAAGAAATGGGTGTATGGGTTTTTTGTAAACCAAATTTTGTTTTTATTCAGTTTTTTAAAGCTACAAATATAAATTATTCTAGGAAGTGTTATCTTGCCAGTGACCAACATTATAAGTAGGAACAGAGCAGAAGGGCATACCTGTCCTCACCTGACCTGTGCATAAAGGGCACTGACTCCATCTGGCCAGGCACCTAGCCTCAGGCAGGAGAACAAATGAACCAGTCCAGCGAGATGAGACGCTCCCTTATTTTTAGAAACTTTCCAAGAAAAGTCTCCCATATTCACTAAGCTGCCATCTATGCTTGTCAGTTTCTATCTAAATCCCTTTTGTTACCATCTCAGCTGGCTTATTTTTGCAGAATCCTCTTAACCTCACGTGAGATCATGACAACTCTTCATAGCCCCCCCTAATTCAGGTCATTAAGAGTTATTTACATAAATGCATGAATGTCAACATTCAAGGGTACAGAGCTAGCATGGTCTAATGGGTAAGTGTGCTACCGAGAAAAACAGATTGATGGTCAGGTGTGCCAGCTACTGCCGCCCATTCAGCCATCTAGACGACAAGTATTGACTGAGCATGTACCATGTACCAGGGTTGCAACAGTGAACACTACAGATTAAGTCTTCACCCTCAGTGTGTTCACATGGGAGGAATGTCCTCATTAGCTACATGACCTTTAACTTCCCTGTGCCTCATTTTCCTTTCAAAGAACATTCTTCAAGAACCTTCTCTCTTCTTTCTCATAGGACTACTGTGGAAGTAAGACACGAAAATTAATTTGAGCTCTTTGTAAAAGTGATAAAATTGTGAGTTCTTAAAAATGCAAATTCCCCTCTCTCTTTTATCTTTTTTCTCTTTCACTTCCCTCCCAGTTTCTAATGATGCTGAAGTACTATTTGACCTCCCATGGTAGAGGGGCAATTACTTATAAAACAGGAACTGTTGATTAAGAGCTTTTCTTTCTGCTAGTCCTATTGTCCCAACCTATCTTTCTCTCTCCACCCCCCTTCAATAAGCCACACTTCTGTTGACCTTGTTTTCAATGAGGCTAGAAAATCCGGGATAAGGGTGGAATTTGGGAGAGGGTACCTACGAATGCCCTAAAACTTCAAATGATTCTGAAGGTAATGATGGCAATGAGAACAGCAGTGAGAGTGATTTGTTTTTAATCAGTTGCTAAGTGCAAGGCATTCCAAAAAGTACTTTGTTCAGATTTTATTTGTAGTTACAAGTGTGAGGTAAGTATAATTTATTTGCCTCACTTTATAGACAAGGAAGTTGAGGCTCAGAAAGATGACTTACTCTAGGCTACTTTTCTGGTGGGAGGCAGGATTCAACCGTGGCTGGTTTAACCCTGGGGCCCACGCTCAGAATCAACACACGATTCCATGCCTCTCTGCTCATCCTCAGCGTACCAGCCCTTCTGGAAAGGTCCAGAAGAAATAATTGAAATAATTGGAGCTGCTCAAGGGCTCTGTGTTGTTAGAGGGGGCCAAGTAGATGGGCTCAGCTGTGTCCCGGCATAAGTCAAAGGGCAGAGCCCTTGTCTGGGCTGTTGATTCAACAAGAACTCTAAGCTGTGCTCTCAAAAGTCTCTTCAGAATCATGCCCTATGGGAAGTGGTGAGTCCATGCGGTTGGTCTGTTGTTCTGTTGAGGGTGGAGATGACCAGGAGCTTTGTGACAGTGTGACCCCAGCATGCTTTCTAAAGCTGTCAGATAACTGCCTTGGACACAGGGATGAAGGAACAGGGTGTGGTGTGGACGGCAGAAGTCTTTCCCGAGGCTGCTGCCCAAGAACTGGCAGGCATATTCATGAGTTGCGTGAGGGTGAATGAGGAGGAGGGGATCAGAGAGGCCCTGGATCCCCTTTCCCGGACAGGCTGAGTTCCTCAGATGACCCCATGTTCTCAAGTGGATTCCGAGTCATCTCTGGTGAGACCAGCAGAGCTGCCCCCCAGACCAGCCCACAGGCCCCAAAAATGAGTTTAGATACACTTTGCCCTTTACACAGTATCTGCCACATGGAACCAGTAAAAAACTCAAGATGTTTCCAGTGGATTTTTTTGTAATAACATTTTAACCTTTTTTTGGTTATAAGATAATGTATGCTTACTGGGAACATTAGAAAATAAAGAAATATTACAGGAAAAAAAAATAATAAGATTGAGCATCCTAAACCTGAAAATACAAAATCTAAAACACTTCTGGTCCCAAGCATTTCAGATAAGGGATACTCAACCTCTACTTATCTTTTTAATGAGTATCAAGAGCAACAGGGACATAATCCCTGAATGTATTTCATATCATAGGAGGCAGATTAATGCTCTCATTAAAACAACAACAACAACAACAAACTGTAATGTTATTTTTAAAGAGATGCTGAGCATCACAATTCTGTTTAGAGACTGTCTCCTCCTCTTCGGTCTCATGTCAGCCATACACAGCTGGGGGTCTGCCATCAGCTCCCGAACACAAATCCAAAATGAAAGCAGAGTAATTTCCCGGGAGAGCCTCAATTCTGAAATTTCTGTCCCCTACTGGCACTCCTCAGCCTGTCAGCAGCCTTCATGCACAGCAGGAATGTTGTTTTTGCCTGCCTGAGGAAACTGTGTGGGTGAGCGTGCATGGGTCTGAGTGTGCATACAGCCAACTATCCTCTGTGGCAATTAAGATATTTTTCAAATAATTCTAACATTTTATTTCTTCTTGATAAACAACAAGGATAACGGAGGTGAGTCTGGTTTCACAGCACTCAGAAGAGCCAAGGAGAAGTAATCTAACTTTAGGGTGTGGACGGCATATTAACCAGGAAGGAACATTCTTTATGTGCTCTAAGAACCGAGATGTGCCCATTTGGTTAGCCAAAGAAAGACTAATCAGTGTCTACTGTGGGCCAGTGCTGTACCTGGAACCAGGGAGAACCCCTGTCCCCAGATGGGGAAGCGAAGATCTCAGCAACTGAGTGACAGAGAACAGCTGAACGGTGTAACTCTGTGCCAAAGTATGTGGCACAGTTTATCAGTATTAGAAGTCCACAGACAGACCTGCCTTTTCTTACGAGCTATCCACCAAGCCAAGACAGTGGGAGGCGGAGGTGGGTTTCTTACTTTTCTGGGCAATCTCACTAACACCTCCTTCTCCAGCCAAATGCACATACCCAGAGGGAACTGCATGGGCCTGCCCTGTGAGAGGGCTGAGCTGGCCTGAGTGCATGCGCTCAAGTGTTTTCAAGTGTTTCAACCACAACCACTATGCCCTATCCAGTAGATAATTCCATGGGGCCCTGCCTTGCATTTCCCTGGTATCCCAATTTAGAACACACCCTTCACCAGCTACATAAAGGCCTCTGCTCATCATGCTGGGTGATGGTGGACAGGCTCATCTGGGGCCAGGAGCCTTTGACCAGTCTTCTTCCTGCTTGCCGTGGTGCAGGTGAACCCCAGGCTGGGCTTTTCACTCTGTGCTTACTCATAGCTGAGTTACATGCTCAGTTGTTACCAGCAGAGAAGGACAGGCAGCAGGAATAGGGAATTATGGCCAACATTATTTTCTAGGGATGGTCTTACATCCCTTCCTCTCCTTTACTTCTGAAAACTCACTGATCATCATGGGCTACTAATGTCACCCCCTTATTGGCTCTTCCCTTCAACTCCTCCATGGGTTCTCACTGTCACTACACCCTAGGCTGCACCGACAACCTTCAGGCTGGCCTCTGCAACTTTAACATCCACCCTCTGGATGGTCCTCTGACATCAGAGGGCTCTCTCCCTGATCTCTTGCATCATGTTTCTCTCCAGCTTAAAAACTTCCCAGTTGTTGGTACTCTGTTGACTATAAGAAAAAGCCCAGTATCTCAGCTTGACCAAATGTCCTCCACAAGTGGCCTTAGTCTCCTCACCAGCCACTGCACTGGGCACTTTCCCCTAGCTACCTGCACCCTGCTACCCTGGACGTGCTATGTCGTTTCAGGGCCCTGTCCTTTACCATATTCTCCCTCTACCTATGATGTTCTTGCCCTTGAATGCCCAAAAACTCATCTGTCAATGTCCAGCTCAAATGTCTTCCTCTCTGAAGTCATCTAATGCTGCATTCCGCTCTCCCCAGCCCCAAGCTGGCGACCACTTTCTCTCTGTGAGGACATCTGTCACTCCAGTGAGCGGACTGCTCGCCTTCTCTCCTGGTTGTTGTATGGGTTCACTGAGGACAGGGAGTTCTTGTTTCCCTCTGAATCCTGGGAGCAAGGTGCAGGATCTGGCCCATGGTAGAACATCCATACGTTTGCTGAGTGAACATATCTAATTCTTTCACCAGTCCATGCCCAGTTCCTTACCTGCTGGGTTCTCAGTGCATCCAGCTCTCTCTCCAGCCAAGTCCGCAGTCTCCGCTCCATCTGTTCTCGCTTCTCACATGCAGACTGCAGCTGGGTCAGGGCCTGCTGCAGCTTCTCAACTTTCTCAACATATGCTTGCTTCTCTCGTAACTGAGTGGAGAAGAGTAAAAAAGAGCACAGAATTTAGACCACTGATTCTCAAAGCTGGGGTGGAGGAGGTGGGGTCAGATTACCTGGAGATCCTATTTAAACTACAGGTGCACGTACCTCCCACCGCCCTACTCCTATCCTTCAAGTGCACTGGAACAGAAAAGATTTACACATAGACTGCCAGTTATACCTACAATGGCTAGGATGTATGAAATTGAAGACTCTACTGGGGTACCTGCTTTTGGTAATTTGTGCAGCTTTGAGCTCAATACTCATTTATTGCTTAATAATTTCTGCATTTTCAGGCATTGGAAGTGAGGTAAATAAAGAGTTTTTGCACGTATGTTTATTGCAGGACTATTTACAATAGCAAAGACATGGAAGCAACCCAAATGTCCAAGACAATGTGGTACATATACACCATGGAATACTATGCAGCCATAAAAAGGAATGAGATCACGTCCTCTGTAGGGACATGGATGAAGCTGGAAGCCATCATTCTCAGCAAACTAACACAGGAACAGAAAACTAAACACCACATGTTCTCACTCGTAAGTGGGAGCTGAACAATGAGAACATATAGGCACAGGGAGGGGAACAAAACATACCAGGGCAAGTTGGGGGCCGGGGGTGAGGGGAGGGAGAGGATTAGGACAAATAGCTAATACATGTGGGGCTTAAAACCTGGATGATGGGTTGGTAGGTGCAGCAAACCACCATGGCACATGTAGACCTATGTAACAAATCTACACGTTCTGCACTTGTATCCTGGAACTTAAAGTAAAACTAAAAATAGCATAAAATAGATAGAATTAAAAAAAGAGTTTTTGACATCATGAAGAAATGCTTATTCTATAATGTCAAGTGAAAAATCCAGAATCAAAAATTATATACAACATTATCATAACAATGTCTATCCATGAAAAAAAGGCAGGAATGAAATACTTAGCATTAAGCATGCTTATCTATATGACAGAATGGCAATTCTTTATTCTTTTCTATATTTTTTCAAGTTTTCTATAAGCATAAATTACATTTATAATAGAGAAATTAGGTATGTATTTATATATGTATGTGTACCCATTTATGTATGTGTGCATAAATAAAAAATTTTTCTTATTACAGTTATCTATGGAGTAACTTTGTCCTAAAGATTTCAGAGTCCTTTATAGATAGGTAGTTGGGGCCTTGAAGAGATGGGAAGTGCACAGTGAATATTCAACAACACAATAACTGAGGAGATGGAAATTAAGGTTAAAATAATTTATGGAAATGTCACATCAGCTATGGATTTAGAATTATGACCAACAACTTCCAACTCTTACTCTCACACTTTGTTTTCTTCCAATTAGGAGTTTGGCCCATGTTCATAAATCCTGGGCATACTGACAGCATTCTGAGAACTGGCTAGTGCCAAAAATCAGGCTTAGGCATCAACTTGATTTGGTCCTGGGTGAGAAGACACCAGATGCTATTTCCTGTCATTCCGCACCTGGGTGTATTCAATCTTAAGTTCAGTGATGACACTGGCAAGCTGGAACATGCTAGTGATTTAGCTGCTAGGTGAGCTTTCTGACTCAGCAGGCAGCATTGCTGTGAGTTATACCTATATCCTGTCCTAGCTGAAGCCACTGGAATAAAATGGAGATGCTTTGACCTTTCAAGGAGGAGAGAGCAACTTTAGACTTTTTACACCTGTTCTTGGGATTGATTTTCATCTGGCCCTTTCATTCCTTGTGATTTTGATTGCTCAATTCCACTGGCTTCTGAAGACCTACTAAGTGAAGGTTCCTGCAGCCTCATCTGACAAAATATTTTGTGTGTGTGATTCATACACCACTTACCATATCTTCCACTGAGTATACTTTTCTGAATGTGCAGCTACTAGAATATAAGCACCAAGAGATTTGCCTATTTTGGTCTCCACTGGGCAGAGTGAACAGGGCGTACCCAATGCCTGGAATAGCGCTCAGCATTTAGTAGGCACCCAATAAGTATTTGTTAAATGAATAAATACTATCCTTAAGCAATTGCAAGAAGCTTGAAGGCAGGAATCTGTCTCCTTCACCTTTGTATCAACCTTAATTCTAGCAAGGCATATATCCCGATGAGGATGATTAGTAACAGTAATTACATCAGCCAACACTGTTGGAACACTACCATGCCAAGCATTGTGCTTTATATGTAGTATCTCATTTAATCCTCCAAGTAACAACAGGAAGAGGAGGTAAAGTCCTTTATTATCTCCATTAGAGATGAGAAAAGTCTTCAAGGTTACGTGACTTGCTTAAGGTCACACAGCTGACAGGCCATAGAGCCAGGATTCTCATTTACAGCTGTCTGCTCTAGAGTTCACTCTTACCCATCATGGTAAATTACAGTAGGCTCTCAGTATCTGAACTGAATTAAGACCCTTAAAGGAAACTCTAATTAGAAAGGAGTGATGCTGGAAGCAGACCTATGAGACATTCTGGAGAGGCTACATTCAACCAACCAAAGATTTCACATAAATATAATGATTTAAAAAAAAGACCCATATTGGTTGTTATAACTTGTCTTCAAGAAGCTCACAACTAATTTTTACTTTAATAGAAATATTAAAACTAAAAGATTTTAAAAACCATGATTTTCCTTAGCTCCACTCATGGAGATGGAGATGTCATTTCAGTGATGACAATAATGAGAAGCCCCAGCCTCCCTTAGGCATAACAGATCTCCTGTCTTTAAGGGGTTGAGGTCACTTTCTGTGGCAAGTGTTTTCATATTTAATACGTTCCTTAGTGGCAACATGGAAGGCTGTTGCCCCGGAGCCTTATGCTAGTATTAAAATGGTAGTTTCTATGCAAGACTTATGGGGTTTTAAAGGCTTCCAATGGGCAAGACCCTCGTTTACTCCATCATCTTCCTCTTCAGCTGCTTTATCCTTGTGTTTGAAATCTGATGAAACATCCCTGTTACTTAGCATCGGGGGAGGTTTTCTGAAGAGACAGTTTTTTTAAATTCAACAACAGTTGGGTTAGTAACAATACTGTTTCCTTTGTGCCCAGCAACAAGCTAAGCACTTCAGGCAGACTTTCTCAGTTAAGACTCTTATAGACTTTGGGCTTCTACTTCCTGGAACGGATCCTGCTCAGGTAAGCCTGTGTAACACAGAGGCACCTGCCGCCACCACCACAGGGTGCTGGAAGGTGTGAGGCAGCTGGCCCCTGGCTGCCTGGCTAGGCCTCTGCTCCTTTTCTTCTTCTTCATCTATAGCCTGGATTCCTTGGCTTGGACCTCGGAAATGGTCATTTTAATTCCTCAGTCAGGCTTTAAGGAAAAGGCTACCTCATAACACTTAAGCTAACGGGTTGATTTCATCAGAAACTACTAAATGCAATGCATGATGACTGAGTAGGACACGTGTCAACCGATGGGCTGTAGGCTGGGCTTCACACCGAGTGTGAGTGCTTTGCTGATGGGATTCCCATGTGCTTTTCATACTTTGCCTGGCTCTAGAATGCATAGACTCTGTTTTTATTCACTTTTATTTGAGAAGTTTCCCATATCCCTCCCCTGTCTCAACTCCTTGGAATTGGCTCTGGTTAAAGTAGGTGGGTTAGGAAAAGAAAGTGGAAGCCCTCTGGGCTCTGCTTGCCCTCTTCCCCACCAAATCCCCACAGCCTGGTCTCACCTCCTCTTCCAGCTTGATGACCCTGGCCTGGGCGTTGCTCAAAGCCTGGTCCAGGATCTCGATGTGTCTCCGATGGTCCTCACTTGCAGTCCGCACTGCTGCTAACTCCATTTCTAATTTCTCCTTTTCCTTCAAGAATTCTTTGTCTAGAAGGGAAACACGAACAAAACTACCTCTATCAGAAATTGCACACCCTCTGGGCTCACGGCCAGTCGACATCTGGCAAGGATTAAAAATAAAAAAGCATGCAAATAATGGAGGACTGAATTGCTGTTTCTGCTCCCTTTTCATAGTGGTGGTATGGAAGGTAATGGTTTTCTCAAAAACCACGGTCAACAGTGGATACATTCCAGGCCACACTTGTGAACAGTACACAAAGAACCAGTGACCCTATATTCTCGATAACTCACTTCTCTACAACATTGACTTTCATACTTCAAATCAATCTTGTATCTACTATTACATTTTATGCTTACAACATTCCCTGCTTCCATTTTCCAAATCTGTGATGAAAGGGTGGGTAATATTAATAATAATATTAATATTCTCATTCATAGAAAAATAAACCAAGGTCCAGAGAGGTAAGCTCTTTGCCTGAGGCTAGACAGCAGAGGGGAGCTTCAAGCTCAGGCCTCCAATCTCCAGGTAGATCCTCTTTCCATATGACCTGGCCCCACAATTTCCCCTTTTCCTGCTAAAAAGGGGAAAGGGACAAGGCTTTAGATTTAGGAAAACTGCTTTTCTCTCATTCAATGGTGATGTAATGATGGCGATCACTGCCTCTCTTTGCATATGGGAAGCCAAGGCTGGTATGCTCTTAGTTACCCATCGTCCTATACAGACTGCTCTACTGTTGTAGTTTAAGCAGGCAGCGTCGATAGTGTCATGGAATGAGCATTTCTTATTGAAAATACTTTTCATGTTGCAAAAGCAATATGCTGTTTTTTAAAAATAAGACTATTTAGATACATTGCTTATAATATGGAAAATTGAACAAACAGTACGTAAGAGATTGGCCAAATAAACTTCTAGAAACTCTCTGATAGGATGCATCCATTAAAATTAAATAAGAGAATACTAGTGACATGAAAAAAAGTCTCCTTGTTGAAAACAGGTAGTTACAAAACCGTATGCATACTACTCCATATTTATAGAAAATGAGGCATAGAATGACAATAGTAGCAGCAACAATAGTAGTTAGAAATGGATTTCTCTGTGCCCACACCATTTCAATGTTCCATACTGGCTATCTCAATCCTAGCAACCCACACTGAACCATAGAGAACCCAAGTCTGGAAGCGACATCAGTGGTTAACCAGTGGTTAACAGTGTTTGCATTCATTCATATTTCTGTCTATATTCATTCGTTAATTTAACGAATAATTATTTAGGACCAGCACTATGTGTTCTGAAGTAATAGAAAGAATGCAGCACACTAACAGGGCAGAAAAATGTGGTTTTAAATACAGGGCATGGAAATTAAAATGACACTGTAAGGCTGCAAATATCAGATAAACTCACAACTTTAGAGCCAGAAAGGATCACAGGAAACATCAACATCCAGTTCTCCCTCTTTTGCTTCATTGCTGAGAAGAGGAAAGCCCTGAGGAACAAAGGCACTTGTCCAGGGTCTCCCAGCCAGTGGGGACAGAGACAGGGCCAGAATCTGGTCTTCCTGATGTCCCAGTACAATGTCCTTCCTTCTTGACTGCACAACCCTTGCATTGTCGAATTATGTCGATGGGATCAGAGGGCAATGGAACAGCTTCTGAATCGATAGACTGAAGGAGCTGACTTGTAAAGCTAAGTGGTGGCTGTGCTTCCTAGAAACAATGGCATCCCTGAAAACAAGATGAGGCCACCAAGATCCTGACTCAGAGCACAGCACTACTTCTGGGCTCTTTATGCCCCACTGCAGTGACCCACTGCACTGCCCCTTCTTCCTTTCTGCAGCATTTGAAATGGTGCCTCTGAAACTTCCTTCCCAATCCACGGGCATGTGAGACCTCAGCAACAACAGGCATGTGAGAGACCTAAACTAAGGGGTCAGTAGCAGCCCACTAGCGCTGCCCGTCCCCATCCACAGCCCTGAAGGGATCAAAGCACCTCACTCTTTCTGTGCAAAGTCACTGATATTTGACCACCTAACCCTAGGTTTGGACAACATCTCAATGGGCATAGTGGCTGCTGGCCTTCTCCAAGCTCTGGAGGGCACTCAGGTATTACTAAGCAGGCATCCTGGAGATGAACCACAGGATCTCAGAGCTTCTGCCTGGTTATCAACCTAAGCATAAAAGTTCTTCTCTTTGTTGAGGGCCACCAAGTATACACTAATGTTGACCAGAAGTAATAAAATGATAGTCTGAGCTCAAGAATAGAAGCCACAACCAAAGCTTCTCATGTTCTGCAAATCAGTGATCACTATTATTGATTGCTATGTCACAATGATAGCTATTTAGATAGTCCTGAGTCAACAAACACCCCACCCCCTCCAACACCCCCCCACCGCATATATACATGATCTCAGCATTTGCTATTTGCTTGATAAGCAGTATCATATTGTAGCTAAACAAAGGATTTTTAGCATGAGAAAGACCTGGATTCAAATCCTAGGCTCACTACTTTACAATTATGAGGCCTCAGGTGAGATATTTAACCTCTCTGTGCCTCAGCTCCCTCAACTATCAAATGGCAATGGTAACATCTACATCACAGTGTTATTACAATGATGCTGTTGATGACGATGATGCTTATAAAGTATAAAGGACTTTGTTTGGTTATTATTGATTCCCTGGGCCAATAAGAGCATCTGGCTCAAAAATATTGTTGAATGAATGAGTGAGTCTCTATTATGTGCCAAGTTCAGTGTCCACTGAACAAGAAATTATAGCTCCTGTTAGCTATTAGGTATTCAGTATCCTCATGACCTCCTAACAGCCTTTGTTATGCAGCTGTCCACTCGACCTTCAAACCCACTGCTCGCTTACAAGCCGCGACACATCAGATGGCTGGTACTGACCATGGATACCTCTGGTTCCTTCCTCTGCCCAGGCTCCCTAAACCCCACAGTGTACACTACAGACAAAGATGTGGAGACTGGACAAAAGCTACATTCGTTTCTGGGGTGTTTTGTAGACCTCTGAAATACATGGGTCAAACATCTCTGTCCTGAATTTAGTGACTTTAGACTTCAAGCTCCAGCAGTACCATTTAGTATCACTCACACTGGTTCAGAACTGCTTGTCCACTGATAGGAAGTAGTGTTGTCAATTATAAAGTTTTAAAAACAATGCTCATGATAATAGTAGTAACAATATCTTCCCATGTTTGTTGAATAAGTATTGTGTTCCAGGAATGGTTACTTATAGTAGTCTCTTTATTCTAAGTTTACTGTATGAGGTAGGCACCATAATTCTTATTTTCCAGCTGAGGAAAATGCCACTAAAAAAAAGGGTAAGTAACTTGCCCACAGAGGTGATGATCATCAATGGCAGAAATAGAAGTTGCATTTATATCTAATGTGTGTTCCCAAACACAGCCCTGTACTGCCCCTCCTCTCCAAGCACACATAGGGATAGAAGAGCCCCATTATAACACAGTTTACTATTGCACAGATTTAAGTTATGTCACAGGTCATATATCTCTGAAAACATAGCAATTACATTCACATGTGTATCCATTTACAAATATTAACTAATGAAGCATCTACTACTCAGAGGCATCAGAGTACTGCCTGGGTTCACACCCAGCTCTTCCACTTATGGTTCTGTGACTGAGGTAGTAAACAAACCTCTCTGTGCTTCAGCTTCTCTGCCTTTAAAAGTAAGCATCACAATAGTACCTATTTCAAAAGGCATATAGTAAGTTCCCGATGAATGTCAACTTCGATAACACTGGTTATTATTGTTGTTACAGGAAGCATGATAAATTCTAGGGCTATGAGGTGAGTAGGATGTAGCATTCTGCACTTGATCTGGTGGGAAAAGACGTAAGGACATGGGCAAAGGCAATGTGACAAGGTGCTCTAACAGATGCATGCACAGGGTGCTATGAGAACACAGGAAGGACAGCTAATTCAGGGCAGGGAGTGAGGAAGATGGGGTATCAAGGCAGTGAGCCTACAAGGTGGGCTAGCTATGCTCCCCAACTCTTGGAGACATGGGGACCATGAAGTGTATCAGACTCACTCAAAGAAGTCATCCTTCGGGAGATAACAAGGGAGAGTCCCATGGTGAAACCACCTCATAAGAAGGCCCTTCAGTTTATTAGCTAAGCCTCTTAGGATGGATCTCAAGAAAGACAAGTCTCGTGATGAATTTTTGGTAGGGCTCCAATATATATACTGAGAATTCCTAGAACAGGCAAGTTGACACAAGGGAATTCTTGCCCAGAATGGTCTGTTTACTCAGTGGATATGAACTACCCTGAACTGTGTGGCGCAGGGAGCTGTTTAGCTTGATGGCTCTGGTCCCATTTACATAGAAGGATGTCTGCTCATACACTGTTTACTCTTGAAACCACAGTGATGGCACAGGCTGTGTGGCCAGGCCGACCTGGTTTGACTTTGGCACCTTCACATAGCAGCTCACCTTGGACACATGACTTTACCTCTCTGAGACTCCATCTCCTCAAATGAAGCTCACAAGATCTATTTTGCAGAACTGCGGGTGAGGATTAAAATAAGTACCCATAAAATGCCTACCACAGGACTTGGCACATAGTACTATACTTGATAAATAACAACAAGAGCTAACATATATTCCTGGGGACTTACCATGTCCCAGCTACTGTTCCAAGAGCTTTACAACATATAATCCTCACATAAGCCCCATTTGACGAATAGAAAACTGAAGCAAAACAAGCTATGACACTTGTACAATGTCGAATGGTGGTCCCATTTGTGTCTCCACCCGTACGTTAGTCTCCCTTGCTTGAGGAAAGAACACAAGTGGTAGAAAGTAGAAATAGGCCTAATAATTCAAAGATGTCCCCTTTCTGTCTTACCCTTCTCCTTTGTCAGTTCTGGGTAAGGTTCCAAGTGGACACCCTGCTGAAACTGTTTCTGTGATTACTATCTGAGCACTAAGCCTAACTGCCAGCTGATCCATGGGACAGACGACCCTGTTCTACCATCTTAGCCACTTCAGTTAAGAAACATTGAGGGTGGATGTGTGTATAAGGTCAGGGCTCTATGTGCTGTGCTACAGCTTCATATTCAGTGCTCCCACTTATGGCTGGGGCTTCTGAGGACAGCAAACCTGTAAGCCAGCACTTCCTACATAGGAATTAATTTCTAGGGCTTTCTGATATAACGGATTTTTGAGAAGTTTTTCCCTACCCCATGTAGCTGGAGAGATAGAGGAGTCCAGCTACTGCCTGCTTGATCAAGTAGTGTCTAAGTCACTGGAGTGCTTGGTAGGTAAAACATAGGTGTTTGCTATGGTTTGAATATGGTTCCCCAAATTTCATGTGTTAGAAACTTAATCCTCATTGTAACAGTATTAAGAGGTGGGGCCTTTAAGA
This sequence comes from Homo sapiens, assembly GCF_000001405.40. Taxonomy (NCBI): domain Eukaryota; kingdom Metazoa; phylum Chordata; class Mammalia; order Primates; family Hominidae; genus Homo; species Homo sapiens. Next base: position 94,844,736 of record NC_000011.10, on the reverse strand, counting down.
GGTGATTAGGCCATGAGGGTTCAGCCCTCATGAATGAATTAATGCTGTTACTGTAGGAGTAGGTTGGTTATTGTGGGAATAGGCTACTGATTTAAAAAATGAGTTCTGCTTGATTCTGTCTCATGGGATCACTTCTGCCTTCTGCCCTTTGGCCATGCAATAACAGAGCACAAGGCCCTCACTAGGTGCCAGCACCATGCTCTTGGACTTCCCAGCCTCCCGAACTATGAACCAAATAAACTTCTATTGTTTGTAAATTACCTAGTCTGTGGTATTCTGTTACAGCAGCAGAAAATGAACTAAGACAGTATTCTTTTCCTTTTTCAGCTGGAATCAAGGTTTGATCCTTAACCAACTGGATTTGGGGGGTTTAGGTCTCTCAGAGAGAGAGAAAGAAGAAAGGAAGGGAGAGAGAGAGAGGTATGAAGGCATAAAAATAGGCCAAGCTAATTCTGTTCAAGCTCCAAATTCCAAATGCTCCCATAGTGACACATAACTAGCCCATTTTGGCACCTGCTTCTGGAGAGTCAGGTATCTCTCTGGCACTTCTCAAGGAAGGTTCTTGGATGTGGGAAGAGGGGGTGGTGGTGGCAGAGTTAAAGGAGGAGGAGGCAGACACAACAATGAACCTCAGAAATGCTAATAACTGATTTTAGAGGACAGTCTCTGGGACTCTCTGAGTGAAGATAGCTTAAAGGGCATTACCAGAGAAGAGGCCATAGACAAAGGAGAGGCCGAGTAGGGAGACTGATGGGAGCCATGTACAACAGTGTCCAGGCCCTCTATGTACCGTGCCAGAGCCCCAAGTCCAGCACTGGAGGTTCACTCAGAGAATGAACCTCCGCGTGAAGAGGCCAATGCTTCCTAACCTGGAATGCTCTATGAAATAGACAACTTTCATGCTATCTGCCCAGCTAGTCCAGTGCTGATCAACACCAATGGCATCAATTCTGTTAACTATAAACTTCTCCACAATGCTGCTGAAATGAACTCCTCTTATGAAAAGATGTCCAAATAATTATCTGCCACATTATCCCTCCCTAATGTTTCTCCTCCATTTCTTCTTCCTCAGTGATCCCTCAGTTCCAAGATACCTGGCACCATATCTGATAATACTGAACAGATGTTGGAGAGGATTCTATTCCAAGGGACAGCTACAATTTATAGGGTAATTGAAGGGTCAGATTTATTAGAAAGTCCTTGTTGATACCAAAGGTAATTTCTTTTTTTCTGAGGTTGTGGGAGTGGAAAGACAATAGGAAGATATTTCATTTACTTTACTGTCTACAAAACTATTTAGGTTCCTTCTGCCTCAAAGATATTCCACACTCAGGGGCCCCTTCTTAACATCTGCCCCCACATCCTCACCCCAGTTTGAGTCAAAATGATGAACCTAGAAAGAGACTCAAAAAAAATAGAATCCAAAAAGAGCACTGGTTACAACACATACGAGTGATCTATTCACATGAGGCTTATTTGATGCAAAACAACATGAAACACGATCTACTTTTTAAAGCCACACATTAATTCACAAACAGAAAAGCAATATGATACAACGCTGACCTTAGAAGATGCTGGTTTGATTTTTTGTTGTCTTTTTAAAATTTGCTGATGGTTTCTTGGGTAAGGAGGCTTGTTATTTGGGGAAAGGGTCTTCAGCTTTCTGCTGTCCCTGAGCTCTGGTGCAGATTACCAGGGTTCTGCCAGGCAGCTGGATACATAGGCTGCAAGTGGGTGGTTAAGGTGGGTCTATTCACAAACAGGAACACTCCAGCGAGGGCTGGTTTTAAATGGCAGAGAGAGTGGAGTGTTTTTAAATGAGTTATGTAATAAGGAAAATTAAGAAGGGGAATTCAAACCAAACTGTTCTGCAGAACCCTGGGAGAGGGACAGGGAAGGGAGGGAAGGGAGAGAAGGGACATTGGGGCCAAGTGGGAAGGAGAGGAGTTCTGAAGATGAACCCATCTCAGCCAGAAATTTCTTCAGCTGTCCTTCATTTTACATATTATGCTTCCACACTATCTGAACAAGAGTTCTGAGTTTGAAAGCTACTAGTTTAGTCATTACAAAAGAGACAAAGATTTGTGGAAATGGCTGCTGTTAAAATGTGGGGAAGAAATCTTCTGGAGAGATGGATAATATGGGAAAATGAGGTAAAGCCTAAAGTGCAATGCATTTATTCAAACTCTGTTGCCTAAATGTAAAAGAATAGGAATGTCCCTGTTGACACAGTGCTGTGCAGCAAAATTCTTCTAAACTGTTAATGACTTTTCAAGGCCCACCCTAAAGGCTATAGGCTTCTCCCCCAACCCACTTTTTTTTTGAGGTGGGGGTTCTTTTGAGTGTGGTTCTCTAACAGGTCCTTGCCACATTCTGCCTTGCACTCTAGGTCCAGTGGCTGATGTGTGTCTGTCTCATTTTTCCTACTGGACCTCTTCATAGTGACTAAGCTCTCTTCACGGTGCGTCGAAACCCTTCTATCTTCGTAGGACTCTAAAGATCTAAGATAACCGACGTGTCTTATATGTGAAGAAATTAAGTTTAGGCAACAGCTTATTGAATAAGAGGATGCTATTGGTATATAATCAAATTCTAACTGAGTCTTTAAAACAGTTTTCAAATACTTGTTACTGAAAAGTAACAAAGCCTAACCACAAAATCTTCTATTGGTCTAATATAGGAAAACAACACATTTTTGTCTTAACATAGTTATAATATTTTTGTTATTTTATATAATTTATCTATTGCTCTTATCCAGAACCCGCAGTGAGTTTAAAGCACCAAAAGTAAAATATCTCAGGTAGGATTTGGTAAAATATTTATTTGACTCTCTACCTGTAGAAGTTCTCTTAAATACAATTTTCTCTGATCTAGTTATTCCTCACATTGCACTTTACTTCTGGAAATTGTGCTTACACATTTAGGGGTAATTCAGAGGTTTTTTTACCCACCCAAGTTTATTACATATGCACTTTACAAACTTGCCTGACTGAGGAGACACCCATTCATCCAGCTCAGCTTCCAAATGTACTGTTCAACCTTTCACTTTATTTTGTTTTACTTGAAATAAAAATGTACTGCTACTTCGACATCACTGCTGACAGCATAATAAACTAGATAATGAATTAATAATGCCACATAAATATAGGAGGCACAGGGCTCTTGGTTTCGACTATATACATACTAGTGATTCCATTTTAAATCAAACCTGAAGACTTAAACTTTTTGTAACCACCACTGAAGAAAAGTGCTTTTTTGCCTTCTTTTTTCTTTCTTTCTTTTTTTGAGACAGAGTCTGGCTCTGTGGCCCAGGCTGGAGTGCAGTGGTGCCATCTCGGCTCACTACAACCTCTGCTTTCTGGGCTCATGCGATTCTCCTGCCCCAGCCTCCAGAATAGCTGGGATTACAGGTGCGTGCCACCACGCCCAGCTAATTTTTGTATTTTTAGTAGAGATGGGGTTTCATGGTGTTGGCCAGGTGTTGGCCAGGCTGGTCTTGAACTCCTGACCTCAGGTAATCAGCCCGCCTCAGCCTCCCAAAGTGCTGGGATTACAGGTGTGAGCCACCGTGACTGGCCTTGCCTTCTCTTTTCTTAACATAAAAAACTGACACTTCTAGTTGCAGATATGACAAAGTAAGACCCTCCTGGACGATTTGGCTCCTGTGCAGAGAACAACCATAAAACCTGGCCATAATATAAAGAATAATGATCTGAAGGTGTTAAAATGTGAACAGAAGCAGACAGTTTCTGATGGGGAGTAGCAGCTCACTTACAGAGGTGAGGAGAAGCCATACTAGCTATATAAGTTCTGTACCTTGATTTTGCTCATTGTTACATTTCAGGAAATAGGACATTTAAGTGTGTAAATTTTACTGGATGTAAATAATGTCTTAATTGAAATCAATATAGGTATAAAACAAATATAGGTATATAAATATGTATATAACATGTATATACTTATATTTGTTTTAACTAAGGCATTAAGGCATTATTATATGTGTGTGTACATATATATGTATATATATATGTGTGTGTGTGTGTGTGTGTGTGTGTATATATATATATATATATATATATATACGTTTTTTAAGTGGCCCCTCTGAATGGCAGATATGGCTTAATCAAAGCTTGCCCCAAAGACAGAAGTTATGCTGGGGAAATCATTACATCCGGCGGAAAAAGTTGTTTATGCTAGGACTGATCAGGGATGAAGAAATGTGTTGTCTACAATTATATTCTCTCCCTTCTTTTAACTTCTGTAACCCCTCCCACTGTCATTTTTGCAACTTGCTTTGAATAGATTCCTTTTTTTCCCCCTTCTTTCTACCAAACCAGTCTTTGTAAGCAAAAAGAAAATTAGTAACAGATGCAAGCTTATTTTTAATGGTCTACGACCAAATTTTCTGGACTTAAAACAAACACTTTGTCCCCTCAAAAGTTCTCTGAATCCATTAAGATACAGCTGTAGGCTCTCACTATAATTCACGAACTAAAAATAGTTTTGAAAAATAATTGTAAGAAACCACACCACGGAGTTACTCGTTGTATTCTGCTTATTTTTTAATTTTTATCATCCAGAGAATAAAGTTTGATTTCACAGACATTTTGAGAAAGCTTTCTCTTTCTTTCTTTCTTTCTTTCATTAACTCTAAGCTCTATTCTGATCTCAAGAAAATAAATTTGGGGCAGGGGGTATCTGAAGAGGATACACTGGATTATCCAACAAGGCCTTTTATTATAATTGGCTCTAGTTCAAACATAGATGTAAAAGCCAAAGGCACAGAATGTTAATTCCAGTAGTTGGAACTCACTTGAGAAGATCTGAATACATTAGTATTAAGTCACAGCGCTGGGCTAAATAATTAGCAACCAATTAAGACTTCTAGTATAAAAATTTTCTAGTATAAAAACTTTGTTCATTTACCATCCAAGATCCTTCCCAGTGTAAAAACATGAAATCCTCGGTCAATCCCAGAGCCGACAAAATTGACCTTTTGGAAAAGGGGAAGCAAAAAATAAGAAAAAGGAGGTCCTAATTCTAGTTGTGGTTTAGCCATTAAACACTTGATCACTCCGGTTGCAGTTTCTTCTTTGTAAAATGTGAACGCTACACTAATGAGCTCTAAAATCACCAGGAGTTCAACATTGCCACCTCTCACATTCTAACATCTCTCCACTCACCTGGTACGTAGGAGATGGCTTCCCCATGGCAGTTCAGTATAAGTTTGGGCTCCAGAATCGAATGACCTAGGTTCAAAATCTGTCTGCTTCAGTTATCAGCCTGTATGACCATGGACAAGTTACTTAATCTTCCTGTGCCTCAATTTCTCCATCTGTAAAGTACCTGCAATACTTACCTCAAAGGTTTGTTTGGAACAGTAAAAGAGACAATGTACCTGTGAGGGCTAGCAGAGTGCTTGGCTCACAGTAAGTGCTCAATTAGTGTTCAATTAGTGTTGGCAGCTGTTACCGTTGTTAAATGACCACAGCCGGTCTGGCCTGAACCAGGCAGGACCTGAAGGATGGAAACTGGGGAGCAAACCTGCAACTCCACCTGAGGATACACTTGTAACCAGCAGCTCCACAGCCTCCAAAGACACTGACACTTGTGGCGGCCATCAGATGGCTGGTTACTGGGCTCTGGTTCTGAAGACACAGGCATTACTGGTAACCACACTTGTAACCTTTAAGGTACTCTCCAAATCTGATATCCAGATCTGCAGACCTCATTTCACAGTAGGATCCTTATGGTGAGAATTTATGGCACCACTGGGAGAGGCACCCCTAAGACTTCACTATCCAGCCAATTAACTATCATGGATAACCACAGGGCTAGTCCTGCCCAGACCTTTCTCCATCATTAGCTAATTGTGAATCCTCACTGGGAAACTAAAATTTTTTACTGCATTTCTATGTCTCAGTTTTCTGTTTTTCTAAAATGATAATAATTATGTTCCCCTGATGTGGGATTAAGAGAGAAAATAACAATTATATCTTGATTTATACATTAAGGCAATTTACAAAGTAAGATCTAGGGAATACTTTTGAAGTTCTTTATTTTGCATCTTCCTTCAATATTTTCTCCTTTTGTTAGGGTTCTTTCTTCTTCTTTTTCCATGACTAGGTTCCTGGAACCGAGGTCAGCAAAGTATGACCTGCAGGCCAAACCCAGCCCACAGCCTGTTTTGGTAAATAAGGTTTTTATTAGAACAGGGCTACACCCATTTGTTTATGGATCATCTATGGTGGCTTTGGGGCTACAGGGACAGACTTGAGTAGCTGTGGCTCTCAAAGCCTGAAATATTTACCAGCTGGCCCTTAACAGAAAGAGTTTGCTGACTTGTGGCCTAAAACACAGTGAGTTGATAGTAGATAGCCTATATGACTGTTTGCTTGAATAAATGATAATGATCATTTCATTCAATGTCCAGCAAATATTTATTAAATGCCTCTAAGTGCCAGGCACTATGCCAGGTTCTGAACATACAATGAGTTGGGACTCCAATGTGAAGATGACAGACAGGGCCCCTCCCCTTATGGTGTGTACAGTTTAGTGGGGGAAGATAGAAAAGGATTATCCAAACAATTACTTATTTACAGTTGTGATGAGTGTTTACAGTGGAAAAAAGTACACAGTGCTGGGGGAGTATATAAAAGGAAGATTTAACCGTATCTCAGGAACTCTTCCCTAAGCAACTGCCATTTAATTTAAGCTTAGGCCTGAACATGGATTTCCTGGTTCTGAATTATTAGGGAAAGCAAGGGTTCCCTGATGCCAGAAGAAATGCAAATGGATTTCAGTATGTTTTCCAGTTTGTGCTTACTCCATCCATCTATCTGACTATGTAGTGCAAGGAATGTTCAAAAGTTTAAGATGCTTGATTTTTCAGCCTTATATATAACAGGAAAGCCAAGCAAATAAATAATTTTAAAACCAACAACGTGAAAATCATAACCCATGTGTAGTTGTTAAAGGCCAGACATCAACACATGACCAATAGGCACTTCTTCAATCAGCTCCATTCTTTAAGCATGGCAAATCAGAGCCTAATTTGAGCCTAAATTGAGTAACATTAATTTTCACACTTGGGGAGGAGATGTGATTGAACATAAACAGATGCCCTGCAGGCTGTGCGCACTTCTGGTTGTCATGTAGGTCTGAAGTTTCTCAGTGCTGCCTATCAAGGTTGATCAAGTGGGCTTAAGCACTCACATGCTTTGCTTTCCAAAGTCAGTGAGGCTCAGTAAACCACGCAGGCATTCTTTGGGAACATGGCCCACTCTCCCACCCTGAAAGTTGGCAGGTCCTTCTGGAGAAGGTGCATGCCAAAATAGATGCAAGAAGGCAGGGAGAAGTGTTGCAGAATACATGTATTTTATAGACTCTGCTTCACATTTCCTGTCACTGGTTAGCCCTCAGAGCTCTGGCGGCTAAATTGGGAGATTCATTCTTCTATTACTTTAAAGGAAATAGAGGTGCAGGTAGATTAAGCATCTAACTTCAGGTCTCTGAGCCTGTTAGTAAGACACCAGGACTCAGGAGATGTGGCAGCTTATCCAAGACAATTTGCTGGAGCCTGGACCTACAAAACTTTGATTTTTAGAACTGCATAGTCCTACTACATGTAAGGGTCATTTTCAGGAGAATCAGTTAAGACAACTTTCTTGATCAAAATGATGTCACCCTGGCAGGCTTCTTGGACAATCCTTCCCCTTTGCTCATGGTGTAGATCTGCAGTGTCCAGCATGGCCTATGGATTGGTTGGTGTGAGCACCTGGCCAGTTGTTACCAAAACCTTTATCTACCAGACCAATTCTCACCTCCAACATATCCACAGCAGGGTAAATGGGAAGGAGTTAAAGGAGTCAAAAATGGACTATACTAATGTCACCTTTCTTGAGAAATACTATTGTTCTTAATAATGAAAGACTCCTATTATCTGGATATTCTTCTATTCTAAAAAAAAAAAAAAAGAAGGAAGGAAGAAAGAATGCAAAAAAAGAAATTCAGCTATTTTTAAATTGCTTTTATTCTGATAGTAGTTTAATAATTTTACCCTAATATCTTGAAATAACAGAGGATTACCTGGGGTTTCTCTCAACATGACTGGAACATTAAGTTTAAAAGAATATTTTGATACTGACACTGCATAAGGATAATTTCAAGCCTATTGTCACCAGGATTTTCCACTCTTACTCATTCTCTCAATAAACATTTATTGAATGCCAGGTACATGAACATGCAAGGGGTTTTGGTGGGGGATGAATACTGGTGAAGAACGTCTATAGTTCTCTCATTTAGTGGAGCGTCACCCAAATAAATCATGACCTTACAGGATGCAGAATAAATGCTGTAACAGGAGCTTCACCCCAAGGAGCCCAGAGTCAGGAGCAGCTGCAAGCACTAGTGCTGATTGGTCCATAAGAGGAGGTAAATCAGTGTGTTCACGTGTGACAACATCTAGCCTTCCTTCCTAATGATGCTTGATAGAAACCCATAGCATCTGATGTAATGAAACCTAATGAGGATTCAAAATAATCTCCTTATGCTCTATGTGGGTCAACAGAATAAATGTTTATGTCATCTTAATTTCTGATCTGTGGTTCACACAAGACCTTATAGAAATAAAAAAACCAGGAGGCATTTTCTTTTAGGAAATGATTTTAGTCTCCTTTAAGTTCTATAAGAGACAGAAAACGAAAATAGCTAAAATAAGATTCAAGGGTAAGATGATGATTGCCAGCCAGCTACATTGAAAACAGCAAATTATTATTTTTAAAACAATATGGTCCAACACATTTTTTTCTGTTAATTTTTAGACCTGCAAGAATTTTAAGGGAAATCAAATGCATATAGTTCTGACTCATTTACACCCATGACTCATCAATATGTTGTTTTAAACAAATCATTGAATGTCCAAGAAATCTTCTGTTTTTAGAGAGGCACATCATTTAACAGCCAGAATCTTAACACAAACTTGAGTTTAACCAGATATGTTGAACCTGCAGTGCCTAGCAAATCCCAAAGCGGTGGAGATAGGCTCTTGTGCAACCTTTAAACATGATTTGGGTTTATCCCAAAATAACGCAAACATGCCAGAGCTAATCAGGTCCCACTCAATTCAAGAATACAACAAAGCTCCAACATAACTATTTAAAAACCCCAATAAAATGAAATTTCATTTCCACCAGTTCATTTTCTTCACATCTAATATTTTATTTTTGGCTTTCTGGCCTAGAGCTGATGGGAATTCTGCAGCGCTATCCATTTTCGAAAGAAACAGTTTTAAAAAGTTTCCGTGACTGAGAAGACACAGCTAAGAATGGTAAGAGGTATTTCCAGGGGTTCTGCCTTTAGCAGACAGTAACCTGCCTCTGGTATGCATGTGTGTATGTGACAAACAAATGGGAAAAATGAGAACCTTAGTTAAGTTGAGGGACAAAGAAGCCCGAGTTTCTCACAGCCAGACCAAACAGGAGTTGGCTAGAGGCCCTGGTTTTCAGGAGCAATTTGGCTTTGACATCACCATCCTATAAGCTACAAAAACATTTGGAAAAACAAACAAGCAAGACCAGAGAATTCACAGACAAACAAAAAGCTGAATTCCTCCAAAGAGAATGTTACAATACCATGAAGTGACAGGGGAAAAAAATTCCTCAAGGGCATCAAGCTCCTAAGCACTTAATTCTTCAAGATTTTTTGTATAGACAAATCTCATGACTTGGGGGAGTACAATGAGCCTGTTTCATGTCCACTTCAGTCTTTAGAATTAAGTAGTAATTACCCAGGCAGTCCACCAAGGCCTTCATAAAACTCTAACTTAAGAGCAGAGTTCAGTTTTTAGAAGAAAACTACCCTGAGCAGAGGGAAATGTTTAAATCTGGCCAGGAAGGAGCTCCTCCCTCCATTAACTGGGAGATCTTTCAAGTCCCACCTGCTGCTTGAACTGCAAGAGTTGTTTGGGTGTTCTTAGACTTGGATGGCTAGTTTCCGTGCGAACACCTAGCAAAAAAGCTGAGCATGTTATTCTCTACTTCTCCCTTCCCTCTGACTCTCCCATTGCCAAGGTGGCTGGCAGAAGCTTCACAGCCTAACTCGGGCTTCTTGGTATGTATTACTCCAAGACATAACTTTTTTTTTTTGAGACGGAGTCTCGCTCTGTCGCCCAGGCTGGAGTGCAGTGGCGCGATCTCAGCTCACTGCAAGCCCCGCCTCCCGGGTTCACGCCATTCTTCTGCCTCAGCGCCCCACCCCGAGTAGCTGGGACTACAGGCGCCCACCATCACGCCCAGCTAATTTTTTGTATTTTTAGTAGAGACAGGGTTTCACCGGGTTATTCAGGATGGTCTCGATCTCCTGACCTCGTGATCCACCTGCCTCGGCCTCCCAAAGTGCTGGGATTACAGGCGTGAGCCACCGCGCCCGGCCCGAGACATAACTTCTATTGCAGTCTTGCCTTTCTTCTAACCAAGTGCTAGAATCCCAAAAAAAACTCACTTGAAAAGGATGGCTTCCCTTAAGTGGGCAATATTTATAATTATAATCACTAGGTGTTTGAAATTTACTCTAACAATAGGGTTTCTGAACAAATATACAGATAATGGAACACATTAATAACTAGGAAGAGAGGCAGTAATTCATGCCTGCCATTCTGTACCCACATGCTAAAATGAAAGCCTGACAGAGAGCACCATCCAACCTTCTGAGTATCTTTGCACCTATTGTTATACCTGCTCACTGAGCTGTGGGTTGCAAGGTGAGATGACGAACATGTTCAAACCTTAAGTCATTATCTAATCCCAACCTCCTCCTCCTGCATTTTATTGGTAAAGGGTGATCATCCATCCAGCTGCTCCAGTCACATCCCTTTTTCTCACTGCCATTATTCAATTGGTCAACCAAGTCCTACTAAGTTGTCATTTGTTTATCTGTCCCCTACTCTTCCTTGCTATTTCCACTGGCTTAGTTCATGACCTCTCTGTCTCCTCCCCAGAAACTGTACTGAAATACCTGCTAACTAGTCTCCTTGCCTCTAGGACAGTCCCTCATGAATTTCTCCTCTGCTCTGCCTCCCAAGTTAGCTGCCTAAATATGTGCCTTGGAAACAATGAAATCATACTCATAATTTGAAGAAAACATTGGTGAATATTATTATAACCTGGGAGGGTAAAAGGTATTTCTAAGCAGGACAGAAAACCTAGAAGGCACAAATGTGGTCACTTAAAAGTGTCTTCTATAAGATAAAGAACAAAGATTAAAAACAACTGGAGAAAATATCTGTGACATATATATGTGGGGGACATGCTAATTTACTTAATAAAAGAATTCTTACAACTCACTAAGAAAACAACCTAACTATAAATTTGAAATAACATCTTGAGTCCATCCCTTGGCCACACTAGGAGAGGAAAAACTAATGTAAATAATTATAAAGCTGTGAAGGCACAAAGTGTCCTGCAAAGATTAGGTGTAAGAAAATTGGTTAGGTATCACCATTACCAAACCTGCTTCAAATGCTCTGCCTAGATTCAATTACATTACATATCGACACTGAGATCCTTTAAGCAGTTGAAAAATGCCTCTGGTCTCTTGTGTTTGCCTTCAGAACACAAGTGGAGCATATTTGCACAGAACAAATAATTCCTTGTCAAGCTGGAAGGGCCTCTTTGCTTGATAATTGATGTTTCAGCTTTGAGCCAGAAGGTTAAAGTCTTTCTGAAGAACATTTCTGAGTTCACACAGCACTAAACCCTATTACTCCATTATTCCACACCAGCCTTGGCTGGGAGGCCAGAACAATGCCCATCAGGTGAAACTGAACTGGCTTTTCCATTTTGACCTGAACTAAGTAATCAAATTATGTCCCTTGACAAGAAGGCAAAGTATCCACAGAGTGTACAACACTGGCATTGCTAACATACCTGCCAAAGACACTAACTATACCTAGGCATGCGGTCATCCAGAAGGAATGTGTCACGATCTTAAATGCAAGTAGTAAAGACAACTCACCTTTCAAATGAAACCAAGGTGAGATCTATTGCACCCACAGGAAGAGATATAAGATAAATTTTGTTACAAAAGCAAGTAATTCAAAGTGCCGCTATAGCCTTTTATGTGAATCTGGAACATGGGCCAATCATCTGAGACCACAAAGGAATCCCAGGCAAAAGCCCTAGATAGTATTAGTGTCCATTTGCAAAAAACGGAATTTAAAAAATATAGCTAGTATTAATAGCTGGAATGCAATAATTAATCAATCTGGGGGACACACAAGAGGTTAAACCTAACCAAACAGTATTGGAAATCAGAAAATTTAACCAATTATTTTCCAGTCTTTAAAATGTAGGGCTGCACTGAGGAACCCACACATCAGAAGACCCCATCATAAGACAGATGGCTAGTGCCTGAATACATTACTTTTTGTTGTTCTGAATTGTCTTAACTTTGTGAGCACTTACTCATAATCTTATTGAGAATTATGATATAGATATGAATTCCATTTTCAAAACAGCTTAAAAAAAGACAGTTGGATTTTTAAATTTCTGGCTAGTGCAATGAATCTGCAGAAATTCAAACCTTGACCAATGGTTTCTCAAAATCCATTTGATTCTATCATTTGCCTCTGCTAAAATTAATAAAATATTCTCCCAATAAATCAAGGCTTACAAAGCCACTGTTCATTATTCCTGGCTGAAATGGTCTCAGTGGCTTCTGGAAATGAGTGTTACACATGGAGATATATAATGCGATCACTTAGATGGCTTGCACACTGGCAAGGGGCAGCCAGTCTAGAACTCCACAACCTATACGAGGACAAAACCTCCCTAGAGAGAACCAAACCCCACCACTAGGCTGCCTTCCATTTCCTGGAGAAAAAGGGTTGTAACTTATCTGAAGTAGTGAGTGCCAGGACATGCTATGATGTTGCTATTGCTTGAAGGGTATTATAGAGAGAGAGAGAGAAACTGTAGGTCAGAGGGACAGAATAAACATTACTAAAGCAACACACAGTGACCTCAGCTTTGTCTCGGGCAGACCTAGGAGGGCCTCATCTGAGATCAATAGGTTGTATGCTAAATTAACAAACAAAAAGCAAACAGCACAAAACCCACTTGAAACTAATATGATTCTTCCTTCAGGACCCCGTTTTTAAACAAACAAACTTTGGGATAATAAATAAGTGGAGACTCACTCTGGGAAGCATAATGCCCCTCTGCAGCTTTGTCTTCATGCCCTTCGTATTCCCTGCTGGATAGTTGCCTGTTAGCAGTCTCTAGTCGATCTATGAACAAAGAGGAAATGATTACAAAGAAATGTATATGGATTGAAGTCATCATCTAACCAAGAAATGAAATATGTGCCAAGAGCTGGGGAGGAAGAGATGCTCAGGCAGGAGCCCAAAACTGAACAACTTGGGGACAGACAGTAACTATGTCCCAAAATATCAAAAGAAAAGGCTTCAGATGCCACACTGTGTCTTTATGCGATCTAATGCCAAATGATATGCACGAGCAGCAGGCAGCTAGGGAGAGGTGCTGAGAAAAACCACCTCACTGCCTCCAAGGCCAGCAAACCTGATTTGAAGTATTCACAAAGACAGTCTCCTTGGCCTCAAACCCAGCCCTAGTCTAATCTTGATCATCAGCTGTATATTTTAGCCAGTGACAGCTTTTTGTATCTCAGAATCAAAGAAAAAAAATAACGAATACCAAAAAAAGTCAAAATGACCTAATGTATGAAGACTGTACACAGCAAGTTCTATGTTTGCTCAAACCACTTGGTAAATCTTTAATTATTCAATAAATAATCCAACTCAACAAGTATTCACTGGATGCAGATGATACTCAACCCAAAAGAGTTTGTAGCAACAGAAAAGGTGGGATCTAGCTACTGGGTACTACCAGGATGTTGAGTGTTTTGACATATGAAGCAACTGAAAATGGCTTGGCTGAAGGTGAAGTAACATTTATAGGTTAACTCATTGTGCATATTGGAGACTGCCAAAATCCAGCAGCAGGTGGCTCCTATCTTTCAGCGAGTTTATTGTCTACTTATTTCACAACTGTGGGGACTTTTTCCCCCCAGGGGGAAAATATGTCTAGCTCTGTCTTCTATTGTCCACCTAGCAATAGTTAAGTGCTGCTTTTCAAAGTGTGCTACCAAATGACAGCCCCATGTGGAAAGGGTTGTGCGTCTAACATTAATCTTTTCAAACATTTGGATTCTCATAGCCATGAATCGTGGTTGAGTACTTTCAAAGCAAGAAGGAGCCGCAAACAGAATCCCTTCCTTTGATAGACTCATGCATACAGGCTGTCACTTCCAAAGCTTGATGCTGCAATATACAACCCACAAGGCAGAAAAGAACAATTCTGCTTTTTGAGCACCTCCTCCCTTCCCCAGATCATTGAAATACACAAGATTATCCAACACAGGTAGACCAGTACCTGTGGCAAAGCACTCTGGCCTTGAAGTCGTGCTTTTAGCTACACTAAAACTCTACAGGTAGTTTAGATAGAGAGAACATGAATAAACCTGCCTCGGAGGTCTCTGTTGAAATCATGAAGTCTTCTAATCTCGCCTTCCAATTTGTTTCTCATGGCCTTGTCCAGCGATTCTCGCTTGGTGGTAGACTTGACCAGACTTTCATAGGCTTCCGAAATTCTCTGAAGTTCTTTTTCAAACTAAAAGAAAGAACTGGCATTAAAGTGGTACCTTTGACATTCATGCTGGTGTCTTGGTAAAATGGATTCTTAGACATTGCCAGTGTGAAGGCTGTATCTTCAATGCAGTCTTTCTGCATCTCAAGTTTCATGTGTACCAAACTGTATAATCGATTTCACTCCCCCACCTGCTCTCTAAAGACTACATTAGGATCTTGTAAATTACAGGCTCACAAGTCTGGCCGAACTGTCTGATGTCACCTTGTAAAAGTCCCTCTGTACCAATATTAGAAAGGGGTAAATCTAATCATAACTTAAACCTCTTACACTTTTAATGGCAATTTATAGCTATTATGATTATTCCCAGTTAACATCAGGAAAATATTAAAGTACAAAAAAAGAAACGACTATAATTAGAACCCAAGTTTCCAGACTCCAAGTACAGTGCACTTTCCAGAGACACTTCTATCTGTCCCCAAAGGAACATAAAATCCACTGGAGGAACGGCTTCATTACCTAGTATTTTTATTCCTTTGTCTATAAAATTATCTATATGGTGCAGTGGCTCACGTCTGTAATCCCAGCACTTTGGGAGGCTGAGGTGGGTGGATCACCTGAGGTCAGGAGTTTGAGCAGTCTGGCCAACATGGTGAAACCTTGCCTCTACTAAAAATACAAATATTAGCTGGGCATGGTGGTGGGTACCTGTAACCCCAGCTACTTGGGAGGCTGAGGTGGAAGGATCGCTTGAGCCTGGGAGGCGAAGGTTGCAGTGAGCAAGATCACGTCACTGCACTCCAGCCTAGGGCAACAGAGTGAGATTCCGTCTCACCAAAAAAAAAAAAAAAAGGATTAATGGACATGTACCTAATCATAAACAAATATATCACAGACAATCTCTTTATATTCAGGAATTGATAGCCAAGAAATTAAAATCATTTAAAAAAATATTTCACTAAATCAAAAACTAACTGGGGAAGCCTTTAATCTACGGCACATATAAATTGATAACAAATAGCTCTATTCTAACAGGAGTTTGATATAATAGTGTGATTTTGATGTAGATATCAATAAATCCCATTGTATTGTTATGTAACATAAATGCAAGAGAAAGGGTAAAGACCAGGTGAGGGTGCCTGCAAACATGGATGGATGCTTGATGAGATGCTGCTAAGGTCAGAATCAAAGGCAAAGCTGATGGGGTTGAAAGCACTAGTGCCCTTCACTGGGTCCCAGATCACAGCCATGTTTTCAGTCCTTCCATAAGACAGCAATGGCACCAGGAGCCAGGGACCCTCTTTTCTGAGCCCCAACTGCCCAGATCAGAAAGTCCTGCCAAGACTCCTATAAATAATAAATATCTGAACAGATATTCATTGTTTGCTTACATGTCAGGTGTTTTTCCAGATGCCAACGATACAGAAATAAGGACAGCAATTCCTGGCCTTTAGGAGCTAGGAGTCTTAAGTTGGCCTGTAAATATTACAAAGAGATGGTAGTCCAGGAATGAGGGCAAGGTAGAAGTGGCAGGAGGTAGGGCCAGAAGGAAGGACTTTAAATTATGGGCAGGGGAGGCTTAGTGGGGGTGAGAGATACTGGGGAAGGAAGATTATAACTCTGATCTCATCCAAGTTTTTATAGAGACAAAACTAACAGATGGGGTTGGAGGGTGGGGGTTTATGGGAGAGGAGGTAGAAGAGATATCCAGGTAAAAAGCTAATGTAAACAGCTCAATGACAGATGACAAGGGCCTGAACTATGACACTAAAAGGGCAAATTCCAAAGACACTAATGAGTAGAATCAACAGGTTTTGGTGACTGGGTGCAGACAGTAAGGAAGAAAGAAAGCAAATACAACATAAACATTCACAGCTTAGAAGATGGGGTAAGGAGACTTAACCAAGATAAATGATTATAAGAGAAACAAGCTCACTAAAGAAAGAAAACCAGTCTGGGTTTGGAGATACCATGTTTGAGGAACCTGCTGCACATATTGGCGAAGATTTCCAGTTAGCAGGTGAACATACAAGTCTAAAAGCCAGGAGAGTGGCTGGGTGTCCTCAACGTACAGATGACAGATGACATCAGAAAGCGGAGACCACTCAGGGAGGTAAACAGAAGATTAGAAGGCCAAAAAAGCATTCACGCCAAAGGAGGGGCAGGGCACCAGGGAAAAACTGAAGCCAGTGGAGCCGTAGGAGCCTAGAAGCCAAAAACTTAAAGGAATGAGAGATACTGTGGTCAGCACCCTGAGAGGTTACAGAGGAGCCAGGATATGGCTGAGAAGAGGCTGATGAACAGGCTGGAGAGCACGGGGGCTTCTGCTTAGCGGCAGCCAACTGGAGCCGAGCTGAGATAACCAAGGTTCCCTTCGGTACCACCTTATGTTCCCAAAGGCCTCCTTATACCAGAGTTGGTTCTTCTGTGGTCCCCTCATTTCAACAAGGCCTTTCTGATTCGTCCACAGATATCATGAACCGCTGGTAATGCAGCAGCACAGAGGACAGTATGTCCTAAATCCTGTTCATAGCCTTACCATGAATTATGATCCTGTCTTTAAATTTTATTCACAAAAGAGATGGCTCCCAGACACACTAACACTTCTTTGCTGATTTTATCTATAAAAGGTGGCCTTTGTTTTCAGACAGCTGGGCATGTCACAGGAACAGTCCCCATCAAGACCAAAGGGCATCATCAAGTCACCAGGGAAGATGAGAGTACCACACACTTTGAGGCATCCACCATGAGAGTGGTGTTCAGGCTTCCAGTCTAGGACAACTAGCGAGGCTTCCTTAGCTACACCCACAGGGACCCTTCTCTTGGTCTGATTTTATAGTATTTTTTATCTGTTGTATTTCCCTCATTGGAATTCTAATCTGCATCTGCACTGTGCGGCTCTGATTCGACTACTAACTCCTTGAGGGTAGAATAGCTCTTACTTTCCTAGAACTATGCCTTGCCCATGACAAAATACTGACTGATTAATTAATCTTTAAATGTATAACTTCTAAAGACAGACTTGGACACTGAATCATGCATTCTTTCCTTTTACTCAAAGAACCTCCCTCTGCATACTGTCAAAGGAAACTTCAGGATCCCTACCATGATATAGTTTACTATCTCAAATCCTAAAACAATCAAGACCTGACATAAGGTTATCTGCTTAGAAGGGACCTAGAAAAAAAAACAAGGATCTTAGTTCAGAACAAGGTAATTCCTATGAGAACTGATAGCTGTAATGGTAGAGAAAGACTAATCCCCTTCAGTGCATGCTATGGATATGGTTTGTCCCCACCAAAACTCATGTTGAAATTTGATTCCCAGTGTGGTGACATTGGGAGGTGGGGCCTAGTGGGAAGTGTTTGGGTCATGGGGGCGGGTCCCTTGTGAATGGCTTGGTGCCTTTCTCGCAGTAGTAAGACTAGACTGGATTTTGCAGGAATAGATTAGTTCCCATGACAGCAGGTTGTTATGAAGAAGGACGTGCTCTTCACGTTTTGCCTCTTTATACATGTCCACTTCCCCTTTGACCTTCTGCCATGTTGTGACACAGCGTAAAAGCCCTCGCTGGAAGCCAAGAAGATACCAGTGTCATGCTTCTTAAACTTCCCAGCCTGCAGAATCACGAGCTAAATAAATCACTTCTCTTTATAAATTACCCAGTCTCAGATATTCGGTTATAACAACACAAAAGGGAATAAAAAAGTATGATTACAGAGGACAGAGTTATGAGTAAATGTAGGAAGTTAAATAGATGCAGGGTTTTTTTGATTTTGCTTTTTGACAGTCTCATTCCATCACCTAGGCTGGAGTGCAGTGACACAATCTTGGCTCACTGCAAACTCCACCTCCTGGATTCAAGTGATTCTCATGCCTCAGCCTCCAGGGCAGCTGGAATTACAGGGGTGCATCACCATGGCTGGGTAATTTTTGTATTTTTTCTTTTTTAGTAGACATGGGGTTTCACCATGTTAGCCAGGCTGGTCTCGAACTCCTGATCTCAAGTGATCCACCTGCCTTGGACTCCCAAAGTGCTGGGATTACAGGGGTGAGCCACCACACCTGGCCAAGATGTAGATTTTGACTTAACATAAAGAAACATTTCCTAACTACATTTTCCAGAAGTGTAGTATACCCATTAGTGAGCTTCTCTTCTCTGGAAGCATTCAAGTAAAAGATGAATACCTCCTTTCAGAGAATGACACAAGGATTACTAAGGAATGGGAAGTTGAAGTAGACTCATTTTAAGAATTTTAAAACTAAAGCTTTTTATTTCTGACTGTACACTGCTTCAGAGTAAAACCACACCTTCTTCTTTCTATTACTCCATGTTCAGAACATCTTAAGCACCCTCTGATATTTGTTAAAGATACAGGGAGGGTTAGACAGGCTGGTTTGATACAAAAACTATCCAGACCAGCTCAGACTCTGAGTACAGTGCAGGAGGGGAATCCCAGTTTACCTTCCCAGCTCTCATTCTCCTTTTCGGCCTAGGTGTCAGGGAGCTCTTAGGCCAGGCTGTAAGAATCCCTGCAATCACAGAAATACACTCAATGTCCCAGAGACAGAACTACAAGCAGAGCAGAAAGCCCTGCATGACTTCCACTGGCACTGTTGTAATAAGCAAATGGACAGAGAAGGCCCTGAGAAAATCTCAGCCATTCCAAGCTCCAGATACTGGTTTTTTCCCCTGAGCACCTTCACGTGCAACACTCAGGGATCCACAGGACCAAAGAAAGGCCTGCTGTGCAAGCCACAGACTGCCCAATCAAAGCCACCTTTGTTTCACTCACAAAAGAGGGTCTTCACTAAAGCAAGCCTGGGGTAACTGTTAATACTTGGCCCTCTCCCATCAAGTGCCCGTCTATTCCCTGATGGCTTTCAAGGCCAACCCACTCAACAGCCCACAGTCTGGCCCTGGTAGAAACTCCATCATTAATTAAGTTTCAGGGAAACCGGGAGGAAAAAGATGCAAAAAAAATAACCAAAAGGAAAGACTGAAAACATCATCTCTTTCTGGGGGTCCTCGACCATCATTCCAACATTAACAGTGATAATCACTACCTTGAGCCTCTTTGGAAACAGGATCTTCATATCTAGGCTGGGATTTTATAGTCTCTGAATTTAATCGTTTTCTTCTGCTGTGTTCCTGGCACAGTATGCATAGGCTAAATTCTGCAATTAAAAATTCATCTATTTTTAGTTCTGCCCTTACAATGCATCTCTGCAAGGGCCAAAACATTCCCAATGCTGCGAGGAACTCAGATGGAATGAAACTGTGGGCATAGCGGGGTCATATCCTACAAGATTGTACAGCAAAACAGGGGTCACATCCATGCCAGGAGAACTGGCAGCTATCATCCCTGAGAAGCAAAGTTGTCACCTCATCTGACCACCCTCTCCCCAGACCTAAGGCTCAGGCAGCTACACTGAGTGGCAAGGCTGGGGATGAGGGAAGATCTGGGACTAGGGTGACCTTAGGAACGCAAGGCACAAAATGTTACGTCACGAAGTTCATGCAACTCTTGTGTCTCTTGGTCCTAGTTGTTGAGAACAGTTATCCAACTTGTGATGAGTATGCAAGTATCCATCAAAATCTGAGGTTTTGAATCAATAATTCTGGTTTTACATATGACAGATTAATGTAGTACAGTAAGTCCTCATGTAACGTCACTGACAGGTTCTTGGAAACTGCAACTTTAAGTAAAATGACACATAGCAGGCCCCCAAATAACATCATTTCATTGTGATGTTGATGAGGAAAAAATTGGCTTTGCTTAAAATTGTAGCTTCCAAGAACCTATTGATGATATTAAGTGAGGACTTACTGTACTTGTAGAACAATTTATAACATTCAAGGGACTGAAAAAGTTTTGGGTTCAAGAAGGGACACAGCTTTTGATTTGTCTCCTCTTCCAGAGGTCATCAAAATCCTTTAGGCCACAACTTTTAAGAACCATCCTCTGTGCAGGAATACTGAGACACTGGGAGATTAAGCCACTTTAGTTTTCAAAATGGAAATGTGCATCAAAATCAAGAAAGAGATGTATGTTATAGGTCAATAAAAAGTACATGTTTAATCCTAGCACTTTGGGAGGCCGAGGTGGGCGGATCACGAGGTCAGGAGATCAAAACCATCCTGGCCAACATGGTGAAACCCCGTCTCTACTAAAATACAAAAAAAAAAATTAGCCAGGTGTGGTGGTGCGCAACTGTAGTCTCAGCTACTCAGGAGGCTGAGGCAGGAGAATCGCTTGAACCTGGGAAGCGGAGATTGCAGTGAGCCGAGATCGCGCCACTGCACTCCAACCTGGCAATGGAGTGAGACTCCATCTTAAAAAAAAAAAAAAAGTACATGTTAATAAAAAGGCAATGAAAAATAACAAGGCCTCCAATTTCTGCACCATTTGTGTAACTCTTCAGAAACAGCCATGGGAAAAACCCCAGCACCAAACTCTGCCTTCAAGTGGGTCTGTATAGCTTCTGGACATGTCTGCCTTGAAGCTTCATTAGGAGAGAAGAAAGAGGTCCTTGTTTCCCAAGAAGTGCTGAGTCTGCACTTCCCAATTTTCAGACCATACCTAAAAGAAGCTGCCCAAAAATGACAGAGGCAAGCTTGGGCCTGTGCAGCATCTTATAGGCTGAGGGCTGTGAGACAACATGCCTATTTCCCAACTTCTAAGGGTGCAAGAGGGGGTGGGAGTGAGGCCACAATCTTTAGGCGGCCCCTGTCTGTTTCTGGCTCTCATTTTTCCCCTCCAATAAAGGCAGCCAGAGCTCCCTCAGCCAAGTCTGGTCTTGACTCCAGGGAGCTCCAGACCTTTTCAGTGGAAGCTCTGCACAAACGTGCTGGGACAAATTGTCTGTAAACACATGCACCATCAAATCCACTGCTCCCTGACAACCCTCAGGAAGCAAGTAGAGCCTACTACTCTAAAACCCTTGGCCAGCAAAATGACCAGCTTGACCTGTGAAATCACCACTAACTCATGAACACTAACACTAAATCGGCCAGCCGGAGCATTAATTGTCACATAGAGCCAAAGTGACAACATTCTTGTAGTCAGATGGGGTTTACACTCCTACGCTTTAACTTTACAGAAGCCCTTTATTGCCAAGGGAAGAGCCCGCACTTACTCTTAGAGGATCGCTACTACTACACATGCCTCCTCACCCCCAGAAAGGAAACTCAAGTGCTCTATGGCTGTCCTGCCCTAAAACATCCTATTACCTTTGCTCAACCCCCTTGCATCCTACCTGTAGCACATCAGATGCTGACCTGAGGGGCATAATGAAATCACTGCCCAGCAACAGCTCGTTCTTGCTGGACGTTCCCCTATTTACTTTGGCTCTCAGCATAAATCTGTAAGAATAATGGCTGCCATACATTTAAATATTCCAACAGTAACTACACAGGCTGGAATTACTCAGCATCTCCCCACCTGATAAGTCACAAACATGCAGAAAGCACACAATAACTCGTACTCTTGACCCTCTCATGTTGAGGCAAGGCTGCTTTTTGCAGAGACCGGCTAATGAAATGAACATGACAACACAAGGTTCCTGTCTGAGATTCCTAAATTTAAAGGAAAATTTGGTATCTCTCACTTCATTTCTCTGTGGTTTTATTTATTTTTTATTTTTGAGACAGGGTCTCACTCTGTCACTCAGGCTGGAGTGCAGTGGAGCGATCTTGACTCACTATAACCTATGCTTCCCAAGCTCATGTGATCCTCCTGAGTAGCTGGGACTGCAAGGCATGGGCCACCATGACTGGCTAATTTTTGTAGAGACAGGGTCTTGGCATGTTGCCCAGGCTGGTCTCAAACTCCCAGGCTCAAGCGATCCACCTGCCTCAGCCTCACAAAGTGCTGGGATTATAGGCATGGACCACCGCGCATGGCCTCCTCCGTGTTATTTACTCTCCGTGTTCCCTCTTCTACATTTGTCCAGGTGGGGTAATCCTACTTAGCCTCTGAGTCTCCGGTCAAGAGCCACCTCTGCTGTTCCTACAGTAGACCCTTCACACTCTTACTGAAGGTAGCATATGCAACTCTCTCCCCTTTTTGGAATGTAAGCTCCTCCAAGGCAGGAACTGGGTCATATTTATTTTCATCTCCCTAAAGCCTTGCACAGGGCCTAGTATAAAAAGGGGTCTACTGCAATGTTGGCAAGTCAGTCAGTGCATCAACTCCCCATGACCAGGTAAAGAATTTGTCTCCCTCCCATTCCCCAGGGAAGTCACGCACCTTGTGGAGCTTGTCGGCATTGTCGTAGTAACCCTGAAGTTCCTGGTGAAGCACCCGGTTCTCCTCTGTTAATATCTCCACCATTTGCTGGGCTCGCTCCACAATCGCAAAGGCATCTGGACCAAGCTGCTGGCTGGGGGAGGCGGCAGGCGGGGGCTGTGGAGCACCCAGGGCCATCGGGAGTGGAAGCGGCAGGGAGACAGAGTGCAGTGGCCCGCTGGCGGAAGAGGTCTGGGAGGACATGGGGCTGTGCTGCTGCATGGTTGATGGGAACGGAAGTTGGCATGGGCGGCTGCAAGGCAATGGAAGGCAGCAGTTAGAGCCTGGGGAAATGGTGGGAGCAGGAAGGAAGCCCCAACAATACTGGCACTGTTGATGGCTTCCATGGTCAGAGGCCATCAGTGCACTTCCCAGTGGGAGGTATTCACTGTGCTCCCATCTCAATTGGCACCATTCCGGCTATTGGGGAAACAGCGAACAAGACAGACCAGGTCCCTGCTCTCAGATGTTTACATGGTAGGGAGAGAGAAAGGCAAGCCACCCAACAATAAAGCCAAGTATCAAAACGTAACAAGTACTCTCCAAAGAATAAGGTGGAGTGATGTGACAGGGAATGACCCCAAGTGACAGGGAATGACCCCATGGCTACTTCCTACTGAGAGAGCAGAGAAGGAGTCTCTGAGAGGGGTGGTTTGAGCTGAAGTCACACTGACAGACAAGAACCAGTGGTTTGGACAGAGCGGGTGAAGAAGTGGGGGAAAGGAGTATTCCATGTAGGAGGTGTCAGCTAGCACGGTGGTCCCCAACCACTGGGCCATGGACCAGTACACATCTGTGGCCTATTAGGGACTGGGCCACACAGCAATAGGTAAGTGAGCAAAGTTTCATCTATATTTACAGCCATTCCCGATGGTTCACATTACTGCCTAAGCTCTATCTTCTGTCAGATCAGCAGTGGCATTAGATTCTCATAGGAGCTTGAACCCTATTGTGAATTGTGCATGCAGGGGATCTAGGTTGTTTGTTCCTTATGATAATCTAATGCCTGATAACCTGTCACTGTTTCCCATCAACCCCAGATGGGACAATCTAGTTGCAAGAAAACAAGCTCAGGGCTCCTACTGATTCTACATTATGGTGAGTTGCATAATTATTTCATCATATATTACAATGTAATAATAATAGAAACAAAGCGCACAATAAATGTGATGCGTTTGAATCATCCTAAAACTACTCCAACCCCGCGATTGTCTGCGGAAAAATTGTCTTCCACAAAACGGATCCCTGGTGCCAAGAAGGTTGGAGATGCTAAGCTAGCGCACAGGGCCTGAGGTAGGAATTAGCACTGGCACAAGCAAGTAGTATGAAGCACTGCCAGCAAGTAGCAGTGCAAGATAAGACTAGGGTGATGGGCAGGTGCCACAGCCAGACTTTACCTTGGAGTGTACAGAGGCCAGGGGAGGAGCTGCCTCTCCTGTGGTGTGCACAGAATGCAGTGCATGGTGGCAGGAACACTCGTGTGGAGTCCAATGAGGCCCAGGTGTGGTCTAGGTGAGAACTGAGGAGAGCTCAGAGTAGTGGCAGAAGAGAAACACTCAGAAATTGGGATTCATTTTGTATATATCATGGATGGGGAGAAGGGAAGTCGGGAAAATTAAAAATTACTCCTAGATTTTGGGCTCTACACAAATTGATAGGGGCACCATTTAATGAAGTGGGAAGTCTTGGGGAGAAACTGATTTGTTTTGCTGAGGTAAGGGAGGTCTAGAGCTCAAGAGTCTAACTTTAGCCATGTCAAAAAGAACACATAAGGGTGTCCCTTCATAGCTCAAATACCTAGTATTAGCTCCTATCTTTGAGATCATGAATTTCCATCCCCGTCCCCATTCCTAACAAGTCCATCCTAACTATTCAGTTAACCTGTTTCCTAAGAATCACTGTATTTTCTTTCAACCTAAGCCAAGGGCTCCTAACAACATTTAGAAATATAAAGGGTATGAACCAAAAAGTATCTGAGACAGATCTCAATCAATTTAGAAAGTTTATTTTGCAAGGTTAAGAATGTGCCCATGACACAGCCTCAGGAGGTCATGACCACATCTACCCAAGGTGGTCTGGGTACAGCTTGGTTACATACACGTTAGGGAGACATGAGAGACACGAGACGTCAATCAGTATGTAAGATGAACATTGGTTTGGTCTGGAAAGGCTGGACAACTCCAAGTGGGGGAAGGGGCTTCTAGGTCATAGGTAGATAAAGAGACAATTGGTTGCATTATTTTGAGTCTCTGATTAGCTTTTCACTGAATACACAATTTACGTGTGAGAGGAGGGTAAAAGAATAGTCACTTACACCTTAGTCTGGCTTAGTAAAAAAATAGGGCAGAGGAACTAATCACATATGCATTTGTCTCAGGTAAGCAGAGGGATGACTTTGTGTTGTGTCTGTCCTATGTCCACAAGGAGTTTCCTTGTGGGGAAATTGTGAGGCAGGTATGTGGCTTTTTTATATTTTTGTAGCTATCTTATTTAAGAATAAAATGTGAGGCAGGTTTGCCTGATGCAGTTCCCAGCTTGACTTTTCCCTTTGGCTTACTGATTTCGGGGTTCTGAGATTTATTTTGCTTTCACATCTTTCCAAAAAAGCATTTTATAAGAAAATGAATGAGCCTCTGGTCTCAGGTTTTGTCTGATCTCTCATAACTAGGACAGTTTACTCCTAGAAAGGTAGGTGTCAGGTTATTAGGAAAGATCATTTTTAGTAGGTTGTGAAATCTCATATCCTATGAAGAGAAAATAGGAGGAGGAAGAGAAAAAAACAAACAAAAAAGATGAAGAACAATCCCGGAAAATTGATATAGGCCATATTATCTGAAGTCCACACATCAATAGGCAGGTATGAAAGTGGTTTATATATGTAAATAAGTTGCTGTTATTTTCTTCTGTAGCTTAAGTTGTCTAGCTTCAGTTTGCAGGGCTTTAAGAAAGCACAGCTTCATTTTTAGGGATTTTAAATCAAGAAAAAAATGGAGGGAAAATAGGACAGGAAAGAAAGAAAAAATCAATTAAAAACATTACTTTGGAGACGTGTAGCCAGGAAAAACTTTAGAATTCAGTCCAAACTATAGAAAATAATAAACATTGAAAAACATTAGACAAGACTAGAATCTAATAACAGGTGTAGTCTAGTTTATTTTGAAACATAATTTTTCTCTCTCCAGTCCCCATTTTCACTAAAGACAAATCACAAGACAAATTTATGTGTAAAATAACTGTTGGTCTTACTATACTTGGCCTGAGTATTTGCATAAAGTCAGCAAAAAAAAATTATTTGCCATATAGGCTGTTTTCTTTTTAATTGGCTTTACTGCAACTTTATTCCACAAGGAAACTCAGATTAGACTTCAATGCTTTGAGCTCAGCCTGTGCCTGCAAATACCTGTACTAATTGGGTGAATTCCTCACCTCAAGGGCCCAAGAAAACTTAGGGCTCCTGGGCCTGTCAGAAAGTGACATTCTTTACTTACTGCAGGTCAGGAACCTGTACAGGGACTGTGTAGACATGGTATAAGGCCAGCTTTCCCAAAGGGTTTTATTTGGCTCTACAAGTCAACCTCAATTCCTTAAAGCAATCTGGTTCTATCTAAAAGTATGCCATTCCAATGAAAGCCTTGGTAAAATAACCAGTGTCTCCAATTGTGTCCTATTACAAAGAAAAAGATTCTTATTGAACTTATGCAAATAACTATACTGCTATAAATTAAATATACTTGCAAATAGTTTTCAAATTCTGGAGAAATCAGGTAGAGAGATATATGCTTCAGATTTTGCTCACAGGAGTGTAGCTGCCCCAATTATTAAAAGCTGTAAACAGCTCAAAGAAAAAGGGTTTTCTAGATGCAGAAACAAAAGAATTAGCAACATTCCAAACAAAGTCATAAAAAAGATTATTTCAGTCTTTCATTAGTCTACGTAATTAAGTCATGTTCTGCTCGATGTTTATGAACACATTAGCTTTCTATGGGAGTCTTGCAAGTTTTTCCTCTATTCTAGTGTCACAGTCTCCAAAGTTATCAGAAACCTGCATTCAAGAACAACTGTCAGAGTCCTATAGCTGATTATAAAAAACACCTTTTGAAAAGAATAAAAGTGAAACAACTAGATGACAAAAGTTATGGTTAAAGATGCAAATGACAAGGAAATTGGGTTACTTCTATGGCATACAATTTTATATCAGAATCACCATTACTACTGATAACATTTACTAAGATATATTAGGCTCACAGGAATCTCATACAATTCTGGAACACATACTAATAACACATTTATATAAATATAATCCAAAGAAGGATAAACCCCATTTCATATTTGACACTACTTCCTGTATGATTTTATTACATCAAATAAGCTGAATATGTCTTTTTTGGACTTCAAGGGACCAAATATCAAAAGATTAATGAGGACTGAAGTTAAAATTTGATTTCAGAAAGTGTGTCAAATATAAAAAGTTTAAAACACTTCATATCACAAAACAGGATCACAAGTTGTTATAAAATAAGTCAATCATTTAGCCCAAATGATAACTCAACGATTTCCAAAAAAAAAAGCATAAACCTTTATTCTTTGAGAGCAATTTAACTTCCCAAACAACAAGCCCTAATAAAGACAGCATGAGGCCAATTAAATGTGTCTTTTAAAATTCTGTAAGTAAATTTATTAAATTTTAATTATCTTGACCATAAGATATAATTTCCATAAATCTTTTTATAATCTTTATAACCTTTTATTAAGGAGTGAGTTAATGCTCCAAAAAAATTGTGTTCATCTGACACAGAGGCTCATATGCTGGTCTTGCATCAGTGTGCGTTTGGTATTAATGGTTACTTTATAGAGAAACTGAACTAATTTTATCTCTCAACATTGGCCCTTACAATCTCATGCCCACCTCTTCCACAATAGTCTCTGGGTCTTGAGGAGTTGGATAGTTTTAATTTCTGGCCCTGTGTCTCACAAACACAGTTTATTTTGGTTGGCATCTTCTACCGGATCTGAAGATGAGGTTTTAACTGCTGTCAGGGTTTAAGACTGAAGAGGACTTGGTGTCCTGTTTAGCCCCAGAAGTCAAAGCTCTATAACTTAATGACACAAGGACTTTAAAAGCAAAATATAGAAAGTTACACAGATGTGATAACTTTAATTAAAAAAAAAATTTAATCTCAGTTTTTTCTAAGCAAACCAAAACTTAATAACAATGGCAAAGGAATTATTTCAATAAAATATAAAATGTGTTTGTTAGGCCAGTTACCAAAAGGCAAAAGAAAAGATCTTCTGCAGTGCCACTGCTATTCCCTGTGGGGTATCCATTTATTATCAATAACCTGAAAGTCAAACTAATAAAAAGCGTACTTCAATTAGACATAGGAAGAGTGTTTCTTAGGTAACAAGTAAAAATTTTTAGATTCACAGAACCATCTAAAGCCAAGAGCACAGAATGTTATGCTGGAGAAGACATTTCCTTTAGGCCTTTAGGATAAAACATTTTTAGTGTAAGGCCACAACAAACAAACAGCACCCGAGGAATAAAACTTACGGGAGCCAAAAGTGAGTTGAAGGAGATATTTACTATTTCGGGGCTTTTAAAAGGGGAGAGGAAGCTGAAACAGCAAGATACAATAAAAGTTAAACTTTGGGTTAAAAAATTAAAATGTCTTGTAATTTTGTTAAGGGTAAATCAATATCTTAAAAAAAGTTTCATTGTACTACCCAATTCTTTAGTGCATAAGTGTTTTTTTAAAATATCAAAACACAATCTCTAGAAAGACCATTATAAATAATTTCTCTTTCATTACAGACAACTTGATCATATAAAGTTTTTCTTCCCCCATAAAACTTTACTTTTACAAACCTTATTATGACTTACACAGACCATTCATGGCATACGTGGACTTTCTGGTTTGTCCTGAATATCCCTCTTTCTTAACCAGTCATTTTATTCTAGGAAAAAAATTTACCATACAAGATTCTTTCTCATATAAAATTATTTTCCTTTTTAACCTTTCTTGCCAAAAATACCTTTTTATATTTATAATTTTCTTTACAATGCTTTTATATACTGGTTACCATTACCTTGTTTTATAAATAACTTTTAAATAAACTTTGAATGAGACAAATATTATTTTCCTTTAAATAAGAACACATTTCTTTTATAGAAAAACATTTTTCTATAATTTATTTAAAAATTGGAAATGACCCAGACATTCAATGAATACGTATTATGTAACTTTAGATTTTAAATTATATGATAAGTTTATTTATAGGCATTTATTCCACTACATTTATCTAACTAATTGTTTTTTCAACCAGATTACTTATTAAAACTGTGATAGTTATCATTAAAAATGTTAACCATTTTATAACCTGTGGAGTTCAGGTTTTCCTAAGAACCTTAACATTAGACAAATTTTTTTTTTGTTTGTTTTTGCCAATAACTCAGGATTTAGCTGTTTTCATTAACTGAACAATACTGAATTCCTTATTTATCAAAGTTTACATAAAAAAAGATAATTTTCTTTTGTGCTACATTTATAACTTTATAGCCCTCATGCCACATTTTTACATCTAGCAGAGATAAATATTAAGCCACTTTACCAATGAATCTAAACGATAATTTATGTTGACAATTCTGAAGCCATTTCTAATTACATTTCATGAATACTTTTAAAACTAGCTTATTTATTAAAAATTTACTTAAGTCACATAAACTTGAAAAAGCATTTGGCTCAAAGTCTACTTTTTTCTGGTGGCTGGATTGTAAAAAGTGTTCAATAAATGTTTGCTGTAATAGAAAAAATTTACCAGGCTTCTCATGAATGCCCAGTGCTAAGCTCTGTATTAGGGGGTGTGGGATACAATGATAATAATTATAATCATGGTGAGAATATCTAACATTTATGCAGTGCTTACTATGTATCAGACTCTGACAACTGAATAAGTGGCATTATAGTCCCATGAAACGGAGATACAGGATGTCTAGTAAGCTTCCTCTCTGATTTCACAATCTAATAGGGAAACAGGCTCACAAATAGACAATTAGAACATGGAGTTATAGTCACAAGTAGTTTATCAGTAAGTGTGGGCTCCCATCCTCTCTTTTCCCCTTTTCTTTGTGTCCCCATTACTTGCACGTGTTTATCGTAATAGGGGCCCATCAATAACATTATCTTTGCAAGCCGAGGATAGGCTGTTTCATAGCACTGGTATGATTTTCTGTGAAATTGTCCTGTTCCCTTCTGACACTCCTTCTCCCTCGTTTACACTAAGCTCAGATCTGCTTGTACAGACCTTTGAGCTCACTCACCCCAGCTGGCTGAGCAGTGGAGCCAAGGAATAGAAGTTTCTCTCCTGCCTGCACATTGTCCATCGTAATGTGGTATTTATTAGCATGAATGCGTAACTGAGTTATTTGTGAGGCCAGTGCTCTCTGTTTGATAGAAAATTTCCCATTTTGAAAAAGCCCATTCTTTCCTGTCCCTTAAGCTTGGCAAACCTGCCTTTTCTGCACTGTCATTCAGGTAACTAGTCACCATCACTGATGACGTATGCTGGCATCAAGAAAGCACTATCACCTGATTTCAGCCTCTCTCCTTGGTTTTCCTTGTAATTGCTACCTGACATAAAAAGATGATGGAGAAGATAAGCTCCCATTGACCATAAGTGACTTCCAAATCCCAGAGTTAAATAAATGTTAAAAGATAGAAGCCCCACCCGAAGCTACCTGAGTAGAAGGGGAGGGAGTTGTAGACTCATCTGTGCCCCTCAGCCTGTAGGAGACAGCTGCGTTTCCTCTTCACATTAAGTGAAGTGTGAAAGGGAATACTCAGGAGGTGGGAATGGGTTTCTGCCCTTTCATTCAAAAGCAGTGGTGTAATCTGTGGCATTTTGGCTCTTACCAAGAGAACCTCTTTTCCCTGAAAAATGTATTATTGTAGGATTTAGCCAGCCTGCAGGAAGCACTGACTCAGTGACAGATGTGTAGTGTTTTGGGTCCATTCCTGATCGAAGCTCCTGTGACCTGGGGTGAAAGCAGGGCATTGTGAATTTCACTCTTGTGGTGGAGTTGGACTTCCTTGTACACATGGGACGACATGTATATTCACACGCACTTCAGTGTGGAAGGGGCACAAATTCACCAAGATGCAGAAATGCTTTGTGTCTAAAGAGATGGCAGGTTATGCAGTGGGTGTGTAGCGAGAGAGGGGAGGGATGGTTTAGGTGTGCCCACTGATAACATTCCTTTCTGAAAACTGCGGATGGTTGCAAGGTGAAGTCACTTATGGAATAAAGAATTGCACTGAGCTCTCCAGTTCTTTACCTTGCCTGGGGAACGTTGATCCCAGTTATTTCAACATGAAATGGGAGGGCTGCTAAATTGAAGGCCTAAGGAAATCCAGCTGGGAAACACATCCTGAGCCCAGATGGAGTGTCTTGAGTTCAGTTACCAAGCAAGGCCTGAGGCTAATTATTCTGTTAGGATCTGCTGGACTTATTCTGAGGCCATCTCTATGAAGGTCTGCGTATCCATGTAGGGAGGGCTGAAGTGATCCTTGTCAAATTGTCTTCTAGAGTTTGACATTCAGCTGTTAGGAGTTGGCATTCAGAGGAAACCTGGCTATGAGAAATACTTACAAAATGAGAGCTACAGAGGCTGACAGGCTCACAAACATTTCAGCAAACATACTTAAAAGGAAAATATAAGGCTAGGTGACCTCCTGCGGAGAATGGGGGTAGCTCTGAGAGCTTTCGCTATGGATGGCTACAAGTTATGGAAGGTTGCATATGTCACTGTTACTGATTAGAAGCAGCTGGCTCTTCAGAGGACTGACTCAGCCCTTTGATATGGAATGTGGATGATTTGGGATTTCATGCTAATGCTTAGTATCTAAGCTGCAGTTCCCAGATTGCGACCCAGTGGTTGAGATCAACAGAAAAATGAGTTTCCCAAGTCTTTGCAGAAGAGACACAGCTGTGGTTGGAGAACTACACATCAAGACTTTGTTTGCTTTTGTGAATGGCAAATAAATCTTGGGACCCCAAAATCACTAAGCCAAAGGGAAAAGTCGAGCTGGAAACTGTATCAGGCAAACCCGCCTCCTATTTTATTCTTAAATAAGATAGCTACAAAGACAAAACAAAACAAAACAAAACAAAAAACTATATACTTTCCTCACAATTTGCCCACAAGGAAATTCCTTATGGACAAAGGACAGACACAACTCAAAATCATCCCTCTGCTTACCTGAGAAATACATGTGATTGCTTCCTCTGCCCTACTGTTTCACTAAGCAAGACTAAGGCATAAGCGACTATTCTTTTACCCTCCTCTCACATGTAAATTGTGTATTCAGTTGAAAGCTAATCAGAGACTCTAAATAATGCAACAGATTGTCTCTTATCTACCCATAATGTGGAAGCCCCCTCCCCCACCTCAAGTTGTCCTGCCCTTCTGGACCAAACCAATATACACCTTACATTCATTGGCTGTGTCATGGGTGCATTCTTAAGCTTGACAAAATAAACTTCCTGAGATCTGTCTCAGATACTTTGGGGTTCACAAATTGGAAACCTGAAGGGATTCTGAGTGGTGGTTCCCCTGTACTTTGACAAATCTATGGGTGCTTCGTAGCAGCTTAAGATACCTTTAAGGCTCGGATCAATAGGACAATTTGCTGAGGCCTGGCAACTTCCCCTCCGGAGAATCCCTGATTTCCCCAAATGTGATCGAGATCTAAAGTTTATTTTGCTGTACAGCTCCTTTTCTGGAGTTTTGCTTTCTTCCAACAAGGAAGACAAGTTTTTCTGCATGATGGAGTGCAGGTAACTCCTTTCTGGAGTTTTAGCTTGCTTCCAACAGGGAAGGCAAGTTAGAGTTTTTTTCCTGTTTATAGGATGGTAGAGAGCAGTCATTAGCCTGAGCCCCACTCCTAGGTAAGTAGCTGAATTGGGGTTTTGTCTTGGCTAAACTTAACAACCAGCTGGTCTTAATTTCTCCTTAACTTTAAAGTGCTCAGTAATTGTATAAATTGTGAGATTGTTTGTTTTGCATAACTGTTTTGTTGTTGTTGTTGCTTGTTTGTTTCTGTTGTTGTTTCCATCTGTTTCCTATTGGGTTTGACCAGCTCTATCTGACTTGATCAAATCCAAGGGAAAGTTTCAAATTATGGGGAACAAGGCCTCTGAATTGGCTAAATTCCCACATCTGAAAAAAAAAAATGGGAAAAGGAAAATGACAGCCAGCAAAAGGTAAAAAAAAGAATTTTTTTTTTCTCGGAGGCAGAGTCTTGCTCTGTCGCCCAGGCTGGAGTGCAGTGGCATTAATCTTGACTTACTGCAACCTCCACCTCCTGGGTTCAAGGGATTCTCCTGCCTCAGCCTCCCGAGCGGCTGGGACTACAGGCGTGCACCACCACACCCAGCTAATTTTTTTGTATTTTTAGTAGAGACGGGGTTTCACCATGTTAGCCAGGGTGGTCTCGAACCCCTGACCTCAGCCATTCCACCTGCTGCAGCCTCCCAAAGTGCTGGGATTACAGCACTTTCAGCAGGCCTGAAAGATTTTTGATTTTGACCACTTGAGGGGCTTTATTTACATAACAAGGGCACCTTTATTTATGTAACAAGCCAAGCCAAACTGAAGTAGCAATGGCTGTTGCCCCATGCTGCAGTTCAGTAGCTAAAGGTAGCTAAGGTTCTGCCCCCAATTTTTTGTCACCACGATAGCCTGGGATTGGTTCCTAAATCAGGCTCTTTCTGGTTTGACATTTGTATTAGTTTTGAAATATCAGCAATTTGTTTTAGCTAAAATATGGTAATGAGACTTAAAATTTTTTTTTCTTAAGTAGCTCAATGGTTAGCAGTCAATTAAAAGCTAATATCCAAGATATGTGTGTGTACGCGTGTGTGTGTGTGTGTGTGTGTGTGTGTGTGTGTGTGTCTTTTATTTTTCTCTCCTAGGATCTTTCTTTTTTTTTTGAGAAAAAGTTTTTTTCTCTTCTCAGTTGACTGAATTCTGTTTTCTCCATTTACTTCTGCTCTCTCTCCTTTCTCTTGCCACACTCTGCTGCATAAGGGACCTGAAATAGTTTCTAATAGCCCAGGATTCCTTAAAGAAAACAAAGAAGGCACCAGACTCCCTTTTGGGGAGAAACCTCTGTTTTTCCTTATGGAACCCCAAGAGTGTAAACAGATAAGTTTGTCTCAGATCTTAAACTGCTTGCTTTACTAGTGTATTACCTCATACCTCATTTCTTTTCTTTTTTTTTTTTTTTTGGACTAAAATAGTTATTGTAGCAGAGATTACTCTGGGGTGTTTAAAGTAAGAAAGAGAGTAGTTTAGACACTTAGAGAAATGTCTTTGTTTGAAAAAAAGTGCACTATGAAAGCGTCACGTGGTCTAGCCCCATACTAGTTCTCTTTTTGGAGACCCAGGATTCAGTGTGGGCTCTGCCCAGAGTTCACAGATCCAGTTAAAAGACAGAGACTAAATTTAGAACTACCTATCTAAATAAAATTGGTTTCCTTATACAATTCTATGATAGATTTCTGTAATTTTATGTTTGACTTGGCATCCATTTTTAATCTCCCTGTAGTACCACCAGACTCTTTCTCTCTGTACCTTGAGATATAAATTTCACTATCTGATTTTTCACAAGAGTTGGCCCTTTAATATGCAAATTTAGGGCTATGTAGCTGACATCTGCCTGGAGTAATAAAACAGGTTATCAAGAAATTGGAAGTCTAAAATAGGAGGAAAAAAAAGAGGTGTTATGAATCTATAAGATCTATTTCTATGTGTCTAGTATATCTATGTATTTGTGTCACGTATATGTTTCACTACTAAAAATACATAAAAGCTCTAATTAATTGGCTTAAAGGAAAAAGTGCTTAAATCAAACACTTTATCAGAAAAAAAACAGACTTTGAGCCAAATGCTTTTTCAAGTTTATGTGACTTAAGTAAATTTTTAATAAATAAGCTAGTTTTAAAAGTATTCGTGAAATGTAATTAGAAATGGCTTCAGAATTGTCAACATACATTATTGTTTAGATTCATTGGTAAAGTGGCTTAATATTTATCTCTGCTAGATGTAAAAATTTGGCATAAGGGCTATAAAGTTATGAATCGTTAGCCTCTGTTATCATCACACACTGCTAATGGATGATAGAAGAAAGGCAAGAAGCACCACCCTTGGATTGCCCTTCCTCTTCGGAGACCATGAGCTAAGAATCACAGTCCCTGTCCCTACAGCCCGTGTGAGGAATCACAGCATGATCCAGCACCACGGAATGCAATGCCATGCACAACCAGAGCATGGTTCTGGACTGATGTCAGTGCATGTCAG
Source organism: Homo sapiens (assembly GCF_000001405.40). Lineage (NCBI taxonomy): Eukaryota > Metazoa > Chordata > Mammalia > Primates > Hominidae > Homo > Homo sapiens. The sequence goes on along the minus strand of NC_000011.10, from coordinate 94,809,424 downwards.
TACACACTCTCAGACACAGATTCACATTCCTTCTAGTCCTACACTGTCCAGACAGTGGCCACTAACCACTAGGCTATTGGGTACTTGAAATGTGGCTAGTCTGAACTGAGATGTACTCTAAGGGTAAAACAGACATCAGAACTTGAAGACTTAGGGCCAGGCGCAGTGGCTCATGCTTGTAATCCCAACACTTTGGGAGGCCGAGGTGGGTGGATCACTTGAGGTCAGGAGTTCGAGACCAGCCTGATCAACATGGTAAAACTCCATCTCTACTAAAAATACAAAAATTAGCCAGGTGTGGTGGCATGCACCTGTAGTCCCAGCTACTTGGGAGGCTGAGGTAGGAGAATCACTTGAACCCGGGAGGCAGAGGTTGCAGTGAGCTGAGATCGAGCCACTGCACTCCAGCCTGGGCAACAAAGTGAGACTCCATCTCAAAAAAAAAAAAAAAAAAAAAAAGAAAGAAAGAAAAGAATTTAGAGACTTGGTAGAAAAGGAAAATACCTCACTGAGAGTTTTTAATATTGATTACCTGTTAAAATGACAATATTTTGGATATAATGGGTTAACTAAATTTTTTTAATGTTTCTAAATGAGTTAACTAAACTATGCTTTAAAATTAATTTCATTTGTCTCTTTCAAACTTAAGATGTCACTGCTAGAAAATGTTTAATGAGATATGTGGCTCATGTTACATTTCTATTGAACAGTGAGAGCTGCTCTAGACCATTGTGCATGTACCCTAGAAGGCCTGGTTCTGGAGAGCCAGTTCCAGATTTCAGTGAGCATCAGAGCAACTCATGCAACAGACTAGCTGTTCCCACTCTGGGGTCCCCAGATTCTCAAGCATGAATGGTGATCAGCAAGCCACACTCAATATATTAAACTCTATGTTCCTTTATAATTGGGCTATTAGGCTAATATGTAATAAAAAATGGCTTGTTTGACAAAAACTTTGCAAAACATGACAGGAAAAGAAAAAAAATCAATGGGTAAATAGAAAAAGGATGTAGTGAAGTAATTCATAAAGAGAAAATGCAGGGGGCTAAATAGACATTTTCCTATGCAAAATTAATAGAGAAATTAAAATCAAAACATTTCTCAAGTATTCAACTGAATACACAATTTACATGTGAGAGGAGGGTAAAAGAATAGTCGCTTATGCCTTAGTCTTGCTTAGTGAAACAGTAGGGCAGAGGAAGCAATCACATGTATTTCTCAGGTAAGCAGAGGGATGATTTTGAGTTGTGTCTGTCCTTTGTCCATAAGGAATTTCCTTGTGGGCAAATTGTGAGGAAAGTATATAGTTTTTTGTTTTGTTCTTGTTTTGTTTTGTCTTTGTAGCTATCTTATTTAAGAATAAAATAGGAGGCGGGTTTGCCTGATACAGTTTCCAGCTCGACTTTTCCCTTTGGCTTAGTGATTTTGGGGTCCCAAGATTTATTTGCCATTCACAAAAGCAAACAAAGTCTTGATGTGTAGTTCTCCAACCACAGCTGTGTCTCTTCTGCAAAGACTTGGGAAACTCATTTTTCTGTTGATCTCAACCACTGGGTCGCAATCTGGGAACTGCAGCTTAGATACTAAGCATTAGCATGAAATCCCAAATCATCCACATTCCATATCAAAGGGCTGAGTCAGTCCTCTGAAGAGCCAGCTGCTTCTAATCAGTAACAGTGACATATGCAACCTTCCATAACTTGTAGCCATCCATAGCGAAATATTAACAAATTTCTCAAGATATAATATATATTAGGCTTTTGCCTTTGTAAAAAATAATGCAGAGAAAAAAGACTGGAAGGAACTATTACAAAAGGAAAAAAAGACCGGAAGGAGCTATTACTGCAAGTGATGGGACTATGGATTTTTCTTCTACTCTTGATAGTTTTCTGTTCTTTACACATTTTCTACAATGAACATGTATGGCTACTTAAAAAAATTTTATTATCTAAATAATACATGTACATTATAGAAAAATTAGAAAACATGGATAAACCAAAAAATCAGCATTGTTATTTTAATATTCAGAAAAAATGTAAACAAAATGAAATTTAAAATGAGGTTAAATAATATAGGGCTTCTTGGCTGTGAAGAGGTTCAAATTTGAATTCTGTTGACTCAATAAAAATACCGCTTATTTATATAGAGCTTTGCAACTTACAGTATTTTCTTATAATTTTCTAGTCCTTGAAGCAACATAGTGAACAGAGGGTTTAACAATGGTATCTCTGGATAATAAGACTGAGGCAATTTCTATTTTCTTTCTTTTGGGGGGCGGAATGGGAGTTATCTGTATTTCTAAATTTTGTGCAATGAATATGTTTTATTTATCGAACGAAGAAAATCAGTTATTATGGCAAAAACCATAATTACTTTTGCACCAACCTAATAGTTTTAGGGAAAAAAAATCAGCTGTAACATTTCACAGATAAGGAAACTGAGGCTCTGAGAACTTATGCAATTTGCTACCGGAAGGAAGAGCCAGAACCCAAACCCCCTGAAATTTTTTTTCCAAACTCATGTAACTTCCCACCTGGACCCCTTTGGTCATGTAGACACCTTAAATCTCATAACTGTTCAAATGAAGACTCTACTCTTGGGTAAACTAAGATCAAAATCATTGCTATCCAGGGTGGCTACAGATAACCCTCCTGTTTACAGAAGTCACTCATTTAATACATTACAGCTGGAATTGTTAGGTTTCCTGAGAAAGTAACCTGAACTTGACCCTAGCTTCTTGAAATACCCATGCTGCAGAGCCGTTTGTCAGGACACACAGGGCATTTTATTTCCTTCATCCAGCCATAATTCGGCCTAAATACCGGAGAAACTCCTGAGTTCCCATGCTGGTATTCAAAACACATGTTTAGCTGGTGGAATTTAAATAAGGCTCCATGGCCTCATTTTCGTTAAGGGCAATGCATCATTTTTAATTCAACAGCCATGGGTCTGGCTTACCTTTTCATCCCACAAAGCAATTCATTTTCATGATTGCATAAACTGCAAATCATAATTCCCCATTTTGGAAACACATACTTACTCCCAAGATTCTCCTCCCTCCTCCAGCCATGTCCAACACAAAGTAAGACAGGACCATCAAACCTTCTTTCTTGTAATATGGCACATTCCAAACACAGAGCCCACTAGGAGTAAGGCCTGTGATTTAGCAAATATCTTCATGCTTGTTCATGTTTAGACTGGACTTGCTGCACTGCTGGGCTGACAGGGTTCCCTGAGGACAGGCGTTATCTTTAATTTGCCAAATGTACTCTTGGGCTGCCCCCACTTTACTTGTCCCTCCTCCCTGCACTGTCAGTGGGCATGTACCCAGAGAATGTCAGTGCCTCTGACTCTATCCTCAATGAAAAGAAATCAGGTTTTCTGGGGGAAAATGCATAATGCATTTTTTTAAAGGAAAATAGTGATTTGGGGAATAGGTCATACCACAGGTTCCCTCACTTAATGTATGACACTGCAAGCCCCCTGCCCTGATGAGAAAGAAGGTGGTGGTGATGGCTGTCCTGGGACAAGGCAAGAAGTCTGCTTTACGACAGGAAATCCACAGCTCCTCTGGCTTTGACATCATCTTATATTTTCATCAACCTAGGATGGGAGGGCTGGGCCAAACACTACCATGTCATGCTTTTATAAAATATCTATCTACATACCAAAAAATCAAATTAACGTACTCATAGATGAACAAAATATTAATAAACAGTTACCACTCTTCTCTCCACTTCCCGGAAGCTAGTAAATCAAATCCCCTATGCTGAACAGACAAGATTGAGCCAAGATAAAGGCCAAAAAGGCAATGTACAGGCTGAGAGAGTAGAAACAGAGCCTTAAGTGTTCTTTTCATTGACAGGAGTCATTCTTAGTCTTTTTCCAAATGGATACTGCCTAAAACATACAAATTAGTCTTAAGTTAGTATTCATCATCTTCCATAATGGAAACATTCTAATAAAAATATCTAAAGAAAACCCACAACCCTCACCCTAGGAATGAAAGCACCTCCAAATGAAAGCAAACCAAAAGACAGACGAAAGCCCACACCCACAGCTGTCAGCCCCATTAAGTCTGGTCTGTGACAGTCTTCCCAGATATCTGAAGAAAAAGAGGTATCCAGACAGCTTTCTTCCTAGAGTCTAGAATACTTCACCAGAATTCTGGTCCTGTTGAAAAAAACAGAAGGTGGGCAGAGCACAGGCTGGACATCACATGTGATATATTCTATAAATCTGATTAGAAATTCACCAGATTTAGTGACCCCAAGTGAAAGCTTAAATCTGCGGCTCCACTGCAAAGTACAGTGGCCAAGTGTTTACACTCGTGGGAGACGCAGTGTGCAGCAAAGCATTCCAGGTCTGCACCTGGCTCCTGCACTTGCAAGCTGCTGGCTTTGATCAAGTTAGTTAACCTCCCTCTCTAAGCCTAAGTTTTTATTGTATGTAAAAATTGTGATAATAATAGTACCCACCCTTTAGAGTTGTAAAGATTAAGGAAGATAAGTAACCCACACAAAGTGCCTGGCACACAGTCAGCATTCGGTGAAGGTTTCACCCTCCTGCTATGACTACCACCACCACAACTACTCCATTCTCACCTGCTAAGGGTGAAGACAGAGTTCTAGAAAATGGACAATGAGAGCAAGTGTTAGAAAAAACAGATTTTAGTTTATGCTGAGTCCATTATAATATATAAGTCTTAGGAACAAGAAACACAAAAAGCCTATTTTTGAGATCAACTAAGTCTAAATAGCAAAACATACTCCCTTCCCCACAAAATTAACCTAGCCAGTTATAACAAATTCAAATAGGAAGTTAAGACTATTTGCAGGCAGGGTGCAGTGTTCACCTGTAATCTTAACACTTTGGGAGGCCAAGGTGAGTAGACTGCTTGAGCCCAGGAGTTCAAGACCAGCCTTGCCAACATAGTGAAACCCCAACTCTACCAAAAAAGAATTACAAAAATAGTTGGGCACGGTGGCACATGCCTGTAATCGCAGCTACTGGGGAGACTATGATGGGAGGATCACTTGAGCTTGGGAGGCAGAGGTTGCAGTGAGCTGTGACTGCACTGCTGCACTCCAGCCTGAGCGACAGGCATCTCAAGACAACAACAACAAAACACTATTTGCCTATTAAATTAGCAAAGATTTTGCAATTATAATGATGTAATAACTAACGTTGGTCAAAGTGCAGTAAAACAGGCACCGTAATATTTTTACAAGGTTTTCTGGCATCAGAAGCTTTTAAATGTTTATTATAATTTACCCAATAATTTCATTTCTAAATAATGATTCCTAAGGAAGCCAAAACATAGATAATTTGATATGCATGATGATGTTCGCTCTATCATGGAGAAAATGGTGTAAATGGTATACTTTATGAAATATTATACAGCAATAAAAATGTTGGTTTTGAAAAAATAAAGGATTGTGGAAAAAAGCTTGTGATACAATGCTATCTTTCAAAAGCGAGGATACTAAACAATATAATTTATCATTATAATGTGAAAAAATTAATTTGTACAGGAAAAATGTTAGTGGGTGTATTAGGAAAGTAGGATATTTTAAGTAATTTTTTTAGCATCTCTAGTTCCCAAATGTTTTGAAATATGGATTTCTTTGGAAAACAAATATGCATGTTGACTAATATACTCCAAACTGCTTTGATAAAAATTAGATCATCCCTTGGTATTCATTCATGCATTCATTTCCATTAACAGTGCAGATTGCATAAGCCAAGTCACTACTTCTAGAAGTGGTCTGTTTCCACAAAGAGTCATAAGTAATATCCAAATGCTTGCCTTTGCTTGGGGGGTTGGGAGTGGTCACAATTCTCCACAGTAACAACCTGTTTAATTCCCATCTTGTCCTCATTCTTATCCATTTACACTTTCAGGTTGAGGAAAAAGTATAGTAGAACAAGAGGAAAACCAGAGCCTTCATCCCTAGCCAACACATGTTCCCTGCAGGCCCCTGCTGCCTTAGCACTCCCATCCCCACCAGCCACAGTAGCTCACCCACATGGGCCAAGGTGGGTCAAGTCAACGAGGTCAAGGCCTCATCTCCCAGAGGGTTCCCAGGAAAGGGGCCTAAAGGGCCTTATAATCACCTACCAGACATCTCCATCTTTAGGGCGCATCAGAGCAGGTGAGAGAATTTGTAAGCTATGGTGAGTCAAGAGTGATCACAAAAAACTCAAATTCTTATTCTTCTCATAAGTTCTATCACTTGTCTCTTTGGAGCTTTCTACCTCTAGGCAAAAAGGAGTGAAGTCTCAACAATGTAATGGGTTGGACCAAACTACTGAGTACTCATTACATACTGAGCCCACCAGTATGGGCACCAGCCAGGGAGATGGACTCCATGATCTCCATCAGAGGCGTCTCTTTCTAGTCCAAGAGTCTATGTGGTTGTACGTATGTACACAATGGCCTGCAGCTTCCTAAACCATCACGATCAATGACAAACAGATAACCCTTTAAGCACAAGATAATGTGTCAGTGAAATGAAAGGGGCCCTACTTGTCTTCTGGGTCACAGGCAAGTTGAACATGACACACTGCTGAGTTTCAGGTCCAATCCTTCGAGTTCAGGCCACGTTAAATGTGTCTGAAGCAGGGCTGGTGTGGATGCAATATTGTTTACCCAGTCAGCCAAGGGCTGCACCACTGGAGCCATGCTGGCTAGCCATGGCCCTGTTCACAAAGGGGCCTTGTGGCTCTGGGACCCAGCCTCAATGGCCTGTCTGTTACGTCTCCTGAGACATTTGATGCGTCATATTAACCAGCTGCCAAGCCTGGCAGTCAGCTCAAATCCCTCACACATTTCTTCTTCTTTCTAACGTCATAACTTTGAGAAAAATGACCTCCAAAAGTGTTCCCCTCCTCCCCTGACCATTTCTCCCACCTCACATCACACCTATTACCAAATGACAAAAGGCAAAGTGATCCACTGTATGCATTGCACGGTATGTACATATTACTTTACAAATAGTAAAGCAAAGAAGAGGAAGGGGATTTCATTTCAGGATAGCTTCCCCTCTATCAAGCTCTAGAGGCTGAGTTAAGTTATCAGGGAAAAGGGTGAAATATAATAAGCCAAACTCTGGTATGATGGTGGAATAACATCATGGCTTATTTTAAACAACTGTGGTAAATCACTGTGATGCAAATACCAGGGATTTGATCAAGGAGCTATAAAGGGGGAAGAAGAGCCTCCTGGATCCCATCTTGGATTCCTGGGAGGAGTCCGGTTATGCCCACTTAGGGAGAATGCGTTCTCCTGCCTGGCCAAGATCTCACAGTTGGTTATGCTGCTTCTGAGCTGGCATTCTCAGTCTAATGTGGGGAAATGTGTCAGTGCTGGGAAGCCAGTGGCAGATCAGGCCACTCTCCCTCTGCCAACCTCCAGCCTCTCCTTTTTCAGAAGATGTACAGCCAAGGTATGTCCTGCACATAGCCACTGAGGTCGCTTGGGAAAACCCTGGCTTGTTCAATTTAGAAACAGATAATAAAGCCCTTCATGAAAATGACACATCCAATAATAGGCAGTGGCCACATGTCTTTTCTGTTCATGTTCCCTGCCCCTCCTTCAATGTCAGCAACATCTAAACATTTCTGACTCCCAAAGTGTGATCTTCAGACCCAATTTCTCTCCTGAGAGTTTGATTCGTAATTCCCTTATTTCCATCATCCCTATTCCAGAATTTCTGTATCTAACCAATCCCTAAACCCTGTCAGTTCTATTTCCCTACCTCTCTTAGCACATAATGCTCCTCTATTCTCCCTGCCCAAGCTTTGGCCACCCTCACCAATTCTGATCTGGACTACTGAAAGCATCCCTGGAGCTCCTTGTGGCGTGGGGCTCCCTTTCCTCTAATTCATGCACTGCCACCAAAATCAGCTGTTAGACATCCACTTACCATCCCTACCTAAGAACACCGCTTTTCCCGATTGCTTATGGATACATTCTAAACTCCTTAATACGACACCCAGAGACCGTCATCATCAACTTCCCTGTCCAAACATACCTCAACCAAACGGGTCCCAACTTCCCTGTCCAAACATATCTCCTGTCACTTCTTACCACACCCTTGCCCACCAGTGCTCTGCATTATTGCCACTCATTCCAGACAAAAATCCTCATGACCTCTTTGTCTGAAGACACGGCACTCCCTCACACAGCACATACTGCTACTTCATCTCTACCCTACAACTCTGATTTATCCTTCAAGTTCCAACTCAAATGTCACCTCCTCTGGGAAGCTCTCTCCAGCCCCTCCAGTTGTGAGTTATACTATCCTACCTGTTACCCTAGCATCCTCGGCCCATTTCTCTCCTAGAACAGCACATTGAATGGCAATGATCTGTTCAGATGCTGGTTTCCTCCAAGACAATGCTATAGGGTCCTGAAGGGCAGGGACCCCATCTCTGAACCAGGAACAGGGCTTCAGAGTACAGCATACACTCAGTAGGTGCTGCTGAATCCATCAATCAACTGGAAGAATACAAGTGAAGGCTGTAGGAAGAATTAGGGCAAGGGAGTGAATAGATTTTGGCAGTCAGGATACTTGAGTGTAGCCCCCAGCTGCCTCAGAGTTGTGTCTATGAAATTCATTAATCTCTCCAGGCTTTAGTTTCTCATCTGTTGAGTGAGGGATGGGACTATGTGATTTCTACAGTCCCTTTAACTCCTCCATTCTAGCATTCAGACTACATTTTCCTTTAAAATCTACAATGAAAAAAGACTATAAAACCCTCTGGTAATAATATGTTCCAGGAGTTTGGACGGTCTCCACAAAGCCATTGGAAAATTGCTACTTTGCCAGGCCACTAGGCAGAGCTCCCAAGGACAGCTAACAAGTGAGGTCCCTCCCCTAAACTCATAAATCCCCAACTGCCTGCTGCTATGTTTGGAGAAAATCCCTCAGTTGCCCTCTACTCTATTTCACCCTATATATTCTGGCCACAAAGTGGTTTATTAAATATCATGCATAAGGAAAAAAGCCTGATGACAAAAACCTAATCTGCTCTGAAAATAATAAATGCTAATAACATGACTATTGAATTTTGAAAAGCCGCACGAAACGTCTGCAGTTGATAATCACCTCGTTACCCCATACTCAGGGGGTGGCTGGTACCGCAGGACGGCCACATCTGTTCTCACAGGCTGAGGAGCAGGGTAGGGCTTGACCATCTCGTGGAGCATCCCGGGGTGCTGGTCACCATAAAAAAGTCCGTGCTCCTGGGTCTTGCTGACTGGGGACATCATTTGCTTGGTCTTGAAGGGGTACTCAGGTGGAGGACCCCGAGGGTCCAGCACTTTACCTGCAGGCTGGGCAGGGGAGGGCCCCCCTCCTACTTTGAAGCCCTTTCCATTCCCCGAGCCGGGAAGGTGTTGCTTGGCCCCATTCCTCTCCAGGGACAGCTGCATGATTCTCTCGCTGAGCGAGCGGACGTGGCCCTGCTTCAGTTCCTTCAGCGCCTCGTCCTTATGCGCCTGTCCACTGTTGGCACGGTTCACAGTGGGCCTCCCCTCAGTTCGGGACTTCTGACTGGTGCCCCCTGCCATGTAGTAACCATGGCCCACCGCCCCCTGCTGCTGTTGCTGCTGCTGCTGCCCCCTGAAGAACTGCGACTGTGCTTTGGCCTCCTCGTAAGTGGGCAGTTCCTCGTTGTTCTGCTGAGGCTGCGTGGACCGGACCTGTTTCTCCATCACCGTATTGTCCACCTGGTGTTCTTGACCCTGCGGTTCTTGGCGTGCTGACTGGTAGACCATTTGTGGGTCTTCTTGAGTGAGGTTTTCCGTGGAAGAAAAGTTGTTTGTAGGATGGGCTGGTCCTGCACTCCCTGTGGCCTGGTGCTGAATGGCCAGCAAGTTCATGTTCTCGGTTGGGGTGCCATACCGCAGTTGTTCCTGGATCAGCCGCTGCAATACTGTTCCAGCTGCCGCATCCTCGGAACCTCTCATTTCCACCTCTGAGATCCTCAGGAAGTTTGGGGAGTGGAAGTTACAAAGAGGATCTTCAACTAAAAGATAAACATAGGAAAAAAGATATCAGGCAGCTCCACAGGAGATATATGTCTGTGACTATGTGGTACATAATTAACATTCTAACTACAGCAACATTTAAAAATAAGATTTCAAATGCATCATCACCTCCATTTACCTGGCAATGTCTCATGGAATTTTCTTCTCCAATTCAAAGCGAGTCTACTATTCTGCACTCCCTCTCCTCTGCTTCCTCTTAAACATTGTTCCATCCTTCAACCCCTCCCTTTTCTCTAATCTCCCCACCGGTCCTTTCTCTTCATCACATAAATATACCCAAGTCTTTCCCATTTAAAAAAAAATACAAGAGAAAACCAAAATCAAACCAAAAGAAACCACCTTTTCTTGGCCCTCCCATATACCTCTAACTACCACCCTGTATCTCACTTTTCCTTCTCATCTAGTTGTCTTTGGTAAGTACCCTACACTTGCTGTCTCCCCTTCCCAAATGCTCCATCCACTAACCTCCCCACTGCTCTGACCAGTAAGCAAATCCAATGAGAATTTTCCAGCCCTCATATTATACACCTAACTTTTCTGAAGCATTTGACATGGTTGGTTACCCTCTTCCTGCAATGCTCTCCTAATTCGGCCTCCAGGTCACCCCTCCTCTTGGTCCTGGCTCCTGCCTCTCTCTATGCACCATCTCTGGCTCCCTTCTCTCCACCTGTCCCTTAAATTCTGGTGTTTCCTACAGCTCTGTCCTGAGTGCTCTTCCACCTTTATGCGTCTCCCAGTGACACCACACCTACCCCTCGTCGTCAACTACTGACTCATGACCCATACATCTACAACTGCCAGACGATGGCCCTGAGTCCTTCTAACTCAACATGTCTTCCTCGCCCAAAATACTTAACCACCCATGCCAACCCCTGTATTCCCTGCCTCATCTACTTTCTGTCAAGCCAGAAAACTGAAGGTTTTCCAAAATTCCTTCCTCTCCCTTTACCCCAACATCCAGACAGCCACTGCCTGTCAATTCAACCTTCTCAACATCTCTGCCAACCCTCTTTCTTATTCCCGTGCCAATCTCCAAGTTCATCATTAATAACTTCAATACAAGCATAAGAACTACTTTAAACATGTATATGATGTGCCAGGTATTGTACTAAATTCTCTCCATGTGTTATTTCATTCATTCCAAATATAACACTAAGAGGTAGATAGTAATTCCCTCACCTTACAGAAGAGGAGAGATGTTCACAGAAGGTAAATTGCCGAGGCCCCCAGGCGGGAAGAGGCAGAACTGGGATATGACACCAAATCTGTGTTCATTCCACATTACAAGCTCTCAGCAACACATACCCAGGTCATTCCAACAGCCTCCTTATCTATTTCCCTGACACTCATCTTATTCCCACTTCCAAACCCACCCCTCTGACCCCAATCTATCTGGCACACTACCTTGAAAGATTGTTCCAATAGAGAAATCTAATCATGTCACTCCTCTGCACCAAAATTCCTCAATAATCAATTACAGGATGAAACTGATATTCTATCATATGGTGTAGCAGGTACTACCTACCTATCCAACAACATTTCATGCTGCTCCCAACTCCCACTGGCAATCCTTTGGCGTTTAAGCTCCAGCAATACTTATGTACATATAGTTTCCAAGACATGCTAGCTCTCTCCAGCCTCTGGACCTTTGCTTGCCTTCCCTCTGCCTAGAAAAATGCATCTCACCATATCTCTTGGGAAAATTATTGGACAAGTGATAGCTCCAAAACTACCTTCCGAGTAAAACCTTTCCTGCTACAGCCCTGCAGGCCTGAGCCTTTTTCTCCAATGTCCCCACTCCATTTGTATATATCTCCATTGCAGCAATTCTCACAGTAGATGGCAATTATTTATTTATACAAGAGTCTAAACTCCTCAAAGGCAAAGATCATGTCTTCGCATCTGGGTCTCCCCAAAACAAAGCCCAATGCCTGGATGTCATAGGGGCTCAGATATTTAACCAATAAAAGAATACCTACATGAGCTCCATGAAATAAAAAATTTAGCCCATTTCACAACAGGACTATTAAGTAGTGCATTAAGGATATTATTATAGCATTATGAAAGTAGAAATTCTACCACTAACTACTGGCATGACCTTAAACAAATCGCTTTCCCTCCCTGAGCCTCAATATCCTCCTCTATAAACCAAGAGAGCTGAACTAGATCATCTCTAGGCAGCCTTCACTCTTACAGATTCATGTAATGATGGCTCTATGTTTCATGTGTACATACGGCACATCATTTTCCCAAAACAATCTTTCTTCCCCAAGTTCATCTTTTCTTCCTATAAATGGCATTCTCAAATATGAGTCATCCAGATAGAAGTGTCATATTCACTTCTGACCTTTTTATCCTTTGCTCTCCACATTTAATCAACTGCCACGCTCGTTTTTCTCAGTCTACAGTGAAATGAGAAAAAAACAAAGGTGGTGTGATATGCTTATATACAAGATATATACATATATGTATATTAATACATCTATATGTGTATGTAAATAGACATATGCCATTAGAAGGTTCATAACTGCCCTTTTTGGGGCAAGAACTGTCAAGGATCACATCCCTCCTACATTTTTGGTATTAAAATATGAAAAAAAGGTGACAGCAGATGACATTGTTACTGTCCTTGCAATAGCAAAATACTGTAACTCCGTGATGGCCCCCTAATTTTCATTAAGAAATTTCACATTTATAACAGTTACAAATCACAACCAAGCCCTAGTTTCTACACCAACAAGCTCCCCCATCCCATCCGTTCTTCCGTGCCCTCAGCCACTCTACGGGTTCCAACTCTCCTTGCCAGCCATTTAGACATGCTGAATGGCCTCTCAATATCTCTTGCCCCTGGCTCCTTCTCCTTTCAATCCATATTGCATTATGACCTGTCTTCCTCTGCCAGATTCAAACTCCCGGGAGCAGAGAGTTCTGTTTGTTATATTTATGTGTTGCCTCCCCAGTGCCTTGAACCCTGTCCTGATACACAGAAGGCGTTCAGGACATGATTGTTGAGGAAATGAAGGGAGTTTACACACTGGTTCCTGAAGCTCAACTTTGATCATAAGGCTCTCCCTGTCACCCTTACCCCCAAAATCTCACCTCTGTGGCTTCTCTGAACCTCTCTCCTCTGAAAAATGGAGAAACTTTCATATCTGCCTCATAGGAATGTATGTGAAATAAACTGAAATTTATCCCTTACCGTCAAAGAATCAATATTGTAACTGAGATATAAACCCAAAGTTCAACAGCAAAAAAATTTTAAACAATAAAAACAAACTATTAAAACTCTACACAACATGAATTGCCAAATATTTGTAATAAACCATTAACTACCCAAGGAAAGACAGATCAATGTGGGTTGGACTGGTCTGCTCTTTCACTCTACCATATTTACTGAAAACGTGTTATAGTTCAGGCATTGGGACAGGTGCTGGGGTTACGAAAGTAAAGAGGACACAGTCCTCCCCTCAGGGTAACTGATCTGAAAGACTTAATGGAACAAGCACATTCAAATAAAAAAATTTTAAAACATTTTAAAATAAAATGAATACAACTTCAAATCAAAATATATTTCCAAAGGAGAATGATGTATTTGGATGAATAATAAAGGAATAGATCTCAACAAGCATGAAAACTATTGAATTCCCCTTTCACTGAAGTAAGAGAGAGATGAGTTATAAGCATATTTAGCAAGAACCATGACATCCTTCCCTAAAGTGGTTTAAAGATTCCCTCACAGTTTAACCAGTCTCAAAAGCCCTCAAAAAGAGATAGGAAGTTTTTACAAAGGAGACAGCTCCTTCCTTGCTATAGTTCTGAATTACTTCTTTTAACTTCTAAATTATTTGCAAAAAGAGATAAAAACAAAAGCAGAGAAGGAAAAAAGAAATGAGATTCTGAGAAAGGGGAGAAAAAAGTATTTAGGAATCAGAGAAAAACTGAAAATAAGTGGTATAATTCTGAAGTTCCTACATGTTTAGGTATGATGCTCTCAGACAGAGTCACATATTAGAGTAAAGCAGTCTATTAACACCATAGCAAAACATGATTAAAAATAAGGCATCTATGAACAGACAATCAATAATCCAATATGATGATTTAAAAAACAAGATTAGAGAATAAACATCTGAATTATGCAAAAGAGCTAAAGATGAGAAACGTAAGATCATTTTGCTTTTCCAACACAAGTGCCGGTAAAAGGACTTACCAACTTTTTCCCTGATGCTACTGGTTGCCTCCACCGTCAAAGCAGATGTTTCATGCCTCCCAGAATAGAGCTGAAAGTCTGGGGAAAAGTAGGTGGAGTCTTCTAGAACCTGGACAGGACTACTGGGGCTATAACAAGCAGAAGGGGACCCTGGGGGAAAGAAAGCGAAGTGAATATGAGTGCCCATCAAGTCCTCCTTCCTTCCTGTGTGACTCACAAGAACCCACCAGGCATTCTCCCACAGTGTTTCAACTTGGCAGAGGGAGCTCTTTCTTTTTGATTCATAAAATTCCAAAGTTACTATTCAGAATTATCACAAGTCCAGCCACCCACCAAAATGACCCGTGAGGTCAACATAACAGTCCTCAAGACACACTGAGTGAAGGCGCAAATGCTCTAATGTTCTCACACAACCCGGTTCCAAGGGTTGCAGCAGCACCAGCGAAAGTCAAGTCCTCTGCGGGACTGAATGTGTCACAAAGTTCTGAATGGTCAAGGTTGAGGACAGAAAGGAGGGAAGCAGGGAGGCCACTGAAGGAAAGCAAAACAGGAAGAGCAGCTGTCTTTCAAAATACATAAAAGATACAGAAAGGAGTGGTCATTCTGCCACACCATGTGTTAGCAAGAGAATGTGCTCTCTGCCCCACTCAAAGACTTCTGGAGTCTAATGTTACAGTGTGGAGCTGGGGCAATGGGGTCTGGTCTTCTGCCAAGCACTGGCCTTTCAGCTCCAGTTTATCTGCTTCACACACAAACTGGAGTGTGCTTCCTGTTCCAATTAAATGTGACACTGTGTTCAGTCCTTCAGTCACTGAACATGAGATAGTACTACAGTAACACTGATACCGCACACACAACATCCATGGGAACATTCAGCAGGACGGGCCCAGGCTGTTTTCCCTCTCTGCACTGATTCCTCTGCATGGGCACCAAGTTTAAGGCTCTTTTCAGCTAAAGTAACTTATTTTACTCTGGGGAAAGAATCATAGTACTTTTTTAAAAATTAACATCCTTGCTCAAAAGAAAATTCCATTAAAAGAAAAAATCCTGTTTTTCAGCAATGGCTTCCAACTGGTAATTTGAAACTTCTCACTAGGTTTGTTATCTACCCATTTCCCACAAGGCCATAGCTAGTGGTAAGTGACTAATTATTGATACCAAACGACCATAAGATGGGAATGTCCTCATCTCCTTCCTGAGTTTCTTTGCCTCAACATATGAAACAGTATTTGCGTGTGTGCTCACATGTATTACAGGCACATTTTGGACTAGAAAGAGAAAGGATTCTGACAAGAATTTTTTTCTTATAAATTAAAAATAATGTAGTTGTAATGCCCACTTTAAAGATGAACATAAACCGAGTACGGATGATACTATATGAAGATCAGTCTAAAACTACAGTTCCAATGCATGACAGTATCTGTCAGCCTTCTCCTTTTGGCCAACCTACAAAGACTAACCTGAAAAGAAACTCAGCCCCTTTCCGGGCATCATCCTCTACGTCTATAAATCTAGAAGCCTAGGGCTAAAATTAGGAATCATGGATGACCTGGATGCAAAGGCAAGTCCTAATCTGGCTTCCTCTTTCAGGCAGGTGGAAAACAGTGGAAAATGAAAAAGGTACAAGGTGCAATTCTGGCTGCACATTAAAATCACCCAAGAAACTTTTAAAATCTCTGTACCCAGGAACCACCCAGATCTATTCAATCAGAAGCTCTGAGGATAGGGCCTAGGCACCTGTATTTTATACAGCTCTTCCAACAATTCCAATGTGGAGCGAAACTGGGGAAGCTCTAAGCAAGAGGGAGAAGAGCAACAGAAAAACTAAACCCCAAAACACCTTTCTGTGCCTTCATTCCCATCCCTCCTACCAAATCAGAGTAAGAGAGGAGTTGAGAGCCCATATGCTTCGATCAAAGAAAGTGTGATGTTTTCTTAAAATAGACACTGAGTCAGGAATGCCATGTGCCAGCATATTACAACTTCAGATGATTCTATCTAGTCACATGACTAAGAATGTTAAATGAAAACAGAGCAAACTGATAATAAAACTGAGGTCCAACTAAAATATATATGTGTGTGTGTATATATATATGAATATGTGTATAAAGAAGAGTGTAGGGCTGTGTGTGTGTGTGCTTTCAATGTGGAGCTCAGTATGGATCCCAGCACTAAGCCATTCACTGTCACTACAATGTCAGTATGAGTTACTTTTCCACACTTTATCTCATGGTCTGCTAACTAAGAGTGGGTTTAAGAACTCCAAACCACAGAACACTACAAAGAGGGCAATCCTTGAAGCAGGGCCGGAGCACAGAGGACACCAAAGATATGCCTTTTCCCTTCACCACTGTTTCCTCAGTGTCATGAAAGAACTAAAGCATTTCACACACCCCCACACACACCTGAATTCACACTGAAGGACAGGATGCCTAACTATTAAGACATGTCAAAGATCACTTAGGACTTCTTCACACACACCCAGGGTCCTGCACGTCCACTGAGTTACACTCCCACTGCTGCTGACCACTCCTCAGTGCTGAAGAAAGGCTGGAGAGCAGAGCAGATGACAACAGACCCAGCAGATGGACATGCCCAGGTACCATCCACTCGTCTAAAGCCAAGAGACAACCAACCGGCTGAGCTGTCCCAGCACTGACACAGCCTGAAGGAGTCACTTTATTTATTTATTTATTATACTTTAAATTCTAGGGTACATGTGCACAACGTGCAGGTTTGTTACATATGTATACATGTGCCATGTTGGTGTGCTGCAACCATTAACTCGTCATTTACATTAGGTATATCTCCTAATGCTATCCCTCCCCCAGTCCATGTCAGTGTCAGGCCCCGGTGTGTGATGTTCCCCATCCTGTGTCCAAGTGTTCTCATTGTTCAATTCCCACCTATGAGTGAGAACATGTGGTGTTTGGTTTCCTGTCCTTGCGATAGTTTGCTCAGAATGATGGTTTCTAGCTTCACCCATATCCCTACAAAGGACATGAACTCATCCTTTTTTATGGCTGCATAGTATTCCATGGTGTATATGTGCCACATTTTCTTAATCCAGTCTATCATTGATGGACTTCTACTAGGAGTCACTTTAACTGCTAGCTTTCTCACTTGAAAGACAAGGAAACGTGACAGTAATGTGAGTCACAGAGTCTACCCCAGATTCCGGGGCCACACAACAAAAATTTAACAGAGGTCGCAGTTCCATTCTACATGTACCTAATCCTTCCCTGCCTATTTTAATTCACTGTCTTCACTGGGAACTCCTGCAACACAAATTGAGTCTACTTTCTTAGGCAAAATGCAGGGCACATGATCTAAGCGACAAGGTCAAGGATATCTGAAATGAGGAATTGGAAATAAACCTATGGCATGAGAGGGACTGCTGTTTTCTATGTCAAAAGTTCATGGCCAGGAGCGAGAGCTGGGAGAAACCACAGAAGCCTCCCAGATACCATTACCACCCAGAAAGCCCCTGCAGAGCCTGGCTCGGTACCAGGGGCTGAGCAATGGTGCCAGTTTTTAGGGGAGCCCACAGCCTGCCAAGGACCCCCCTGGCTTTACAGTTGTTCTGTGTACAGTGTAGCTGCCTGTAGGGGCTTCATAAAGACCATTCCCATACAAGCACTTCTGGACTTTGTAGGTAACTTTTAGATATCTCTTTCAAACCAGAACCTTATCTAAGAATCACCACTCACAGCTTTAGTATGCATAGGGAAAGTGGCAAAAGCAATGGAAAACAAGCTAAGGTCTGAGTAAAGGAGTCAGCTCTCTGGGGAGTCTCCCACTGGGGAGGAGAAAGTACAGTGCCTAGGGCCCTTAACCTGAAGAAAACCTAAAGATCTGTTTTTGCTGCACTCCACAAAGGATGAAATTCTAACATTCTAGTTTAAGGGTACAACATTTCTGCCTTATGTTGCCTATGACCCATTTCACCAAGAATGGCTCCTTTTTCTTAACAAAATCTGCACGTCATTTGTCAACATGAAAACTCCTTTGCTTCTCTCTCTTTGAGCATGACTGCTTTTTTGGCTTGCTTTTCTGAAGCACTGAAAACTTCCTTCCCATATGGTTTTATGCATTGCTTTCTTTGTAACAGAGGCCTTTAGCTAATGTGACTCTGAGCAAGACTATTTTCCCTACTCAAGAGTGGCAATAACAACGGCTTCATTGTTGAAGGGAAAAAAAATGAATTAAGGTGAATGAAGTGAGTTGTCTGGGGGAGGCAAGAGGAGCAACAGAAACCGTGGTGAGCCACTCCTCTGATTCACCTGCCACTGGAACTACTAATTCCCAAGGGTCAGTTCCTGAATCTGTCCACAGGCCATTAATACAACAGGCTCAAAGTCTCCATGAGGTTTAAACCCTGGAGGACGTGAAACTGTCATTCCGCTATCATACAATACACACAACTAGGAAGTCCCTTGTCCTTAAATTCCACTGCCGGCATGCCACTCCCTTACACATAATGATTTGGACTATAACTTCAGGGTGGAATTTTTGTGGTTTTCAAGGCTGTCTCTAAACAGGGCCCCCTTTAGCTGTGCATAGTCCTGCTGGTCCCCTCAGCATCCCAGCATCCTGTGAACATGTCATCCTCATTCTCCAAGTGCCACCTTCTGGCTTCACATGCACCCCTAACTACTCTAAAGTTCATCCTAGTAAATGTACCTCTTCAGTTTACCGCCTCTAGAACGCCTCTCAACACCATCCCCCATGCCCTGACTGATCTCCCTTCCCTCAACTGTCACCACACTTATGATCTGAGGCACACAAAACTTGTGGTACTTAAATTTCACCTGCCTAGTATTTTGCAGTAGTCATTTAATAGGCTGGTGTTATGGCCCTGGTGAAGTCATTACCCTTTGAAGACAGGCAGTGTACTGTGTACTTGCTAATTTCTGCAAGCATGTAGCATGTAAGACATATGCTTCTTACTACGTGCTGACTGATGGCAAGAACATGGCGGTATTCTCTGGAATGTTCTCAGTACCAAGTAAGAGTTAAAGAAAAGACAAAGATCCCTCCAAAGCCAGTCTCTATGAGAATTCCAGATAATTCCTTGTACCTTTCAGCTCCGTAAGATGAGGGGGCCCTTACTCTCCCCTATGCAGCAAATACTAGTGCTTTCAACTCTACAGGCCAGCGACCCATTCCTCAAAGAGACCACTAACTGCAGAACAACTCCCAGGTGTTATGTCACCAACGGGCAAAGCTTTCTGCCAGCTACATGTAATCCAAAACCTCCTAATGATTTAAAAACAATTTCACTGTCTAGATTACAATAACCTCCTATAACTTTATAACAGAGATTTTAACCACAGCAACAAACAATTCTGTGGCTTCTATCTTACCTTTCAAAGAGCTAAGGAATTTGCTGAGTGTGCCAGCAGCCTCAAAGTTAAATGTAAGCCATCAAGCCTTCTGATTCCGGCAGAACTCGAGGTTTTTCTAGGGAGCCGAATACTCCGCTCAAGGAGAAGGATACCCTGGAAACAATGTTTTCAAAAGGGCTGGAGAACCTATGACCAGTACCTGAAAAATAAGGGCCAGCCTGTTTAGGAGTCCTCATGTGAAACCAAGCCAGCTCATCTGGATTAGCTGATTCACAATCTTAAGGGCAGCACTGACAGGCAGCAGTGCCTCCTCCAAACACCTGCATGCAACACATGTTTTTAAAAAGGAAACAGTGCCGGGCACGGTGGCTCAAGCCTGTAATCCCAGCACTTCGGGAGGCCGAGGAGGGTGGATTACTTGAGGTCAGGAGTTCGAGACCAGCCTGGCCAACATGGTGAAACCCTGTCTCTACTAAAAATACAAAAATTAGCCAGGCATGGTGGCGGGCACCTGTAGTCTCAGCTACTCGGGAGGCTGAGGCAGGAGAATCACTTGAACCCAGGAGGCAAAGGTTGCAGTGAGCCAAGACTGCGCCACTGCACTCCAGCCTGGGTGACAGAGCTAGACTCTGTCTCAAAAAATAAAAATACAGAAATAAATAAAAAGGAAACAGTAAGCTCCACCACTAAACTAAAAGCACTCCCTGGAATATGCTTTCTCACTCTCTTTTCCCCCAAGCAACCATTACCTGAAACCCGAGGTTTGGAGTTGGGGGTTGAGGGGTGGGGTTTACAAGATTCCCAACCCCTACATGGCAGGTCTTTTGAATGGGCATCAAACTTGAATTCTAAACCCTGGACCAATCCATATGTTCCAGAAAACAAGTGAAATCAAGACCCCGACACCTATTTAACTTAGACTCTCTCTGAAAGTGGAATGTGTGTTGAATAACTTCAAACTTGTCTGAAGTTTAACTTTGTAATGCTTACTTAAAAATCTTTGAGATATTATCAATATAAACCAAAATGCAGAGCACATGCTTAACCTTTAAAGTAACAATTGAGTCCAAGAGATCACTGTGAGTGGAGCTATAAATAGCAAGAAATGAGTAAGACTGTCCTTGGCCCTTAGGATTTTACGATTTGGTTCCAGAGACCAACGTGCACACAACTACCCATTTTTATTGCAAAGTATGTTAAAGGAACATACTGCTTTGGAGTTCCATGAGTAATCATTACTACCTGTTGACTGACGGAAGGGACATAGAGCTTCAGTGACAAGGAGAAAGAGATATGTGGGCTGAAATTGAACCGGAGGGAAAATGAGGAGGATGTTAATCCACTGTGGGGTGTGGAGAAGGTGGTAGTGAGGGAAGATCGGCCCAACATGGGAAAAACAAAAGCATAGGACTGGGTTATGAAAGTGTTGTCTCTTTAAGGAATAGAGAGTTCAGCGTAGCTTAGTTATGGGTAAGGAGAAGGGGGTTAAAAGCATGAGTACATTATTTTCCTAACATGTTAGAGCTGGAAAATAAATTAGAGATTAGGTAGTTCAACTTCCAACTATTACCTACCATGTTCCCTTCCTGATAGTCACCTAAGTAAATCCTTTCAATGTTAGGGAACACTGAACTCACTGTCTAAGTCTAGGGGCAGGTTCTATCTACCTTCCATTACAGAAGCCAACCCTGTTCCAGCAGTTAGAACGACCTAGGCTCAGTCAACTGGATGTGCACTGAATCTTGAGGAAATGATGCAAGGACAAAAAGGTGTTGATAAACTACCTGCGATAGCACTATCCCCTGGAGTCCAGGAGCAGCAGCAGTCTCTATGGTGACCTCACCCTAACAAGACAAGTAGCGTATCTCTGGCTGGGTTCCCAGTGGCTATCTGCCTAGATTCCTGCCCATTTTCTGAGCCTTCCAATTAATTTGTGAGCTGCCCGATATATTTCCAATAAATTTCTCTTTTGCTTAAGTTACCCAACGTCACTTTGTGCTTCTTACAATCAAGAATCTCTGATAGACTTATTTTTTTAAGCAATTGTTCTGATTCTCATTCTAGTACAGCATTTTGTTTTGTATCTTTTTTTTTTTTTTTTTTTTTTTTTTTTTTTTTTTTTTTTGAGACGGAGTTTCGCTCTGTCGCCCAGGCTGGAGTGCAGTGGCGCGATCTCGACTCACTGCAAGCTCCGCCTCCCGGGTTCACGCCATTCTCCTGCCTCAGCCTCCCGTGTAGCTGGGACTACAGGCGCGCGCCACCATGCCCGGCTAATTTTTGTATTTTTAGTAAAGACGGGGTTTCACCGTGTTAGCCAGGATGGTCTCGATCTCCTGACCTCGTGATCCGCCCGTCTCGGCCTCCCAAAGTGTTTGTTTTGTATCTTAAGTACTACATGACTTAGCACTATCTGCCTGGAATTATAGTAACTCATGTACATTGCCCTACCTATCCTTGGCACCAACCTTGTGCAAATACCTGTGAAAAAGACTTGTAGTTCCCCGATGTCTTCTTCATCTAGAGGGCCTGTCTACCCTTACAAATCTATGAAACTTTTACTTTGGCACATACTAAATGCTAAAATATATACTAATTATGAGAAAGTCTTTTGAAGCTCTATTCTAGTGCCACTTCCTCCAGGGAGTCATCTTTCCCTCCTCCCCCCAATTTCTATATGCTACTCAGTGCTCCCCAAGCATTCTATGCATACTGATATCATAATGTATTAAATTGCCTGTGTATTTAGTTTCTTTCCCACCCCTCCCCCCTTAACTCATAAGTTTATAACAACAGAGACTGTGTCTTATTCACCTTTGTATCTCCAGTTACTAGCAGAAATAAGATCACAGCAAGTACTCAACACATATTTATTTTACCAATGAATCGTCTGCATATGTTCCTAGTACCGAAGAGTTTCTGACACATCATGTGGACTCAACAAATACATTAGCTTAATAGATATATTCAGATACATTTTAAAATAACTAGTTATAAGCATGTTCTTACTACAGAGCTTAGCTCAAAGTTAAGTTTGCCTTTTTTAAGGCCCTTCAAACTACTCAGGAAACGAAGGTAAAAGCTGTTGCGGGGAAAAAGAGAAAGCCACCTAGTGCTGAAACAGGTTAATTACAAGTGTGCTGTGATCCAATTGCACAAAGGCTTTGTACATAATGTTAGAAGTAACATCTTAAAACTTAAAGTGTAATAATAATAATAAAAAAGAAAAAAAGAAAAAAGAAAAAAGAAGTAACAACCACACAGGGATTCTGTAGCTTGAGCACAAACTCACACTTCAGAGAAAGGCGTGCTCCCCTCCTCCTCAGCCCCCACAGGCAGGTCCTGAGCCCACAGGACTGTGCCCTAAATGCGGCCCTTGCTTGGGCTTCCTCCGCAGGTCTGGGCACCGGGGCAGAGGCAGGAGTCCTCTCTTCTCACTTGCGGTAAATAAAAAAAGGAATATTCCCAGTCCCACCTCTCACACAGAGTCACCGTGAGAATGCAGTGGCAGTATCCATAATAAAAAGGCTTTCTCTACAAAAATAATTTTTAAAATTTAGCCTTTAACATAAAATCCAAAGGTCCTTAAATATCTTGACTCAAATTGTATATAGTAACATTATAATATATATTTTATGTTGATATATTTGTTGCTTAACTTATCTAAAACAAAAAGACTGAAAGTACCTGAACTCGAGATTCTTTTCCTCAGATAAGTTTTAATAAATAAACCCTATATTTAATTAAGTTACTGAAATTTAAATAATCTTTCATCATAACCTGTTTGTTTATACCTATATAGAAGTAAGTATCTCAGGACCACAGTAGTATTCTTTTGGGTGGCTCTGGCACACACTGTGGTCCCACTGAGAGTGAACAAGTATTACCAGCATGTAATACTCAATGCAGACAGTAAGTACTTAATATTTTTTGAACAAAGGAAAACAAACAGGATAGAAAGCTTTAAAATAACCCTCCAGACATGAAATGACAATATGTCTGTATAATTATGCTCTGCAAAGCTCCCTCTCTCACTCCCACTAAGAGAAAGGAGCAGTTCAGATACTTCCTGTCTGCCACGGATTCCTCCAGCTTTCCGGACCCTATTAGTGTGTATTGTTGCAGATGAGTGACACTGGGATATCTGTCAGGCAGCGGCATCCCACAGGGACTGGGACTCTCTCAAGAGGCAAGCACATTGCTTCTAATCACACTCACCCAGCTCCTAAATCAATATGCGTTCATGAATGAATTACATAATTTAAACAACCAATATCTCCAAGAAACTAAACATCCCTTAAGTAATAAAGAGTATAACCAATAAGAGCAGGAGCTACCATTTATTGAGTGCTTATTAGTGCCAGGATGTTATAAAAATCATATTATTTATCACCACTCACTCCCATTTTGTTGATAGTGATACTGAGCTCACAGAGGTTACATAATGCCCAGAGTTACAAAACCAGCCAGCAACACTGCTCCTCCAACAGAAAAGCTCTTTTGACTACACCATTCTGCCCTCCAAAGACCCCTCAATAAATGCAAACTAATTGTAAGTCTTTTTTTTCCCACCAAATTTCTTAGATTAAAATTAGGAGAGTTGTAATGAAATATTCTTAACTTGTGGATAAAGGGGAAAGGTCCTGGGAAAGTTTATTTCTCTCCATGTATGAGGCAGAGAAGGATCCAGAACCATTCTCTTTGTGTTATTTTTTATAAAAGCTTCAGGGAATAACAGGGCACTCCCTGCCAAACACCAGAACACCAAGACAATTGATGAAACCACCCTTCCTCATCACTTCCATCTGGCTGCATATTATTTTCTTTTCTTTTCTTTTTTTTTTTTTGCACATTATTTTCATGGCTGTGTTGCCACTTTAACAATGAATCCCAAACTTACAGTGTGTCAGAAACACTCATGGAGCTTGTTAAAAACCTCACTTCCAAGTCCCCACATCAGACCTGCAACACTGGCTTCACCACAAGTATAGACCAGAAATGATGTTTTTGGACCATCTTTTACAGACAATTTGAATGCAGTCAGGTTTGGGAAGTTTGCACTTCTCTGCCAATATAAGCTCTTACACAACAAACATATACACTCCTGAAAAGTTGTGGTAAACTGAAATTTTGTAAATAAATCACATTTTAAGTACAAAATGTGTTGGATTTAATAAATCCAAAAAATAATGGATAAGTAAAGGAGATTAAACTCTTTCTAGAACTAACCAACCAACCTGCAATAATTCCTTTAGTAATGTGAAGAATACTTCCTATAATTTATTACTTTTCAATAAATTCAGATTTAAAGTCAGTAGTTTTAGTGTCCTATATTTTATATGTGCAAACCTGAATGACTGGGTATGAGAATATGGCTATTTCAGTCACATCTAAAATACTGTTAAACAGAAAAAAGGTGATTATATTAATAACAAAAACTATACACTCATTTCAACAACATGATGAGATAAAGCTGTGAAAATGCCTAGCATACCATACATAAATGCTTGATAAATCTGAAACTCAAAAATCCTCTGCTAAGAATGGGGGGATAATCCTCATAAAGTTGTTATGAGGATTTAAGTGAGTTAATGTGAACCAACTACACACTAGTTGGTTGTAGTGGCCAACTGCAGCCAAAAAGTCCCAGTAATACAAGCAGCTATCTAGTTATAGGGAAGAAAGACACAGAAAGAAACATTACTGAGCATGACATGCTACAAGCATTATCTCAGGTAATCCTCATATTCCTGAGAATTAGGTTTCTTTTTCTCCTTTGTACTATACAAAAACAGGAATGACAGGCCCTGGGTCACAGGGCTCATAGCCATAAGGCTAAGAGGCAAACTCAATTTTGACTGCTCCAAAGCATTCACAGAAAAAAAAAAACAAAACAGATACATGTGATAGTAGGAGTTACAAAGGATCATGGGTCGTTGGCAGCAAAAGGCAGAATTATTCACTCATCCATTTGTCCATTCAGTCATTCATTCCACAAAGATATATGACAGTGAGCATCTGCCATGGGCAAGACAGTGCTAGATATAAGACCCAAATCTGAAAGTCTATCAAGAGAGACAAACACATAAAGCAGAAAACTGTCTAACAGTGCAGAAATAACAGTATCAAGGAAGTGTGGAGTGGTGAGCTGGGATACCAGTGCCCACATTCATCTCAAAGCACACACACAGGATCTAGAACTGTGCTTGGGGCTATACCTACTTCTTTCTCCTCTCTGACCTTCTTGTTTTGGCTCATGATACCCCTTAAAAAATCTGTCTAAAGCAACAGAACTTCTCCCTAGGTCTAGAAGGTTGTACACACATATATTTCGTGTACAATTTCATGGAGTTCACTACAAAGCCCAGTGTAGTAACCCCTAATTTATCATCAGCCATGATGCTGAGAGGGAGACTAACAGGGAAACATGCTGGAAAATAAAATTTCTAGGGACAAATCAACTACAGGCAAATGGACGTAACCAAATACTGCTGGGAATTTTCTATGTGGAGGGTATTGTTCTGTTCTGAACAATTTGTATTAACTCACTCAATCCCCATGAGAACTATATGATGATTATCCCCATTGTTCAGATGAGGATACTAAAGCACTGAGAGTAACTTGACTAGTGCCATACCATCAGTAAAGAATAAAACTATGATTCAACCCCAGCTAGCCTGGCTCTAGAGTCTATGGCTTTTGCCACTGTAGCAACAGTGCCCAAACTTTTTGGTTTTAGGATCCTTTTATACTCTAAAAATTATTGAGGACCCAATGAGTTATTGTTAATGTGAGCTAAATCAATATTTAATGCATTTGAAACTGAAGCTTAGAAAGTATATGTTAATTCATGTAAAAATATCAATAATAAAGCCATGATATGTTACATAAATATTTTTATGAAAAAAAAGTTTTAAAACGAAGTGAGAATTTTTTTATAATTTTGCAAATTCCTTTAATATCTTGCTTAATATAAGACAGCTGGATTCTCATATCTGCTTCTGATTTCAATCTGTTGTTATATAATTTTTGATTGAAGTAAATGAAGAATATTTGTCCTCATACAAATATGTAGTTGGCAAAAGAAAGCGTATTTTAATAGCCTCTTCAGATAATTGTGACTATTCTGTGAAACCACACCAAAACTCAACAACTGGCATTTTCTTGAAGGCAATTGCAACATAAAATATGAAACCCTGCCAGTGGTCTTTTCATGGATACTCCTCTGTACTGTATTACATTAAAATCTATTGGCCTGTCTTTCACTTTGAAGGGAGTTGTTATTTTTTACATATGAATGTAACATCATATGTGGTCATCTGGAAAACAATGGTTCAATGAATTATAGAGATCTTCCATACATTGAAACATTTCAAGTATATAATATCAACAAAATCCCATTTGTTAATATACCATGGATTTCAATCATCAGAAAAGTCTTTTACATATTGGGAAGTTGTCCAGTTCACGGTGGCAGATACAAGTTTCCAAAAATTCCAAAATTAAAATTTCACTTGAAAGCTTGAGTTTTATCCAATTCAGCAAATAGTAGTTTTTCTTGAAGTGACAAGTTCCCTTTATTTATTTTGGAGAAAATATCTACCAAATGCCCAAGCCAGAATAACCACAGTTTGTCAGTTGTTCTTTCAAGTAAATATGGATTCCATGAGAAAAGCATCTAGTTTCATATTTACATCACAATTCCATCACACAAGGGGTTTTTTCAGTTTGCAGCGGAAGCACTTCATGTATCTTCCCATTTCATCACACAGGATGTTAAAAAGACATACTCAAGGTTTGAGATTTAATATAATCATCTGTACTGCCTCAACTAGAACATTCCTAAGTGGAAATGAGCTTTTTTGTTATTCTGAGTATCTGACTAATTGACTGACTACTACCACTGTCTTGATTCATGGTGAGAGTATGTCTTAGCATTATTATGAAGATAGTTTTTTTCTTTTTTTTTTTTTCTTCTTTTTGAGACGGAGTCTCGCTATGTCACCAGGCTGGAGTGCAGTGGCACGATCTCGGCTCACTGCAACCTCTGCCTCCCAGGTTCAAGCGATTCTCCTGCCTCAGTCTCCTGAGTAGCTAGGATTACAGGCATGCACCACCACACCCAGGTAATTTTTGTATTTTTAGTAGAGACGGGGTTTCACCATGTTGGCCAGGATGGTCTCGATCTCCTGACCTCGTGATCCACCACCTCGGCCTCCCAAAGTGCTGGGATTACAGGCGTGAGCCACCGCACCCGGCTTATTATGAAGAGAGTTTTTAGGTCTCAGAGACCTCCTCCCATAGGGTTCCACAGAACATACTTTGAGAAACGTTGTTCTAAATGACACAGCCTCCCCCATGGGGAAAGTCCAAAAGATGTAAAAGTCAAGGAGAATTTTAAGATGAAAATGCTGACAATCAATTGTAACTGAGAATGAGTTATCTCCCTGCCCAGGCAAAGGAAGATGGCCATGGCCCCTGGAAGTCAGTGAAACCTGAAAGAGGCCCTTTGATATAAAGCACTGCTTGAACTCTATTAGTCAGGCGAATGGACCCCTGTTGGTTAAATAAAATGCATCTGGAGAGAGCTAGACGCCCACCCAGAAAACACCTGCACAAGAATGCACCTTCGGGTCCTTGAGGAATTCTTATGAAGGGGAATATAAGCCAACAATGATTATTTCACTAGGGGAAAAAAAGGCTCCATGAGATTAGTTTTAGGTGAGGAGAAAAGAAATTGCAATAACTTGCCCAGCAGGAAGTCAGGTGATCCTGGACAAAGGGAAGGATGTTAAGACATGATGACTGAAGGGGAAAGAGAATGATGTTGTCAAGCCAAAAGACCACACTATTAGAAAGATTTAAAGAACAAAAAAAGATAGAGGAGAAAATATCCACCAAGCAGGAAGAAAGGACATGCCATACTTTCTGTTTTTGTTTGGCAAATCTGCTTTTTAAACAATGTAAGAATCCTGGCTCTGCTGTTGATGAGCTATGTGAACATAAACAAATGGTTTAATTTCTTGGTACCCATTGCCTTATTAGTAAGTGAGAATAATAATAGGGCCTACTACATAGGGCTGTTACGAAGATTAATTGAGACAACAGAAAGGGCTATTAACAGTGTTCCAAGCACATAGGAAGTGCTCGGTAAATTTTAGTTTCTGTTCATGAAGACAGGAAAAGATAACAGGAATCACCCCCGTAAAGTTCACTTTCAAGAGATGATCAAATCAGTGAGCTCTTTAAAATAGAACAGCAGCAAGATGCTCAGGCAGATAAGAGATGAAAGCTTTTAGAGTTTTGTTTAGGTCAGACTATTCAGCTAACAAACTATGCTAAAATTACATTTTCAACTTTCCAAGAATTTGGGATGAGGGAAGACCAATAATACACCATTACTCAGAAAATAAGCTTAAAATGTCCAGTTCTATCAAAGAACAAAACAAAAGGCTACATGGTATTGTCAAAAGGTTCTTCAAAGTCTCCTTACCTGGCCACCTTGGCATGCAAGTCAAGGGCTAAGTGGCCCTGGAGAAGGTATCAGAAACTAGACTAGCCTGAATACCCTCAGCTGCCTAAGAGGCTCCATCTTCAGAGACAGTGACAATAGGGTAGTTACTGAGGGAGGGAGTGATGGATTTGTCCTCTGTACTGAGCATTACAAACAAGAGGAAAAGAATTTTCCTCTCCCTAGCACCTTTGTTCCATAATTTTTCTTTCATTTCATCTCTGATATAATAGGACAGAGATCAAAACATGAACTTCAAATCTCTTCTTTGCAGTGATCTGTTCCTTTCACTGACAACATAGGAAAAACTCTTTACTACCAAAAATGCAGAAAAAGTCTATTCCTTCAGGATCATAACATACATGGCAATTTAAAGCCTATTTTCATCCTCAAAACGGTGAGTCTTTTAATGGCCTAGCCAATCAAACGATAATTTTTTTTTTTAAAAAGGCCAACCTCACTTCAAGGTATATAATGTGTAATATTTTCTTTAGTATCCTATGCAACAGATAACTGGATAATTTTTCCAAATCAAGGGTCTCAAAATGGATTTACAATAATTATTTGAAAAAAATGTCTAAATCAATGTGACCAGAACATAATATAACATTTCTGGAGATTCTGTCCTATTCTGTGGGTGTTGATCAAGTTCTACCTGACAAGTGCCCAGGGGTCTCACGGTACAATGTCTTAAAGGGGAAAAAAAAATTACGAAAATAGGGCTTTCAAGTGTATTACCCATTACCTCTTGCTTATAGAGCATATAAATGCATTTTATACTAATTCTATCATCATTTTGTACCTTCAGTTACTGTCTATTTTGGAATCATAATCTTGACTACGGAAAGCAAAGCATCTTCTTGGAAGAAAACTATCTTGCGTACTTGTATTATCTATATGCCTCTCCCCACTCCTGATTCAAACAACACATCATATTACTGATGTTCATAATGATTTTCTGAACCGTCAAGAAAATGTTACATAAGGCAGGAGGTAAAGTAGTGGGGAGGGGATCAATCTTACAGAAAAACCACCACCAAAAATATTTGCCTTCAACTATACAGAAATTCACATCTTCAGAATAATGCAGTTTCCAGGTAATCCAAATAGTTAAAGACTTATTGTGGGCTACGTTTTTCATACTTTATCTAATGATAACATGATAATGATGATGACTGTAGCAGTTTAATACATGTCTGCAAATTCTTTGACACACCTGTGGAAAGGTGGGTCTACATCCTTGAATTTAGGCAGGCTTATAATTATATCTATTTTCCACTTGGCCAAGAGAAGATAGAGGAGTAACCCTACGTGACTTCCAAAATTAAATCATAAAAGGCAATGCAGTTTCCATCCAATTTCTGGGAATACTCACACCTGGAACCCTAAGCCACCATATAAGATTCTAACTAGCCCGATCCTATAAGGAAGCCAAGCCATGTGGAAAGGCAACTTGTTGACACTCTGGTCTGCAGACCTAGCCTTCAAGTCATCCCAGCCCAGGTGCCAGACATGTGAATCCAGTCACAAACCACTCATGCGCTCTCAGTCTTCTTGCCCCAGAAGTCCCAGGAATGATGGAGCAGAGACAGGGCATCCTACAGTGCCTTGCCTGAAGTCCAGACCCATAGAATCTATAAGCATAATAAAATGTTGCAATAGTAACTGCAACAACCATGATAACTAACACTTAACTCTTCCAATGTGTCAGATATTGCTCTTATACCCAGCATGTATTTCTCCTAACAATTTTTTGAGGTAGGTGTAATTAAGATCCCTATATATCACATGAGGAAATTCTACTTGACAGAGAGGTTAAGTAATTTAGCCAAGATTATAAAGCTAGTGAGTGGCACAGTTTGGGTGTGAATACAGGTTTCCAGTTCTGGAGTCTTAACCATTAAGCTCCATAGATAATTACTGAAATCAAAAAAAGATATCCAAAGGGCACACCACAGTTAGCCTATTAGGGTCCTCTTCCCACCATCAGGCAGGACATTACATCATATTTTCTCAATTTAAGCAGATTTCTAGTAAGATACCCCCACACTTCTATTAATTCTTTGGTTGCCTCTTTGCCCTCCATATCCTCCTAATCTGTATTTATCCACCCTCCCCAGGAGAGAACTCTTCTAAGCTTGTAGAAGTCATGATATCTGTGATTTAAGCTCATTTCAAAGTGAAAATAAAATAAATACTTGAAAGACAGTTATGAATCCTTTCTTCTCTTCTTAGAGCAGAACGAACCCAGTTCATTTGTCTTTTGTTTTCTAACATCTTAATACATTACATTCCTTTTATAGAATATGAATTCCATGGGGAGCAAAGGATATATATCCCACACCTAGCCCAGTTCCTGGCACATGACAGACCCTCAAATATCAGATGGATGAACTATATATCCTTTTATTGTAACCCCATCAAATTCTCCACCTCAGTATTGACTTGTACAAAGCAGAGTTATTCACTCAACAGATATTTAAGGAGTGAGTGATTCTGTATCCAAATTTCTGCCTAATTTATATTCTGTCCAAAATAAGAAATGTCATGCTCCCTAATGTCTCTTCTATAAGAGAAATTGAAAATATTCAAAGTAAATTCAATTAGCATAATTGTGACTACTGCCTAAATAAATTACTAAATTTAATACAAGAAATTCAGTATTTTATTTTATGAACAAACAATTACACATAACCCATTTTTTGTTCCTAAACTAATAAAGTTATTTTAGTCACTTAATAAATGTCATTAAAATGTAAATATTTGTCTTTATTTCAATTTTTTTCTCCAAACTCCTGGAATTTATTTTGGAGAAATTTGAAAGTAAGAAATGTTAGAATTTGGGGAAATGTAATGCCTCAACTCAGGGTTAAGCTAATATATATCTCAAAGTAGACTTTTTAGACTCTATTCTTCAGTTTTTTGATGACTATCATACAGGATCAACTCTAAAAGTCAGCTAAGGTATATTTATTCACCATTTTTATGCCACTTACCACTCATTTTTGATCTGCCAGGCCAGTCAATACCACGGGAAGATAAGCCTGACAGGATTATGTCCTTTAACAAACCTACTAGTTTAAACAAACCTGACACCGCCATTATCTTCAATGTTTGTATAAATGGTTGTGTGATGCTTTTAAAATTACTTTCCCAGGTGTCTTAATTGAAGCTTACTGTGATTTCAGAAGGCATTTTCTTTGCTCTTTTAGATAAAAAGACCATTAGACCATTTCTCTTTTCAAGAAGCTAGATTGGTTTTACATGTGTTTTTCTGCAATGAATTTAATGATATGCACTGAGTGCTGCATCCAGTAATTTCCATAAAAAGCACATTTCCTAATCTCTTTGTCTGCCCTTCTTCTATGTTCCAACCTTTCCCACATCACCAGGATGAGTAATCAACCTATAACTGCAGTGATATTTAGGAGCCAGTCCCTCAGGAAACAGGGCCTTACCAGAGGATTTCATATTCTCTACTTTTCCCAAGACCAGCAGATAGAGGAGGCTTGCTCACAAAACACTTGGTTCTCAGAGCCCTCCAGAACACCACCCGTGTCAGAAAGGAAAAGGCCTGCTTCACACCTGCTGTCAGGGGTCACATTGCTGGGTCATACCACCCAGAGCAGCCCTCACAGCTGAGAAGCAGCAGCTGAATGTGAGATGCCTCCTTCCTCCCTGGCACGTGGCCACAGGGCGTGTGCAGAGCCCTACCTCACAAAGAGAAAGCAAAGCAAGCTTGGAAGACAAGATATCTATCATCCCTGTCTTGCTGGGCCTATTCTGAGAAGGGTGGAGGAAAGGTGGGAGGAAGCAGGGAAAGAAGGAAGGACAGAGTAGGTCAGAAGAGGTGCAAGAAAACAGAAGTGGGAAGACCTGTTATGTGAGTGGCTATCACAATAGTCCAGGAAACAGGTAATTAGCCCTTAAACTGGTTTAGCTGTAGAGACATGCAAAGGAAGGGAAAGTATGCAAGAAGTATTTTGGAGGTCAACTGCAGGACCTAAAGACTGACTGGATGTAGGGTGGGCAAGGAGATGAACCTTATTACAGTTTACAGAACACTTTCAAAGGAGACAATAGGATGATGAAGTGTGGAATGGTATCTGAGCATGTGCAAACACTGGAGAGATGAACAAGCGCCAGCTGCCTGCCTCTCATTGACAAAGCTTGGTTCAACAGTGGAACGGATCCAAGGTGGAGAAGTTCAGGATGACCTTTGATGGTCCTCTTCAGGAGGACCTTTCCGTGCTAATTCCACCCAAGCATTTCTATTTGCTTCTCTCAAGGACCAGATCCCTGGAAGAATCCCATGAGTGGAACATCCCTAGAAACAGCAGACATCTCCTGATAATGGCCTGGTAAGCTTTGCCGCCAGCATAACCCAGTTGCCATGCTGACCCAGCTTTCAAATGGAATGAGCCTCCAAAACAGAAGTGGTAAAATGGGGTTCAAGTGAATAGAGCATTCCCAATCAGTTCATACCAGCCCTCCAAGGGAGATGTGGTACATTTCATTCAAAAATGTGTCCCTGTCTTATCATCTGAAGCCCAGTGGTGTTGCCATCAGACAACAGAGCCAATCTCACTATAGAACAACACTCCTCAACAGAAATTGCTGCAGTGATGGAAATGGCTATTAAGCACTTGAACTGTGGCTAGTGTGACTGAGGTCCTGAATTTTTCATTTCGTTTAATTTTCATTAATTTAAATAGCCACAAGTGACTAGTGGTTACTACAGACAGCATAGGTCTAGAACTTTAAAAACATAGATGTGGGCCAGATCACATCTGTCCTAAACTGCTAGAAAAAAAAAAAGTCACAGAGTTATATTTCTCTACTCTGAGGAAGCTGAATCTCTAATATTTCAACATCTGCTCAAGCAATTTTCCAGCACTGGGCTCTCCTTTGGTCCTTACTACAACTATTTATCAATCAGCCTCCAAAACATTTCCATTTGGAAGGCACTCAGACCCTAGCTTAACCATCCATCCACTGCAGGAACCTTCTTCATGATGTCCCTGAGTATGTCCATGGTCCCTGCATATGTCTATGCAATCGTTACCAAGTCCCCCAAGTAGCAATGAAACTTACCGTCAGTCAGAGACACTGCTCCAAAAAGATACTGATGATGCAGAAAATAATTTTAAGAAAACTATTTTACACAAAATTTCACTTCTTATGAAGCTCTTTCACATTCACTATGTCATTTAAGCCACACAATAACCTTAGAAGATAAATATTTAGTAAATACACTTACTTTATAGAGCCTAAGTGATTTACCAAGGCAATATGGTAGCCATATACCCAGTTGTGGCATGTCTTCCAAGGAGTGAGAGACAAATGATAGAAGAAAAAGTCATGGTCAGGAAAGTGAGGCACAAAAGAAGAGTGATTAGAGGAAGAAATATAGCTATATCAACTAATAACCTTAGAAATAGATCTGTTTCAAACTCAATTACTTATAGATGAACAAACTCCATTCCAAAGGGTAAGCATCTCAGTCCAGGCCCAATTTAAAGGGGCTATGTTTTAAAATGGTCATTCTTAACATGTGTTTCCAGTACCAGCAGCATCAGCATTGCTTGGAAACGTGTTAGAAATGCAAAGTCTTAGGCCCTATCCTCAATCAACCAAGGAAACAGAAACTCTAGGGGTGCGGCCCAGCAATCCATGTTTCAATAAACCCTCTGGGGTATTCTGATGCTCAATCACATTTGAGAACAACTGTCCTGGAATTGTACATCTAAGACCCAATTAATTTCCTCTGAGAAGTAAACAACTTGGTCATCAAGAAGGAAACAGAGCTGCCAGTTATGAAATTTGAGACACGGCCTGGTGACATCAGCCCTGACTTACTGCACCTACAGTACCAAGCACCATAAACTCTGAACTAGCCTTCTGAATGCAGACCCACCTCCTCCTGCCTCCTGTGCTCAAGGGCACAGAGGAAATCATTCTTTCATCAGAAATCATACTTTTATAGAAGCAAAGAAAGGTTTATTTTATAGATAGTAATAGATTGTGAATAGGGCATCCTAGCTTCTATCTCATTCACTAAGTAGTATTCACAGCGCTCCCAACTGTGAAAAGGAACACTTCCATGAGTAAGAACAGGGGTTCCAGGTTCTCAAAGAAGACGGATACATGCGAATTTACGTAACATTATAAAGTGTTTTGCTTCTCTGCTGTTTTAGTAATAATAATGGTAGCAGGTATTTATTGAATGCTTTCAACGTGCCCAGCATTGTGCGCATTGCTTCACTTTGCCCTCATGCAGCTCCATGAGGGAAGAACTATTATTTTCCCCATTTTACTCATGAGGCTTCAGCATGTACAATTCCGAGGTCACACAGCAAGGAGGCGGCAGGGCCAGGATACACCTGTTCTCAATCCAAAATACTACCTCTCCTTTTTCATTTTAACATATACATAACTCTTAATCTATTCAACTTCATTCATACTGTTTATGTTACTGAGTTTTAAGTACTGTGTTTTCACCTTCTTTTAAGCTATCATGCCATGTACTGTTCAAAAAGGTCCTCAACCACTCAGTTTATGCCAACTCAATCAGCATGTGCTCAAGAATCAGAGTAACACACTCTAAAGAATTCATGGCAATAAAGATCTAAAAACTGGATCAAAAGCAAACCAATTTTATTCCCACCATGGTTGGGCAGCATGCCCAGGGAAGCCCTCCCTGACCGCCTGGACCAAAGTGAGCCCTCTCTCCTCAGAGCACCCACAGTACATCACATGTGTCCCCATCATAGTAGTAACACATGGTAATGTCCACATGCCACACCCCTAATCTGTGAGCACTTCAGAATGGGAACTACACCTGATAGTCCATCTGTGCATATTCGAGACCTAATAGATGGTTTATAAGCTCAGCAGCAAGACATACAAACTCTTAAGACAGACAAAAGTGAACTATAACTTAAAAATAAAATGTAAAACTATAAAACTTTTAGAAGAAAACACAGCAGAAAATGTCTGAGACATGGGTCTAGGCAAAATGTTCTTAGATGTGACACTAAATGCACCATCCTTAAAGAAAAAAGGAATCTATCAACTGGACTTTATCAAAATAAAAAACTTTTGATCTGCAAAAGACCTTGGTAAGGACATAAAAAGACATGCTACATACTTGGGAAAATATATGTGCAAGCCACAAATCTGACTAAGGACTTGCATCTAGAATATATAAAGAACTCTTAAAGCTCTAAAGTAAAATAAATAATCCAGTTAGGGAATGGGCAAAAGGCATGAATAGTTATTTCGCCAAAGAGGATATATGGATAGCAAATAAGCACATAAAAAAGACAGACATTAAACATAATCAGCCATTAGGGTAATGCAAATTAAAACCATGGTAAGATTAGAGCACCTACTAGAACACCTATTAGGACAACTAAAATAAAAAATAGTGATAACATCAAATGCTAGTGAGGTTGCAGAGAAACTGGATCTCTCATACATTGCTAATAGGAGTGGTGCAGCCACTCTGGAAAAGTTTGGCAATTTCTTAAAAAACTAAACACACACTTACCATACAATCCAGCAATCACAATCATGGGCATTTACGCCAGAGAAATGAAAACTTATGTTCACACAAACACCTATATATAAATGTTCATAAAAACTTTATGTGAAATAGTCATGAACTGGAAAAAACCCATAGGTGAATGGTTAAACAAACCATAGTACATCCATATTATGGAATACTACTCAGCAATGAAAAGAAACAAACTATTGAGAGATGCAAAAATTTGGATGGATCCCCATGGCATTATGCTGAGTGAAAAGCCAATCTCAAAAGCTCACATACTACATGATTGTATTTATGTAACATTCTCAAAATGATAAAATTATAGATATGGTGAACAGGAGTAGTGGTTGCTAAGCATTTAGCAACAGAGTGAGGATGGGGAGAAGAGGGCCAGTGCAACTATAGAGGTGTAGCATAAGGGAGATCATTGGGGTAATAAAATAGTCTGTACCTTGATTGTGGTAGCGGTTACATGAATCTACACATGAAAAAATGCATAGAAGTACACACATAGAAATACAAATTTTACATGTGCATGTAAAACTGGTGAAATCTGAATATGCTCTGTGGACTGTACCAATGTCAATTTCCTGGTTCTGCTACTGTACTATGGTTATGTAAGATGTTACCAATGGGGGAAACTGGGTGAAGGGTACACAGGACCTCTCTACTATTTTTGCAACTTCCTATGAAGCTATGATCATTTCAAAACGAAAAGTTAAAAGTAAACAGCAGACATTTTACTTAAAAACAAAATGAAAAAATAGAGGTATATAGCTGCAATATTGGCCAGTGAGGTCTCAAACACAGGTTTAAACACACACCATAGAACGACAGTTTTTGAAAACTTAAATCTAATTCTTCAGTATCTTAACAGGGATACATTTCCAACACCTTAGAGCTACTCTCCTACTCTCTCCTAAAAGATGGGGGGAAAATGCCTGATGTGTGAGCCCCTTTAGGAGTCCAGGAGTCCTGTCCTGAGTGTCCAAAATGAATATACCCTAAGGTTACACAAGGCCTGGCCGTGAGAGCAGAGCCAAGGGCCTCACAAGTTAAAGTAGAACTCAGCTTGATGCCAACACATAAACCAAGAGCAGGAGTGGCTTCCTTCCAGCAAAAGTAGAGGACTGCCCTACCCACAATGGCCAAGATTTACATTGTACCTCTCCTTCAAGACAAAACAAAGCCAAGCCAACAAAATTAACTTTAAAAAAATCACTAGGCAAACAAAAAAACAAAACAAAACATAAAACCACAACAACCTCAGACTATTTCCAACAAACCTTGTAATCAAATATCTCCCTTTACTTGACCTCCACACTACCCCTTGCTTTTCGAGGATTTTATTACCTACTAAATTCTGAGTCATAAGAACCTGCCAAAATTAATGAAAAATAGGAGAAAAATTATTCAAAACACTGCAGAATTTTCTGACCTGAGCTTCCTTATGCATTTAAAATGCAGATAGCCACACACCGCACCCCCCCCCCAACCCCGCCAAAAAGAAAAGAAAATAGAAAAGGTTACTTTGGGGGAATTTTATATATCAGAAATATTAGCAGGTCCTATAAAGTTACTTCTTTTTAATTTATTGGCCTGAAAAATCAAACTTTTACAATTTTCACTAGCAATTCCCATTTCATGTCATTAATTATTTTTTTCAAAAGTCTTTGTTTTATCATTTTCAAAGCATTTTCACAAATTACTATGAAGAAATGCAGCACTGATACCTAGAGGCTATACCTTTCAACAGAACTCTCACCAGCCAGACTGCTCATTTCAATTAGTTCAGCCATCTTTTCCCTAGGCCCTGGGTCCACACTTTTCCTTAGGGGTAGACATCAGAAAAGCTGAGCTCTACCCACAACAGCCTCTAGACTAACTGGCCCAGGGCAGACACTCTCAAGTCTGATCAGCGGAGTGCTTTCCCATAAAATCACTCACATTTCTGCATTCATGTGTTTTTCTTAACGACAGCACTTTAAAATCTCATTTAAACTGAAAATCCTCCATTAGCCTCCGTGAAAAGATGTATTTTTAAATGCTTTGATCTCCACATGCCCTTTGGAAAATTAGTATGCTACATCCTCCATCATCTGCAAAGAACCTGAAAGACCAAGACTTCTGTGCATTTTAAAAAGAAGGGGGAGGGAAAGGGGCGTTACAGGTACAGCACCTTCTCTCCTATCCACCTGCAGGTTTACAAAGGTTTCCTTATTTATCTTGAAAAATGCATCACAGAAAAACAAAAGTGCACTCCAAGAACTAAACATCCTCATCCCTCCCCCCAACCCCCACCACCATCATAAGGAAAAGTAGAGCCTGTATAAAGCCTTCTACCTATGTCCTACCCTTTTCATTCTGGTCGAATCGGTGTTTTCCTTCATTCTAGTCAAATCAGTGCTTTTCCACCCTTTACTAACAGTTCAAAGTATATTAAACTACTGTTCCCACATTATTCTCATAAAGAGCCTTCAAAGTAGATACACACTATAAGGCTCAGAGCACCTTACTAGGAAGTAAATGTCAGTTGCTCTAGATTCTTTAAGACCTTGCAATCTAGAGAGCTCCTTAATCGTTAACCTGGGTCTGACTTCCACAGCTGCCCGGGCCCAGGAGTGGTATGCAGCCAGGGGAAATCTTAGCCAGTTTGGCAGTGACCCATAGGCCAGTTTTGGAAGCAGGGAGCCATGATTGTTTAATATTTCAAGCCTTGACTTTTTGCTTCCCGAAAAGGAAGGAAATTTTCTGGAACTGTAGCTATTAATAGCCCTCTATTCTGGTTTAATTCGTTTATGGTGAGCAGGTTAGCACGTTACTGCTTTGGTTAGCCGAAAGCATCTTCGAGGTATCACAACTGGCTCTCGAGACCACGTACCCCACCACCACCAAGGCCTTCTATAAGCAGTACAAAAACTCAGTTCTCATAACATGCCTCAGGAGAAGAAAATGGGAAACCAAGGCCTCACAGAGAAAGGGAGCTGAGGGACCATGGGGACAAAATGTTGGGTCCAAACCGCATCGTCTCAGGAGGCCGCACGCTCAGGGCCCACCTCTGAAACCCCAGTCCAGGTGATCCACACGCTAGCCCGGCCAAAAGGTATTTGCCACGCGGAGACAGGAAACCAACACCGAAGCCAAAAAGGCAAAAATCTTCGAACAAAAATGGAAAAGGAAAGTCTTCCTAGTCATCAGTAAAGATAGGAAGAGTAGGGTGGGCGAGGCGCGGGAGCTTTGCGCAGATACCCGGGATTCTCGGCCTGGGGCTCTGAGGGGGGAAACTTGGACACGTCGCCGCGAGCGCAGTCCAGGTAGCGGAGGCCCTAGAGGTGCGCGCCAGGGCTCGTCTGCTCTGCCGCCGCGTCCTCCAGCCCGGCCGCCTATGGGGCACGCTCGGTCCCTGTCCCGGCACTAGGCCACCGTTCCGCTCGGCTGTCATCGGCCAACGTACCACTCTCCCTCCTGCCACAAATGTCACATTCCAAGAAAAAACAGTTCCATTTGGAAAGTTTAAATTTTCTCCCCGCGAAAGCAGATTATTGTAAAGGCAGCCCTAACAGGCAAGCGGGAGCTGGATGTAACTCTCCAGTTTGTCAAAGAAACTTGTCTGGGGAGAGAACAAAGAAGGAGCAGCAGCTAACGCGATCCGAGCGTCTGGGGCTGGGGTGCGACCCTTTCGTCGCCCCCACCCGCCAGAGCCGGGTCTGGCCGGCGGGCAGAAAGGGTCCAGTCCACAGCGCCAGAGCCCGTCGGGCGGGCCGGTGCGCGCGCCTTTGTCTCGCGCCGGGGAAAGCTGCACCGGACACCCCCTTCCGTCCCCTCCCTCGCCGCGAGACCCGCGCGCGGGCGCGGGCGCGCCTCGGAGTGTCTGGCCATATGGCTGCGCCCCTCAGGAAAGGCCAGCCCCGCGTCGGGCGCGCAGCACCCCGGGGCCCAAACCCCGGGGCCACAACTTCAGTCAACGTGGGTCGCGGGGCGGCAAGACGCTGAGGCCCGGCCCGCAGGCAACTGGACCTGGAGCGGGGCAAGGGAACCCGCTTAAAAACAACAATCTGGGATCTCAGCCCCGGGCCCCCAGAAGCTGCCCCCTTCCGTGAGCAGCAGGGGCCCGGGGAGCCCGGGGCGACTGGGTTCTTCGCGTGGGAGACTCGGAGACGCCCTCCCGGCACCTCGAGTGGGGGCTGGTTACCTTTCACCGCAGGCTCACAAGTTCCCCGGCGCAACTTTGCCCTCCACATGAGGCGATCATGGCTAGTTCAGTCCCTCGGCTGGGGAAGACGGCTGCCGGGCAGCGCGGGGAAGTGGCGCCGGACAATCAACCCCATTCACACAGGGCTTCACCTCCAGCCCCAAACCCGACAACCGCTGCTGGGTCCTAGAGCTTCTCGCGCGCTCCCGCCGCCGTCCGCGCTCCCCGCTCCCCGCGCGCGGGCCGGGGAGGGTCGCCCGGGCTCGTCACTAGAACCCTACACTCCACCCCCGCCGTGGCGCCCGGCCGCTGGGCCCTAGAGCCCGTCTGCAGACACCCGCCGCCCCTCCCCGGGCCGCGAGACTGCCAGGCTGAAATTGCCCAGAGCTCAAGCTGACGTGTCTCCCTGAGACTTAGGAGGGCGACAGCATCCCTTCCTTTGTCCCCTGCCGGGTTTTGATTAATTTCAGACTCACCAGTTCTCCCTCCACTTTGTCTTCCTTCCCCACCAGCCCAATGCCGGCCAAAATTCTGTTTCCGGATCTGCCCAAAAGTCTAGATTTGCTTAGGTTGGTTTTTTTTCTTCTTAAGTGGAATTTCCAGGTAGAAAGTGGCCACACTTTTCTCAGCATTCCCCAGGCCCCAGTGCTTCCATCACGCACTTGAGATTGGGCGATAAGCTGCTACTATGTGCTCCGTTGACAAACAGAAGGGCCAAAACAGACCTGACAGCCTCGGATATTAAATGTGTTCGCAGAACCGTACATCCTCTGGCCATAAATCCCCAGGCTGTTATCTGCCTGAGTAGAGGTAAAGAAAGTAAGCGACTCTGGGAAAATGTTGCCCCACCTCTTAAAATCAGGCTGTGCTGAGAACTACTCATCCACCTCATTATATTGGTTTATACTGGCGGCTCTCTGGAGCCCTAATCTGGGGTGCCCGAGCCTGCCCCATAGCACTTCTGCCTGGCTTTTTCCGGGCAGCTCTACTGCTTGGAGAAGAGAAAGCTAGGTAACTGTAC
Source organism: Homo sapiens (assembly GCF_000001405.40). Taxonomy (NCBI): domain Eukaryota; kingdom Metazoa; phylum Chordata; class Mammalia; order Primates; family Hominidae; genus Homo; species Homo sapiens. Next base: position 94,767,539 of record NC_000011.10, on the reverse strand, counting down.
AGTTGCTGCCCAGGATGTTAGTGGGAGAGTTAGCGCACACCAAGCCTCTCTTATCTGGTGCTCCCTGCCTCTGTTTACCTGCTATCTAGGTCCGGCCTTCAGGGACTCCTCCCTGGATTGTGGCAGTTCCCTAACTAGACTGCCAGCAGTTTTACCTCTCATCAGTTCTGGTGGGTTGCATGTCCTGATTCTGATTCCCCTGATGGGCCCTCCTACTGAGTAAACTCTGCTCTCAAGATAAAGCCCAAATGTAATCATTTAACAATTATTTATGAAATGCCTACTCCATTTAAAGTCATCTACCCTGGTACACACAAAAGAAACTTAGCACACAAAAGAAACTTAGAGCAGCTGACCAGCCCTTCAAGGATCTGTTATCTGTCTAAGAAGACAAGATGTGTGAACAGAAAACAGGCAAGCAACAAAGCAGGAGATCCAAGTACTGCAGATGCCTGGGAAGGGCGGAGAGAGGCACTGACTACACAGAAGGAAAAGCCTGGGAGGGTGGTGGAGTTCAGACACAGCAGAAAGAGGAAAAGGCAGCACTGGGCAAGCAGAGGCAAAAGCCAAGAGGGAGATGACAAGGTCTGGGTGCTTGGGAAGAAGGCATAGAGGAAAGCGTTTTTACCAGAAACGAGGAGAAAACAAGGGAAGGCAGAATAACAACGTCACAAAAATGTAGGCCTGGAAAGAATCTAAGAAAGTGTCAACTAAACCTTTCACTTGCCGGATGAAGAAGCTCAGGCATAGCTGTTGAATGACTTGTCCAATGTTACAGAACAAGTTTAGTAGCAAAGCCAGGTATAGAAACAACCTCTGCCTCAATGTGCCTTGTATTACACATTGTGAACCCTGAATCGCAAATTAGGAGCTGAAGTGGTTATCTTATGGACAGTGAAGGGACCACTGATTCACCTAACATTTGCGCGAATTTAATACAAATTGGGGAAGAAGTGATGGATAGAAAAAGAAGAAAGGAAACTAATCTTTACTAATTGCCCACTCCTAGATACCATCCTATAGTCTAGGAAGCAGCAAAATTTCCAAGTTACAACCATCAAGTTTAGAACAAAACAGGCATGAGCTGAGTTGCAGCTCCACCATTCAGTATCTGTGTGACGCTGAGCAAGTTGCCTAACTTCTCTAAACCTCAGTATCCTTTTTGGCAAGATGAAGAAAATAGCATCTCACAGAGTGGTTGTGAAGACTGAATAAAATAACAAATGTAAAATACTCAGCACAATGCATGTAGTATTCAATATACATTTGCTATTATTATTTCAAGAGACTATCTAGGATAGTTGCAGGAAGCAATGATAGGTGAGGTTGACAGAGGTGATAAAAAGGAAATGAGAGATACCATATCTTTGGAGATACCAGATGTCATAAAGAAAGGTATCAAATCTTTGAAGCAAGATTTTATTCTTCTCATTGACTCGTTGTTTATCCTGGGGAAAAGGACAAAGTAATCAAGTTAACCTAGGCTTTGAGCCCAGTCATAGGAAGAATAGATCTTGCAGTCTTAGAAGAATGGATCATTAGACCAATGACAGATGAAGCACAGTTGAGAAGAGGAAACGGTTTGAGAAAGATGCTGAGTGACTTACTATCCTCTGGGCAAGAGGAAACAAGGAACAAGGGACTGGGTGAGAAGTGGAGGACAGAGGTGTAGAGAAAAGGAGAGATGAAGCTTTGAAGATCAGTTCATTAACAGAATGTCCACAACTGGAAAACAGGGAAAGAAGGAGGGAGAAGAGGAAGAATCTGGAGAAGTAGAAGAGCTGGGAAAAGGTAAAGGCATGGAAGCCAGAGGAAGTTTTAAGAAGTGGGTCCTTCTATCAAATGCTACAGATTCTTAGACCTGCAATGAAGTGCTAGGCACAGCTTGTGGGTTCAAGGATCTTCTGATTCAATCAGGTGGACCTAGCCTAGACTCCTCAAATTAATACCCAGTAATCAGATACATGGAAGCACAGGCAGAAAACACTGCTGGAGACCAATGTTTCCCTCCTGTGCCTTAATTTCCTTATCTGTGAATAAGCTCTACATCAAATGCAGAAAACAATCTTTTCAGGCCTTAACTTAGTTCCTGAATCTATTGTTCAGGAACTAAGGCCTGCAAAAAAAGACTCTGAATTTCACTAGCAAGAAGTTATCAATAACATCTTTCAGTAAGCACACTTGGCTGGAGATTCTGATGTCTGGTTTGTGTCTAATGGAAACAAAGTATGTTTACAATAAAAATTGAACACACCTTCACTAACAGCAAGGTAGTGAACCAGTCCACATCTGTGCCTTCTTTAGATCTATGCACTCATCCTAAAGGTCAGCATCCTTTCTAAAGTGACCCAAGTTGTCATTTACTCATTCCTAAGAAAGCTAAGAAGATGATGGGCCAATTTTAGTGCTCTTTGGGGCAGCCCAGAGAGCAGTCTTTCACTCAAAACAGGACGAGTACCAGGATGTTCCAGTGATACCAAGCTGTTCCCAACAAGCATAGAGGCGGGAAGAATGTTGAAGTAACAGAGGCATCTGGATAGAGGAGAATGAGCAGGGCCTTTACAGTAAGACCTGCTTCTAGTCCATGTTCTATCTATTTCTAGACACGGAGAGCCTCAGCTTCCTCCTCTATAAAATAATAACATTTGCCTCATAAACTTATTGCAAGGGTTAAATGAGATAATACAGGTCAAGTGCTGGGCACATCTAGGAATTCAGTAAAAGTTAGAAACCCTCCTCTTCTCCAGTAATTTGAAATACCAAGGAATTTAAATACTCTATTAAAATGCAAATGTCTTTCTCCTCTCACTTTTCTCAGCACCCCTTCTTGACAAACATTTAAAGTCTTTACCAGCTAATACTTTCACTGAATGGGCCCTAAGAATGGGCTTGGGCTTGCAAAGACAGAGAAGCCAAACAGCAAAAGAAGAGTGGATGAACATGACTACGTAAGGAACAGCTACTACACACAGCCTCACCTGGGACCATCGCTACAACTGGTAGTTCTCCATTAATGACTGTTGAATGAACAAACCAATGATTTGATGCACCCAGGCTGCTTTGATCAAAATGCTTGTTTTGCTCCTAGAACAAGTAAGGATATTTTTTAAGTTCAATTTCAAGCACTTTCTGAAGTGTAACTTATGAAACCAAAGCATGTAAAAATTTAAACTCCTCATGTTCCACCTCCAAATTTCTGAATCTCTAAAGGTGCAGTCCTAGAATCCACTCGAAATGACTCCTAGCACATTGAGGTTTCCAGCTGGCTCACTGGGGTTAGTCAGTGCTCCTGCAATTCACTTTCAGAAGTATTTACTACATCAGAGTGTAGTATGCTAAAGATAAAAAATGATGGTGAACACACTAGAGATTAGACACAAAGCATTATGGGAGCATAGAGGAATGATGCACAGGAAAAAAACGGGCAAGTTCCAAGAAATCCAGGTGCTGAGAGGAGGATATTTCGAGCAAAGGCATGGACACAAGGAAGGAAAGCATACGCTGCCATGCTTCTAAACACCTTTTCTTTTAATTTCTTCTTTTTATAAACATCAAATGGTCACATCAACCCCAGAGTTAATAAACCCCTATATAATCACCAGGTGAGAAGTTTTTTTCCAACCTTTTCTTTCAGTTCTCTGTTTTACAATGGCAATACAGCAGACCCTTGCACAACACAGGTTTGAACAGTGCAGGTCAACTTACACACAGATCTTCCTCCACCTCTGCCACCCTGAACCAGCAAGCCCAACCCACCCCCTTCTTCCTCCTCCTCAGCCTACTCAATGTGAAGATGACAAGGATGAAGACTTTTATGATGATCATCTCTGCCTTGTGATTTTCTTAATAACATTTTCTTTTCTATAGCTTATTATTTATTGTAAGAATACAGTATTAATACATATAACATATGAAATATGTGTTAATCAACTGTTTATATTATCGGTAAGGCTTCCAGTCAACAGTAGGCTATTAGCAGTTAAGTTTTTGGGGAGTCAGAAGTTATATTTGGATTTTCAACTGTGTGAGGGGGTCAGCGCCCGTGACTCCTGCATTGTTCAAGGGTCAACTCTAGTGTGTTTTTTCCTGCCTTTTTCTAAATATAAAATAATATTCTCAAATAAGCTTTTTCACACAGCACATGCCTCCTCTGAAGATTCTGACACATGCCCTGCCCTGCAAACTGTTGGCAGGAGCATAATTCAGGGAATACTGGCAGTGTCTAAAGCAGAGAGTACTGAGTGTACATTGTCGTAAGGAGAGGAAAGGGCAAGGGGATGAGCCTTTGTCAGGACCAGATGGTCTCAGAGTGAAAGAATGAAAAACAAAAAGGAGGACAATGTGGAGGGCAAGTGGGAAGATACACAAGGTACGACACTTGTGTAGTTCTGGAAATATCAGGTGCCTGTGGATGAAGAAACTGCTCCTGGAACAAATAAAATGTTATGCAACAGAAGAGATCATTTGAACACCCTGCTCCATTTGAAGCTTATCAAGGACTCTGTGTGGATTATGAAAAAAGTTTCCCAACAAATATTTATTAAGTACCTACTGAGGACCAGGCTCTGTGCTACCATGCTACATAGGTAGTTTGGCGGGATCGTTAAGTTATAGATCTGAGGCCTGTTTGTCGGGATGTTTTTCGTTTCACACCCATAGTGACACACCAGTCTCTTCTGGCTTGACTGCTTTCTCCTGTAAGCATATTACCTAATATGCACTAAACACATAATTTTATCTATATAAACACAAGAAACTGAGGATAGATATGCTGATGTCCAGAGAAAATGCACCTGTACCAAATGGGGTAAGGAAGAAGAGTAGAGACGTTGGCCCCAAACAAACTGGTGTCAGACCCGGACTGAGACAGACCAGCTGTAAATATAAAGATTCCGACATGGAGTAGATATTCGATACATGACAGTTATTCTAAACATTATTTGCTACTACTACTACGGAAACCTTGGGAGTACTGAAAACTCATAATACTTTTTTGGCTGATGTTATTGCAGGGTTTCTCAACCCTGGCCCTCTGACATTTGGGGCTGATGATTCTTTGTTGTGAGAGACTGCCCAGTGCATTGTAGGGATGGCCTCTACCCACTAGATGCCAGTGGCAACCACCCCCTCTACCTTCATTTATGAAAACAAAAACTGTCTCCAGACATTGCCAAATGTCCCCTAGGGGGCAAAATTGCCTCTGATTGAGAACCACTGAGTTAGTTGATTAATTGATGTTACCCACTTTAAAAGAAGCTCCCAAGCTTCTAATCATATTGATCATTCCATTGAGATACTGGGTGAATCTAATTGCATACTAATAGCAGCTTCAGTTCCATCCACCCTATAATATATCATTCTATTATGATTGCTTCCCTTTCCTCTTTTCATGAGCAAAAAAACTAATCATGTTTTCCTCTCTGATTTCCAGTGATGATATAGACACATTTTTGTTTCTAAAACTGGAATCATACTGAGTTTCTAAAACAACATAAAGCCACTATTAAAAATAAGGAGTTTCACAATAGCTGAAGTTCAGAATGTTCACCCTAAAGAACCCTTGTAATCCCCATTTTGAAAGTAATTATTGGATGTTTATACTGAAAACATATATTTTCAGTTCATAGAAAGAACAGTGAGAGAAATGACCCCTCCACAACCTGTTCAGCAATTTTAGTTCTTCTCTCTCCAGAATATGCACTACAGACCAACAGGTCTTACACCTTTTTAAAAGCCAAGGAAAGACAGAGAAGTGGGGAAATTCTCACCATTCCTAATGGCTCCAGACACTCTAGATGGTTCCATTCAGGAGAAAAATTTGTTTTACAGCATAAACTCAAAGTGAGGGAAGAAGTTAAAATTCATGTCTTAAATGTTCTATAAGTTATTGATCAAGAAATCAGAAAGCATTTATTGCATCTCAGCCATAGAGCCAGTATCATGCTAGGTACAAGTCTTCAGAAAAGTCCAAAGTATGGATTGGGAGAGAGAGAGGAATAATTAAAAATAACTAGAAAAAAATTAGAAATAACTAGAAAAAATAAAGTCCTGGGCCAGGCGCAGTCGCTCATGCCTGTAATCCCAGCACTTTGGGAGGCCAGGGGGTGCGGATCACTTGAGGTCATGAGTTGGAGACCAGCCTGGCCAACATGGTGAAACCCTGTCTCTACTAAAAATACAAAAATTAGCCAGGCATGGTGGCAGGTGCCTGTAATCCAAGCTACTCAGGAGACGGAGGCAGGAAAATCACTTAAACCTGGGAGGCGGAGGTTGCAGTGAGCCGAGATCACGCCACTGCACTCCAGCCTGGGTAACAGAGCAAGACTCTGTCTAAAAAAAAAAAAAAGAAAAGAAAAAAGAAAAAAATTAAGTCCTAAACAGAGGATTAACTGAAAGGACAATAAAGTTTGAAAGAAGGCAAAGTATGTGAGAACTATAATGGTTCATTCATTCATTCAGAAATATTGGCCGAGCACATTGACTTATTCCTGTAATCCCAGCACTTTGGGAGGCCAAGACGGGAAGATCGCTTGACACCAGGAGTTCAAGACCAGCCTGAGCAACACAGTCAGACCCTGTCCCTACAAAAAATAAAAATAAAAATAAAAAATTGACCAGGTGTGGTGGAGTTTGAGGTTACAGTGAGCTAGGATGGCACCATTGCACTCCAGCCTGGATGACAGAATGACACCCTGTTCCCCCAAAACCATCAAAAAAAATTATTGATTACATTGATAATCCACATACTCTGCTAGATGCTCAAATACCCTGGTATGGGCTTTGTCTTACTAAAACATATAAAGAAGTCTACAATTACAAACTAGCCTATGTGCAATGAAAAAAAGGAGCAGACTAGGACTGCAATAACAGAGGGGTTAACAATTAGGGAGAAAGTGGTCATTTAGAGAGGATGAAAGGGGAAGCCTTCTCCAAGGAGATATGTAAGTAAAGACCTAAAAGACAGGAAGGTTTGGCCACATAAAGGAGGCAGGAAGAGCATTCCAGGCCAAGCCAATATCATGTGCAAAGATCTTGTGGCAGAAAAATTCTCAGAAAGTTCCAGGAACTTAAAGGAGGCAAAGGAAGTATAGTCCCTGCAGGTACCCTGTGCTGAGGATGCAGGGATGGCCCAGGAAAGCTCTTTAGGAATGTTACTTGTCTCCTTTACCTGGGTGTCTGGGAATGGCCCCTTTCTATTCAACCTATGTGATGTAAGGTATATACAATAGGGGTTTCAAATTAAATAGAGGAGAGAAAGAGAAATCAGAAAATGGCCAGTTTGGGATAAACAACAATAAAAAGATTAAATGGAAACAACCTGAAAGTAAACTCCACAGTCTATGTATTTGATTACAATATCTACCCAAAAGATGCAGCCTCTTTAGAGCTTTAACTGAGTCCTGTTGAAAACAGGAGAAGACTCAGAATCTTCAGTGCCATTAGGGCAGTAGTTCTTAAACTTTAGCTGTATCAGTATCACCTGAAGGGCTTGCTAAAACACAGATTGCAGGGCCCCGCTCCAGAGTTTCTGATTTGGTAGGCCTGGATGGGGCCCAAGAATTTGCATTGGCAACAAATTATCTGATTGTGCTGATGCTGCTTGTCCATGGACCACACTTTGAGAACCACTGGTTTAGGATATTTGAGGGCCTATATTTCTATGCATTCAGAATTTCAACCTAAATAAGGAAACAGGCACATGATATTGTACAAGAAGAAAGATCATAATCCAGTTTTCTATGTTGAACTGGCACATATGGAGTGTCTCCTCTGAACCAGATGATTTCATTCATTATCTCATTCCATCAGTATGGCAGATATTATTACCCATGTGTTACCCATGTGGACTGGAGGCTAGGCGAGGTCCTGTGAATTACCTGAGATCACATGGCTAATAAGTGACAGAGCCAAGATTCAAGATTCAAGTCTGGTTTTTGCAGAGCTCTTGCCCTTTTTTTTTTTTTTTTTGCACCTAAAAGATGAAAAACTTCACTCTGCGTCAAGGTATCTGGAAAATGAAGCTGCATTTGGGGCACATTATAGATGAGGAATGATCCATATATGGTGAGCAGAAAACTCAACTATAGAATTATTTCTTAGCTAGTACCAGATACTCCAAACTACAAATGCTTAAGTAAAAGTAAAATATGATTTGCCATACTAAAAGTCTAGAAGTGAAATATGACAGAATTTAAACCAGCAGATATAAATGCAGCACCTATGTGTATATTTTTAAAAAATCAAATATTGAGGAAAAAAATCAAATATTGAGAAAAGCTCTGGCCTTAAACACATCTCACCTGAAATCCAACCAGAAAGCCAGTCCATGATTTTAGCAAATTTTAATTCATTGTATGAAAAAAAAATTATGAATGCTAGGTGAATCCAGTGACAAAAAGGGCACTTTTTTGGTTAAAACTACAAAAGAAACTTGTTTTCTGAGAACATTAAGGAAAACATTTTAAGTCATTTTCAAAATGTCTAATTGATATGATCTTCAGAAAAAAACATATCTAATCCGTATAGAAATTCATCTTGAAATAAGAATGAGGCAGAGTGTTTTTTTTAAAGTGTTATGTATATATATGCCCTTCAGGTCAGTGTAACATGACTGTGATCATCTTACAAACAAAACTCAAAATCAATTCAGAGAGCAGCGTGGCCTTGGAGACCACCCACAGTCAACACAGTTGTACATACTGGGCTTTGCTGTCAAGTTAAGGAGTGAGCAAATGAGTTCAGTATCAAAGGTCATGTTTTCACAGTCATTCAAATTATATCCCAAAAATTTCTTGTATTCTCTACTTTTTGACTTTTCTTTCAAAGAACTGATTGCAGAGTATACGGAAATCCTGCTATACTTTATGTACTACTTTAGGTGGGGTATAATTTCTTTTTAATTTATCATTGCTTAAAAATCTTCAAAATAGCTTAGTGAGGCTCATGACAGTGCTGGCCACATGGAGATGTAGCCTTTTGTTGCCTTTAAACACTGTCACGCCATCTATGACTATCCCATTGGTCTGAAGTGTACTGGCAAACTAAGCATCCTGTAAGACAAGCTAAAGCTTGCTTTTTGCCAATCAGTTGAACGTCCTGCATCTCTTCACTGATGCACTTTCTCTAGGCATTGATAGTCAAAAGCACAAAGCATTTATTACGCATTCAATCATGTAGCTAAACAAAACACTGAAGTCTCCTGAAGCCATTTAAACCAGCCGTTCCAAAACCTCCTGCCACCACTTTGATCTGTTAGTACCATCAAAAACTTTCCCAACTATAAATGAAATAATAAATGGTAGTGCTGCTCTCCAGACATTAGGCACTGCTCCATATCTTTGAACATTTGATTTTTTAGCTAATAACTGTGTCAAAAGCCTCAAAAAACCCTGAAATTAATTTGAAATTAATTAAATGAAATTAACAGAGCCAAGATTCAAGTCTGTTTTTGCAGAACTCTTGCCTTTTTTGTTTTTTTGAGATGGAGTCTCACTCTATTGCCCAGGCTGGAGTGCAATGGCACAGTCTTGGCTCACTGCAACTTCTGCCTCCCTGGTTCAAGTTATTCTCCTGTCTTATCCTTCCAAGTAGCTGGGATTGCAGGCATGCGCCACCATGCTCAGCTAATTTTTGTATTTTTGGTAGAGACGGGGTTTCACCATGTTGGTCAGGCTGGTCTTGAACTCCTGACCTCAGGTGATCCATCTGCCTCAGCCTACCAAAGTGCTGGGATTACAGGTGTGAGAAGCTCTTGCTCTTAACTACTATTTTATGTTGCCTCCCATCTCATGGGTACAAGAAAGATGTTTCTTGACTCCAGACCTTACTTCCCGACTGGAAAGCACTCTGAGGCCTGCCCCATTGTGGTTAGTGATGAATCTAGACAGTTTTCACAGACTCCTGGGGACTCTTAGTGGCCTGAATTTGCTACTAAGCTGTTCCCTTTTCTTATAGGAGACAGTAAGATCTATTTATTAAGCCTCCATGTAAGCATTATTCTCAGCATGTTACAGGCACTCTCTCTTTTTAAACCACCAGAGGTGGTTTCCTCTCTGTGGGAAGCAGTTACAGATTTTAAAACACAGACTTAGCAGCCAGATGGGCCTGGAATCACCCCTCCTCTGCCACTTAGTAGTCCTATGATATTGGCTGAACGACTTAACTTCTGTAAAGCCGTTTTTCCTCATTTCATAAGCGGTGGTTACAATAGTATCCACCTCACAGGACTGTGAGAAATTCATGAGTAAATTACATGTAAAGCTCTTAGTCCAGTGCTTAACTTGCAGCAGGTGTTCTAGAAATATTAACTATTATTAACCTGTTAGCCATTTTCTTACCAAATATGGTCATTTTCGTGGAGTTTTAATTATTGCTGTGCTAGACTGTGCTAGACACATAGTTTCTTTTTGTTTATATTTCCTGAGTTTTGGGCAGATCCAGGAAACATGAATAATTATCATCTTGATTTGAGCTCCCCATCCCCCCACCCCAACAAATAGGAAAAATATTTCAAGATACCAAAATAGACAAAACAGAAAAAAAAAAATGGGCTAGGTTAGGTATTTTAGGTAAATTAGTAATTATAACTATACCCAAATGAATATTAATTAACTGATTGATATAAACTCAGGCAGGGGAGTTGAAATCAAGAGGTCTAATGGTCCCACAATGCCACGTATTGGCCAAGTTATATGTGAGGTGATGTGCTCATGTCTCAGTGCCAAATTTTAAGTGAAATGTTTCTCAGCTAGAAAGCACTCAGAAGGTGTTGAGCAGGATGGGAGTGGATGGGGAAACTCGGCCATATCTAGTGTAGAAAAGAGAAGATTAAGACATAATAATAATGACAACCTTCAAATATTTCAAAATCTTTTAGAAAGAAATGAGGAATAGACTTATTCTGTATTTGCTCTGTAACACTATATAGCAATAATGTTTTTCAAACAGTAGTTGGTCACCCAATTGTGGGTCATGAAATCAGTTTAACGGGGTCCTGACCCGCATTTTAAATAAATGAAATAGAATATAATAGGAAATACCAGATGCAGCCGAATAAGAGTAATAGCTATTCCATGAAATTCTGTTTAATTATATTTATATTTGTATTTGTGTTTGTGGGTCTAAACATAAAATATATCCTTATGTTGGGTCATAATAATGATACAGGAGGAGGGCAGGGAAGTGCTGGGTAGAGAAGGGCGGGGTCCCTGGCAAGGGCTCCATCCTCGGGCCTGTGCCCACAAACCTAAATGAGGACAGGCATTTCTGTTTTTGCACCCAAAAAGCTGCTTTTGGCCTGCCACGCCCCCCATCCTGTGCCCATAAAAACCCGAGACCCTAGCGGGCACAGACACAAGCGGCTGGACGTTGAGAGGAGCAGAAGAGCACACCACCAGACACCATCCAACACTGCAGGCCATCGACAGCGGAATTTGGTTGGGGGCAGTCAGAGGAGAGTCTGGCTGCTGAGCAGCCTGACTCCAGCGGAAGGTCACATTCCAACTCCATCCCCTTTCTGGTTTCCCGTCCACCTCATTCAGAGCTACCTCCACCACTCAATAAAACCTTGCACCCATCCTCCAAGCCCACGTGTGATCCAATTTTTCTGGTACAATAGGGCAAGAACTCAGGATACAGAAAGCCCTCTGTCCTTGGGATAAGGCAGAGGGTCTAACTGAGCTGATGAACACAAGCGGCCTGCAGACAGCAAAACTGAAAGAGCACACTGTAACACACACCCACTGGGGCTTCGGGAGCTGTAAACAGTCAACCCTAGATGCTGCCGTGGGCTTGGAGCCCAAAAACGCTCCCCACAACCTGCCTGTCTGCATGCGGCCTCTAGGAGTTTGAGCAGCGAGGCACTGAAGAAGCGAGCCACGCCCCTGTCGCAGGCCCTGTGACGGGGATATGGGAACTCCTCCCATTTCAGTAAAATAAATGTTGGAAAGCTCTAGAAGGCAAAACATGGACAACTGTGTGTAAGAAACAGTAAGTCAGGTTTCAGCTCTCTATAAAGAAATCGTTATAATAATGATCACTGTGTAACAATAGACCAGGTTTTCTCAGGAAGCAGGAGCTCCTCCCCCACTCATACAACACCTGCTCAGAAGATGTTCTAGCAGAGGCTGAGTGATGGTGCATTAAGGAGGACGGCATTGGGTATTCCCTCCTATGAGGACACTAAGATGCTCTGACTCTCCAAAATGGAGTCGATCAGACATGAGCTTCTGCTAAAAGAAAGAATGGAAGAAAATCAAAACCTTAACATTCAGACCCCAGAAGCCATATAACCAGTCCAGGAGTAGGCAGTCTTCTGTGTTTATATATTGAGCACAGTGAAGCACGCATCAAATCCCTGAAGTTGTTCAGGATTTCTACTGTAGGAAGGGTTAATTTCAAGCATCCATTTTCTAACTGAGGTGATAAAATAATATGCATAGCAGCAATCAAGTCTCATCGATGTAAGCACCTAAATGGAGTCAAGTGGCAACTGAATACCTGGTGACATGGAACTGAGTCACCATTTATCACACCTACTAAGAGCAAGCCAAAATCCAATGCAAAGAGCAGAGCATCCCCAGATGTTGCTCCCACACCTAGGGCTGCCAGATGAAACACCAGTTGGATCTGAATTCAAATTATCTGTTTATCTGAAGATAAACAACAAAATATTTTAGTATTATGTGTCCAAAATATTGTAGTGGACATACTTATACTAAAAAAAATATTCACTGTTTATCTGAAATTCAAATTTGACTGGGTCTCCTGTGTTTTATTTCCTAAGTCTGGCAAATACCAACCTACCTACACTAGGTTATATCCCTAAAATTCCTTTAGTGGAGCCCTTAGTCTCTCATTTGGTAAACAGTGTGGAATGTCAGCTATAAGAAGCTGATAGTAGTAAAAAGCAATACTGATAAGGATGGAAAAAGGAGTGAAATGCAAGTGAGCATGGTGTAACAGCTTTGTCCCACTGAATACTACTGAGCCAAATTTAAGGACCTCTTAAGAGTAAGCAAAACAGACACTGTGAGGCATGAGGGTGTGGACAGCATTTGAGGAAGGAGATAACAAGGTTACAGTCCCACTTCGGAGCGTTCCCATGCTAAATCTGGGTTTGTATGGGAGAGAAGATTCAGCTTCATTCTTCTGCACTTTATTATTCAGCATTTGGTCACAGGGACCCCAGAGGAAGAGCTCACAATGGCTGCCGCCAGCTGTTCTGAGGCATACATGATGCCGTTCGGGTCACACTGTGATGGATGGATCTCATCTGGAAAGCCAGCCTGGCCTCTCCTTGACCTCCATGACTGAGTCGGGTTCCTCTTCTCTGGGGTCCCATGTCCCCCTTGCAGTCACCATATAATAACAACAATAATTGAAATTGCTCATAGAGTGCCAAATATGTGCTGGGCACTCTACATATATTATCTCACTTAACCCCTTCCAATAACCCTATGAAGTAGATATTTGCCTTCCCATATCACAGATGAGGAAACTGAAGTCCACAGGGGTTAGATCACTTGCCCAAGGTCATGCAGCCCATCAGTGCCCACTGGCCTGAAGGAGCTAGAACTCCACGTTGTAAATGTTCCTGTTAATAGATCTTTCTTCCCAATTAAGTTACCAGTTCTTTGAGGGAAGGACTGTGTCTCACTCACCTTCACATGCCTGAGCCTAGCTTGCAGTGTGTGGCAAGTTGTAGGCAGTATTGTGAGTGAGTCAAGCTAAGGTTTTGTAGTTAAACATACCTAGTCACAAATTAGGGTTCTGCCAAGAATCTGTTATTGAGAATCAGGAGTTTGGGTTCTAGTGACTTGCTCTGGAACTGAAGATGGTGGTTAGGAATCCTAGCAATAGAGAAGAACAGGGCTGGGTTTAAGCCCTGGCCCTACCACTTACCAGGTATGATTTGGCAAGTTATTTAACTTGTCTTAGCTTCAGTTCTCCATCTGAAAGATGAGGGAAGTAATAGTACCTGTCTTACAGGATTGTTTTAAGATGACTGACATAATGTTATAATCTAACACATGAAAAGCACTCAATAAATATTAGCTCTTTTTATTATAATGCATTTAATAAAGCTATTTGTAATTTATTTTCTTTTTCTATCTTTTTTCAATGTCAGCAAATGAATTAAGAGAGTAGAAACAAAATGGACTTCAGGGTAAGAAGCCATACTTGAGAGTGACAAGGCAAGGAGGGGAAGACAGGAAAAAAAAAAAAAAAAAAAGCAGGAAAGCAGTAGGATGAGAATAATATTTATTAGATGCTAGTCATTTTCAGGCACTATTCTAAATGATTTAAATGTGCTAATTCTTTTGATCCTAATCACCCGCCTACAAGATGGGAGGGGAACCAGTGGAGGGGGAGGTAGCCGGTGTTCACCTGAAGTTAACCCCCACCACAGCCAGACAGCGACATAAAACTGCCTGCCACACTCCTTAGTTCACAGCAAATACTCAGTCTGGAGTTGCCGTTTGAATTTGAGGGAAAATGACTTTTAGAGCTAGCAGGTAAATATTTTTATAAAAGGAGCCTAAAGTCTAACTCTCTGGCTGACCAACCACAAGAGCAACAATAATGGACATTTATTCATGGTCAACAGACAGTAAACAGCAAACCCTTGGGAGACAGACAAAGGAGCCCTGGCAGGTTTACAGATCCCAGCAGTAGACTATTGTACCCCACCCCACCGGCCCCAAACCCTGTATTTTCCACAGGATTCATTCCAGACCAGGTTTTGTACCCACATGTCCCTTCTGTGTTTTCTTAAGAACCTAAAGTTTCCAAAAGCTATTGACTGTTAGACAGCAACCTGAAAGCAGTCTCAGTGTCCACTCTTCCCAGTAATCTTTTAAAAAATCCCTGAGAAAAGGTTAATAAGTCTTACCATCAGGTGATCAGTAATCTTGTCCACTCTAGATTTGGGGGTACAAAGGTCACAGGGGGAAGAGAATTAAGCAGAAATAAATGTTTATACATATTTGACATTAACATAACCACACATATGTGCCATGGGGATAAATGTTCATAAGCAGGGGTCCTGTAAGGAGTGTATTTCCGCAGGCAGCAGGCAGCAAGAGACAGCAAACCATCCCTGAACATGTTTTCCCCATTTTGCCAAGGAACATTCTTTTTTTATCCCCTTTTATAATCTGACCTATTCCATTTTCTGGCAGAGAGCCCTAGGAAGGCAAGCACTGCCTTTTCTGTCCATATTCCAATATAAGATGGAAAAAGGAGGAGGGAGCAAGAGGAGGTGAGTGGGGGCTGAGGAGGGTGCAACTGACTTAGGAAAACAGAGACAGAAATGGAGGAGGGAAAGAAGAGAGTGAGAAAAGGAGAGAAACTGGAAAGGAGAGGGGGTGAGCAGGAGAGAGAGAGCAAACCATGAATATCAAATTAATTTAATGTGTCCACACTGGGCAAAACTGATTTGAGGAGTGTGAGAGTAATAAAAAACAAACAGGATAAATTCCACAATGATCATCCGGCAAGAATGTGCCCCAGAAACCATAATCATAGTATCCTTGAACAAATCACACTAGTAATTTATACACTCTTTAGACTCCCTTAGTGCTTAACAACTGATGAAATATCGTTTCTGGGGAGTCACGCTTGTGTTTAATTTTCAGGAATGAATGGCCACTCTTCCATTTATTTCTAGTAGAAACATCTTTTTGGCAGGGAAAATGCCCTTCCCATTTTCCTATGTGTGTGTGTGCGTGTGTGCACGTGTGTGTGTGTGTGTGTGTGTGCTGTGTGAATGCATGTGAGCATATATATGTTTTATCCCATTACTCCAGATCTCTTTCCTTGATCTTTTTTTTTTTTTTAGCCAAAGCAGATAACCATTTATCTTCAGAATTTATTGTCATTTTCCCCCTTCCTACTCCATTCTCTCTCCCAACTAGAATACCCTGAAATAAAACTCACTTCCTGAGCAATGTGTAATATCACTTTGCAAACCAATATTAGGGGAGTGGTGATCAATTTTACATTCAAGTTTGAGTCCACCTGCCCTGAATCGTCCTTTTGTATTCTCCTTAGGCTTCTACCGCCTCGCCCCAAATTGTGCTGCTGCAAAGGTTTCGTTTCTTTTAGAAATAGTATCAGCACTATTGGGAAACCAGGGGAGATTTCGTGTCCCAGGGACTCTGCTGCAATACATAGGAATGAATGGATGGAAAGGGCAGAAAGGGCAGGAAATAAATGAAGGAAGCAAAGAGGAGTTTTTATGGTTGTTGTTTCAGATCAATATTCAGATAATATTGATCATTATTTGGTGGTCTAAAAAATAAAAAAAATATATATATATAGTTTTGAGTGCCTACCAGTCATCTTTTGTTCAAGAAATACGTACTGAATATCCATGTATTGTACTGCCTGTCCCTGTGCTGGATACTTTAACATATTTATTCAATTCCCAATACAGTCTCCCTAGGAGGAGACCAACTTGTACATTCTCCTTCCTAGAAAACCGAAACTGGCTCTGGAGCCAGAGATTAGATGTTGAATCTAATCTTTGCCTCTAGCCAAACGACTCTGGGCAGATCCTTTAACCTCTCTGAGCCTCTGTTTCCTCCTTTAGAAAATGAAAATAATTTCATCTGCTTCACTAAGTTGTTCTGAGAATGAAATAAACTAATGTGCCCAACAAGATTAATCATGGAAAAGACTGAGTTACTCAGATTTGGGGAAGTGTAACAACGCTGAACTATTTTGTGATTGTTTTGTTGGAATAGGAGGCCAAACCACACCCCCGTGGTAGGGTGAGGTTTCCTGTGAAGGGAATTGAATTTTCCACTGTCAATCATCCTGAGAAAAAGTTAGCTCTCAGAAGCTGTGTTCAGGGCTTGAGGAGGAGGATGGCAGGATACATAGGCTTCTAAAGGGTGGAGAGATCTAGGGTACATCACGGGAGCAAGGCAGGGGATAGGGACGCCCCTGTCAGTTGGAGGCCAGCTCAAGGCTACGCACACGTAGCCCACCCAATCCCAAAACCTAGGACAGGTGTAGGCTTGTGTCGCAATCAGGAGGACCTGGGCCCACTCAGAGAGTGCACAGGAGAGTAGCATTCTCATCCCTGCAGCCAGGAGAGAGTAGGACCCTGGGAAACCAGTCAGGCTCTCAAGTAAGCAAAGGCCAAGCCTCCAAGTTCTGGTGTGAGTAGGGGCAGCAGCAGCAACAGCCAGTGTCAAGTGGAGAAGAGAGGGCATGGAGCAATTATCACGGTGTTCACGGGTCTCAATATGGTGTTTCTGAATCCCAGCTCCCCTGACAAGACACTAGAGCAGCCAGAACTGACTCTGTGCATGCAAATAAGCACCACCTAAGGATTCCTGGACCATAAAACTGCAGGGTGGCCTTTAAAAAGACTCCATTTCTTAGTAAGATGGGCAGGCAAATGCTTGGAAATTGTTATATTTGGGGGTACCACTGTGGGTAACATGACCCAAGCCATAAGCTGAGTACAATGGTTATATGTATAAAGTACAAAGTGCCTGACACAGTAGGTGAATCTAGCCTGGTTCCTGTCTCCTTTTTCATCCCCATAAAAATGAGAGGGAGGAAACTTTACATTTGTCTTAGAACAGATTTGTTCAAAAGTCTTGAATCTCAACCCATCCTTCTGAAACAGGATAGGGAAGAGGAGATAAGTGACAGTATTATTTAACTTATATGCCAAATCTTTCAGAAAGCTTTGACCATACTTGGAGGTATCAGACAGAAAGACATTTAATGGTGGTTACTACAATCAGGCATTTCTCACATAATGCATTTAATCCTCACCACCATGGGCTGCGGTCAGTACTATTATTATCCCCATTGTATCAGTCAGCGTCCTATCAGGAAATAGATGGTATGTGCAAAAGGAGTGACTGAAGACAGTCTAATGAAGCAACTATTTACAAAAGGGTTAAAGGAAAACAGCAAATGATGATGAAGCACCCTGGGGCTAGTCACTATGAGGAGCTGCTACCATCCCTGTGATGGTTAGTTTTAGGTGTCGACATGACTGAATTCAGGGATACCTAGAGAGATGACAATGCATTATTTCTGGGTGTGTCTGTGAGGGTGTTTCCAGAAGAGGCTGGCATTTGAGTAGGTAGACTGAGTGGGGAAGATCTGCCTTCAATGTGGATAGGCACCATCCAATTGGCCGGGGGCCTGGATGGAACCAAAAGGGCTGAGGAAAGGCAAATCCTTGCTGTCTCTTCAAGAGCTGGGACGCTCTTCTTCTGCCCTTGGACATCAGAACTCCAGGTTGTTTGGGTTTTGAACTCCAGTACTCGCACCAGTGGTTACCCAGGTTCTCAGGCCTTTGGCCTTGGGCTGAGAGTTACATCATCATGTTCCATGGTTCTGAGGATTTCAGACTTGGACTGAGGCTCACCATGGCTTCCATGGTTCCCCAGCTTGCAGACAGCCTGTCACGGGACTTCTCACCCTCCATAATCACAAGAGCAGATTCCCCTAATAAATTCCCTCTCATCCAACTATACCTATATATATCCTATTTGTTCTGTCTCTCTGGAGAACCCTAATGCAACCCATAAGCTGGAAGAGGAAGTTATCAGAATCCAGCAAGACAAGATGCTATAAGAGAAGGCCATTCTATAGTTATGTGCAGCAGAATCACACAGCCATATTGTCCCACAGCTTGATGGGAAGGAAGTAGGTACACTGAGTTCTCTTTCTTACCACCCTCCTGTATCCTGCCAGTGCTTCTTATTGGTCAAATACAACAGGAATCCAGGTGATGCATTCCAAAAGGTAAGTGTTTCAGAGCACAGAGAAGAGTGATAAAGGATGGTAAGTGGGTCTGGAAAAGCATCAGAAAATAGTACATGATTTTAAAGTTTAGGAAAAGAAGATACAGATTAAGTAACTTGTCTATGGTCATAAAGCAAGTAAGAGGTGGAGCTAAAATTCATCACTCAGTATGGCTTGATACCCATGCTCTTAACCACTAAGATGTGCTTCCTATAACTTGTTAGGAAGATTGCTAGTCATCCAGCATCTCTTTCTCCCTGTACCCTACCCAGCTATTCTCTGATAATAGACTCCATCCTATCCCCACCCAGTTTTCCCAGTCTTCCTGGAACTGCGGGTAGCCACGTGACTAAAGTTCAGGCCAATGGAATATAAGTGAACACCATTAGATGTGTGCAGCTTTCAGGTTGTGCCCACCACTTTCCTTCTCCCTCGTCTATGGACTAGAATGCGGATGTGATAGTAGAAGCTGAAACAGTCACCTTGAACCACTGCATGGAAATTACTTTTGAGGATATAGTGCACCCTGAAGCCACCAGATCAGCACTGGACTGTTCATGCTCTAAGTTAAAAAGAAATAAACTTACATATTGTTTAAGTAACTGTCATTTTGGCCTTTGTTATAGCAGCCCAACCTATATCCTAAATAATACCAAGACCAAGCACCCACATGGCCCAAATGAGGCTCAGTCATAATGGTTTGAGCAATAAGAGAAATACGACTGGTATAGTCAGCTAGTGATCACCAATGTGTGTCTTCTCCTCTTTTTCCTGGCATATAACTAGACTACATTTTTCCACCCCACCCCATTCCATCTGGGTGAGGCTGTAAGACTAGTTCTTACCCTTGGAAAATGAGGAGAAGTGAGTATTTTGCCTCCAGGCTGAGGCAATCAAGGGTGAACATTCTTGCTCACCTGATTCACTTACCTGACAAATGGATGCAAACATCACTGAAAGAATCTGAGCCCCTAGAAGATGGTAAAGCCAGGAAACGGAAGAAGCCAGGGTCCTTAATGACACATGAAGCACAGCCCTCTGACAACTCTACATTTGACCATTGCACAAGCACGAAACGCAGTCTTCCTTGTGTTAAGCCACTGACACTGGGGTTTAGCCTATCCTGACTAAGGCATAAACACTGTGATCCAGAGCTGCAATCTCATCCCATATTTTTGGAGGACAAGGGGGTAGGAGGAGACTGGGAAATATTTAAGTTATTATTTTAAAGAAGTTATACAAATGTCATAATTTGTCCTAATAAGACCCAGCATACATCCTGCCTGAATGAGGAAGGCCAGAATAGCACAAGAAAACACTTTCTCCTTGCATATTGGCCCTCAGGGGAGTTAGCCCTGGTGGCTCCCAAGAATGCTATTCTCATGACACACTCCTCTCCTGGCACTCATAGGCCAGTTCACCAGGTCTGAGCAGAGACAGCACCAACTGAGCTCCTTGAGGCATGCCAGAGGGTCAAGCAACCCCAAAGGGCAACAAATTATGAAAGGTTAAGAAAACAAGGAACCAGTTTGCTTGTGGGTGGTGAGAGTGAGCTCCCCCACCTATTCTTTCTAAAGTCCAGATTTTCTAAAATAAGCACATACTGCTTTTATACTAAAAAACTAAAGTTTAAAAATTGGACTTTCAAAACTTCAAGTTTTAAGAAAGATAAAAAATAAGCTGGATAAGCCCCAGGAATAAACATAGGAGATAGAGGTCACAGAAGAAAGGATCCAGTCCTCAAGGCACTGTTACAACAAGCAGAAAGGCCAGTCTTAGAGATATACAACTGAAAAGATAAAGTGTCTCACGGGTCACACCCTCACTCCGTCATTCAACAAATATTTACTGAAGATTAACTTGTGCTGGGCACTGTGCTGGCTGCTAGATTTACAAAGAAGAATAAGGTGGCCACAGTGTAGCGCAGTTGTTCACAATCTTAGCTGCACATTGAAATCACTTGAGATGTGATTAAACCCAAGCAAACAAACAAAAAAACACAATAACATTGATGCTTGGGTCCACATGCCAGAGATGTGGATGTAATCATTCAGGATTGGGAACTGGTCTCAGGACTTATAAAAGCTCCTCCTGATTCTAATGTGCAGCCAAAATGGAAAACCACCAGGAGGACATGACACATGGGATTAGGGTTGAAGGCTAGATAGGAGCAAGCCAGGGGAGAAAGGGAGAAGGGGGAAGAGGGGCATCCAGGTGGAGGAAACCAAGCTGAATGTAGAGGATTGCCCCATAGTTCCATACAACTAGAATGTCATAGTGGGTATGAGTGATGCAGGTTATGGCGTTCCTCCTATGTCAAACCAAATATCTATCCTCCAGGTAGAGGAGAGTCAGTCAAGGTTATTCACAGGGCAGACATGGTCACATCTGGGTTCATCCAACTCTCCACACATCCTTTCTAACCCTCTCAGATGACCGTAACTTCTAGCTATGCATGGAACTACCGAAAGGCTATGGAAAGGTGTGGGCTTTGCCTCCTCAGAAAATGGTACCACCATCTCAAGAAAGAAAGCATATTTCTTGACACTCCATCATGACACTTCAATACAGCATTCATCCAGAGACACACCCCTTTCTCTACTGCCTTTTAAAAAATCCCCTTTTTGGTGACTTAATTTTATTATATGATCTTGCTGCAACACTGAGAATCAATCCCCCAAGGAGCCAATAGTTATTCATTTGCAGACTGATATAAAAATTCAAAGGTGGAATGGACTATCAATCATGAGGCAAAAAAGTAGTGGAACTATCACCAAAACCTCAGATGGAAAACCATTCCACATGTGGCTCCAGGGACGAATCACTAAATAATTCCACTGACCTAATCACCATTCCTGACTACCTCCTTTTGGAGACTAGGTAAGTTGTAGAGAAGCTTCCAGAAATAAAAACCGCTTGATTAGTAGGTGGGATAACTGGTAAAAGCTATTTTATCCTTCAATCTTGGGAAATAAGTATGTTTTAAATGAATAATAATAATAAAACAATAAAATAAAAGCACTTCCTGAATTCCAAGCACATTCAATACATGGACTTTACATACACCATTTACCATATCCACGCAAGGTCCCAGTTGAGTTGATTAAATAACTGAGGCTTAAAGCAGCTTAATCACCTGCCCAAGGTCACAAGAAACTGCAAGAGAATTCAAACTAAATTTTTAGGACTTCTGTGATGACACAACATAATAAAAAATATACATATATTTGGTTTTCATCCCTGGTTCTCAGCACAGAGCTCCTAAAACCCTTGAAATTTCCTGAGTGATAGAGGTGATAGGAGCATCTTTTTTTTATTCATAATAAATACCTTTTAACCATACCTGAGTTTATGCTAATGAGATAACTGGTGGCTGAAAGTCCTTAGCTTCAGGTTGGGGGCTGGTTGTGGGAAGAACCAACCATATTATTAAAAGGTTGGAATTCAATTAGAACACTTGGACACAGAGTGGGGAACATCACACACTGGGTCCTGTCGTGGGGTGGGGGGATGGGGGAGGGATAGCATTATGTCATAATGTCATAATGTATGGGGGATGGGGGAGGGATAGCATTGTGTCATAATGTAAATGACGAGTTAATGGGTGCAGCAAACCAACATGGTACATGTATACCTATGTAACAAACCTGCATGTTGTGCACATGTACCCTAGAACTTAAAGTATAAAAAAAAAAGTTTGTTAGCAGGTCAAGGAAAATAAAGATCAAGAGCCAAGGAAGGCATTCCCTGGGATAAAGATAATAAATTTCAACAAATCAACACTAAAAGTAACTTTATAATATTGATTTAAAAATTTAAAAAACCATATTTCTTCAATGCTAAGGTGTCATCTTTTCACATTTTAATATCATAGATATAATAGCTAACATTCATCTTGCACTTACTTTGTACCAGGTTCTGTTATGTGTGCTTTACATGTGCTGACTCATAGAATATGGGATATTTCATGGAGTGAAAAATTTCATCTTTTGCTCTCTGAAAAGTTGTTATTAAACCAATGTTACAAATTTAAACTCCATGACTGTTTAGAATCCAGGAACCATTGTAGGTGCAGAAATAAATAGTGCTTACAGATATACATTAACAAAAATTACATTGAGGAAAAAAAAAGTTGGAATTTCCAGCCCACCGACCTATTCTCCCCACTTCCCCACCTACTACCCCTCCACCCTGCCACACACATACCTGACCTCTGGGGAGGGGAAAGGGACTGGGGATTGAGTTAATCACCCATGGCCAATGATTCAATCAATCATGCCTAATGGAACATCCATAAAAACCCTAAATGAGGAGGTATGGAGAGTTTCTGACTTAGTGAACCTATCCATGTGCCAGGAGGGTGGTGCACCCCAACTCTAAAAGGACAGAAGCTCCTGTGCTTTGGACCCTTCCAGACTTCACCTTTTGCATCTCCTCATCCAGCTGTTCATTTATATCCTTTAAAATAACCTGGTAAACATAAGCATAGTGCTTCCCTGAGTTCTCTAAGCTATTAAAGTAAATTATAGAAACCAAAAGAAGGTTGTAGGAAGCCCTGATTTGTAGCCAAGTTAGACATAAGTGTGGGTAATATGTGGACCCACCACTTGCCGTTGATATCTGAAGTGGTAGATAGTCTTGCAGGACTGAGCTCTTAACCTATAGGGCCTGTGCTAACTCTGGGTAGTGGTAAAATTTAATTAAATTCTAGGACATCTGGTTGGTGGCTGCAAAATATTTAAGAATTACTTGGTGTGGAAAACCCACACATTGGGTGTCAGAAGTATTGTGAGTACAGGCCAGGCACAGTGGCTCACGCCTGTAATCCTAGCACTTTGGGAGGCCGACAGAAGAGGGCAGATCACCAGAGGTCAGGAGTTCGAGACCAGCCTGGCTAACATGGCAAAACCCTGTCTCTACTAAATTTCCAAAAATTAGCTGGGCATGGTGGCGGGCACCTGTAATCCCAGCTAGTTGGGAGGCTGAGGCAGGAGAATAGGTTGAACCCAGGAGACAGAGGTTGCAGTAAGCCGAGATCATGCCATTGCACTCCCATCTGGGCGACAGAGCGAGACACCGTCACAAAAAAAAAAAAAAAAAAAAAAAAAGAAGTATTGTGAGTAGAGAAATAATTTTCTTTTAA
Source organism: Homo sapiens (assembly GCF_000001405.40). Lineage (NCBI taxonomy): Eukaryota > Metazoa > Chordata > Mammalia > Primates > Hominidae > Homo > Homo sapiens. The sequence goes on along the minus strand of NC_000011.10, from coordinate 94,743,616 downwards.
CTTTGCTCTGCTTCTTCTTATATTCCGGCCAGGAGTGAACCTGTGCTCATCTGTGCTCCCGAAAGAATGGCTGCTTGACAAGCTCATCAACTGCTGTAAAAGGCATTTTTCCTGCTGTGTGTCTAAGAAAAGCACCAAAAAACCACCATGACTCTTTCCAAGGGAGAAATGACAGCTCCGTCTTTGACCTGAATAGCATGAAAACAAGGCAGTCTGATCCAGAGAGCTGCCCTGTCATGGAGAGAATAACCCTTGGGGACACCAAGTACCCAAACAGCACAGCACATGAATATAAACAATGAATACCCAATGGCTATAGGCCTCCTTTGGCTTACAGCCCCTCACAGCACTTTAAGAGGTGAAAATAGAACTGGAAGACGCCTTAGGGATCCCCGGGCACAACCCCCGCTTTTTGCAGATAAGGAAACTGAGGCTAGTTAACATGTCTATTAAAGAAGCTGGAGCAGGGTGAAAGCTAGAACCTTGATCTCAAACTCTCAGGCTTCTGTTTTATTTTCTCTATCACCCTGCAAGCCCAGATCCCAGAAGGGAACCCCATGGTTCCCATCACGCTGCTATAGACTGAATATTTATATCCCCTCAAAATTCATGTATTGAAACCTAATCCTCAATGTGATGGTATTTGGAGGTGAGGCCTTTGGGAAGTGATTAGGTCATAAGGGTGGAGCTCTCACCAGAGGGATTAGGGCACTTAGAAAAGAGACCGCAAGAGCTCCCTGGCCCTTTTCTGCCATGTTGAGGACACAGTGAGAAGATAGACATCTATGAACCAGGAAGCAGGCCCTCACCAGACACTGAACCTGCCAGTTTCTTGATCTTAGAATTCCCAGCCTCCAGAACTTGTGAGAAATAAATTTCTGCTGTTTACAAACTACCCAATCTGTTTTTGATATAACAACACAAATGGACTAAGACACACACTCTAATCTCCTCATGAGAAACTGGGCTTTTACCATAGGGGAGCTGAAGAGAAAAAAACATTGTTTTTTATTTTCTACTGCTAATTTGAAAGGATACTCATATTTATCAGTGCCTCATGGGGGCAGTCCAGTCTGTAAGTCCCAGAGGGAGATATGGAGATGAAAAAGGGTCAAATACCTGGGCCTTCCTGAAGCACAAATCATTCTGTGAAGGCAAACAATTTAGTAGTTATACAGTCTGATTTCCCAGAGCAAGCAATGCTCATCCTACCATTGCTTATGTTTATGTACAATTTAAGAGGACCAAATGGCTTCGTCGCACTGTGGAGTGTCAATGCTGGTGTCATTAACATACAATTATACATGCGTGGAGCAGATCATCGAGTACCTGTCCTCTTAATAAATCACATCATGAAAAGCTATGGTTTAGATGTCACTTTCATTTCATAAAATGATTCACCACAGTATGTCTTAAAAGCTAGTTTTGCTCATGCATTTAGTCTACAATTCCACTGATAGAGATGTGATTGCCTCGCAACTTGTCAGAAACACATCCTCTGAATAAAACATGGTACTCCTCCCAGCCACAGAATGCCAACCTTGATCCAGATCTATTTTGGGCGCTTGGCTCCTAGAAATGAATGAAAGTCGTTGTTGAGGTGGAATTTTGCTTCAGGTCCTGTGGGACTTGATGAGGACATTCTTCCCAGCACAAGAAGCTGACCAGGGACAGGGTGCCACAGCTGAGTGTGTTACTGAGGATAAACATATTTAAACCGCTGTTTGTGGACAGTTCCCCTCCTCCTTTACTGTCAACATATATCATAAAATAAATCCTTTCATTTCATCTTAGGAAGGCAAGATATTCAGGCTAGTGATGAAAGAACAGTAAGGAGAGACTTGATAGCCCAGACCAGTAGCAGCTAAACTAACCTTGAAAGCAGAAGAAAAAAAAAAGAGAGCCACTAAGCCACCGAGTGAGAATGGGTGGCAGGAAGAGTTAGAGAGATCCTGCCCATTCGCATTTCCTTCTCTTCACTCTCTCTTCAGCCTGTCTCTTGACAAGAGTGTCCCGGTTCACCCATCGCAAATCTCCACTTACCATGACAGGCATGAGGATGGAATGTCCTATCTCGAGACACCTACAGGCTAACTGAGGAATAGAAATCAGGGAGGGAAGCAGCTCCTAGGTCTTACAGTTTAATGATTACACCGCCGTTTTCAGCCCCTGACTTCATTAAATTCAGGGTAAGGACGACCCACACGACGTCCTTCTCGTGCCAGGTACTTGGCAAGTCAGAACCAGTCGCCGCTGTGTCCTCCCGGCAAGATGAGCGCAGGTTTCAGAAGCCCCAGCTCTGGAAGTTTGCTGTGCCAGGCTCCTCGGAGCAGCACCACTGCCCCAGACGAACACGCACACACACGCACTCACACACACACACACGCACACGCACGCACACACACACACACGCACGGCTCATTGGACACTTGCCCTGCCACCCCCGAAAGCACAGCGCCGAGGAAAGGCCGGTTCCGGCCGCGAAGGCAGCAGGTGTCCCCTGACCCTTTCCCTCCGCCCTCCAACCCCAGCCCCATCCCTAGCTGAGTTCCTATGGACGCCCCCCAAACTCGCAGTTCTCGGGCAGAATTGCGACCAAGAAATAAAAGACAAAATGAGCAGACTTACCTAACTCGTCTGGGCTGTAGGATGCGGGCGAGGCTTCCACAAACTCACTGTCTGGGGGAGAAGAAAAGCAGAAAACAACTCGAATCGCTACCATTCAGGACGAACCCGCACAAGCACCAGCTCAAGCGCAGGTCCCCGGGAAAAGCGCGGGCTTCTCTCTCCCAGCGCTCAGAATCCCTGAGCCGGAGGCCCCGCGGGATTCAGACCGCCAGATCCCCAGGGAGTGACAAATCGCCGCAGAAACTTGGGGGACAACTCGGCCCTGGCACCGCGCGGCTTCCAGGCGCGGTCAGGCGCGCGCCAACTTTCCCCGCGTGCCACCCCGCGGCTCCCCCGGCCGGGCGCTGGGCCGCGGCCGCATCCTCTGCCCTCAGCCCGCGGGGCGCATTGCTCTGTCTGCCGGGCCTGGCGCCGACGCCCCAGCGCCGAGGAGCCGCGAAGTTTTCCCGCGGTCCCGGGGGCCCGAGGGCGCGCGGCGGCGGCGGCGAGCACCCCTCGCCCACCCAGGCGCCCCGCGCATCCCCGCTCGTTGCTAGGCGACCGTGGCCGTCACGCTCCGCAGAGGCGCGCGCGGCCTCCCAACTCCCGGCTGGCGGAATCCTCCCTAGTCCCCGCCCCGTTTGCCCATTTTCCAAAAAATCAGAGCATAACCCGTTCTAACCCGATTCCCTGCTCTGTTATGTTATGTCTGCCCTCCTCTGATGCTTGGGAAATCGTTTGTTCTGTGGGCTTCTCCTGAGGAGATGGACGATTTTCAGAGCTTGCAGAAAGGTAGGAGGAGACCCAAATGCCCCCCAATCCCCTCCTTTTGGAACCAGAATTCCAACTCCAGTCCAACATTATTTCCTACTCTTCAAGAGATCACCTGGCTCAAGTGGGCAAAGTAATATGAGCTGCATTGCACAGGTTGGGAAACCGAGGCTGAGAAGTTGTTAATTTATGCGTGACATCATTATGGTAGGGGTATGTGAGGGAGAAGTGGGGGAGGAGAGAAGAGCAGTGCTCCTTCTACTCTATAAAAGATTGACTGCTTTCAAATACAGAATGTAGAAGCAATGGTTATGCTCTGAGAACTGTAAATTCTAAAATAATTAATGTAACACTGTGAGAACCTCCCCCTCTGAGTCAGTAGCCTGATAACTTGGACAGATGTGTTATGTATCTCCCCCCAGCCCCCAGGACTGACTGTGACTGCTCTGCATTAAGGGGGCGAGGGTGCTGGACTTGGGGTGTGCTCCAGAGAGAGCCCCGCAGCTGATGGCCCATAACAGGGTCAGTGGGAAGGAAGGAACAAGTATGGAAATGGTTGTCCTTTCTCCATCCTTGGAGGACTATTGGAGGGTCAACAGTCTGGGCAGCCTCCTGGGGGCCTTCTATTGTCTCAAAGTGATCAGAGCACCAGCTGCAGCAGCCTAAGGGCCCCGATCTGAGCCAATGTGCTCTCATCCTGTAAACACTCAGCCATCTCTGGCTTTTCCACTGTCAGTTTTTGGTTTACAAATCACCATGAAGGACAGAAAGCCCCTTCGGCCAGCATTGCTTAGGGAGCCCAGGGAAGCAGGGGTGGGGCTGTCCTCCCCAAGCAAGGCAGCATTCTTGAGCTGCTGAGCCTATCTCTCCAACCTCTTCTTTTTCCTGCTTCTTATAATCTGAGCTCCCAAATCCAGGAATTAAATATGTTTGGGTGAGGGTTTGCACTCATCACTCCATCCCCTCCCAACTCCTAGAATCCTCCCATTTGTCCTCTGGAACTCATGGTTCATCGCTAGCAAAATCTATATATCCTCAGCCTCCTCTCTGAATGTTTCTTTCAGTGTTGTGCTCTGACCCATACCTGGCTTTCCTTGAAAATAACAGGCTGCATTACTTGCCTCCTCTACTTATTTCAGCCATCTATGGATCCTCTGGTTGTTCTACCTCATTTCTTGAAGATAATGGCATCTGATTCACTGTCACTTTTCCCAGTATCATTCCTGTGATTATTCTTATTTTTCTCCATCTACATAGTCACACTCTGATCTCTCAACTCTTCTGCATCTTATCCCTTTCTTGACCTGCTCCAACCACACCAGCCCCCTGCTGTCATAGCGACACCATGCATAATATCAAGGTGAAGTAATCCACTCTCCTACCTTTCCAGCTTATCCCCTCTGTTATTTTAATCCAATGTGTCCTTGACCCCACCAGCATCTATAATTTACTTATCCATGACCTTTTCTCTGCCCCTCACTCTCCTCATGACCCTCCTTCCTTCCTTATGGACTTTAGTTTCCAGTTTCATTATTATTTCTCTCTTACTTACACCTTCAAATCCATGTTCTGCTCTCTTTCCATGCTATTTACCTGGTGAAAACACAACCCTAGTAAAATATAACTCTCCACCTTCTTTCCATCTACACCCAGCTAAACATGATTGAAGAAGCACAAAATTGGCTGGGCATGGTGGCTCACATCTATATTTCCAGCACTCTGGGAGGCTGAGGTGGGTGGATCACCTGAGGTCCTGAATTTGAGACCAGCCTGGCCAACATGGTGAAAACCCATCTCTAGTAAAAATACAAAAATTAGCCAAGTGTGGTGGCACATGTCTGTAATCCCAGCTACTCAGGAGGCTGAGGCAGGAGAATCGCTTGATACCAGGAGGTGGAGGTTGCAGTGAGCAGAGATCACGCCATTGCAGTCCAGCCTGGGTGACAGAGCAAGACTCCGTCTCAAAAAAAAAAAAAAAAGCACAAAATTATGCTCTCTGGTCTTATTTTCGATTCATGTCCACTAAAATCAAATGGAGCTAGTGCAGCCCAGCAATCACTCTGCATTTGCCTGTTTATTTACTCTCCCGCTCTCTTGTTGCTATGGATGAATCATCTAAGGCCATTATGGCCTCCTGTATGGATCAGATCCCATTTATGTGGCTTTTCCCTCTTCCCACCTGGATTAATATTTTCTTCTGTCCTTGATCACTCCTGTCAGTATACAGACATACTACTATGATCCTGTCTTTTTAAAAATCCTTTCTTGACTCTATGTATCTCCAGCCATTACTCCAATTCTCATCTCCCCTTTACAACAAAATTCATTAAAATAATTGTCTACACTGATAGCACCCATTCTCCATTTTGCTCTTACAAGCAGCCTAAATAGGTTTCTACCTCACTCTGCCAGAGTAGCTCTTGTCAAGGTCAAGAATGGCTTTGCCATTGCCAATTCCAATTATCAGTCCTAGATCCTAACAGCAGGTTTTGACCTGCTGATCTTATGAGTGGATGGGCTCAGATGGGCTGTCTGCAGAATCAGTCTCCTCTGGTTTCCCATAGAATCAAGCAAATAACATTTGTGTCTCAAGAGAGGTGACCTATAGAAGGCCTTGGGATCAGCCAGACCTGGGTTCTAATACCTGTTCCAATACTAGCTAGTAACTTAATTTCTTTCAGCCTTAGCTTTGTGTAAACATGGAGATAATAATCATACCTAGCATACCAATGTGGTGAGAGTGCAATAAACTAATGCACTTGGAGCCCCTAGGAGAGAGAGTGTCACACTGTAAAAGTCAAATAAACATTAGTTATTATTGGATGCCATGCTCCTTTACAGCTGACACAAATGGACTCTTTTTATCCCTTAACAATTTTGAGTTACTAAAAGAAGATATTAACCACAGAGTATGTTTACATTAGAGGAATGTTCGTTGTCTCCAACTTTTAGTTTGCATTCCAAGAGTTGGCTTGAAGGCTGGTTACTTGGAGCTGGCAACAGGTTTACCCCTATGAAGAGCGTTGCCAGTGCTCCACAGGGTGATTAGGTTCTGGAGCCTGCCAAACTGTTCTCACAATGGACTTGCCTTCAATTTGTTCATATAAATGGATGACTTGTAAACTAGGAACTATCCTTACAACATTTTAGTTATTTGAATTTCCTAATCAACTGAGGGTTAATGAGAAAACATTTCTCTTGTTTCAGTATTTGCTGTTGAAAATTCTCTAAAGTCAATGATTCCAATTTTCTATCTTAGGAAGTAGAATAGAGCCAACAATAATGTTTCATATTAATTAAACAAACATTTATTGGGAATTTACCATGCTTCCAGCGCTGTGCAAGGCACTGCAGACACAGAGATGATCAGTGCCCTTCTAATAAGGGATTCCATGACAGACCTTATTGAATCTCAGGGCAATGTCCAAAGTGCCTACCCACACTTGACTTTTATAGGTCTCTTATAAAGAAATGGTTCTGCTGGAGTGTCACTGAGTTATAATAAACAGTGCACAAGTTTACGGATTTGCATCTCAGCTCTGTGAATATTGGGTGGCAGGCATTTTCAGTTTCCTAACAATAATACATACCTCACTGGATTGTTAGGAGCAGCGAAATAGGTAAGGTATGAGACAGACCAGGCACAGTGTCTAGCACACATAGGTACATAATAAATATTCATTTTCTGGCTGGGAATGGTGGCTCATGCCTGTAATCACAACACTTTGGGAGGCAGAGGCAGGTGGATCACCTGAGGTCAGGAGTTCAAAAGCAGCCTGGCCAACATGGTGAAACTCCATCTCTACTAAAAATACAAAAATTAGCTGGGTGTGGAGGCAGGTGCCTGTAATCCCAGCTACTCAGGAGGCTGAAGCAGGAGAATCGCTTGAACCCGTGAGGCAGAGGTTGCAGTGAGCAGAGATTGTGCCATTGCACTCCAGCCTGGGTGACAGAGTGAGATTTCGTCTCAAAATACATACATACATAAATAAATGTTCATTTTCTTCCCACATAGAGGGCTAGAGCATGCCAGATTGCTCTCCTTTTCATCCCAGGTGGCAGGTGGGCCTCCTGCTGCCATGGCCCCAGCAGACAGCAAGAGGGAGTCCCTGCCCCTGTTTCTAGGGAAGCATATTTATTAGAGGTGGGACGTATGGGGAGGAAACGACAAGGTGGAAATATTTCTGGAGCTCAAGAGGAAGTTTACCATAGAAACAGATTATACAGGGGCCTGGTGTCTAATGGTCACTGTTACTATTGCCATGATATATCGTGAGTTGATGGGCTTTTGGGAGCTGGCCTGGGAACCCAACTCCTAACTCTAATGTTCTTTCTTTCCTTATATTATTGTAAATGTTTTAATTTTATTTTTATAATATAAACAAATAAAATGTGTTTGCTGTAAAGGAAAAAACATTTGGTATAGATGAGTATAAACTGAAAAATAAAAGTCTCCTTTCCTGTCCTCTCCTAATCTCCATCCGCAAACTAAAAACCATCCACAACTTCTTATGTGTCCTAGTAGGAATTTTTAAGGCATATTCAAATGTGTATACGAATTGTTTAAACAAGTTGGATATTATTATTATGGATTCCAGATTAAAGGCAAAAATTTCTAAATGAAATTTTGCTCCACTCCCAAACATAAGCTGGGGTATGACTGTTTTCTGTTTAGGAAGGCAAGAAAGTATATTAAAAAGTCATAGAAGAAAAGTCTTATCAACCATTAGAAAACAGTAAAATCTTAAACAAAATTTAAGTGTTTAAAGGGTAACACATAACGCTTCAGTTATCTGGAAAACTCAATCAGCTCCCTCGTTCCTCAGTAAATGAGGTATGGTTATATAGCAACACTGGACATAATGCCAGGATCAAAGGAAATCTTAGCTGCATTTCTAGAGCTAAGAGCACACTCTACATACTTTTTTGGGGGTACAATGCCCATCACAGATATTCTGCTTAGTGTGCAGGGACTCCAGCTGTAAGCCGGGAACCTGCCCTGTAGCAGTCTGGGAATGCCATCAAGCCCCTGCCCAGCCTCTGCTGCAGAGGTGGCAGGGTCTGCTTTGACTGCAGGCTCTACTTGGAGGAGCAGACCACAGGAGGGCCTTTACAGGCTGTTCTCACTCAAGGGGCCCCCAGGGGTTACATAGCTACTTGATGGTGTTCAGAAGAGGAAGAGACGGAGTCTCACACAGATATGCTTCTTTCTCCAAGAGATGGGTGAGGGGCTAAATGCCACATGGGGAGAAACTTTATCCAGCCAAATGATGCTATTAATTCTCTTTGCAAGAAAGAGCTGCACAAATGCCATAATAACAAGTTAAGACAGTAGCTAGGGCCCACTAGGATGTGTGTATGGCCTTCCCATCCCCAGCCCCCAAGGAAATCACCAATTTCAAGCATGAAAGACAGAAAGAAGTGAGCTGAGCTGAGTCATCTCTCTGCCTTCCTCTCCTTCCTGGTATTGCCCTTTGATCATCTTCTCTGCAGGTAGCCTTCTCTCTCCTGGAGGCCCTCTGCTAGTTAACAGCAGAGCAGAGCGGGGAAGCAATACCCGCTCCTCCTCCCCTCCTCTCCCAGGGGAGCATGGGCAGGACTGATTTAGAGGGAAGAGGGGCTAAGGCTGCCTGAGCTCAGCATGACTCTCTTCTGTTATCCTTGTCTCTTATCTGCACCTCCTAGGACAAGCCAACAGATAGGACAAACACATGCCTATCAGTAAGGTTTCATCAAAATGAAATTTGCAATTGATTGGTTGAAGCATTAGCTCCCAGGCTGAATTGGCCCAATGGGCATTTCTTGTTCTCTAGGATTTAATAGTCTTTCCTTTTAGCACAGCTCCACTTCTTTATAAGACTTGATGAAAAGGAAAAAGAAAACACAGCTGTTTTATTTTCCCTAAATGAAAATCAGGCCTCAGGTAACTACTTTGTTTCGTAATTTCCAGAAGACAGGAGTGGGCTCCATAGGAAGAATAATTAACCATATCTCACCTAAAAAAATCATTATCCTAAGCAGAAACAATACAGATGTTGTATGGATCTGCCTCAAGGCCAGCGACCAAGAGATGAAATGAAATTAACTCTGACAGGAAGCCAATGGTTCATTTTGGTAAAAATGCCAAATGTGTCCTCTAAAAATTCCAAATATCAATGCAGGAGGTGCTATCAACAAAAGCAAGGTGTTTTGGGAAATATATAAATAAATTAAATTTGTCCCATTCCTGCACTGCGTTCCCCACCAGATTCCTGTTACCAAGTATAGTCCAGAGAGGAAGATTTAAAAGAATCTTCACTCAATATCATATCAAAGGAAATAAAATCTGGCTGAGCCAAGAAGCTACTAGAAGGTGTACTTGGACATGAGTCAGAATAAAGAACGATTCCAAAAATACATACAAGAAAAGGTCCCTGCAGAGGAAAATCATACACTTCCGACTTACACTCAGATCTATTGAGTGAAATCAGACAAAATACCCAGTGTTAAGATTAAGGACAAAAACATTTGCTGCAATTGAAATCTATGACTAAACTATTAAAAAACAAAATCTGTAGGATAAATGTGAGTTTCTGCTGAAATGCAGAGACCATGATCTTATATTTCCAACCCAGCATCTAAGGCAGAGGCCTGAGGGGGAATTGCTTCTTTCAGAGCTGCAAATCGAGTCTTCTTGGACCACACAGAGGCTTCTCTTCTTTCACAGAAAAGTGGTTTTCCCAAGATGCTATTGCCTTAGCAGTCAGCATAGTGTGGGTGGTAGAAAGAGAAGCAGGAGACCTTGCTGTAGCCCTGTTTTTGCCACTAATCTTTAATAAGTGTCCTAATCTGCTTATACTGTGCTCTTCTCTGTAAAACGACAGTTGAAACAGATGAGAGACTTTAAGGAACTAATTGAAACAAGTGCCAGTAGGAGATCACAGATAATGGATTCCATTATATGCATCTGTTCACTACAGAGTACGCAAGAAAAATAGACAAAAAGGATCAAACTTCTCAGAAAGGTGGAGATGCAGAGTAATGTTGTCCTTAGAAACTGACAGACAGGAGTAAAATGGATAGAACGCAGCTCTGGAGTATGAAGACCTGAGTGTGAATCTGCTGTCTGAGCTGGGCTTAGTTAGTTTGCCTTTGCAAGACTCAGTTTTCTCATCTGCAAAATGGAGATAAGACTAACTACTTCACAAGATTTCAATAAGGGTTTGAATGCAATGAAATCATGTACATGGCAATGTTTGGCACACAGACTGCTGTCAGGAAAAGTTGCCTCCTTCCTCCTTGACCAGTGTTAAAACTCTCCCTGACCCTGAGAGGCTTCAGAAAGGAAATCTGCTCCTTCCTGTTTATATAACCATAATGGGAACAGTACCACTGAATTTCTATGACGCACCTGGCCCACGCTGCCAGGCCGTGTTTCCCAGACTTCCTGCCTCTCCCCTAAAGAGGAGCTTAAGCAGGTTGAGTTCCCTGGGAAGCATGGATGACAGACAGCAGGATTCCCAAACAGCTGAGTGAGCACATCTATAAGAGGAAGAAGAAATATTTTATAGATTTGCTGAGAAGGAACTCCTCTTCCGTACCAAATCCCCACATACTTGATATGGCTGGTGGCCGAACAGCCCAATCAACTTGTAATGCAACAGTCAGAAATGCGACAGTGGCCAAACACTGTCTCCCTTTTGTTTCATATGTCAGGGACTGCATGTGATTTCTTTTGGAAAATGTGCTCCAGACCTTTAAAATGAGTTTGAAAACCCAGTGGCCCAGATCACTGGGAATATTTTTAGGAGTGTCAGAAGCAGGAGTGGAAGAGGGACTTCCCTTCAGAAACTCCTTATCACCCCCAAACATCCTGGGTTCACAGCTAGCTTCCTGGAAGCTCTCCTACCCAATTGCAGCCCGAGATGCTCTGAGGATAATAGAAGGGCAGATGTTGTGTGGATCTGCCTCAAGGCCTATGACTCAACAGGATGACAGAGACTCCCTGGAAGATAATGCAATTCTCTGTGGACTGCAGGAAGCCAACAACAAAACCCCAAGGTTTGGACACTCCAGGGCTTTCTCTGGTACTCCACTAGAAATGCAAACCCCACCAGCCCATATTGAGCCTCAGAGATAGAATAGCTGGCACTAGCCAGTGGTGGGGAGAGGTGAGGTAGGGAAATGGAGTGTCGAGGAAAGATGCTTTGAAGCAGGTGGGTCAAGGCCTTGGCTATGCATGAGCTGAGATGGCTGTAGGGGAGAGCCCTGCTGTGAGCTTGGATGAGAATGCACATGTTACAACAGCACTGTTTATTTTCTGGCCCTGCTCAGGGCTAGTTTTCATTTTAACTGTGACAAGCAAATAACCAGCAATACAAGTTTGTAAATGGACCACCAGAGCCTTAAGCTGTGAAGGCAGAGTAGGGAGTGTTGGAGAGGGAATTGGAGGGACAGAAGCCTATGGTGGCTAGGATTGGACTGATCTCAGTTTAAATTCCAGCTCTGCCATTTGTGAGCTGAATGATGTCGTACAAGTTTCTCAGCCTCTTCAGGCCAATTTTTTCATTCATGAACTCAGAATAAAGCTGTTGTGAGAATTAATTGAGATAGTCTATATCTATACAAAAAAGGCTTAGTGTAACATCTGGCAATATTATATATCTAATAAATGGTTAAAATATTTTTCTATAATTCGTCCATTTCTGACTTAGCTCTGGCACATTACACTTCCTCTCCGAGTGCCAGTATCCTCATCCTACTTCAACACCTCACGAGGTTCTCATTTTGGCACCTGACTCTGTCCTCTGAGGACCTGCACCTTTCTTGGATCTCATCCCAGGCCTCTGAGAACCACCTTAGTATCAGCTGCCCACAAGGATTTACAGATTTCAGCCACACTGATTCCTTGTGTCTGTGCTTCACCCACTGACAGTGGGTGACTGTGCTTCACCCACTTCACCACAACACTGCCCTGCTTTGTCTTGGATGCCTTCATATTTGCAGGATATAGACTGATTATCTGAACTGGAACCAGATATTATGGTATCTGTTGCCTACCAGAACTAAGCTTTTCCCTCAGCCCCAGAAGCTCGTCACTTACCCAAAAGCAGTACCTTCTCTTTAGGCAAACCTAGACACAGGTCTGGCTTCCCTTCCTATGTTCCAGCCTTGCCCCAAAGATTGCAGATAGATGACATGGTAAACTCACAGAAGGATAAGACAGAGCTTGGAGATGGTCACAGTATGGAGTTTTTAGCCACCCCTTTGTTACAGTGATCCCTAAGGCTTCTTTCAGTTCTAAAATTCTCTGGTGGATGATTCTATTGCCTAGGTTACAAAAGCACCAAGCATCAGTGGGAAAACCACACTTTCTTTCTCTCCTCTGCCTTTAGGCTTTGGTAACAAGCCTAGGGTCATTGAATCAAATGCTATAGGTGTGCTGAAAGCAAGGTGAAGTGATGTGGTGGTGCCAGAAGCAGTTGTATAATCAGATAGGTTCCCACAGCCAAAAAAGGTTTTCAATGAAGGCAGAGATATTCAGAGGATGTGGTCCCAACTGTCATTCATTCATTCATTCATTCATCCAGCCACACAGCCAGCCAGCCATCAAATATACACCATGAATTTGCCATGCAACAGTGAAAGGGGTACAAAGATGAATAAAACAAGGCATCTGTCTCAAGAAGCACACAGGCTGTTCAGGATTCAGGCAAGCACAATACAGTGTGATGATACGTGCTGTGACATGGGAATCTGCAGAGGCTATGGCAGCACTGAGGAGGGAGGAGAGACTCTCCTTCAGACCAGGATGGGGGTTGGTAGGAGGTGGTGGCAGGAAGAGATCCCAGAACAGATGACTTAAGCAGAAGCTTCAAAGATGAGTAGGAACTGGCCAAGTGGAAGAGAGATGATAATAGCAGCCTTTGCAAAGGTTCACAGGCATGTGAGGGCAGGATGTATTCAGGGATCCAGGAAGAGGCTGATACAGTGAGAAGGAGGGGGTTGCTATTAGTGATGGGCAGCAGGAGATGAATCTAGAGGGGCAGGCAGAGGTCAGATCTGGAAGGGCTGTGTGTTGAACTAGGGAGGTTTAGTTTTTTTCCATGGGGTGTGAAGAGATGCTGGCTTAAGAACTTCTAAAAAGAGGCTGGAATGACAGTATGACAGTGCACAGGAACAAATGACAGTTGGTTTTTGGGTGGAATGCATCCAAATTTCCTCTCTCAAAGCTTCCTGTCTTCCCTTTGGCGACTATCTCATTGTGTGAAGCAGTCTTGGTTGGAAGACATACCCTGGTGTAGTGCAGAAGGTCTGCAAATGTTTGTTGCCATATAAGTTACCCTGTTTTAGAGGTGGGCACATCAGAGAGTATAGTCTGTTGTTCTCTATGTCTATCTTGCTCTCGTTCTTGTATTACTAGTGCTTGGCATAAAATAGATACTCAATAATATTTGTTGAATAAATGAATAAACAACAAACAAATGGGAGACATATCCTTGTGAAAACATCTGTGAGTGCATTAACCTCAACAACCTTTCATCGTCCATCTATAGAATGGCTCCTACCATCAAAGTAGGTCTCTATCAGATTTGAGGGATGGAGGAGGGAGCGGACTCTTAGACCTGACAGAGGACCACAGCTCTGTGTCAGGGTATGGTTCTTATATTTGTATGCTCTGCTCCAGGAAAGTAACAATATCTCCATCATTTAATGCTGAGTCACATTAATTGGATAATCATAAAGAAGGGAAAGAGCTGGCCTACTCTGTTTATATTGGTTGCTTTATCCTCAACTTGAATGTTTACAGGCTGCTGAGAGGAGAAATGAGCAAAACAGGAACAGAGTGCCTAACACATGTTAGGTGCTCAAAGATGTCTGACCAGCTTCCCACCTGGCCAGGGCAAGAGCTCATTACATGACAGCTGATGGTCCTCATCATAACACTGCAAAGTGGGCATTCTTACTCTCATGTTAGAGCCCAGGGAATGACAGATTTTCTCAAGGCCATAAAACTTGTAAATAGTGAATTCGGTATCTGAACCCAGGTCTGTCTGACTTCAAAGTCCATTCCCTCTCCTCTCCACTCAGCTGCTTTTGAAAAGACAAACAGCGTGGGCACGTACTGAGTACAGTGGATTGACATAATGAGGTGCAGAAGCTGAAGAGTACCATGCTATCAGGGACATCAAAAACGGCCTTACCCGCTCTGGTGCTGGCAAAATGATGAATTCCAGCATGGGATAACCAGGCTCCTTCCTCCAAAGTCCATTTTTCACTGAGGTCCATGCTTCTAGCCCCTTGTATGTATAGCTTTCAGATCAAATGGAAGCAATCTCCTGAAATAAATAATGAATATAAAAAAGGGATTTGAATTACCACTGATGTTCTCTTTGTGAAGAGAAGCTTTCTTGAAGGAAAGTGGTCAGTTTCTAGCTCATTTCATTCCTTTGGCACACAAAGCTCGTTGTCTAGATTTGGGTATGGCCTGAGTGTGAAGTTGCTCAAGCCCACAAACCAGGTTTTCCTCACCATTCAGTTAACAAATATTTGTGGAATGACTATTGTATGCCAGGCTTTGAGCAAGAAATTTACTATTTAGTTGTGCATAGTTTATAGACTCCTAGAATTTCAGGGCAGGATATAGTGGGATCTCAATTTTATTTAAAAGATACACACTCTTCTATTTGCCTAAAAAATGACTAAAAAAACTTGAACTAATAAGTTAGAAGCAGTTTTCATTGTATTAGAATTATGACTACTTTTTATCTTCCTTGTAATTTTCTGCATTTTCAACAATGAACATGTATTGCTTTTGTAATCTCAAAAAGGTATGCAATAAATATTATTTTAAAAGAACACTTCAGAGCCAAGAGGGACCATGGAGACCAATTTTCCTTTTCCTTTTGAAAACTATAATAGAAAGGCACAGTTACAAGGGCTCTTGGCTTTCGTAAAAAGATCATTCCCACTCCATTGGCCACCACTGAGAAGGCCAGCCTGAAGAATCTCTCTATATGCAAACTGTACCTGGGCTGATTACAACTCATGGCCAAACTCTTGCCCATATTACAAAGAGATCTTGATAACGCTCTGCATGTAGCAGGTTCTCAAATGAAAGTGATTGAGTAATTGAACATGACTGATTCATCACATCTGTGAATGCAGCAAGTGGGACATCCACACAGTAGAAGTCCTGTCAGCCTAATTAGGATAGGCACCAATCATCATTTGCTGTAGTCAGCCCAGCTGGCTTAATTTGGTCTCTAGAATGCTGTTCAGAGTTGCCCTGCGGGTTCCTGCATTGCCTGCCAGACTGCAGACATGGTAGATTGACTTGTTGCTTTTTGGCTATCTGCCTGGAAAAATATGATACTTATGGGAGATGCACCAAACAAATAACAATATCTAATAAAATACTAGGAAGTACCAAAGAATGTAGTGCACTTTATTGGGTACTGCTTCTCTAGCAATTTGTGTTGAATCCAATTACCCAAAAATTTTGGAAGGGAGTTCTAGACCAGAGTGAATATGGCACAGTGTAATAGTGAGAACGTTAGACTTATCAATAAATCCAGATTTTAGCCCTGACTCTGCACTAACTGGATGACTTTGGGCAAACCAGTTACTTTCTCTGGGCTTAATTTCCTCTTGCAAAGACCTCTTCAGGCCTCCCAGACTTGCAGCCTATAATAATATGCTTTTGTATACAAAGGCTACCTATCCACCCATGTCAGTGGATTGAGGAAGCTGCATTATTTATCCGTTAGCCAACTGAGACATCAGCACACAAGAGGTGGCTGATTGAGGCTAGAAGTAGTCTGCCATTGAACCAGACACGTTCTCTGTGCAAAACTAAAAACATGTCTGGAGTAGAAATCCAATATTGGGCCATAATCACACTGGTATCATCATTTAATCAACTGAAGTAAATATCCAACATTTTATATCTTTGCTGATTATTAAATAGTATTAACAATAATACTACATCCTTAAAAAGCAACACTTATTTACAACAGGTAATTCAAAATCACTTCATTAATCTTTGCAGTATCTTTGGGAAGTGAAGTAGAGACTCCAAGAGCTTTGTTTGACAAAAATAGGCTTTAGTGATTAACCAAAGAGTGGTTTTCAAAGAAGATTCCCATCTCTCTTGGCCCAGTGGCCTAGGTACCCTCTGGCTTCCAGGAAACAGATTTGCAAGATGATATGGATGTGTGAGGTTAGGCTCTCACATCCATGATTTTATTTTATTAATCTGAACTACATAGGCCCATGGTGAGTGTTTTATTAACTTCAACCTGCAACCCCTGCTGGTTTCTCTGATGCTTGAATTTCACTTCAGCTTGGGAAAACCAAGCACTAAATGTAAAATGAAATGGCATCAAACACATGTATTTTGAGGAAGGTTTTGATCCATCACACCTGTTACTGAAATTCCAACACCTCCCTTTAGCCACAGGAAGCCCCAGAGTTGCTCAGGAGATTCTGGAGCCTAGAAAAGAGTTTTCAGGCCTCAGGCCATATAAAATAACTTACTAAAGAATTTCTATTGGGTATTTAACCTCCATCCAAGTCTAAACCCTGCCATAGACAAAGTCCATGAAGAAGAAACTAAAATGTAATGCAACCTTGAGAATTTAATGAAAAACATAATGCAACCATGGAAACAGGAAGTGAAGAAATACTTTCTAATGACAGCACAAATACTAATATGCCTGATAAGTTGGGGTGGGTGAATGGGAAAGACCATCAAAAACTTACAGATGTAATTCTGGCTTTGAGAATCACTTTTTTAGAACTAAGCTACCTGCATAGATGGACATTGGGGTCTATGGAATACTGGAATACTATGAATACATAATTGGCACTTCATAAATATTGGTTGATTGAATGGATGAATAAATGCCCAGTGTGGGTGAAGACTCTACCTAGGTATTAGATCTCATAAAGCTCTCAAAGGAGATTTGTGTACACCGATAGAGTGGTGTGAGACAGACCAGCAGAATGGACCTTTGGATTTAAGAAGGTTTAACTCTCCTGTTAAAACCCGTAGACCAGAACTCTCCTGAAACTGACACAGCCTCTTCTTTTATGGGTCCATCTACCCAGCTGCCCAAGCCAGAAACTTGGCCATCCTTGACTTATTACATCTCACATCCAACTGATCACTATGCTTTGTTCATTCTTTCAAATGTCTCAATAATCCATCTGCTTCTGTTTTCATTGCCTCAGCCTTTGTTGAACTGCCATCATCTCTCACTAAGCACTATGACAACTTCAGTGAGTCCCTGGTCTTCATTTCCTCCAACCCATTCTCCACAATTTAGGTGTAGTAGTATTTTTAAAGCACGCATCTGATCATGTCACTTCTGGATTAAAATACTCCAGTAACTCATTGTTCCCAGGAGAAAGTCTGGACTATTTAACATGGTATATAATGCTCAATTATTACAAGGCATTTGCAGTCCCTGAATAAGCTCCCTTCTTCAGTCTTTTGTATATTCAGCCATTCCTAGAGCTCTAGCAAGACTGTTCTTCCTGCCCACCCTCTTCATCTTGCTAACTACAACTTATCTTCCACATCTCATCTTAGACTTGGTTCTGTGTTCCTCAGAGGCTCCCACAGGCTCCCTGTGCTTACCTCATTATAGCATTTATCACACTGCATTGCAATTTTCTGTTAATATATCTATAGTTTAGTTCATAGTTATGCACTTGAGAGTAAAGATCCTATCTTATTTTTATTTGACCCTAACATTTGCACAGTGTCATCATAAGGGAGGCACTTAATATAGATTTGCTGAATGAATGAATATGTGAATGAATAGTGTTGTTTGGCACAAGTGTATTTCAGCTTAACATGTCTTTTTGAAAAGTATTCTGTTTGCAACCTCACCCATTGCCTCAGCTTCTCTGGAAATTTCTCCATCTCAAAACCACACCCAAGCTGCCTATGCTTCCTGGCCCTGTTCTGGCCTCCTCATCCAGTCTAACTTGCCTACATTCCCCCACGTCTTCTCACACTTCAGCTTACATACCTGCCCTTGTACCCAGCATGCCACTGGAGTCCCTGCCACTCATACTCCTGCCTCCTTCCCCAAGCTTGGGATGAATCCGTATGCTTGATTATCCACAGGATACTCCTGCCACCTAATGCAGCCAAGTCACACTGGAACTTCTAACCACCACTTCTAGGGCCATTTCTGGCACTGAAGACTTGATCTAAAAATACAAATTCAGAAAAACCCTGGTCGTACATTGACTATGCCTTAATTGCCTCTATATGGCCCCATCTGTAGAGAGGGAATTCATTAACTAGAAGTACCATGTCTGGGGAATCAGGTAGCATATTCCATCATTCAGATATTCAAGCAACCCCTAGTTCTAACGCATATGAACACCATCACAGCAAACAAGTGTACTTGCTGGTAACTTACACTGTAAATCAGGATATACATAAATGTATATATACTGACATACAAAAATGAATTCATTCATTCATTTGATAAATACTAACTTGGTGTCTCCTAGGTACTAGTCACTGCACTAAACACATGGAATAGAAAAACAACAAATATTGTATCTTTCTTCAAGTAGCTTTCAAACTTGAGGAGGAGACATGTATATGAACGTATCATTACAGAACAACATACCAAGTACAAGCATAGATGCATGCACAGGGTAAACCAGGGATCTGCAAATAATGAAATCTGGAAGTTGGAATGGATCTCAGGGCCTTTAGTCCAACTCTTGCCTTATGCATGACTTTCCAGTATATGCTTATTCAGCCAATACTTAAATACTACCAGTGATAAGGAGCTCACTCCCTCGCCAGATAGCCCATTACATTTTTTAACGCTTCTGTGAAACAATTCACTTTCAGAGTCTCAACAAAATATTAATATTCACCAGCAATCCTCAGTGCTGCTGAGCTGTTCCCGGAACTCCTGCCCCTTGTTCTGTGCTTCAAAGGCTGCTTGAAGGAGAGATGCTCTCCAGCCTTGCAGATGTAGACCTCCTTCTTCAGTGAGTCAGGAATCAGAAGGAATAGTCCATCTTGGTTACAAGTAGAGGGTGTAAATCTTTCTGGTCACACCCAGAAGACAAACCAAACAACCCACTGAAGCACAAGAGGGAAGAGGTCACACAATGGGATCTTCCTTCTCCACCAGAAATACTTAAGATCTCCGTCATCTAGGATCTAGGTCTAGTTTATGTCAGCTATCCAAAAATCCTAATCATCAGTGGCCTGTGGACCACAGTAGAACAGAGGGAAGTCTCCTCCTGGGCTGCTCCAAGGGTTTGGTTCTGACGAGTTTCCGTTTCTAAGCTTGAAAAGTTATTTTCCTTCTAGCTCCAAATAGTTCCAAACATATCAGAATCTATCTTCACTCTTAATATTCAAGTGATAAAATTTCAGTGGCACCTACAATAATCTTACACTTGTTTGGAATAGAAAAACATTCTAGGTATTCACTGTGAGAAAAAAAAATACCTTTTTACATGAATAAAAGTACATGAAATGCTAGAGGGATAGACTCCTCCTCTGTCTAAAATGGCTGATGTTTAGAGAGTTGAGATACTTATTCTAGGCTTCTTGTTTGTATCCAAGAATTCTTACTGGCTTTGTAGAATTGAAGAGTTTGAGTCACTTGGAAACCATTATTTCAGATTGGTTTATCCAACTGGGCAGAGTATTTGTGAAGCTGCTGGGGAATTTATTGATGTTAATATTTTAAATATTCCAATAAATAATTTGTGCTATCTTCTCTCTAAGGAGTTGTGGCAACAAGCATATTTTTAGGAAGCTAATGAAGTTTTAAAATTATGTGGTCCTTTGCAGAACTCTCAGCGACTCAGGCTTTTCATCTCTGAAGTTGGTTCATTGAGACCACACTCAGAAATCTCCTCTACCATGAAACCCTACCAGGCAGACCTATTTCTTTCTTCCTTTGTGCTTCTCACAGCTTTTTATATTCCATTAGGACAATGATTTTTCCATTGCAGGATAATACTCTTCCATTAGAAGTTGTCTCCTCAGGATAAAATCACATCTTGTTCACCCTTCCGTTCCCACTGTTAGCACGGTGCATGGCCATACTCAGGCTCAGGTAATTCTTGTTGGATGAAGGAGACTGACATACCTACAGCTGAGAAACTCAAGTGAGTCTATACTTGCAAACTCCTCACATAAAGCAGGGTTAAATCGGAAATCATAACAAAAGATTTGTCATTAACTTCTGCCAGTAGGCAGCACAATGCCCAAGGACACTGAGGAGCAAAGAAAAAAGAAAACAAATATTCCAAAAGAACTGGGTTCTCATCTGGTTTGTGGCTTTTTAATGTAATGACTCAGGACAAATCACCTTATCTCCCCAGAGCTTAGTTTTTTATGGGTATGAAATAGAACTCATAAAGTTTATTCTTCCATCTTTGAATTTTGTGAAAATCAGATGCCAACTGGAGAATCATCAAAGCAGTGCACAAATACATAGTACTGTTACCATTTCAGCAAATTTGCTTATAGAGCTCACTTGCTATGCAGCACTGAATTCCAACTTGCTTGCTTAACTTGGGAAGTGATACAGAATGTGGGAGGCAGTATATATATCGTGGATGAGAGCAAGGACTTTGGAGACAAATCTGGATTTAAATTTTAGATCTACCATTTATTAGCAGTGATCTGTGAGCAAGGTATATAACATCACTCATCCTAATTTTTTCTATCTGTAATAGGGTATCATAGCACATGCTTTGTAGGGCTATGGTAGGGATTAAGTGAGAAATGTCTGTAATTTACCTAGTACAGATCCTGGCCAGAAATAAAAACTAAGTAAATGACAATAGTAGTTGTTTCTATTATTATCACTATTAGCATGTGAAGTAGATACACTTCTGGAAGTGATGTTGTCCCATCTGCAGACTGCATTCCATGGAGAAACAGAATAAAATGTGAGGAGTCATTTATCTCAAAGGATAAGCTGCTGGCTAGAAGACACTTCTCTGAAAAAAAGATGTGTAAAAAATGGGTGAGATTGCAAACAAGAATCCATTGATATGTGCTAGTTCTAGAAAGGGAGGGGAAAAACTAGTCAGGAAAGAGCAACAGAGGTGAAGAGGCAGAGGAATGCTCTGTAAGGACTTGCTGAGATGGAGCCATAAACAACACCACCTGGGTGTGGGAGGTTGGGAAACCCCAGGAGAGGATTAAGTGTTGCTATGTGAGAGAAGGAGCTAGGCTGAAGTCTATGAGGCAAAGAGACAAAGAGCCCGAATAAGATAAATGGCCACAGCTCTCTGATTATGAGCCAAGAATAGGATATTGACATGGGCCCCACAGCAAAGGGCTGTTGTTAATATATAGATCTTTACAGCCATACCCGAACAGGTGAAAACATCACAGTTGCCAACCAATCCAGCACTGTCCATTAGAAAGAGAATGTGAGCTGCATATATAATTTTAAATATTCTAATAGCCACATGTGTTAGTCAGCTCCAGCTGCTATAACAAAATACCACAGTCTAGGTGGTTTCAATAACAATTATTTATTTCTCACAGTTCTGAAGGTTGGGAAATTCTAGATTAAGGTCCTGGTCAATTCTGTTCCCTGGCAAGGACTCTCTTCCTAGGTTGCTGATGACCACCTTCTCCCTGTGTCCTCATGTAGTGGAAAGACAGAGCACTCTGGACTCTCCTAGTTCTTATAAGGATACCAATTCCATCATGGGGGCCTACCTTGAAGACTCACCTAAATTTATTCACCTCCCAAAGGTCCCACCTCCAAATACCATCTCCTCAAGGGTTAGGGCTTCAACATATGAATTTGTGATAGCACAAACATTCAATCCATAACACCACATTTAAAAAAAAAAAGTAGTACAGGTGAAATTAATTTTAATAATATATTTTATTTAATCCACTTTAGTCACAATACTATTTTAACACACAATCAGAATAAAACATTATTATTGAAAATGTTAGATTTTTTTCCATCCCAATCTTCAAAATTGGTGAAATCGGTGTCTATTTTCACTTATGCCACATGTCCACTTGGACTATCCACATTTCAAATGCTCAATAGCTACACATGGTACAGACCCCATCCCAAAGGAAAATGAATTTTATTCTCCTGACCTCCTAGGCTCTTAAGATCTTTTAAAAGCCTAGATTCTTAGAGCCAGAAAAGGCTTTTGGAATTGTTGTGTTCAGAGATCTCTACATATTCTCAACAGGTTTCCCCTTAGCATGTTTACTTTAAGCAATTTTATACCTGTTGAAATTTACCCTCCAATTCAATATTCACTGAAGGCTGACTTAATGCTTGGCCTGGACAGGTTAATCATGGTTTATGTTCCATCCACTCTCTCTTCTAAGGGAAACTAACTTACGCACACCCTCCTCCTTCAATCCCTAGGCACCCCATTTCTTCTTCTGCTCCTCACCACCTCTCTAGCCCAGCTGATCAAGAGTGGACACATGACTCCACCTGTGTAGTCACCTCGTGTGGAAAATCTCGCTTAATCAGGGCAGACAATTGACGGGCTAATCAGATGCCCTGTCAGGAATATAGAGGCAGAATCAGCAGATAGGGAGAAGCACCAAAAGACACACACAAAAGAAAAGAGAGAAGGAAAGAGAGAGCTACAAATATTGGGTTTCCAGCCACTTCTCAGATTTCTTCAGGGAGGGGTTTTAGGTGAGGGAGGTATGTGGCTTGGAATAGCTCCTTCTCAATCATGTTTCCACATCAGGTTTCCAAAAGCCATTTCATTTTAACAAAGTGATTCTCCAGATGAAAGACGTTTGAAAGACTCCGGTGAGAGATCTCAAAATAACTGTGATTCCTGGAGCTCCAGTAGAACCTTCCGGTACCAGCCACAGTCTGGGCTTCTGAGGTGCAGCTGTTTCGCTGTTTCTGGTTTTCCATGCGATTCCTGTACCTCTCATGGTCATGACTAGTTTTCAAGAATCCTTTATATGCTGAGGGAGCCTAAGTGAGTCTACCTTTCAACACAATTGCCTTCCACAGAGAGGGATATTTTCATATATATTTGAGCAAAGTTCTTTTCCACATCTCCCCTTGGACTTGTTTGCTCTCAATCTCATGCCAGGACTTAGCCTGCCACAGAAGTGATGGATTACCTTGGATCGCATCCCCAAGTAATTATATTCTGAAAATACCTCAGCACAGTGGCCTTCTGGGGACTCTTTTAAGTCTCACATCATCTACAGCAGTGGTTCTCAGCTGAGGCTGCACATTCAAACTGTCTGGGAAACTTCTAAAATATGCTGATGTCCCAGGCCCTCCCTCAGACTCTGAAATCAGAATCTCTGGGGGCAGATCCTTGGGTGCCCGTATTTCTTAAAAATCTCCGAAGTAATTCTAATGTGGAGCCACAGTTGAGAAATACTGTGTGATACACCGGATGTGCCCTCACATAGACTTGGGTTTCTATCACAGAAAACCAGATTCTGTTTTTAATTGTAAAAGAAAAGCGTACTTATTTTTTTTAAAGAATACGTAGTGAGGAATTATCCAAAGTGAGAAGGCTCACTCATCAGTAGTATTCCCAATGGTTCCACTCCCTAGAGGTAACTATTGCAGTTTTTTATGTGTCCTCCAAATATTGCCTATGTTTCTTTCAATATTTAAATCTCTCTCTCTCTCACACACACACACACACACACATTTTCGCTCTGGCTTTTTGTCTTACTAATATATCTTGATTATTAGCCTAGAATTTCTTTTTGTATAAATCTATGGGGCACAAGTCTAATTTTGTAACATGCATACATTGTATACTATGTATATAGATTGTATGCATTCAGGGCTTTTAGGGTAGCCATCACTCATATAATGTACATTATACTTATTTAGTAATTTTTTATCATACACCCCACACCCTACCCTAGCCTAGACATTTTCGATAAAGGAAAACAGTGTCGGGGTTTGAGTACTTCTTTTTCCAAATAATAAAACAAAAGTAAAACTAAAGTAATTAAAACAGTGTGATCTTATTACTGGAATAAATAAATTATTTGGTAGCACAGAATAGGAAGTCCAAAAAATAATCAATAGAATTGATGTAGTATATGAAAAAAATTGGCATTTCAAATTAGTGGGGAAATAAAGGATACACTATTCAATAAATAGTATTGAGATAATTATTGGGACAATTGTCTATTCATTTTTTTAAGTGGATTCCTATTCACAGCATATAAAAATTAATTAAAGATGAATTAAAGTCTTCACAATAAAACTAAGCATGTTAGAGGACATAATTTTACAATTCTGGCATGGGAAAATCTTACTAAATAATACATAAAATCTAGAAGTCACAAAATAACTATAGACAGATTAGGCTACATCAAATTTAAATTTTCTCTAAAAAGAAAGAGTAAAGAAAAGTAAAATAAAAATAAGAAAATGAAAGGTAAAATTTATAACGTATACAAAAGATTAATATCCATATTGAAAAATGTTTCTATATATCAATAAACTGACAATCAACAGAAAGCCAGACAAGGCTATCAACTGATAATCAATAGATAAACAAATATTAATTATAAAAGTATAAAAAGATATTCAATGCAACACTCAAAGAGTCAAAACAATCTTGATATCTTTTTTTTCACTTATCACATTGGCAAAATGTTTTAAAAGATTAATATCAAGAAACGGTGACTATTTGAAGAAACAGATATTCTCTAACTTTGGTAGAAAAATATGCTAAAAACAGTTTTTAAATGGCAATTTGGCACATCCCCACATCCTCTAATATACAAATTCATATGTCATTTGATTTAGCAATTTCACTTCTAAGTAATCTATTCTACAGAAAGCAATTACAAAATAAGTGCACACAAAGTTATATGTAATATGACATTTTTTGTAATAAAAAATTTTAATGACTGTCAATAAATAGTTAAAGTAAGGTATAGTTATATTGTAAATCTCACATAGCCATTAAAACAAATAAAATGACTCTATAAGAACTGATAAGTCAGGAAATTGACAAATTTCCTGTAAATTGTAAAAAGCCAGGTGCAAAACAATTTACAAAGAGGGTCCAATTTTTTTCCAAGAAAGATACACATGTACACTTTTAATCACATAGAGACAGGCCTTCAAGGAATAGCAGACTTTTAATAGAGATACTTCTAGGGAAGGGAGTGAGATTTCAAGCTTGAGAGTATGAAGCATAGAAGGAAACTTTATTAACACCATATATTTTATATATTTTTATAAGGCATATTTATTAAATTTGTAATTTTTTAAATAATGAGAGGAAGAAAGTTTTCTCACTGTTTTAATTTGTTCTTTATAAATTCTGAGTTTATCTTTCTTTCATATGTTTATTGGCCATCTTTATTTCTTTTCTTCTGAACAGCCTGTTCATGTACTTTGCCCATTTTTATTCAATTTCTTTCTTTGTACTGAATGTACTATTTAAAATTTTTAAAGTATATTTTGATCTTTTTTCTATTTATTGTTGTATTCTGATTTCATTTATACTACTTTCATCACATATGTTTTATTTATATTTTAGATAATTAAATGTATCAGTTTTTTCTTTGTATAGCATCTGAGTTTGGAGCCATGCTTAAAAAGTTATTTTCTAATTCAAGATTATTAAATAACTTACCAATTTAAAAATTCTTTTTATTGCTTAATATTTAATATATGTTGTTATTAATCAGGAATTTATTTGGAGACAGGAATACAGCTTTAACTTTCTTTTCCAAATGTCATTTCCCTCAATACCACTGGGTTGAAACACCATATTGCCACTTTTGTTGGCTCTTTCTGGACTCTTTATTTTTTCCCACTGATCTCTACAGTTTTGTACCCATACTTTAATAATTATATTTTCTGACATGCTTTAATTATCTAGTATGACTAGACTTCCTCTCTCATATTGCTTTTCCTGCCAGAAATTGTTTGTCTCTTCCCATTTTTCAATTGTAAAAGTTTATTGTGAGATAAGATGTTACAGACTCACTTTTACCTCTCCCTCTCCTCTAAATATAACTAAATACTCTGGAAATAACTCAACAGATGATTGTAAAAGGACTCCGAAATATGGAAAAAAGAAAAGTTGACTGGCTAGGGATTTCAGGATGTGAGACACCATAGTGATTTCCCTGGTTTTCTTTTTATCTCCCATATATCCCATGCTGAGCACCAGGGAGGCTTACAACCCCAAACCACCAACAGGCATAGCATTGAAAAACAAACACCAAAAGCCTGCTGGCTCTGGCCAGAGGCAGGGAAAGGGTAAGCCCAGAAGAGTCCTACCAGAGAAATAATCCTCTGGTCCTCATGCTGATCTGTGGCAGGACCAAGAGACTGATCTGCCTGCAGCAGCAATAGTAGCACAGCAGACTGAACCATTCCCCACCCCACACATGCTGGCAAGCCGCACTCTCTTCAGTGTCAACATCAGCAAACCCCATCCAATAATAGAATGGTGGTGGGTTCCACCTGCATCAACATCAGTAGGGTACCTATCCCATATCCAAGACAACAGGTAGGCCAATCCATCCTCAGGCGAAGCATTAGCAAACCTGAACAGGACCCGTCCCTTCCTCCATACCCATCAAACAGCCCACGAGGCACCTGCAGTAATAAAGCAGGAGCCCAAATAGCAGCAGAAGAACAAGGTAGACTATTAGCATTGCAAGAACTCTGAAAACAAATTGTCATGGAACTATAACTCACAAAAGTAGACCAGAACTTATACGCTAAGCCCCAAAAGGGTGACTGCTTACTAAAAATAAAAGATCTAAGTAGTATGAAGCATGTTCTAAAATAATACCCAAAATGTCCAGGGTACAAGTGGAAGTCATTCATCTTACCAAGAACAAGGAAACATACAACTTTTATGAGAAATGACAATCAACTGATGCCAACTTTGAAGAGACTCAGATGTTGGAATTATCTGAAAAGGATTTTAAGGCAATCATTATAAAAATGTTTCAACAAACAGTTACAGATTTTCTTGAAACACATCAAAAACACACAATTCCAACAAAGAAATAGAAGTCATAAAAAAGAAACAAATGCAGAAAATAGAATTTAAAGAGACAATAACAAATAAAAAGTCACCAGATGAGCTTAGTAGTAGAGTGATGATGATAAGACAGAATCAGTGAACTTAAGGACAAATCAATAGAATTTACTTGTACAAAAAAGGAAAAATAAACAAAAAATTTAACAGAGCCTCAGAGGCTCTGTAGGATCAAAACAAAGATATAATATTTTATCATTAGCATCTCAGAGAGAGAAGAAATATACTGTGTTGCTGAAAAAGTATTCAAAAAACATACTGGCTGAAAACTTTCAAATTTGGTGAAATGCATAAACACATAGATTCAAGAAGCCAAGTGAACCTAAATAAGATAAATCCAAGGAAATCCACACTAAGACACATTATAATTAAACTTCTGAAAACTGAAACGAAATAAAACAAAATCTTAAAAACAGCCAAAGAGAAATGATGCATTACCTACAGACAAACACAAATTTGAATGACAGAGGATTTCTCGTTTGAAACTATGAAGGCCAGAAGGACCTGACACAATATATTTCAATCCCTGAAAGAAGAAAATCCAAAACCATGAATCCTGTATCTAGCAAAACTATCCTTCAAGAATGAAGGGGGAAATAAAGACATTATCAGGCAAAGGAAAACTAAGAGAATTTGTCACCAACAGACCTACCATTAAACAATGGCTAAAGGAAGCTCTCAAACAGAAAGAAGGTGAGAACAAAGGAAGGCTGGGGCTGGGTGCAGTGAGTCACACCTATAATCCCAGCACTTTGGGAGGCCAGGGTGGGAGGATCACTTGAGGCCAGGAATTTGAGACTAGCCTGGGCAATATAGCAAGACCCCAGTTCTACAAAAGAAAAATAATAGCATTAGCTGGGAGTGGTGGCATCCATGGAATATTCATCATAATAGACTATATACTGGGTCATAAAACAGCTATTAACAAATGTTAAGAAATTGAAATCAAATAGAGTATGTTTTCTAACCTTATGGAATAAGACTAGAAATCAGTAGCAAAACAAAAACAGAAAAACCTTTAGGCACATGGAAGTTAAATGACACACTTTTAAATAAGCCATAGGTAAATGAGAAAGTCTCAAAGGGCGTTTTTACAGACTAAATACAACTTAACAAAAATGAAGAAACAACATCAGAATTTGTAAGATGCAGCTAAAGTGGCAAAAGAAAAATTTATAGCACCAAAGGCTTACATTAGAAAAGAGAAATAATCGCAAGTCAGTAATTTAAGTCGCTAGCTCAAGAAACAACAAAAGGAAGAGCAAAATATACCGAAGTCAAGCGGAAGGAAAAAAATTAAGATAATGACAGAAATAAATGAATCTGAAATAGGAAAAGCAATAGAAAGAATTCATGAAATAAAAAGCTGGTTATTAGTGGAAAAAATTGATATAATTGATAACTCTCTAGCTAGACTGGTAAAGATCAAAAGTAAGAAGACACAAATTACCAATATCAAACAGGAGATATTGCCACAGATTTTACAGTCATTAAAAGAATAATATGAAATATATGAACAACTTTACACTCATAAATTCAACAATTTCAAAGAAATGGACTAATTCCCAAAAATCACAATGAAAACTCAGCCAAGATGAAATAGAAAATCTGAACAGCTCTACAACTATTTAAAAAATTGAATTTATAATTACAAATCTCTCCAAAAAGAAATTTCCAGGTCCAGATGATTTCACTGGAGAATTTTGCCAAGCATTTAAAGAATTAACACCAATTTCACACTATCTCTTTTTCAAAATAGAAAAGAAGCAATCACTTTCTAACTCATTTTATGAGGCCAGTACTACCTTGATATGAAACCAGACACGGTACAAAAGAAGAAAAAATACAAATCAATAATTCTTATGAACTGGGATGCAAAAATCCTTAACAAAATTTCATTAAATTGAATCCAGCAATGTATAAAAAAGAATAATAAGCCATGACCAAATGAGATTTATTTCAGCTATGTAAGGCTGGTTCAATATTTGAAAATCATTCAATGTAATTCACCATATCGACAGACTAATATAAAAAATCACATGATCATACTGATCATTGCACGAAAAGCATGTAACAAGCAAACACTCATTCAAGATAAAAACCCTCAGCAAAGTAGGAATAAAGGGAAGCTTCCTCAGCTTGATCAAGAACCTCTACAAAACATCTGCAACTAACATCATATTTAATCGTGAAAGACTGAATGCTTTTCCTTTGAGATTGGAAAGGATTTCTGTCTTATCTCTCTTACTTAACATAGTACTGAGAGGTCTAGCCAGTGCAATAAGGCAAGAAACCAGAAAGATCATACAGAATGGAAAGGGAAAAATAAAATGCTCTATTTTCAGATTACATAATGGTCTGTGTAGAAAATCCCAAGGAATTTACCAAAGAAAAAAGAAAAAGAAGAAGAAAAAGAAGAAGAAACCTAGACCTAATGAGTTCAACACAGTTGCAGGATTTAATATTAACATAAAAATTAATTGCATTTCTCTATATTAACAATGTATATGTGGAAACTGAAGTATAACAATGCAATATCATTTTCAATTGCTCCAAAGAAAGTTAAGTACTTCGTATAAATTTAACAAAATACCTACAGAATCTGTATATTGAAAATTATAAAATATTCATTAAAAAAAACAAAGAAGACTCACATAAGTGCAGAAATTTTCCATGTTAAAGGATTGGAAGACTCAACATAGTAAAAATGTCATTTCTCCCCAAATTAAACTACATGTCTAACAGGATTCCTATCAAAATCCCAGCAAGGTTCTGTAGATAGAGACAAGTTCATTCTAAAGTTTATATGGAAAGTAAAAGTCCCAAGGATCTCTAAAACTTTTGACAAATAACCCTGAAATGGGAGGAAGAACTCTACCTAGTGTATTGCTTATTATAAAGCTACCATGCAACTTACTATATAATATTAGTCAAATACTCAAAAGAGTGTGGTATTGTCAGAGATATAGGCACATCAATGGAAGAGAATGGAGAACCCAGAGATAAAGTTATACAAATATGCCCAGTTGATTTCTTGACAAAGCTGAAAAACCAATCCAAAGAAAGAAGGAGAGCCTTTTAAAAAAATGGTGCTTGAGAAATTGGACATACAGAGGCAAAAAACAAAACAAAACAAAAAACAAAAAAAAACTAAATTTGACTAAACTTGACATATTATATACAAATTAATTCAAAATAGATTAAAGACCTAAATGTGAAGTATAAAACTATAAATCTTTTAGGAAAAAGTAGAAAATATTTGGGAACTGGGGCTAGGCAAAAAGTTCTTATGCTTTGCACTAAAAGCACAATCCATTAAAGGAAAAATTGATTAACTGGACTTTATGAAAATTAAACACTTTTGCTCTGTGAAAGACCTTTTCAAGAGGATAGAATAAAAAATTACAGAGTGGGAGAGAATATCTGCAAACCATACATCTAATAAAGGACTTATATCTAGAATATATAAAGAACTCACAACACTCAACAGTGAAAAACAACAACAACAACAAAACAATCCAATTAGAATATAGTGGGGTTATTTGTGTTTTGGTTTGTTTAAGTTCTTTAGAGATTCTGGATATTAGACCTTTGTCAGATGCATAATTTGAAACTATTTTCTCCCATTCTATAGGTTGTCTGTCTACTATGTTGCTAGTTTCTTTTGTTGCACAGAAGCTCTTTAGTTTAATTAGGTCCAACTTGTCAATTTTTCTTTTTGTTACAATTGCTTTTGGAGACTTAGCTAAAAATTCTTTACCAAGACTGATTTTCTAGGTTTTCTTGTAGGATTTTTATAGTTTGAGGTCTTACATTTAAATCTTTAATTCATCTTGAGTGAATGTTTGTATATGGTAAAAGGCAGGGGTCCAGTTTCATTCTTCTGCATATAGCTAGCCAGCTATCCCATTTATTGGGGCAAAAGGCATAAATAGACATTTTACTGAAGAGGAAATACAGATGATAACATGAAAAGATGGTCAGCATCATTGCCCATTACGCAAACACAAATTAAAACCACAATGAGATATCACTATCCATCTATCAGAATGACTAAAATAAAAAATAGTAATAA
Source organism: Homo sapiens (assembly GCF_000001405.40). NCBI lineage: Eukaryota > Metazoa > Chordata > Mammalia > Primates > Hominidae > Homo > Homo sapiens. The sequence continues at coordinate 94,712,109 of NC_000011.10, read as the reverse complement.
CACCAAATTCTGGTAAGGATGCAGAAACTCTATTACTCATATATTGCTGGTGGTAACATAAAATATTATGGCCGTTCTATATAAACATTAATAGTTTGAAGTTTCTTTTAAACTAAAAACTTAGCATAAAACCCAGATATCACATTTTCAGGCATTTATCCCAAATAAATGAAAATTTATGTTCATGCAAAAAACTTGTACATGAATGTTCATAGCATCTTTATTTGTAACAGCCAAATATTAGAAACTACCCAAATGTCCTCCAATGAATAAATGAGTGAATGCTTAAGCAAACTGTAGTACATCCATACTATTCAATACAACACAGTAACAAAAAGGAACCAACTATTGATACGCATAACAACCTGGATAGATCTCAAGATTATTATGCTGAATGGAAGAGGCCAATATCATAAGGTTACATAATGCATGACTATATAACATTCTTGAAATAAAATTATATAAATGGACAACAGATTAGTAGTCTCAAAGGGTTAGGGATGGGACCATGGCTTTAAAAGGGAAGTATAAAGAAGCCTTGCAGTGATGATATGGTTAGTGATATTTTGATTGTGGCAATAGTTACATGAAGCTAATGTGACAAAAACTGTATACAATCACACACACAAACACACACACACACAATGAGTACATGCATAGCTGATAAAATCTGATAAGGTCTGTGGATCGTACCAATGTCAATTACCTGGTTTTGATATTGTACTATAGGTATGTAAATGTTAACAGTGGCGAAGGCTGGGTGAAGGGGGGCACTCATAGACTCATGAATCTATAAATATTTCATAATGTTTTTTAAAAATATACAAGCCAGCTATTCTTTAACAGCCAGAGTGTTTGCATGATTCTTTGTTTACAAAATCCACAACTAGATCAACCATAAATTTAATGAGATGGATCTGTCAAACATCAATTCATATATTAAAATTACACAGATTAAAATTTTGTATTCACAAGGTCTGAATAACTCAAGAAAACTTAATATTCACATTTGGCTCTCAAGAGTGATTTTATCCTTCACCCTGACCTACCAAAGTGGTAGCATCTATCTGTATACTGGTAAACCTAAAATGTTTGGAGTACCTTGGGCTTTGGATCCCCGTAGAAGTCATCTAACTTCAGTTTCTCCTTAAACACAACTTTAAAAATAGTAATAAATAGTTATAATATATTGAGCACTGAACTATTCAACTACCTGCTACAGAGTGGAAGGTAAGAACAGGACTCACAAGAAATGAGAAAACATGGTCCCAATTCATATTATTTTAGATACAGAGGATGGGATGCAGAGGTTGTTTTTAAGCCTTTGGAAATGCATTTAGGAGCAAAAAGAGGGACAAAAAATGGCAGTAGAAGAGATATTCAGAATGTAAATATTCAGTGTGATATAAGTATTTATTGAACACTTATCTTGAGCACCTGTAGAGTGATGACCAACTGAAGCTCTGGGTTTGCCAGGGAGCCTGTGGCTTTGGGACTTGCAACAAAGTATCATTAGTACTGCTCCAACGCTGTCACTACTGCCACTGTTAGCTGTTATTCATTTACGTAACACAGATGTATTAGGCACTGTGCTAAGCACTCCACAAATATCATCTACAAATATAATCGCCACACGAACCTTGTGAGATGGCATTACTATCCAGATTTTAAAGAAGAAGAAACTGAGAAGACATGTCTAGATACTTTCCCAAGGTCAGCAACTAGAAAATGTCAGAGTCCTGATAGGAACCCGGGTCATCTGACTTCAAAATTCATACTTTTAACCAATAGTCTATGTGTCTTCACCAAAGCCTGTTTAAAACCCTCCTCTTTGCTACTCTTTTCTCATGGCTTCAGGTGCTTTCCACCAGGCCTCAGGTGGCACCTCTGGGCAGTTCCCTGACTTCATATTGTCTCTGCTCTACCTCCTTCCCCTAACAAATTCCATGTGGAGGATTGGGCACAGCCAATATAGCAGGCAAGGCAGATCTTCAGCAGAGCCTTGTATGAGGAGAGTTGGGTGGGTAGGTATGGAGGCAGATGATGAGAGAAGAGTGTATGTGTGAGTGTGAGAAATGTTTTTTCCCTGATTTTATTATAACGGTAAAACGAGTTAGTAAATGAGTCTCTTTCTCGAGTCTTTTTAACTAAAACATTTGAGTTAGTGGTATAAGGCCAGGAAATATGCAAGGACAAAGAACTACCTGGTTGGATTCTTCTATTTCTGACACCATCTCAGGGGCTTGATCTCAGCCGGCTTCAGAGTAAACAAGGTTACTACCTTGTTCCCATTATCTAATGCTACATAAAAACCACCCCCAAACTTAGTTAATATACATTGTTATTATCTCTCAATGTTCTATGGGCTGAGTGGGCTGAGCTGAGTGGTTCTTATTCAGGGTCTCTCATATAGTTGCAGTCAGATAGTGGTGGGGGCTGGAGTTATTTAAAAGTTTCTTTCCTTACATGTCTGAAGGCTAAGTTTGAATGGCTGGAAAATCTGAGGACTGGTTGGGATTCAATCCTTGTAGCCTCTCCATGTGGCCAACTTGGACTTTCTCACAGTATGCTGGTCTCAGAGTAATTGGCAGTCATGGGCTTGGGCCAGCTTGTATTGGCTTATAAGAGCTGATTCTGCATATCTCCTCCCAAACCTGTGTTCAGTGCTATCATTTTGGAAGCCATGGTGGGAGTATTTACACCATGAAAATTGGCAAACACTGCAAATTAAGGAACTTTTTTTTTTCTCCAGAGAGCCAGTTTACTAGCACATGACTCTACATGGTAGTTGGCTTCTGCCAAAGTAACTGAGACAAGAAACCCAGAAGGAAGATGTAAACCTTCATAGAACCTAGCAATGGTTGTCCCAGAATGTTGCCTTCTTCTCTTTCTATTGGTCAACCAAGTCTCTAAGGCTAGCCTATATTTAAGAGGTGGAGAATTAGCATTAAACTCCTGTGGGAAGAGTAGCAAAGAATTTGTACAGTCTAGGAGCTGGCACAGAGTAGGCACTCAATAAATGCTTGATTAATGAATGAGTGTGTAGTCATTTTAAACACTGATCTGCACATCCTTAAGCCACTCTAAATGCACAAGTCCTTTTAGAAACTTTTACTTCAACCAACGATTTTTAAATCTCTGAGTAGCCTAACTCTAAAACTGCTTGATATAGATCTATTTACACTCTGTCCGCAGGTATTTGCAGACCTGTTTACTCAGGCCTTTCCTGGTTAACTGTACTGGTTTCCTGTACTCAATTGGTAGTACTACACACATTACAATCACAGATTGCTTGCTTTATAGACGTTTATAGATGTGCTGTTTAGGTTGGCTTTATTTCCTTAAGTAAACTGCAAGTTTCTTAAGAGAGTTCGCATGTATTTCTTTGCCACTCCTCCTTCCTACCATGCCAACTACAGATAGTTTTAAACACATACACATGAATACTTACAACATAGGTGGTGGTTAGAGATTATAACCCTTAAAAGTGAAGGAAAGAAGGAGCGGTACTAAAATTTTTTAATTGCTATGTTTTAGAGCCTTCCATAAATGTTCTCATTTAACTCTTCTATTTACCTAATGAAGCAGGTATTGTTTCCATTTCACAGTTGAGGGAAATGAGCCTCAAGAAGGTTTAGACATTTGGTCCAAGCCATACCGGGAGGTGGAGAAGCTGGGATTCAAATGAAGACCCACATGGTTCCAAGGTCTGAGGCTTACGCATTCTTCAGGCTGCCTTCCCACTGCTTTCTACATTCCCTATCCTCTCGCATTCTGGCCTCTCTCCTTAAAGCACCTACAAGAGTCATAAAAATGCTAATGCTTCTAAACTCCAAATAGAGTAATAAGCATTTCAAGTTCTTCTCTGGTAAAAATGTCCTTAGAAAGCTTAGTAAAACAAGAAGCTTAGAGCGTCTTATACTAGGAGTGGAGTGAGCCTGGTAGCAGGGGGGACGAGCTAAGGGGATAATGCAATAACTCAGGCAAAGCGTGTTGATGGGTTAGACCAAGGTAGTAGTGGTGGGGTAGAGAGATGTAAACCATTTGGAGAGATATTAAGAAGACTGACTCAACAGACTAGTGATTGATTGGATTGTGCAGGTGCTGATCAATTATTTTAGAACCATCATTCTGGATGCTGCTGGGAGGTAAGACTGGAGAGAGGAGGCCCAGATGTGAGGTTTCTGTATTCCTAGAAAAAATTGATAACGGCTTTAAACTAGGGTAATATCTGTGGAGGTGGGGAGAAATGGATGGATTTGAGAAATAATATGGAGTTCGAATCTGCTGAATGTGTTCCCAAATCAGATGTGAAAATGTGAGGAAGTTTGGAGGGGTGTTTAGGGTGAAATCCAGAAATCTACCACCAGGAACTTTTCACAGACCTAGGGGACACAGAAGGGGGAGCAGATTTCAGGTGAGGATGAATTCTGGATATGGTCTAGTCTGAGGTGAATGTATAACCAGGCACTGGCAGCCAGTATGCAATTGCATTTAAAACAAAGCAAACATCTCTTATCTAAATGAGTCTTTGCTCCCTGTATAGGTTATAGATGATTGTGCCAAATACTATATGTGGCAGGGTTCTGTGCCAAGAAATAAAGGGCTCTGCAATTCTCAACATTTTCATTTGACAGTGGTTCAACTTTCTTTCCAAAAGCCGTTTATCATCCTGTAGGCACCTCTGTCATAAACAAGATGTCTTTATTGAGCCTTCCAAAGCTGATAAGAGTTGTATGATTCAATCAGTGACAGAGACTCATATAACTCATAGGAAGTGTTGCAGGGAGATTTCAGTGGTCTCTAGGAGCACAGGGTCTGCCTTCACACACACACACACACACACACACACACACACAGAGAGAGAGAGAGAGAGAGAGAGAGAGAGAGAGAGACCTCATGTATATTTTCTTGGAAGAACTCATAGGGTCAGGCACTAAGATATGTTTGTACACTTCTGCCCTGCATGCGGCAGCACAGCCATTGTTTGAACAAGGTACCTGCATGTCAGAACAGGCATCCTGGGCCCCTTTTTTTCCTGCTACACTCCTGAGAAAGAAGGGAAGCATTCACACCAGCGAAACAGCAAATCAAGGCTCTCCAGAGAGCTGCTTTTCTGCACATATTTTATAAGAATCAGCTCTCTAAGAGTCTACCCAATCAGTAGGAAGGCAAAGGAGGTATGGATGGCCCTAGCCCAAAGGAGTCCACTTACAGTTGCTTCACTAACATGCTCATTATACAGCTCTTAGAATAGGCACCTAATACCAAGCCCCGATTAGATTCCTACACCCACTGTGAGAGCCCACCACTGCAGCTCAAAGCTGACTTCGCCTAGCCATGGTCTGCCACCCCACCAGGTGGGGACCGGCTGCCATGGAAACAGCCACCCTCCCCACCCAATGGAGTATTTCTTGATCTAATTCCAACTCTGCCCATAGATGCCTTCCAAAATCCCCCCCTCGTGTTAAGGTTCCCTAGAGTGAAACCCACTAAATAAGAATTTTCTTACCTGTGAGAAGTCCTGGTGACCGGCAGTGGAAAAAATACTAAGTTCTAACAGAAGTGACAGGGACTCACAGAGCAAATGTGTTCGTTTTAAAAGAAGAAAGGTGACTTCATCCCTGGTGCCGTGGAGTTTAAAAAGAGCAACGAGTGCTGCCTGGCTGAGCCAACTCTGCTTCATCAGTGATGACTCCATCCAAATTATGCAGCCATTGCCCAGACATGCTCAGCCTTCAGAAGGTAAATCGCTGGAATCTGACTAACCCTGTTGTTTTCAAAGAGCTTCAGAAAATCCTAAGGCACCAATTGCCTTAACTGGCACCAGAGAAAGAAAAATTATGCACTTATTTCCTTGAGTCATGTCATTATCTCCCCCAAATCCAACTCTGAAAAACAGTACTCTAGGGAAGGAAAATAGATATTTAGACTTTCTGAGAGGTGAAAATTACTGGGGAAGTGGAAGCAGGGAGGAAGAAGAAGCGAAGGTATTTCAGCCAGGAGGAGGGGCTGTAAGAAGCTGGAAATGACCAAATTGCTAAGAAATTTTCAGAGCTATGAATCTGTAAGCAAAGGTGACAAACAGGTGACTGGACTTTGCAAAGGGAAAAATATTCAGTTAAGAAAAGGAGGTTAGTTGCTACAGGAAAAAGTGTGACAGCCTTTCTCAAAAATGCAACCAATTTTTATTTTCTTTTTGTTGAACATAATGCCACTCATTCAATATGGGGTCATTTGTAATATTAACATATCAGTTCAAAACATGCCTGCGTTCTAAACAGAAGGATTTGGAGAAAGAGACAGGATTTTTTTTCTTCTGTATGTTAAAGGTGAGGCTGGAGGAATTAGATTTGTAACATGGGATTCAAGGTCATTTCAAGCTACCCAGTGGGCCAATCACCTACTCTTGATGCCAAGTCCTTGGTCTAAACTTTGGACAAGAGTTCTGGCTGGGGTGCTAGGGAAAGGAATGGTAATGAGTGTGATCTCTGTTGGAAGTGGGGCAGAGGGTTGAGCTCAGCAGCCAGCTGCCCTTTCTCCCAGGCTTCTATTTCAGGAGAGTATAAGGTGACTCTGGGTCATTAGGCTTCTATCTAATTTCTTGCTCAGCTATTTTGAGGCTTTGAGATTTTCCTGTGTCAAGTTTCACTCCAAAGAGGCTAAAACAAGAAAAAATGCACTTTTTATTTAGATAGAGGTATTCAGATCCAACATTAGAGATTTTCGAAATCACAGATTTAAGACATGTCAAAGTGGCTTACAAAGGGAACTTGCAAATCTTTTGTTTGGGGTGTGAATAATGATAGGAGTAGAAGACGGGCAGCGTTTCATCAATGGTAAGAACAATGAAGGCAGGAGTCATTTTTATTTGGTTCATCATAATGTCCTTGAAACCTAGCAAAGAGAGTACCATACAGTAGGTGCTCAGCAGAAGGAGAGTGAATGGTGTCAGTCCTTTTCCATTCCAGGTCTCTAGAATAGATCTGCTGAGAATGCTTAAAGTCACCATCTTGTTGGTGAGGCATTTGGAGAGAGCATGAGCCAGTGGGTCTTGTAGAACGAAAAAGAACTTGGTTATTTGCTTTGTCTCAGCCTCTAGGTTCATTGCCAAAGTTAGAATGGAGCAAAGAAGGCCAATTGCTGGACTCAGGAGCCTCCTTTCCTCCCCAGGAGCCTCCTTTGCCTATGAGCTAGACTCTCATGTCTTTTCCTAAGGCCAGGACTCAACCCAATGGGTAATCTGCCAATTGTCTTCAATTTTTTTTTGTTCTCAAAAGCCTATTAAAATTTTCAAACTTAGAGAAAAGTCAGAATAATTGTACAGTGAACACCTATATACTTACCACCGGGTTTCTTCAATTAACATTTTGCCACGTTAGTTTTATCCCATGTTGATTCTCTGCTCATTTCTCTATCCATCCAGCAACTCATTTAATTATTTTTGTTATTGTCTTTCAAAATAAGTTTCAGACATTAGTATATTCCCCCCAAATACTTCAATATTATTAGCCAGAGTTCAATATTTATTTACAATTTCTTTGTTTCTATTCAGATAAAATCTGTATACAGTGCAATGCACAGATCTTAAGTGTATCATTTCCAAGTTCCTCTAGACACATACACCTGTGCAATCCAAACTCCTACCAAGATACAGAACATAACCATCACTCTGGAAAGTTTCTTTATGTCCCTTCCTAGCAAACCCCTATCTCACATCCCAAGAGATAACCAATCTTCTGATGATTTTCACCAGATTAGTTTTGCCTGTTTTAGTATTTTATATTAATGGAACCATACAAATTGTATTCTTTTATGCAAATTTGTGTGCACTCAGCATGTTTTGGGGGTTCATTCATCCATGTTGTTGCTTGTATCAGAAGTTGGTTTCTTTTCATTGCTGAATAGTATTTTACTCTATGAATATGCCAGTATTCTAGTAATGGATACCTGGGCTTCCAGCTTAGGGCTATTAGGAATGAAGCTAATGTGAACATTTTTGCACATGTCCCTGTGAACATTTGTTTTCAGATCCTTTGAGTAAATACGTAAGAGTGAAATTGTTGGTTCTTAGGGTAGCTATATGCAATTTTATACAAAATTGCAAGATCTTTTCCAACATTCTTATGTAATTTTCCTCTCCCACCACCAATGTATGAAAGCTTTAATTGCTTCATGTCCTCACCAAAATTTCGTGTTGTCAGCCTTTAATTTTAGCCACACTGGTAGATGTGGAATGGTATCTCATTGTGGTTCTAATTTGCATTTCCTTGATGACTAAAGATATTTCATGTTTTTCATGTGTTTATTGACCATTCACTTATTACCTTTTGTGAAGTGTCCAAAATTTTTGACCATTTAAAAAATTTTTAAATTGTTTTATTATTGTTTTAGATGTTCTTAGCATATCATGGACACCAATACTTTTTTATTTTTTTGAGATAGGGTCTCACTCTGTTGCCCAAGTAGGAGTGAAGTGGCTTGATCATGGCTTACTGCAGCCTTGACCTCCCAGGCTCAAGTGATCCTCTCACCTCAGCCTCCTGAGTAGCTAGGACTACTGGTGCATGCAACCACACCCAGCTAGTTTTTGTATTTTTAGTAGAGGCAGGGTTTTGCTATATTGCCCAGGTTAATCTTGAGTTCCTGAGCTCAAGCAATCCAGCTACCTTGGCCTCCCAAAGTGTGGGGATTATAAGCATGAGCCACCATGCCCAGCCAGATACCAATACTTTTTAAGGTAAGTTTTGCAAATATTTTCTTCTGTCCTGTGGTTTGTCTATACATTTTCTTAATGATGTTTCTGTGCTTCTTTTCATTTCTTTAAATTTTTATTATCTAACATAATATTTTTGCTTTTTTAGTTTTTACCTCACTCAAAGTCATACAGATATTTTCCTACATTTTCTTCTGGAAGTTTTTTAAATTTTAGCTTTTATATTTAGGTCTATGGTCCATCACAAATTAATTTTTGTGGACGGCATAAGTTAAAGCAAGGTTAATTTGTTTCCATATAAAATGTAGTTATTTCAACACCATTTGTTGAAAAGACTTCCTTTCCCAATTAGGTCACTTTGGCACCTTTGTTGAAAATAAAATAAATGTATAAGCATGTGTCTATTTTTATTTCTGGGTTCCTTATTCTTTCCATCAGTCTGTTTGTTGATCCTTATACCAGTTGCAGACTCTCTTGATTACTATAGCTTTAGGGTAAGTCTTGACGTCCAACAATGTGAGTCATGTGATCTCATATCAAATTGGAGGAGGGTCCTGGTGGAAGGTGATTGGCTCAAGGGGGCAGATTTCCCTCTTATCTTCCCCTTGCTGTTCTCATGATAGTGAGTTAGTTCTCACAAGATCTGATTGCTTGAAAGTGTGTGGCTCCTCCCCTTTTCTCTCTTTCCTGCTCCACCATGGTAAGATGTGCCTGCTTCCCCTTCACCTTCTGCCATGATTGTAAGTAAGTTTCCTGAGGCCTCACAGCCATGCTTCTGTACAGCCTGTGGAACTGTGACTCAATTAAACCACTTTTCTTTATAAATTACCCAGTCTCAGGTAGTTATTTATAGTGGCGTGAGAACAGATTAATACATCATCCAACTTAAATTTCTTTTTTCAAGACTTCTTTGAATATTCTAGGTTCTTAGAATTAGAATCATCTTGTCAATTTTGACCAAAAGGAATAGTAGAATTATGATTATCATTTTATTGAATCTTTAGATCAATTTGGTAATTATAGCCATCTTAAGAAAACTGAGTTTTTCAATCCATTAACATGATTATCTCCCCATTGATTTATATCTTCAATTTTATTCAGCAATATTTTGTTGTTTTAGTATAGAGGTTTTGCATGTCTTTCGCTAAATTTATTCCCAGATATTTTGCTTTTGACACTAATATAAAATTATTTTTTAAATTTAACTGTCCAATTCTTTGCTGCTAATACATAAAAATGCAATTGACCTTTGTATATTAATCTGATATCCTATGACTTTGCTAAATTCACTTAATAGGTAAGTAGTTGCTATGTAAATACAATAGGAATTTCTGTAAGAATACTCATGTCATCTAACATAGAGATAGTTTTACATTTACTTTTTCCATTCTGAATTCTGAATTCCATTCTGTATGCGTTTTGGAATTTTTTTTTTTTTTTTTTTTTTTGAGACAGAGTCTCGCTCTGTCACCAGGCTGGAGTGCAGTGGCGCAATCTCAGCTCACCGCAACTTTTGCCTTTCGGTTTCAAGTGGTTCTCCTGCCTCAGCCTCCCGAGTAGCTGGGACTACAGGCACACGCCACCATGTCCAGCTAATTTTTGTACTGTTAGTAGAGACAGGGTTTCACCATGTTGGCCAGGGTGGTCTCAATCTCTTGACTTCATGACCCGCCCACATCGGCCCCCCAAAGCACTGGGATTACAGGCGTGAGCCACCGCGCCCAGCAGGTTTTAATTTTTTAAATATGCTTAAGTCCTCCTGTCCATTGTTAAACAAAGTGGTGAGATTGGGCGTTCTTGACTTGCTCCCAACTTTAGGGAAACAGTGTTCAATATTTTGCAATTAAGTATGATGTTAGCTGAAGGCCTTTTGTAAGTGCTCTTTATCAAAATAAGGAGGTTACCTTCTATTTCAAATATCCTGTGTTTTAATTATAAATAGGCATTGAATTTATTAAATGTTTTTCTGCATTTACTGAAGTGACTATGTGATTTTCCTTCATTATTCTTTAGCGTTAATAGCATACATTTCTGAATGTTAAACCCCCCTCTCATTTATGATGTTGGTAACTTGTGTTCTCTCTGCTTATTTCTTGATCAATCTACCTAAGGATTTGTCAACTTTGTTAACTTTTCCAAGATATACCATCCAGCTGTGTTAATTTTTTTCTGCTTTTCTTCTTGTACTGACTTTGGGTTTATTTTGCTTTTCTTTTTCTAGATTCTTAAGGTAAAGTCTTGGGTCCTTGGCTTTAGACGTTCTTCTTTTCTAACATATTATTTGATTTAAAGCTAAAATTTCCCCCAAGCACTGCTTTAGCTGCATTCCACAATTTTGAAATGTATTTTATTATCTTTCAGTTCAAAATATTTCCTAGCTTTCCTTGTGATTTATTTTTAATCCATGGATTATTTAGAAGTATGTTGTTTAACTTAGGATTTTTCTTAATGTCTTACTCATCTCTAATTTAATTCCATGTGGCCAGAGGACATACTCTGTATGACGTCAGTTCTTTTAAGTTTATGGCCCAGATCATGATCTATCTTGATGAACATATCATGTGTACTTAAAAGAATATGTATCCTGCACTTGTTGGGTGCCATATTCTATAAATATCAATTAAATCAAAGTGATTTATACTTGTATTAGCTATCTAGGGCTGCCATATAATTGCCACAAACTGAGTGACTTAATCAACAGAAATTTATTGTCTCACTATTCTACATGCTAGAAGTCTGAAATTGTTAGGGAAGCAGGAGCCTGGGAGAGCCAAAGTAATGCCATTTTAAAATAAACTCCGTCTTAAAACTAGCAAGACACATTCCTTGTCAGTCATGACCCATGGTCCCAAGATGTTTACAGCTAAGGAAGCAGCTTGGTAATGCCTGCAAGGACAAACTCCTACAACAACAAAAGGTCCAGATGTCCCAATACCCATAAAAATATATGCTTACAGATAATTATAGTTATGCTTTGGTGTACTTAACACACTAAAATTTCAAGGATAGTTTTCTTTAAATCAACAGAATAATAAATTTTGTCATGCTGTCAGCCCACCTACATGTAGGCATCACTTAGTTTAGTCTTTACATAGAGAAAACCCCTATATAACTTTTTAAAAAGTTAAAGAAAAACTTAAAATGAAGATGGTAAGATGGTGCATTCCTCTGCTTGCTTTCTGAGGACACCCTACTCAGTAACTGAGTAGCTTTCAATAAACCACCTCTTTTCACTGCACTCTGCAACTTGCCCTGAATTCCTTCCTTCCTGAGATCCAAGAACCCTTTCTTGGATTCTGGAATCCCTTTTCTGGCAACAAAATCAGGTATCAACATAGCCATGCCCCTCTGAGATTTTGGGTAAAGTCCTTCCTTACCCTTCTTAGCTTCTGGTTATGGCTGGCAATCCTTGGCATTCTTTAGCTTGCAGCTTCATCACTCCAATCTCTGACTTCATCTTCACATGGCTTTCTCCCAGTGTGTCTTCACAGTATCTTCCCTTCCACATCATCTTCCTTCCCACAGGCTGTGCCTGTGTCCAAATTTCCTCTTTTTATAAGAATTAATTATGGTCCCACTCTAATACCTCATTTTAACTTTGTTACCTCTGTAAAGCCACTTCAAATAATGTCACACCCTGAAGGACTGGAGGGTTAAGACTTCAATATATCTTCTTAGGACGACGTAATTTAACCCACAATAATAGTGTTGCTCAGATCTGTGTCATCACAGCACTTTTGTTCGATTGTTCTATCAGTTGCTGAGAGTAGGATGTTAAATTCTCCAACTGTGATTGTGGCATTTTCTATTTTTCCTTTTAATTCTGTGAAGTTTTGATTCATTTATTTTGAACCTCTGTTTTTGGATACATACACATTTATTTTTGTTATTTCTTCCTGATGTATTGACCTTTTTATCATTATGAAATGTCCCTCTATTTTTGTTAATACACTCTATTTTAAAGTCTACTTTGTCTGATATTAATATTGCCAATCAGTGTTTTTTTTTTTTTTTTTTTTTTTGAGGTGGAGTCTCCTCTGTTGCCCAGGCTGGAGTGTGCAGTGGTGCAATCTTAGCTCACTGCAACCTCCACCTCCCAGGTTCAAGCAATTCTCCTGCCTCAGCCTCCTGAGTAGCTGGGATCACAGGCGCCCACCACCATGCTTGGCTAAGCCAATCAGCTTTCTTATACTTACTATACATGCAATATTATTTTTTCATCCATTTGTTTTCAAACAATTGGTGGTTTTATGTTCAAAATGGATTTCTTGCAGACAGCATATAATTGAGTTGGTGTGTTTTTTAAAAATTTCATTTTAATAATATTTTATTTTCATTTGGTATGTTTAATTAATTATCACTTAATGTGATTACCGACATGGTTGGATTGAGGTCCAAGATATGGTTGGACTTAAATCCAACTTTACTATTTGTTTTCTGCTTGCTTCTTTGGCTTTTTGTCTCTCTGTTTTTCCCTGTGGGCTTCTTTTGGATTAAGTATATTTTAAAATTCCATTTTAATTATCTATGAGATTTTAAGGTATACTTCTTTGCATTACATCTTTAGTGGTTGCTTTTAAGGATTAAATATATATATATGTATATATATTTTCTATTTTTCATAGTTTACTGGGAGTTAATATTGTATACTTCACATAAATATGTAGAAATCTTGCAACCAATTTGGTTCATTGACTGCCCCCTCCTCATCCTTTATGTTATCCTTATCATATGTACTTCTTTACATGTGCTATAAACTACACAATACAATGTCATATTTGTTCTTGAACTAATCATATTTTAAGTTAATTAAGCAGAATAATAATACTTTACAGTTACACATATTTACCATCGAATGTATTTTACTCTTTCCTGAGTAATCGAGTCTCTATTGGGTTTTGTTTTACTTTACCCTGCATTCCATGACATGCAAGTGAAAAATTTTTCTAAAGCTGTCTTATTTAATCTTTATTCATCAAGGACATTTTCACTGGATATAAAATTTTGATTGATAGGCTATTTTTCTTTCAGCACTTTAAAGATGTTGATCCACTGCCTTCTGGGCTCCATTGTTTCTGATGAGGTATCAGTGGATAAGAAATAATTGTTAGTGGATTTTGAAATGATTCAGGCAATGTCATTTTCTCTGACTGTTTTCATTATTTTCTTTTTGTGATTTATTTGCAGCACTTTGACTATGATATGCCTAGGTGTTTTTATTTTTGTTTTGTTTTTGATACTAATCTTTCTTGATGTTTCTTGAGGTTTTAGAATCTGCACATGTATGTCTTTTACCAAATGTGTGAACTTTTCACCCCTTATTTACTTAAATTAGTTTCTGGATCATTCTCTCTCCTCTCCTTTTGGAACTTCAATTATATGCATATTAGACCTTTTGGTATTGCTGCAAAGATCCCTAAGTTTTTGCACATTTATTAATATTAAATCTCTGTTTCTCAATCTGATCATTTGTGCTGATCTATCCAGATCATTTCTAATGATCTATCTTCTAGTCCATTGACTCTTTATTCTTTCATCTCCCTTGTGCTGTCAAGAGCATCCACTGAATTATTATTTTAGATATTGTCTTTTTTAGTTCTCGTATTCTCATTGGTTCTTTTTTATAGTTTCTATATCTCTGCTAAGATTTTCCATATTCTATATTTCTATATTCATTGTGAACACATTTTCTTTTATGTACTTGAGCATGGTTACAATGACTTTTTAAAAATTCTTGTCTGCTAATTCCAGCATGTAGGTCATCTTAGAGTTGATCCCTGTCAATTATTCTTTCTCCTTAAACAAGTCATGTTTTCCGTTTTGTTATATGTCGGATAATTTTGGAGCATATCCTTGTTATGATGAATGATATGTTGTAGAAAGCCTGAATTCTATCATGCTCTCCTAAGGAGTATTGACTTTTCTTTAATTAGGACTTTAATGTGGCTGAACACAAATGAAATGTAAGCCTTCTTCTCTGCCTTATATATTGCACACAGGGTCCTGTTCTTAGACTAAAAGCTATAAATCAGAAAACTCACCTCATAAAACTTACTCTTCTCCCAACTGTTATTTCTCCTCTAGTTTCTGCTTGCTTTTGTTCTCTCTCCAGTGTCTTCAACCAGTTGGTCTCATATTTTGTCCAGAGTTTATAGTTGTTATCTGTAAGAGATTTGGTTCAAAAGAGCTATATGGACATACCAAAATATCCAGTTACATTTTGAGTCACTTAGTTTATCTTCTACAAAATAATTTATAGCTTTTTGCTATGAATTACCTTGCATCTCACCCTTTTCCTAGTAATGCTGAATAAGATATGGAGCTTCTGCAGAAAAGGGTGACATAATCAATAAGTATTGCCTGCCTTGGGCACAGGACCAGATAGTTGCAATTTTTGTAATAGTTACTTACAAAACAATGTATAATACTCAGAAGTTTGTACCTATTAGAACATATCCTTGAAGTAAGAGTACAATATTTGCTTGTTTGATGGCTAATATTCCCCACTAAATGAAGGGATTGTGCTTGTGAAATTCACTCTTATATGCCCAGTGTCTCTCATGTGGAACATAGTAGTCACTCAATAAATAGTGAATGAGTGAGAGTAGTGTCTAACCAGGACCCATCCCAATTTAGTATAGTTTATCATCAGTGATCTATCCCAGAAAAAGTAGACAGCTTAGGAATACCTCATTCAGCCTAATTTTTGTTTTAGTTTCCCTTTTAAAAATTAAATAATCAACATAGATACATGGAGAATACAAATTAGCAAAAATAAATCAAGCCAACCCATTTTTTCCCTCTGAGACATACCATTGTTATCTTTTCCACATAGTGCCTTGTTATTCTTCAAATTTTCATTCTCAACCTCAGGTGTACATTAGAACTACGTGAGGAGCTTTGAAAAGTCCTCATGCTCATGCTACAACCCATACTAATTAAATCACATTCTCAGGGATTGGGACA
The DNA here is from genome assembly GCF_000001405.40 of Homo sapiens. Lineage (NCBI taxonomy): Eukaryota > Metazoa > Chordata > Mammalia > Primates > Hominidae > Homo > Homo sapiens. The sequence goes on along the minus strand of NC_000011.10, from coordinate 94,696,427 downwards.
CAGACATTTGTGTTTTTTAAAGTTCCCAAGATGACACCGGTATGCATTCAAGAGGACCTAAAGATGTAATAGCCAGGATAGCAGAGCTTTTTCAGATGTCAGTTTCTATCTCCTGCATGGCACAGATCCTGTCCTCCAAGAGAGTTCAGACAGGACAGTACTTGAAGCAATTAAACATGAAACAATTAGAAACAAAAGGACAGCAAATATACAAAATTAGGTGCCAATGTGTGGAAGCTGTGAGCTGAGCCTCTGAGGGCAGACACCTTTGAGTGCAATCAGAGGTGGGCTCATCTTGGTGGAGCCCCACCTGCCACACTGAGGGACTCTTTTCTTTCTTAGAGGTTTCTAGCAGCAGGTTGGAGAAAGGGGTACAGTGACACATTAGAATGACAGGTGGCACTGATTCTATTCCTGTCTTCTTTGAACATTTCTTCTTTATAAAATCCCAAGATCCCAGGTTCCTGGCCTCTGATCTTTGTTTGTGGGAATGCTGTTTTAATTCCTTACCTGATTTCAGAATTTGAGACCACCTTCAACCAGAGAAGCCTCTGTGGAAATGTGCCGTCACTGGCCAGTTGTTCTGTCTGTCTGCTGTGGAACCCAGGTGAGTTAAGTATAAATATCTGGCCGGGCACGGTGGTTCATGCCTGTAATCCCAGCACTTTGGGAGGCCGAGGAGGGCGGATCACGAGGTCAGGAGATCGAGACCATCCTGGCTAACACGGAGAAACCCCATCTCTACTAAAAAATACAAAAAATTAGCCAGGAGTGGTGGTGGGCGCCTGTAGTCACAGCTACTTGGGAGGCTGAGGCAGGAGAATGGTGTGAACCCAGGAGGCGGAGCTTGCAGTGAGCCGAGATTACGCCACTGCACTCTAGCCTGGGCCACAGAGCAAGACTCTGTCTCAAAAAATAAATAAATAAATAAAAATTAAAAAAAAAAATCTATGGCCACCCTACTTCTCCAGCTTGCCCAAGAGAGTTGGACAACAACAAAGCATACAGTGTGATTCTTGACCTGAGCCACACAAAAGAATCTCTGTGAATATCGTGAAATAGCTATTCCAAGGACCCACCCCAGAATAATTAACTCAGAACCTCTGGGTGATGAGGTCCAAAAACTGGTATCTTTTTCCAGGCTCCTCAGGTGATTAGGATTTGATCCAAGGTGAGAAATATTGATGATGTGAATTGGTGGGCCATTCTCCTGGGTTGTGCATTTGAAATCCCCTTCCCTGCTACTCCTGGAGACAACATAGAGAAAAATGTCAGGCTTTATGTTAAATAGGCTAAGGTTTGAATCCCTGCTTTGCCGTTGACTAGCTGTATGACATTAGCTAAGTTGCTGACCATCTCTGACACTCCATTTAGTTAATGGTACAAGAGGCAAAATAATAGTACCTACTAATGAGGCTCAATGTGATGCCATATATAAGTCAACTGGCACGCAGTGTGTACCAATAAATATCTGCTCCCTTCTGTCTCTGCACTCCTCACCTCCTCCCCCTGACCTCAGCATTGTAATAAGAGCTATGGACAATTCCGGCTTGTTTCTGAGCTGTTTCTCCTTGACTGACCATGACCACATCAGCCTGGATTTGCATCCCTGGTCCCTGGATCTGGCATCCTGATTCCAGCTTCTAAACTTGATCCAGCTTTTCTTTCCGGGCCCAGTTTCCATCACCTGTTTCTGTTGCTCAGCACTAAGCCACAAAGAAATGGTTTCTAAAAGTAGCTGGGCCCCGTGCTGCTGCTGCTCCAGCTGAGTTTTAGCAGCAGGAGGGGGTGTGGCTAATTTTAGACTTGTCCTGGACTAGCATCTGAGACAAGGCAAGGCCAGGCAAGTCCAACCTGCCTCCTCAGTACCTTTGGGTTGGAGTTTGGAGAGAAAGTTTGGGGAGATTTTGTTATAGGGCTTGTGTGTCTGTATCACACCAGGCTCCTTATATGGAAATTTAATATATGCAACCATTTGCCTCAACATCTGTTGGGATTTGAGTCTCAGGTGCTGTACTGAATGGGAGTAACCACAATGTAACCTGGAGTTTTTGATATGCTAATGCTTGTACTGAGCTAGGATAGATTGTTTTCTGCCTAACCCAGGGACAGGAATAGGCAGGTGTGAGCAGGATCTGAGATTCAGCAGGAAAAGGGCTGATAAGAGAAAAGATAGAAAATGTTATTGACTTATTTATGTTTAGAGAAATTAAAAAGGAAATCAGATGGAGCAGTGCAGAGACAGAAAGCCTCACTAGGAGAAGCAAGGACAGCATCGTAGCTCCTAGGACAGACCTGGCCCAGAGGAGGTTTGATGATTGTTGCACAAGTGTGGAATGAAGGGCTTCTAAGGTGGGGAAGAAGAGATGCTTTGGGGCTGCCCAGTGAGCATCTTGGTTGCTTTGGAAGGAAGGGCAATCATCTTAGAGCCAGCTGGGCTGCCCATGGGACCTAAAGCATCAGAAGAGATTTGTGTCCTCTAGGTCAAAGTAAACTAGCTCTTGCATGGTCAGGCCCACAGAATGAGGATAGCTAACAACAAAGAAGGGTTGAGCACTCCTAGGATTAAGAGATAAACAAGACAAAGAGAAAGAGTGAGAAGAGTAGAGGGTTTGCAGTGAGTCAAATTAGTTTCTTCATTCCACCACTTAAAGTTGTGTGATCTTATGTCAATTACCCAACTCTCTGAGCCACGGTCCCCCATACATTTATAGTGTTCACCAATATATATGAATTCAACATTTCAAGATTCATCAACAATTTATTGAGAGTCTACTATATGCTACAGGCCATTTGGCCAATGGAATGAACAATGCATCTAACAATCTGGTAGGAAATGCAGACAAGAGAAAAGGGCATGAATAAGTGACAACATATGGGTGGGTGCTGCTTAGTGCCATGAAGGAAGTAAGCAGGATAAAACGAGACAGGTAATTTGGCTGGAGAAAGCCTCTGTGAGTAGGTGTCATTGAACTGAGCCCCAAATGTGAGAAGGAGCCGACTCTGTGGAAGAACACTGCAGGCAGAGGGACAAGAAAGTGCAAAAGCCCAAAACACAAAAGAACTTGACAGTTCTGAAGAATAGAAAGGGAGTCAATGTGGATGGAGGGGAGTGAGTCAAGAAGAGATCTCTCTGAGACAAGGTGAGGGTGATCATACTGGGCCCAAAGAAGGAGTCTGGGTTTTGCAAAGGGAGAACAGTTCCCGTTTCTTGGAGAGAGAGGACAGGATGGACAGGAGCTGCTCCTATGGAGGTGCTTATGTGGTGCTTCTATGGAATAGATGCCACTGGGACATGGGATCCTTAGAATGGAGCCCAGATGTCAGCAGGGGGCAAAAAGGTTTGAACCCCTGTAAGAGAAAAGACATTCTAAATCTAGTCTAGGACAGAACCTTTTTAGTTGATGTAGTTCAAACTCTACTTCTGAGAAGAAGTGAGCTTTCCTGATAAAACACTTAATCAATTTTCTAATTAAGTTTAATGAGATTAAGATTTGTTCTGGGAATCTAATCATCCACCCACCCACCTGCTCTGTCAGTCAATTGTCTCAGTGTTTAGGCAATTGTTTACGGGAAAAAAAAAATCATTTCTTTTTGCATCTTAGCTTAATAATAATCCATCATTCTCTTGTCCTATAAAATGTCCCTGACAAAATTGAATCTTTGAATTGGGCTTCTAGTGGCCTTTTCACTTGCAGTAAGACTATAATGAAACTTTGACATGTGCTTTGAAATTGATTTTCTGAAATGTTTTCTATAACACCATTTGGTCAATGGCTAGTGGACATGTGAGGACTTCCTCAAGTTTTCTTAGTCCATGGGCCCATTGTCCTCTGAGCTCCTGCTTGTGCACGTGCTCTCTCTAGCTGCAACATATGGCCCTAGCCATGGGAGTTCCACTAAAATCCAGCCCCCAGATCCTTGCTCTTTGGCAAGGAGTGAGAGTAGGGCTATTATGTGTTGACTTGTGCCCCCTACAAAAAGAAGTGTTGGAATCCTAAGTCTCAGCACCTCAGAATATGACTTTATGTAGAAATAGGGTCTTTACAGAGGCAGACAAGTTAAAAGGAGGTGACTAGGGTGGGCCCTAATCCAATAAGACTAGTGTCCTTGTCAAAAGGGGAAATGTGGAGGCAGACATGCACACAGGGAGAATACCATGGAAGATGCAGGCAGAGATCAGAGGGATGCTTCTAGAACACAGAGAGTGTGTGATTTCCAGCAAACCACCAGAAGTGAGGGGAAGAGATTCTTTCTCACAGTCCTCAGAAGGAACCAGCCCTGATGACACCTTGGTCTGACACCTTGGCCTTTGACTTCTAACCTCCAGAACCAAGAGATAATAAATTTCTTTTTTTAGTTTTATTTTTCATTGATACATAATAATTGTGTATATATATATGGGGCAAAACGTGATGTTTTGATCTATGTTTGGTATGAAATAATTAAAGCAGGCTAATTCTATTCCTCACATACTTATCATTTTTTTGTGGTGAAAATATTTAAAATCTACTCTTTCAGCAGTTTTGAAATCCACAATATATTATTATTTATTATAGTCAGCATTCCATGCAATTGATTACTAAAGCTTATTCCTTATGTCTAACTGAAACTTTCTACGCTTTGATCAACATTTCCCCTTTTCCCAACCACCCTTCTCCCCCAGCCTCTGGTAACCATCATTCTACTCTCCCCTTAGATGAATTCAGTATTTTTAGATTCCACATATAAGTGATATCATGTAGTATTTGTCTTTCTGTGCCTGGCTTATTTCACTTAGCATAATGTTTTCCAGGTTCACCCATGTTGTTGCAAATAATAGGATTTCTCCCTTTTTTAAGGCTGAATAATATTCCATATTCATTGTGTGTATGTACTTACATTTTCTTTATCCATTCACCTGATGATAGACATCTAGGTTGCTTCCATATCCTAGCTATTATAAATAATGCTGCAATGTACATGAGAGTTCAGATATTTCTTCAGCACACTGATTTCAATTTCTTTGGATATATACCCAGAAGTGAGATTGCTGGATCATATGGCAATTCTATGTTTGGTTTTCTGAGGAACTTCCATACTGTTTTTCCATAATGGTTGTATTAGTTTACATTCCCACTAACAATGCCAAGGTTTCCTTTGGCCAATGTGGTATATATAATATCCTCACCAACACTTGTTATCTTTTGTCTTTTTCATTAATAGCCATTCTAACAGGTGCAAGGTGATATCTCATTGTGGTTTTAATTTGCATTTCTCCGATGATTAATTATAATGAGAATTTTTTCATGTATGTGTTAACCATTGGTATATCTTCTTTCAAAAGAGTCTGTTTAGCTTCTTTGCTTATTTTTGATTGAATTATTTGCCTTCTTGATATTGAGTTGCTTGAGTTCCTTATATATTTTGAATATTAGCATCTTATCTGATGTATGGTTTACAAATATTTTCTCCTAATCCGTGGGTTGTCTCTTCACTCCATCAGTTGTATCCTTTGTTGTGCCAAATCTTTTTAGTTTGATGCAATCTCATTTGTCTATTTTTTCTTTTGCTGCCTGTAGTTTTGGGGTCATATTCAAGAAATCTTTGCCCAGACCAATGTCGTGGAGCATTTCCCCGATGTTTTCTTTTGGTAGTTTTATAGTGTCAGGTATTATGTCTAAATACTTAATACATTTCAAGTTGATTTTTAATACAGTGTGAAAAAAGTTTCAATTTTATTCTGCGGTGGACGTCCTGTTTCCCAACACCATTTATTGAAGAAATTGTTATTTCTCCATTGTGTATTCTTGGCAACTTTGATGAAAATCAATTAACCATAAATATGTGAGTTTATTTCTAGGCTTCCTATCCCATTCCATTGGTCAGTGATTCTGTTTTTAATGCCAGTGCCATTCGATTTTCATTACAATAGCTTTGGAATAGATTTTGTGACATGAGGTATTGTGATGCCTCCAGCTTTGTTTTGTTTTTTTGTTGTCGTTGTTGTTGTTGTTCAAGATTGCTTTGGCTATTCAAGGTCTTTTGCAATTCCATACAAATTTCAGTATTTTTTAAAATTTTTGTGAAGAATGACATTGGAATTTTAATAGGGAATGCCTTGTATCTGTAGATCACTTTGGGTAGTGTAGACATATTAACAATACTAACTATTCCAAACCATGAACAGACAAAACTTATTTGTGTTGTCCTCAAATTCTTTCATAAATATTTTATACTTCTCAACAAACAGATCTTTCAACTCCTTGGATAAATTTATTCCTATGTATTTTTTCAAGCTATTGTGAATGAAATTGATTTCTTAATTTTTTTATAGATAATTTTATTGTTAAAGTAAAGAAACACTACTGATTTTTTGTGTTAATTTTGTGCCCTACAACTTTATGAAATTAGTTTATCAGTTCTAACAATGTTTTGGTGGAGCCTTTAGAATTTTCTCTATATATGATCATGTCATCCACAAACAAACAATTTCGCTTTTCTTTTTTAAATTTCTTTTTCTTGTCCAATTTTTCTGGCTAGAACTTCCAGTACTATGTTGAATGGAAGTGGTGAGAGTGAGCACCCTTGTTTTGTTCCTGATCTTACAGGGAAAGCTTTCAACTTTTTTTTTTTTTTGAGATGGAGTTTTGCTCTTGTTGCCCAGCCTGGAATGCAATGGTGTGATCTTAGCTCACCGCAACCTCCACCTCCTGGCTTCAAGCAATCATCCTGCCTCAGCCTCCCAGGTAGCTGGGATTATGGGCATGAGCCACCACGCCTGGCTAATTTTTGTATTTTTAGTAGAGACGGGGTTTCTCCATGTTGGTCAGGCTGGTCTCAAACTCCTGACCTCAGGTGATCCACCCACCTTGGCTTCCCAAAGTGCTGGGATTACAGGCATGAGCCACCGCACCCAGCCAAGCTTTCAACTTTTTATGATTGAGTACCATGTTAACTGTAGGTTTTTCATATATATCCTTTATTGTACTGAGATATATTCCTTCTATACCTAATTTGCTGAGAGTTTTTATCATCAAAAGATGTTGAATTTTGTTATATTCACTTTCTGCATTTCTCAAGATGATCATATGTTTTTGTCCTTCATTCTGTTAGTATAATGTATCACATTTATTGATTTGCATATGTTGAACTATTTTTGCATCCCAGGGATAAATCCCACTTGATTATAGTATACTAACCTTTTAATGTGCTGCTGAATTTGGTTTGCTAGTTTGAAGATTCTTGCATCTATGTTCATCGTAGACATTGGCCTGTAATTTTCTTTCCTTGTAGTGTCCTTGTCTGGCTTTGGTATCAGGGGAATACTGGCCTCAGATAATTAGTTGGGAAGTATTTTTTCTTCTATTTTTTGGAAGGATTGGTATTATTTCTTTAAATATTTGGTGGTAGAATTCTGCTGTGAAACCATCTGGTTCTGGGCTTTTGTTTGATGGGAGGTTTTTTTTAAATTATTGACTCAATCATCTCACTTGTTAATCTATTCCAATTTTCTATTTCTTCTTGATTTAGTATTGGTAGATTGTATGTTTTTAGGAATGTATCCATTTCTTCTAGGTTATCCAATTGGTTGGCATACAATTAATTGTTCATGGTAGTTTCTTATAATCATTTGTATTTTTGTGATATCAGTTGTAATGTCTCCTTTTTCAAGTTCTGATACTGAGTTTTCTCTCATTTTTTCTTAGTCTAGTTAAAGGTTTGTTGATTTTGTTTCACTTTTCAAAGAATCATCTCTTAGTTCCATCGATCTTTTCTATTGTCTTCTCTCAATTTCATTTATTTCTGCTCTGATTTTTATTATTTCTTTTCTTCTACTGATTTTAGGTTTAATTTTTTCTTTTTTTCTAGTTCCTTCAGGTGTAAGGAAGTAAGTTGTTTATTTGAGATCTTCCTTCTTTTTCAATGTAGGCATTTATTGCTGTAAACTTTCTTCTTAGAACTGCTTTTGCTGCCTCCCATGAGTTTTGATACATTGTGCTTCTATTTTCATTTGTCTCAAAATGCTTTTTATTTCTCTTTGAATTTCTTCTTTAACCCATTGGTTATTCAGGAGCATATTGCTTAATTCCTGTGTATTTGTGAGTTTTCTAAAAGTTCTTTTGTAACTGGTTTCTAGTTTCACTCAATTGTGGCTAGGTAATATACTTGATATGATTTTAATATTCTTAAATTTGCTAAGACTTGTTTTGCTCACTAACATATCATCTATTCTGGAGAATGTTCTGTGCTTGAGAAGAATGTGTATTTTGTTGCTCTGGGATAGAATATTTTATATACATATATGTTAGGTCTATTTGGTCTAAGGTGTTGTTCAGGTACTCTGTTTTCTTATTGATTTTCTGTGTTGATGACCTATACATTGTTGAAAGTGGATTATGGAAGTCTGCTACTATCATTGTGTTGCAGTCTATCTCACCCTTCAGATCTATGAATACTTCCTTCATGTATTTAGGTGTTTTGATGTTGGATGCATATATTTTTAAAATTGTTATATCCTCTTGATGTATTGACCTCTATCATAATATAAAGACCTTCTTTATCTCTTTATACGGTGTTTTACTTAAAGTCGACTTTTTCTAATATAAGCATAGCCACCCCTGCTCTATTTTAGATACCATTTGCCTGGAATATCTTTTTACAATCCTTACTCTCAGTCTTAGTATGTTTTTCAGGCTACAGTGGGTCTCTTCTAGGTATCATATTGTTGGATCTTGGTTTTTATTTTATCCATTCATCTACTCCATTTCTTTTTATTGGAGAATTTAATCCATTACATTTAAAGTAATTATTGATAGGTAAGGACTTCTGGTATTTTGTTAATATTTTACTGACTGTTATGTAGTTCTTTTGTTCTTCTCTTCCAATTTTGTCGTCCTTATTTGTAATTTCTTGTATTTTCTTGTAGTGGCATGCTTTGATTTCTTTATCTTTAGTGTGTCCATCAGAGGTTCTTTCTTTTCTTTCTTTCTTACTTTCTTTCTTTCTTTGTTTCTTTCTTTCTTCTTTCTTTCCTCTTTTTTGTTTTTTTGAGACAGAGTCTCACTCTGTCACCCAGGCTAGAGTGCAGTGGTGTGACCTTGGCTCACTGCAACCTCCACCTCCCAGGTTCAAGCAATTCTCATGCCTCAGCCACCCAAGTAGCTGGGATTACAGGCATGTACCACTATGCCCGGCTAATTTGGGAGTGAGGGAGGCTTGTTGTTGTTGTTGTTTGTGTTTTTTTGAGATGGAGTCTTGCTCTGTTGCTCAGGCTGAAGTGCAGTGGCACGATCTCGGCTCACTGCAACCTCCGCCTCCCAGGTTCAAGCCATTGTCCTGCTTCAGCCTCCCGAGTAACTGGGATTACAGGCGCCCGCCTCCATGTCTGGCTAATTTTTGTATTTTTAGTAGAGATTAGGGTTTCACCATGTTGGCCAGGCTAGTATCGAACTTCTGACCTCATTATCCGCCTGCCTTGGCCTCCCAAAGTGCTGGGATTATAGGCGTGAGCCACTGCGCCTGGCCTAATTTTTGTATTTTTAGTGGAGACAGGATTTCGCCATGTTGGCCAGGCTGGTCTTGAACTCCTGGCCTCTGGTGATCCACCCGCCTAGGCTTTCCAAAGTGCTGGGATTACAGGCATGAGCCAAGAGGTTTTTTTCTTCATTGTTGTCATGAGGATTATACAAAATATCTTATAATTATAATATCCTAATTTAAGCTGATAGTACCTTAGCTTCAATCACATGCAAAGACTCTAAACTTTTACTTCTCTCCCTTACATTTTATACTATTGATGCCATTTATCTCTATTTTATTGTGTATCTATTAATCAGAAGTTTATCACTGTTTTTCATGCATTTGTCTCTTTAACTCTTATCCTAGAGTTAAGAGGGATTTACACAATACCTTCACAGTATTGGAGTATTCTAAATTTTATATGTATTTACCTTTACTAGTGAGTTTTATGCTTTCATATATTTTCATATTGCTACCTATTCTTTTGCTTTAACTCAAAAAACTTTCTTTAGCATTTCTTGTAAGGGCGGACTCATGGTGATGAACTCCTTCCACTTTTGTTTGTCTTGGAATTTCTTTGTCTCTCCTTCACTTCTGAGGGATAGATTTGCTAGGTATAGCATTCTTGGTTGGCATTGTTTTTCTTTTAGCACTTTGAATATGTCATTCCACTCCCTCTGGCTTGCAAGGTTTCTGATGAAAAATCTGGATAGCTTTATGGTGGATATTTTATACGTAATGAATTTCTTCTCCTTTGCTACTTTCAAGATTATCTGTCTTTGACTTTTGACAATTTGATTATAATGTATCTCAGAGTGTTATTTTCTTAATTTATCTTGTTTGGGGTCCTTTGAGCTTACCGAGTCTGTATGTATATGTCCCTCCCAAGATTTTGAAGCTTTTCCAATAGGATTTCTTTTATTATCATTATTATTTAAATATTCTTTCATTATTTGTTTGTAATTTTTTGCTATGTTTCCTGTGCTGGTCTTGAACTCCTAGCCTCAAGCAATCTTCCCACCTGAGCATCCCAAATTCCTGGGATTACAGGTGTGAGCCGTCACACCTGGCCTCTCAGGCAGTATTTCTTTAAATAAGTTTTCCGTCCCTTTTCCTCACTCTTCTTCTTTGAGTAATCTCATAATTTGTATACTCAAATGTTTGATGGTGTTGGGTAGATCCCTTATGCTTTCTTCACTCTTTTTCAATGTTTTCCTTTTCTTTTTATTCCTCTAATGGGTTAATTCCAAGTGACCTGTACTTGAGTTCACTAATTCTTCTTTTTTTTGAGACAGAGTCTTGCTCTGTCACCCAGGCTGGAGTGCAGTGGCTCGATCTTGGCTTACTGCAAGCTCTGCCTCCTGGGTTCATGCCATTCTCCTGCCTCAGCATCTCGAGTAGCTGTGGCTACAGGCGCCCGCCACCACACCCAACTAATTTTTTGTATTTTTTAGTAGAGACGGGGTTTCACCATGTTAGCCAGGATGGTCTCGATCTCCTGACCTTATGATCCACCTGCCTCGGCCTCCCAAAGTGCTGGGATTACAGGCATGAGCCACCGTGCCTGGCCGAGTTCACTAATTCTTTCTTCTGCATAAGCAAGTCTGTTGTTGAAACTCTGAATTGAATTTTTCAGTTCTTAATTAAATTATTTTGCTCCAGGATTTCTATTTGGTTCTTCTTATATTTTCTATTTCTTTATTAAACCTTTCAACCTTTCCCTTTGTTCATGAATTATTTTTCTAATTTTATTTAATTGTCTATAGTTTCTTGCATCTCTCTTTTTTTTTTTTTTTTTTTTTCTTGAGATAGGGTCTCAGTCTGTCACCCAGGTTGGAGTGCAGTGGCTCAATCGAGGATCACTGCAGCCTTGAACTTTCAGGTTCAAATGATCCTCCCACCTCAGCCTCCCAGGTAGTTAGGATTACAGGCACCACTATACCAGGCTAATTTTTGTAGTTTTTGTAGAGATGGGGTCTCCCTATGTTGCTCAGGCTGGTTTCAATCTCCTGGGCTCAAGTTATCCTCCCATCTCAGCCTCCCAAAGTGCTGGGATTACAGGCATTAGCCACTGCATCCAGCCTCATTGAGCTTCTTTAAGATGATTGTTTTGAATTATTTTTCAAACAATGTGTGTATATCCATTTCTTTGGGGTCTGTTATTGAAGCTTTATGAAGTTCCTTTGGTGGTGTTGTATATGTCTGATTCTTTGATATCCATGTATCTTTGCACTGGTGTCTGTGCAATCAAAGTGAACTCTTCTTTCAGTTTTTACAGACTAGTTTTGGCAAGTTAAATTTGTTTTCTGTTATGTCTCTGGGCTGATGAGATTGCCTCTGGGATAGTGGTTGAGTTGGGTTGGGCCTGAGTCACATGACTGATGCTAGT